>NC_000021.9:26115420-26745342 GCF_000001405.40 Homo sapiens | reverse complement strand
CTTAGAATATTTTTGTAACGTATTTCTGACTATAAGTAATATCTTCTCATCATGGAATACTTGGAAAATAGGAAAACTGTGTAATTAAAAATAAAAATCACTTGAAATGCAGCTAAAATAGCATTAACATTTTAAGGCATTTTATTTTAGACCTCTCTGTCTGTCTATAAATATACTTCACATCACATTGTGTAGTCATTTCTGTGTCTTCATATTTTGCACAACTTTATATTAATAATGTGCTTTCATGTCACTAAAAATATCAAAAGTACATCTCTAGTAGATACAAAATGCTGTATTGATGGTTATTTTGGGGTAATAGTCTTATTGAATTACATGTATATAAGGATACAAATTATACATATAATTATATGTACATAAGGATATAAATTATACATATAAATTCATACAAATAATTATATGAATTATATACATATAATTCACCCATTTAAATTGTATGATTTATGGGTTTTAGCATGTTCACAAAGTTGTACAACCATCACCACAAAAAATTCTAGAATATTTTCATTACCCCACAAAAAATTCATGCCCTTTAGCTTTCACATCCAATCCTTCTATCCCCCAGCCCTAGGCAGCCACTAAACAACTTTCTGTACAGATTTGCCTTTTCTGGACATTTCACATAAATAGAATCATATATCAAATGGTCTCTTGTGACTAGCTTTTTTCACTTAGTGTAATGTTTTCAAGATTCATCTCTGTTGTATCAGGTATCAGTACATACTTCATTCCTTTTTATGGTCAAATAATATTCCATTGTAGTGGTTATGCTTTTAAGGTAAGTCTTTATAAAGTAAGGATGTTGATTCTAGGCTTGTCAAACTTTGGCATAACTGGTTTATACTGTATTACATAGAAAAGAAGATAATTTTTAAAAATTTTCAAGTCAAATATATTGTGTTTTTCCTATTCTCAGATTTCCTTTAATCCCCATTCATTCTACAAGTATTTGTTAACAGATTTCAATATACCAGGCTTTGCAAATGCAAAGTGAATGAAATCAACACAATTCTTGCTGTTATCATCTGTAAGTAACCCAATGTTAACAAATAACTAAAAAAAAGAAAGATATAATTAAAATTAAGAATTGAGATAAGAACTATCAATGTCCTCTAGTCAGAGTCTACTAGAAACAAACTGGTAGTCAAACAAAGGTGAGTTTAATTGCTTCTTGCTGTGAGGAAGAACACATGGTGAGCCATGGGGCATCTCTGTGTTGAGGGTGGTAGTGGGAGGTTAGAGAACTGGAGCTTATGTTAGATGATTTTGTAGAAGATTTGAGAACACGTGGCTGTGCTCTGAATTAAGTGCTGTCAAAGTAAGGGCTGTTCTATGTTTGAAGTGTATTAATTATTTTTATATAAAGGCAGGAGAAATAAAGTAGAGCCACACTAGAATTGGTAAGGAAGTACCAGTTACTCGTATTAGCTAACGGAGAGGGATGTCTGGTTATTTCTTAGTTTGCACTGTGTTCTGGATTTTGGCTGTGCTCAGTCAGATATAAATATGGAGTGGTTTGTTTTTGTCTTGTGCTATCATAGGCAGAGTGGCCTTGTCTGATGCAGTGTTATGTGACATTCTTTATGTTCAGCAGAACACCATGGCCTAATTGTTAGAGCCAGGCCAGCTCAGCTGATAGCCATCAAGAGTACTTTTGTCTCTCTCAACACTCTCTTTTGGCCAAGGGTAGAGACAATCACTGTGAAGAATATGAATGTACAATATCCAGGTCATTAGCATCCCCATAATTTTGCCAATCAAGAGTTTGTCTAGAGAAAATTGCAATTGGATTTGGGTTAGTCCTTTTTGCTCCTTTTGTTAGAGAAGAAATTGTTGAATCGTCTGATGTGACAGTGGTGGTGCAATAGCACTTAAGACCCTGGAAATCATCCCCTGGCCAAATGTAACTCAGGCAATCACCAGGTAAAAAAAAGTAGTTATTAGTTCTTGAAAGAGTACCTCAAGACAAGAGTCTAAATTACCAAAGCGAAGCAATGAAAATATATCTCAACATTGAACATCTTGGTTCTTTCCAGAGATCTGGTTGGCTTTTCCCCTCCGTCATGAATTTTTTACTTGAACTATCATATGCAATATTTATTTAGGCACAGTCAGATGTGTTCATTATAAACTGCCCTGTAGCTAAAGGAAATAAAACACTATGCAATTGACCATGACAACCCCGGCTAATGAATTTAAACTGTTTTGTTGCAGAAGTTGTGTTCTTATAAACAAGCAGTGATTTAAAGGGGTATAGAAGTCACTGGGAATATAAGCATTGAACATCTCGATAGAAATGAGCTGATAATTTGTTTCTTAAAATGAGGAATATTTTAGAGTGGACTTAAATAGCAGTTGCAAAGCTGGCTGGAAAATCTCTAAAGAGAACAAACTGAATTATTTCAGCAGTGATAATCCTAATATTTGTCCTCATTCTTGATGGGTTAGGTTTTGCTGGTAGGATTGACAGGTCTGACTATAGAATTTGTGGGGCCCAGGAAAAAATAAAATAGTGGGGCCATTCATTAAAAAAATTATTCAGGGCCGGGCATGGTGGCTCACACCTGTAATCCCAGCACTTTGGGAGGCCAAGGCGGGTGGATCACGAGGTCAGGAGATGGAGACCATCCTGGCTAACACGGTGAAACCCCGTCTCTACTAAAAATACAAAAAATTAGCCGGGCGTGGTGGCAGGCACCTGTAGTCCCAGCTACTCGTGAGGCTGAGGCAGGAGAATGGTGTGAACCCAGGAGGTGGAGCTTGCAGTGAGCCGACACCGTGCTACTGCACTCCAGCCTGGGTGACAGAGCGAGACTCCGTCTCTAAAAAAAAAAAAAAAAATTATTCAGAATTTTAAGATGGCAACAGCACAGTATTAAACCCAAAGCATTTAACCCAAAGCATTAAACCTCAAGTACGGAGCCCTTGTAAGAGCAGGGCTATGTGAGACTGCACAAGTCACATGCCAATGAAATGGTTGAATAACTTGGGTAGAAGTGTTTATCGATACTGCATCCAGGCTCTTTTTTTTTTTTTTTTTTTGACAGAGTCTTGTTCTGTCACCCAGGCTGGAGTGCATTGGCACGATCTCAGCTCACTGCAACCTCCACCTCCCAGGTTCAAACAATTCTCCTGCCTCAGCCTCCCAAGTAGCTGGGATTACAGGCACATGCCACCACTCCCAGCTAATTTTTGTATTTTCATTAGAGAAATTTTGGTTGGCCAGGATGGTCTCAATCTCCTGACCTCATGATCCACCTGCCTTGGCCTCCCAAAGTGTTGGGATTACAGGCGGGAGCCACCGCACCTGGCCCAGGCTCATTTTTATAAGACTGAAATCTGGGTTAATTATATGAGGCAATCATCAGGAGGAGCCTATATAAGGATATTTTGGTGACCATGAGAATCCACCTTGCAGAACTCTAACTAGAGGCAGTGGAACTGACTGAGGTCCCTGGCTGTTCTTTGAAATCCATCACCATGTTTGAGCCAACACCATGCTTCCCATAGACTCAGTGATGCTAAGGCAGTTTTGACCCTAGGATACAGGGAACTCCTTCTGGCAACTCTGCCTCATGGGCTCCCCAGTGGTCTCTTGCTGGACTTCCATTAGACTGCACACTGGTCTGTGATGCTTCCATCCAACCTTCCTTTTCTCTTTCCTTCCTTCAGGCTCAGACTTGCATGGGGTATGATGACTCTCCCAGCCTCCCTGCTCTTCTTCCGTATGTTTTATCATAGGCATTTCCCCTAGTAAAATCTTCGAGGGGGCTTGTTGGAGGGCCTGAACTATCACAAGTGGTACCAGCTGTGATCTGAGTAAACAGGTGGTAAGAGGGACACTTACGACTGGCTTGCAGTCATGGTTCTATGAAGAGTACCATTCCAACAGCTGAAAGATGAGGAAAAAGTGGCTGATGGAGGGGTTGGCTCAGTGCATGGGCCAACATGGATAGTGGCTGCACTACACGCACATAGGATTGGCCACGCAAAAGAGCAAAAGGGGAAATTCTTTCCAATGGGCAGAGCTGTGAGTAGTGCTCTTAGTCATTCACTTTGTATGGAAGGAGAAGTGGCCCAAGATGAGAATATCTATAGATTTCCCTGAAGTGGCCACTGGCCTGGATGTCTGGCCAAGGACTTGGAAGGAAAAGAACTGGAAGAACAAAGACAAGAAATTCTAAGGTAGAGGTCCATGGCTGACACATGAGAGTGACATTGTCATACAACATGTGAATTCAGTGTTAACATCATCTAAAACATTCACCGTGGAAAAGGCACTGAGCAACCAAACACATAGAACAACTTAGCCAGGAGATATCAGCCGGCCTTTGTCATCGGCCGCTCCAGTACAGTATGATGGCCAGAGTGGTCATAGTGACAAACATATAGGCTGCATTTGGGGCCTACGACATGGATTTTCATTGACCAACACGGATGTAGCTACTGCTGCATCTGAGCGTCCAACTGATCCGCAAAGGAAACCAACAAAAAGCCTCGAGATAGCATTGTTCCTCAAAGGAAATCAACAAGTCACTTTCCATTATGGAGGATCAATATTTGTTCTTACCAAGATAGGCACCTGTGGGTTATGGGTTTGCCTTTCCTGAGCAGAAGTTCAGCCAGAGCTCCTATTTGGGGGCTTATAGAATGCCTGACTTACAGCTGTGAAATTCCATACAGCACAGACACCAATCAGGAAACACTTTTCATAGTGAAGGAGTCCAGAAGTGGCCCATGACATTTCTTTGCCCATTCAGAAGCAACTGGCCTTGTGCAATACTGGAATGGCCTTCCAGAAGGGCAACAGAAGCCCCAGCTCAGAAGTCACTCTTTTTGCCATCCTTTAGGACAAAGTGTGCCTATTATATCAGAGACTGCAGGAAAAGCCTCAATCCATCCTGAAAATAAACAATTACCAGAACATTACTCATAGCCCATGTGGTTCCTCTCATTTCTTACTTCTACCATCTTGTAAGAATTGTGTTGTTGGTAGGTAGGTGCAATGGACTGCACATTTGTTGTCCTCCCAAAATTCAGATGTTGAAATCCTAACCTTTGTTTTGATGGTAGCTAGGAGGTAGGGCTTTTTGGAGGTGATTATGTCATGAGGGTGAAGCCCTCTTGAATGGGATTAGTGCTCTTGTATAAAGCACCCCAGAGAGCTCACTCACCCTCTTTTCACCATATGAGGATACAAGAAGACAACAGTGAAGCTCAGAGGAAGGCCCTCACCAGAATCCGACTATGCTGGCAGCCTGATTTCACACTTTCAGACTCTAGGACTGTGAGAAATAAGTTTCTGTTGGTTAGAAGCCACCTAGTCTTTGATGTTTTATTGTAGCAGCCCACATTGACTAAGATAGCAAAACATGCAAACATCCTTGGAAATACTCTTTAAATTACCCACTAATGTTGAATCAATATCACTGCCAATTTATCTCTGCTATTGGGGATAAAATCCTGAAACATTTTTGTTAAACTCCATTACTGTTGTGTCTATCCCCTTAGGTAATAGCGAAGCATATACAAAATTTTTCATTTGTTTTCATAGGATTTTCTGTGGCAGTTAGGAAGTGCTATGGTGTTTGAAGTCATGTACTAGTTCAAAATCATATCTACTTTTAGTACAAACATTTGATCTTTTATCTTTTGCTAGCTGGCAGATATGGGCAAGAACAATTAATTTTGCTACTTGAACTGATTTCATTTCTGGATGTGGCTTACATATTTCAAGAGCCTATTCAGGTTTGTTATAACTTGCTTGGAAAATCTCTTTTTCTTTTGAGGTTAAGCCATCAACAAACAAATTTTGTGAATAGCCAAGGAAATTTCTAATAGCTCCTGGTAGGGCTTAGGGCTTGGATAGTTTCCTAAGAGAGGTAAGCAATTACAGTCTTCTAGAGAGTGGCTGGCTCTAAAGAGTGTTGTGCAATGGATAGTAATGTGTGTGAAGGGGAAGGAATGCGATTAGCTGAGAAATACTGAGTGCTTGTCAGTAGAAGAGTCTGCATGGGAAATCATTAACTTTAAAAGAGACCCTAGAAATAAATGAGTTGCAACTTTCATAAGATATGCTACTGCTTCTATAACTTCTTGATGAGGTGGCTTTGCATTGACTGCTGGATCAAATGAAAGACTGAAATGGGCAATGGGCCTCAGATGATTTCTGTGTATTGAGTCAGTACCCCAGTGACCTGTCTGGGCTTCCCACAAATAAAAGTGAAGGGAGTTTTATAAGTCAAAAATCCTAGAACAAAATCTTCTTATATTCATCTATTATACCACTCTTAAACACAAGCATTAACAGAATATTTAGAAAACACAAGGAACCCCTGCTAACCTGGGTATAAATTAATTTAGTCGTTGTATTGAAAAAAACAAATTTGAATTTTATGCCTTTTGTACATTATTCACTTAACGATTTGTGGTAAAAATTTATTTATATACATTTATATGCTTTAGGCGTATGCAAACATAGAAATATAGAAATAGGTGGTGCATTGAAAGCATTTACCTTTAAAATGTAGCCAACATATCAGGATGTTAAAGTATATATTGTATATAATTTGCCATCTTACTATTAGGTTGCTGCAAAAGTAATTGCAGGTTTTGCCATTAAAAGCTTTTGCGGTCTTTGCAATTACTTTTAATGGCAAAAACTGCAATTGCTGTTGTGCCAACCTAACACATGGTAATAAATGAGTGGTTTGCCTTTCCTGAGCAGCAGTTCAGCCAGCACTCCTATCTGGGGGCTTATAGGATACCTGATTTACAGCCATGAAAGTCCACACTCCATAGACATTAATCAGAAAAACATTTTCACAGTGAAGAAGTACAGGAGTGACCCACGACATTCCTTTGCCCATTCAGAAGCAACTGGCCTCATGTACTGCTGATGACTCCCTAAAACCTGCCCAAATGTAGTATTTTATACATATGTACATTTATATAATGATTAACCATTATTATCCATAATGTTCAAGTTCATATATACCAATTTCATTCCTTCATTTACTCACATACTCAATAAATATTAATCATCTAATATATGCCAGTTCTGGATGCTCAGGATAGAATGATGACTGAAAACAGATGCTGTACCTGCCCCAAGGAGCTTATGGTCACATACAGAAGACAGCTATAGGCCGGGTGCCATGGCTCACACCTGTAATCCCAGAACTTTGGGAGGCCGAGGCAGAAAGACCATTTGAGGTCAGGAGCTCGAGACCAGCCTGGCCAACACGGTGAAATTCTGTCCCTACTGAAAACACAAAAATTAGCTGGGCATGGTGGCATGTGCCTGTAATCCCAGATACTCGAGAGGCTGAAGCAGGAGAATTGTTTGAGCCTGGGAGGCGGAGGTTGCAGTGAGCTGAGATCTCACCATTGCACTCCAGCCTGGGCGACAGAGTGAGACTCCATCTTGAAACAAAACAAACAAACAAAAAGAAAACAGATAAAATCAAGTCATCACATGAGCAAATGTGGACATACCACTGAGAAAGGGCTACAAAGGAGAGAGCATGGTGCTCCTGGTAGCAGTGAAGATGCATTCAATTGAGTCATCAAAATCAAGGAAGTGATGCATGAATTGGGATCTGTCAGAGGAAGTGGGTGTAGCTAAGCAATGAGGGGAAAGAAGCATATCTCAGGCCTCCACAAAAGCAAGCGTAAATCCCTGCTCTGGGAAGGGAATGGGAAATGTAAGTGGAAGCCACAGTTTGCTGAAGCAGTTGTTAAGGTTGGCATAAAGCCATGCAGCAGAAAGGATAAAATGTGGGTGGGGGTACCAAGGGACTGGTAGACCGTACTAGTGAACTTCATTTTTTTAATCGTAAAAGCAATTTAAAACAAATCCTACAGGAGAAAGGGAGGGAGTTGGAGAGAGCAATAGTAACAGGATCACATTTACATTTTGAAAACCCCATGCTGGCTGCATCGAGAGGGGCACAGAGTGGATTATAGCAATTTAGTTTAGGAGCTATAGCAGTAGCCTAAGCAAGACACAGTGGCTGCTTATATGTTGATTGGAGGTGGCTGAACAGAACGTGTCCAGTACCCAGATCAATTTAATCAAATCTATACCCAGTAGAACAGGAAGTTGCCTTTTCTACTAACCCAAGAAAGAACACATTCACTTGGGGTCAAATAAAAATAAGAAGGAGCTCAAAACTTCTTAACTGAAAGCTCTGGAGAACAATCTGTCAACCGAAGAATCACAAGATCCATAAATTTGGAGAAGAGAGATTTATTCCTCATAAAGGGTTGAAGCCTGCAGGATGGTCATCCTACAGGCTGGGAAGTGTAGCCTCCATTAGAGACCAAAAACAGGTACTTTGAAGGAAGAAGGATGAGACAGAAATTTATGCTGAATGAATTGGCTAAGTATACATATTTAACAGGTTGTAGAAGGAGCTATGAATATTCTCACAGGTGGACATTAAACAAGCATGCATGTTCCATATTTCCCATGTTCACTTTGGGGCAGAGACTTAATGTGTAGATGCATTAAAATTGGGCTGTATGTGTAAAAATATGAAATAGAGGACAAAGAGGAAACCTGTGCTCTGTCAACTGACCAGAACCAGTCTGTGGTCAGTAGTCAAAAGTCAGGAAGGGATGTGTTGTTAAACTGATCAGCTGCTTGTGGAAACCACAAGGAGGAAGGCAGGTCTGGCTGCAGTACCAGTCAGTTGATTGAAATCAGTGGCGTAGCAAGGCTGTCAACTGGGTTTGCTTCTGTTTAGCCCTTAAGGAAGAAAGTCCAATGGTAGTTATTGAGAGAAGGGTTGTAATGAGATGTGTCATACCTCTTATCCTGTTTTGGTAGGAGATGTAGCTTTTAAGGTTTCTCAGCAGTCCCCTTGGCAAACAGGGGTTTCATTCAGTTATTTGGGGGGTTTAGGGTCTCATTTTCATCACACATATCAAATGAATATTGACAAAGAAAAAATCAAGCTTTTAAAAATTAAAGAAAAATGCTCAACATCATTAATCATTAGATAGATGAGTGAAATAAAGAAAATGAGAAAAAGAATGAGATCATGTCCTTTGCAGCAACATGGATGGAGCTGGAGGCCATTATCCTGCGTGAACTAGTGCAGGAACAGAAAACTAAATAACACATGTTCTTATTTATAAGTGGGAGCTAAACACTGAATACACATGGAAACAAAGAAGGGAACCACAGACACCAGGGACTACTAGAGGGTGTAGGCGGGGAGGAAGCTGAGGATTGAAAAACTACCCGTTGGGTACTATGCTTATTATCTCGGTGATGAAATAATATGTACATCAAACCCCCACGACATGCAATTTTTCTATAGAACAAACCTGCGCATGTAACCCTGAAACTAAAATAAAAGTTGAGAAAAACCTACAGTCTTACTGAGGACTATAGAGTACATCTCCTTATAGACTCTAGAGGTCAGTGGCATGATCTCGGCTCACTGCAACCTCCACCTCCTGGGTTCAAGTGTTTCTCCTGCCTCAGCCTCCCAAGTAGCTGGGATTACAGGCACCCGTCACTGCACCAGGCTAATCTTTCTATTTTTAGTAGAGATGGGGTTTCACCATCTTGGCCAGGCTGAACTTGAACTCCTGACCTCGTGATCCACCCGACTTGGCCTCCCAAAGTGCTGGGATTACAGGCGTGAGCCGCCGTGCGTGGCTCATTTATTTTTAAGGAATATAGTGACTCAGGCAAGAGACATGAAAGTCTTTGCACTCTATCCTATTTTATCTACAAAGAATCCCTCCAAAAAACTACATATCAACACATAGGGGCTTATGAAATCATGCTGCCAAACAGAAATGAGGAAGCATGGCTTATGTTGTTAGTTTGTCTCACACAGGTAAACACACCAAACAACAACAACAACAACAAAACATTTTTTAGACTTGGGGTGTCTTGTAGGTTCTATAACGGGCTAAGAATTACTCATTCAAGAAATGGCCTTAGTCACTAATTGTTATCAGAGTCAGTAGATAAACTTCCTCTCTTCCTCAAAGGAAGGACTTTGGGATTGTATTTGGATTCAGATTTCATTCTTACTATTTACTGTGTGAGAAGATGGGCAATTACTCTTCCTTTTCAGCCTCTCTTTTCTCATTGTAAAATGGTGACAATAGCACCTATCCTCCAGGACTGGTATAATGATGAAAATTAACATGCGTTAAACATCAAGCATATTCTACGCTGTCAGTTGATGGCAACTATTAATATTATATTCCATTGTCTTCATCAATAGTCTTCTAAATTTCTTATATCCTGGTTCTGGACTTTTCATGATTTGCAAAGTATCTGGAAAATACTTTTGTATAAGCCACTAAGAATGTAAGCCTGCATTAGCGTGAAATAAGGTCTAGTAAAAATGCAGATTCCGAGTCCCACCCTAAGCCCATACAGAACTGGAATCCTTAGAGCTGAGGCCCAGATACGTGCATTCCTAATAAACCACCCCAGTGATTCCTATGTACATTAAAATTTGTGATGTCATCTCCATATGGGATGAAGGGATGGGGAGGATGATGGGGCAGGAAGGAAGGATAGAGAAGGAAGAATTTGAATAGAAACTAACATGACTGTGACCAAAAAAAAAAAAAGATTCTTATTGGGAAATTTCAAGTGCCTGTTGTCAGGCCTCTGAGCCCAAGCTAAGCCATCATATCCCCTGTGACCTGCACGTACACATCCAGATGGCCGGTTCCTGCCTTAACGGATGACATTCCACCACAAAAGAAGTGAAAATGGCCTGTTCCTGCCTTAACTGATGACATTACCTTGTGAAATTCCTTCTCCTGGCTCATCCTGGCTCAAAAAGCTCCCCCACTGAGCACCTTGTGACCCCCACCCCTGTCTGCCAAAGAACAACCCCCTTTGACTGTAATTTTCCTTTACCTACCCAAATCCTATAAAACGGCCCCACCCCTATCTCCCTTCACTGACTCTCTTTTTGGACTCAGCCTGCCTGCACCCAGGTGAAATAAACAGCCTTGTTGCTCACACAAAACCTGTTTGGTGGTCTCTTCACACAGACACGCGTGAAACCTGTGATTCAGATATTATTGAGAAAGAGGGGCTTCACACCTTCCCTCAAACCCTACCACAGAGTTACCAGCTCTGGTTGGCATCCCTAATAAGTGCTCTACTGTCAAGACTTTAATAAAGATTAAATTCAACTTACATTTTTTTAAAAAGAAGTAACACTCAAAGGAAGAATATATTCTGTTGTCCTATTTCACAGTAGGTTGACTATGGTTCTCAATAAGGCATTGTATATATCAATAGCCAGAAGAAAGGGTTTTGTATGTTTACACCAAAAAGAAGTGATAAATATCGGAAGTGATGAACAGTCAAATACCCTGGTTTGATAACTACACAATGTATACATGTGTTGAAATATAACATTGCTCCCCATAAATATGTACAATTATGTGTTCATTAAAAATTTTAAAAATAGTTTTCTCCCCCCCATAGCAAATTGGAGGCATTGTTAGCCTGCCTCCATGCTTCATCCCATATGGAGATGACATCACAAATTTTAAGACAGCCCATGTGGACAGACAAAATACAGAGATTCACGCTGTGAACTTTTCTCCAAGAAGCAACACGGGAACTTAGAAAAGCTGAATAAAATCACAGACCGTTTGAAAGAAGTGCTGGGCAGCAGCCTATACCATGGTCCAGGTGGAAAACTGTGAGCCTCCAGAGTGTGAAGGGGGAGAGAATGCCACCATGACAAACACTGCCATGGAAGATCCCAGCAATCCAGGCCACGGGGGGAGGCCTTAACTCTATCTAGAATTGGAACTGATTTAGTGGGTGGTGGGGAACATATGAGAAGGAGCAGCATTTGGACAGCTTTGCATGTTCTCCCAGGCCCCAGCAGGGACAGAGGGAAGCCATTCCTCACCCTATCTCACAGGGAAGATCGCAGAAGTCTGCCAGCTAACTCAGGTGGCAGTCACATTTTGAGAGAAGCTCCCAACTGAGATTTGCGATATAATCTTCAGCGGAGATGAACCCCATCGGCCAGAACTGAGGGGTAACTGGGAAGTGTGCTGTAGCCACAGGCACAGAAGCTGAGGGCCTCTGCTTCATGAATGTGGCCTGAAAGCCCAGTTTCTGTCTTGGTCAGGAAAGCTTATGGCCTGGGGCAATCTGAAGTTCTGACTGCAGGCTGCCTGGAACCCAGCAAGCTGCTGCTAGCAGAACACTGCTGATGTGAGACCTGCCTTGCCAAGTGTGTGGGAGCAGAGTGGGGCTTACCGCCACCTGCTACACTTCACTCCCCATGTGGATTCTTCTGTGCAACAGAAGCAGCTGTGCTGCTCTGTGGAACATTACCCCAGGGGCCGGGGAACTGACCTCTGATTTCCACTGGGGCAGCTGCTTGTGACTCCACATGGGAAGCCAGAGCACAGACGGCCTGACCCACCCCCGCCGGGCTTTGCTTCTCCACCTGTCCTTGTAGGGTAACACAATGGATAGAGACATTTGAAAGTTCCGTGGCCCCACACATCACTTCAAACACCAGAGCACCTCCTTGGGTAACAAAAGGCAAGCAAAAGCAAAAATTCCACTGCTGCTATCACAGCTTGTGGTCTTTCGCAGGCGCCACCTCCTGGCTAGAGGTTAAATGACACAACCCAATACAATATCAGCCGGTTCCGTTAACATCATGCTCACAAAGGAGAAAACTTCTGTGCAACCCCAGTTTGAATAGAGACTAACATGACTGTGGTCACACTGGCTAACCAGGAGGTGTTGAATCTGTCTACATGACCAGTACAGCTGGCATTTGTGAAGGCCACAACACTAAGGCTATTTATAACCAAGGAATCTCACAGAATCTACATGACTCCTCTCTCACCCCTATCAGATCTGGTGCTGGGAGACTTGAAGGACAGGTCACATCACTCGATCCCTTGTAGACATTCCCAGCATCAAAGTATGGCAGCCCCACTGGGTGGTTAGACCCAGAGGAGCAGCAGGAGTCACAGTAGGCTGGTGCTCAGGGACTGCTACTCCTAGAAAAAGAGGGAATGTACCACATTAAGGGAGCATTCCATGGGACAAAAGAAACCACACTTCAGGCCTTGGGTCCCTACCTTTTCACTGTGGAAAGTTTCTTTCAGCAGTCACAGCAGCAGTGCTGGACTCAGTGTGGAAAGTTTGTGGGGTCTACCTCAACGGTTAGGCAGCCCTGGTGCTCATGAACAGTCTTGGAGAAGGGGACTTTGTGATGGTTAATACTGTGTGTCAACATGATTGGACTGAAGGAAGCAAATTATTGCTCCTGGGTGTGTCTGTGAGGGTGTTGCCATAAGAGATTAACCTTTGAGTTAGTGGACTGGGAGAGGCAGACCCACCCTCAATCTAGGTGGGCTCCATCTAATCAGCCGCCAATGCAGCTAGAATAAAGCAGGCAGGAGAAGGTGGAAGGAGCTGACTTGCTGAGTCTTCCGGTCTTCATCTTTCTCCTGTGCTGGATGCTTCCTTCCCTCAAACATTAGACTGCAAGTTCTGCTTTTGGACTCTTAGACTTACACTAGTGGTTTGCCAGGGCCCTCAGGCCTTCAACAACAGACTGAAGGCCACACTGTCGGCTTCCCTACTTTTGAGGTTTTGGGACTTGGACTGATCCACCACTGGCTTCCTTGCTCCTCAACTTGCAGATGACCTATCATGGGACTTTACCTTGTGATCATGTGGGTCAATTCTCCCTAATAAACTCCCTTTCTTATATACATATATCCTATTAGTTCTGCTTCTTTAGAGAACCCTAATACTGATTTCTTCTCCCCCGCGTCTGCCACTCCAGACATAGCTGAATGTCTCCCATGGGAGCTTAGCATGGGTGCATCCGTAGACAGCCTTTCTGGAACACTGCAGGATGCATCCCCACAGTAGGAGCGCCCTTGATTCAGGCTTGGCTTGCACAAGACGTAGAGTCACCATCCCTGTCTACATGAAGCAGATAAAGAGGTGTTTGTCTAATCTGAGTAGCTGGAACATGGGGTCAAGAGTGTAACTGGGATGAATTTCCTGAAGGGGAGGTATGGTGGCTTTCTCCCTTCCTTCTGAAAAGACCTCAGTGCATTTCACTGAGAGATTCCCCAGCTGGGACCTCTGGTCACCACTGGGGTATTGAACTTACCCATCTGCTTTATCCTTGGCCAGTTTTTCCTCATGGGCACCTCCTAATGGCCCAAAGCCTGAACTGTTCAACCCAGTGAGTAAAACAGTGGGGAAAACATTTATAAAAGTGCACACCACTGGGAAATGAGATAAGCTTCCTGAGACCTCTGCCACTTCAGCCCCACAGGAGACAGTGAATCTGCTCACACATCCAGCATATCATTACTAAATCCTCATCAGAGCAATTCATCACACAAAGATTTTCTACAACTGAAAACTCACACAAAGTCTTCACCACTGAAAACACCTACAGCCAAAGGTAGATGACAACAGCTTATAAATGTTAAAGTCTCATCCTCAAGGGGGAACAAAAATTTAAAACCCAGTCAAATAAAAAGTAAATTCAAAAATAATTAGAAAAAAAGTAAGTAAATGAGAAGGAACAAGAAAAATGATTCTGGCAATATGAAAAAATCGGGTTCTATATCAGCCCCAAATATCACATTTACTCCCAACAGTGGAGCCAAACCAAGATGATATCTTTGAAATCTGCGACACAGAATTCAAAAGGTTGATTATTAAGTTATTCAAGGGAATACAAGAGAATGGTGAAAACCAACATAAATAAATTTAAAAATACAATTCAGGATATGAATGAAAAATGTTCTAAAGAGATATTTTAAGAAAAACCAATTATAATTTCTGGAAATGAAAGATACATTTAGGGAACTATGAAATGCAGTGGAAAATTTTAGCTATAGACTACACCAAGTAGAAGAAAAGATTTCAGAACTCAAAGGAAAGACTTTTCAATTAACATAATCAGACAAAAATAAGAAGAAAAGAATCAGAAGTGAAAAATGTCTCCAAGAAATATAGGATTATGTAACATAGCCAAACCTAAGAATCACTGGTTTCCTGAAGGAGAATAAAAAGCAAAATGTTTGGAAATCCTATTTGAAGGAATAATTGAGGGAAACTTCCCTGACCTTGCTAGAGATTTAGACATCCAAATACAAAAAGCTCAAAGAACTCCTGGGACGTTCATGGCAAAAAGGACACCACCAATGCATATATTCTTCAGACTATCTAAATTCAACATGAAGGAAAGAATTCTAAGAGCAGTGAGACAAAAGCATCAGGTAACCTGTAAAGGAAAATCTATTCTTTCTCTGAGAAACCTTACAAGCAAAAAGGAACTGGGGTCTTATCTTTAGTCTCCATGAACAGAATAACTATCAGCTTAGAATTTTGTACCCAACAAAACTGAGTTTCACAATAGATACTGGGGCCTTCTTGAGGGTAGATGGTGGAGAGGGAGGATTGAAAAACTGCCTCTTGGGTACTATGCTTATTACCTGGATGATGAAATAATATGTACACCAAACCTCCACAACATGCAATTTATGTATAGAAAAAACCTGCACATGTACACTTGAAACTAAAATAAAACTTTAAAAAAATTTTAAAAACTAAGTTTCATAAGTAAAGGAGAAATAGACTTTCTCAGATTAGCAAATGATGTGAAAATTTGTCAATACTAGACCAGCCCAACGGGAAATGCTAAAATTAGTTCTAAGTCTTGAAACAAAAGGTTGATGCTCACCAGAATAGAAACTCCTGAAAGCATAAAACTCACAGGGCTTATAAAACAATAACACAAAAAATAAAACAAAGTCACTAGGTAATAATCAATGTGATAACTGGAACAGTATGTCACATCTCAATATTAGTGTTGAAAGTAAATGGTCTAAATGCTCTGCTTAAAAGATACAAATTGGCAGAATGGATAGAAAAAATTACAAACCAAATATCTGCTGTCTTCAGGAGACATACCTAACATGTAAGGATTCTTGTAGACTCAAGGTAATAGATTGGAAAAAGATATTTCCCACAAATGGAAACTAAAAATGAGCAGGAATAGCTATTCTTACATCATATAAAACAAACCTTAAAGCAACAACAGTTAAAAGAAGACAAAGAAAGTTATAATGATAAAAGGATCAATTCAACAAGGAGATATGACAATCCTAAAAATATATTCACCTTACTCTGGAGCTCCCAGATTCATAATATTACTACTAGACCTAAGAAAAGAGATAGACAGCAACACAGTAATAGTGGGGTACTTCAACACTCCACTGACAGCACTAGACAGATCATCAATGCAGAAACTTAACAAATAAACACAGGACTTAAACTGAACTCTAGAACAAGTGAATGTAAGAATCATTTACAGAACATTCTACCCAAGAACTACAGGATACACATCCTTCTCATCAGCACATGGACCTTTCTCCAAGATAGACCACATAGTGGCCCATTAAAAAAGTCTCAATATATCCTAAAAATCAAAATCATATCAAGTATCTTCTTATACCCCAGCAGAATAAAATTAGAAATCAATTCAAAAAGTAACCCACAAAACTATACAAATACATGGAATTGAAAAAATCCACTCTTGAATGATTGTTAGGTTAACAATGAAATGAATATGGGAATGTAAATAATTTTCAAAATGAATGATAAGTGACACATTATCAAAATCTTTCGAATAAAGCAAAAGAAGTGATAAGAGGAAAGTTTGTAGCACTAAATGTCTGCGTCAAAAAGTCGAAAAGATCACAAACTGACAACCTAATGTCACACCACAAGGAAATAGAGAAACAAGAATAAACCAAACCCAGAGCTAGCAGAAGAAAAGAAATAACAAAGAGCAGAGCAAAACCAAACAAAATTGCAACAAAAAAATACAAAAGATTATAGAAACAAAAAGTTTGTTCTCTAAAAAAATAAAGTTAATAGACCACTAGCTAGATTAATGAAGAAAATAAAGCAAAGATTCAAATAAGCTCAATTAGAAATGAAAATGGAGGCATTACAATTGACACCACAGAAATACAAAAGGTCATTTGTGTCTATTATGAACACCTCTGTGCACACAAACTAGAAAACCCAGAGGAAATGGATAAATTCCTAAAAACATATAACCCCTCTAGCTTGAATCAGAAATAAATCAAAATCCTGAACAGACCAATAACAAGCAGTGAGACTGAATCAATAATGAAAAAACTGCCAACAAAAAAATAAGCTTGGCTGGGCACGGTGGCTCACGCCTGTAATCCCAGCACTTTGGGAGGCCGAGGTGGGTGGATTACCTGAGGTCAGGAGTTGGAGACCAGCCTGACCAACATGTTGACACCCCGTCTCTACTAAAAATACAAAAATTAGCCAGGTATGGTGGTGTGCGCCTGTAGTCCCCGCTACTCGGAAGGCTGAGACAAGAGAATTGCTTGAACCCAGGAGGCGGAGGTTGCAGTGAGCCGAGATCACGCCACTGAATTCTAGCTTGGGTGACAGAGCGAGACTCCATCTCAAAAAAAAAAATAAAAAAAAAATAAGTCCCAGGGCAAGATGGATTCACAACCGAATTCTACAAGACAGTCAAAGAAGAATTAGTGCCAATTTTACTGAAAATATTCCAAAATATTGAGAAAGAAAATATCCTCCCTAATTTATTCTATGAAGTCAATATTGCCCTGATACAAAAGTCAGGACATAAAAAAAAAAAAAAGGGAAAATTGCAAACCAATGTCCTTGATGAATATAGATGCAAAATTTCTCAATAAAATACTAGCAAACCAAATCCAAAAGCACATCCTAAAAAATAATCATCATGATCAAGTGGATTTCATTCCAGGGATGCAGGGGTGAGTCAACGTACACAAGTCAATAAATGTAATTCATCACTAATAGAACTAAAACAAAAACAACATGGTAATTTCAATAGAGGCAGAAAAAGCGTTAGTTAAAATCCAGCATCCCTTTTCAATAAAAACCCTCAAAACCTAGGCATACAAGCAACATACCTAAAAATAATAAAAGCTATATATGACAAACCCACAGCCAACATCATACTATGTGGGGAAAATTGAAAGCATTCCCCCTAAGAACTGGAACAAGACAAGAATGCTCACTTTCACCACTTCTAATCAACATTGTACTGGAAGTCCTAGTCAGAACAATTAGACAAGAGAAAGAAATAAAAGGAATCCAAATTGGAAAAGAGGAAGTCAGACTGTCTCTGTTTACTGATAATATTGTCTTATACCTAGAAAACTCTAAAGATACCTCCAGAAGACTGCTAGATCTGAATAACAAATTCAGAAATGTCTCATATTACAAAATCAATGTACCCAAATCAGTAGCACTGCTATATACCAGCAAGACCAAGCAGAGAATTAAATTAAATCAAGAATACAGTCCCCTTCACAATAGCTAAAAAAAATTAAATCAAATACCTAGGAATACGCTTAACTGAGGAGGTGAAAGATTGCTACAAGGAGAACTACAAAACATTGCTGAAAGTAATCATAGGTGACACAAACAAATGGAAATACATTCCATGCTCATGAATTAGAAGAATCTATATCATGAAAATGACAATACTTCTCAAAGCAATCTACAGATCTAATGCAGAATTAGACAAAACAATCCTAAAATTCACAGGGAACCAAATAAGAGCCCAAATAGTCAAAGCAATCTGAAGCCAAAGGAACAAATCCAGAGGCATGACATTACCTGACTGCAAATTATACAAGGCTATCCTAACCAAAATAGCATGGTATTGATGTAAAAGTGGATACATAGACCAGTGGAACAGAATAGAGAATGCAAAAATTAAGCCAAATACTTAAAACCAACTAATTTTTGACAAAGCATACAAAAGCATAAATTGGGGAAAAGATACCCTATTCAATAAATGGTGTTGGGAAAATTGGATGGCCACATGTAGACAATTGAAGCTGAATCTCTGTCTATCTTTCACCATACACAATAATTAGCTCAAGCTGGATTAAAGATTTTAACCTAAGTCCTGAAACCATAAAAATTATAGAAGATAACCTAGGAAAAATTCCTTTGAACGTTGACCTAAGCAAAGAATTCATGACTGTGGCCCAATAACAAATGCAACAAAAACAACAAGAAGTGAGTGAGACCTAACTAAACTAAAAAGCTTCTGCACAGCAAAAGAAATAATCTACAGACAACCTGTAGAATGGGAGAAAATATTTGTAATTATGCATCCGACAAAGGACTAACATCCAGAATCTATAAGGAATTCAAACAAATCAGCAAGAAAAAAAACAAATAATCCCATTTAAAAATGGGCAAATAACATGAATGTACATTTCTAAAAAGAAGAAATACAGATGGCCAACAAATGTATGGAAAAAAAATCACTAATTATCAGGAAAATGCAAATTAAAACCACAATGAGACTCCACCTTACCCCAGCCAGAATGGCCATTACTAAAAAGTCAAAAGCAATAGATTTTGGCATGGATGTGATGAAAAAGGAATTCTTTTTTTTTTTTCTTTTTTTTTTTTTTTTTTCTCGAGATGGAGTCTTGCTCTGCCGCCCTGGCTGGAGTGCAGTGACACAATCTCAGCTCACTGCAAGCTCCGCCTGCCGGGTTCATGTCATTCTCATGCCTCAGCCTCCCCAGTAGCTGGGACTACAGGTACCCGCCACCATGCCTAGCTAATTTTTTCTATTTTTAGTAGAGATGAGGTTTCACCATGTTAGTCAGGATGGTCTTGATCTCCTGACCTTGTGATCTGCCCGCCTCAGCCTCCCAAACTGCTGGGATTACAGGCATGAGCCACCGCACCCAGCCGCAAAAAGGAATTCTTATACACTGCTGGTGGGAATGTAAATTAGTACAACCTCTATGGAAAACAGTATGGAGATTTCTCAGAGAACTAAAAGTAGATCTATCATTTGATCCAGCACTCCCAGTGCTGGGTATTTACCCAAAGGAAAAGAAGTCACTATATCCAAAAGACACCTGTATGTGTATGCTTCTCACAGCACAATTCACAGTTTCTAAGATATGGGAACATCCTAAGTGCCTATCAACCAATGAGTGGATAAAGAAAATGTGTTATACATATACACCATGGAATACTAGTCAGCCATAAAAAGGAATGAAATAATGTCTTTTGCAGCAACTTTGAATGGAACTGGAGGCCATTATTCTAAGTAAAGTAACTCAGCAATAAAAAACCAAATACTGCATGTTCTCATGTATAAGTGGGAGCTAAGCTATGGATACACAAAGGCATTCAGAGTGGTAAAATGGACAATGGAGACTTAGAAGTGGGGAGGACTAGAGGGAGGTGAGGGATGAAAAACTACCTGTTGGGTACAACGTGCACTACTCATGTGACAGGTGCACTAAAATTCTTAGACTTTACTACTATTCAATTCAACCATGTAACCAAAACCACTAGTACCCCTAAAGCTATTGCAATAAATTTAAAAATATATATTATCTATTGGCTCTCCAAAAAAATAAATAAATAAAAAGTAAGAAAACAAAAAAAAAATTAAAAAGAAAAGAAAAGACCAAAAGGCAAAAACAAAAAAAAAAAAAAAACACCTAAACCTCTGAGGGAACATGTGAATAAACTAGAAAATAGCAAAGGGAGAATAATTCATTAAAATTCTTACTATTGGATTGAATGATTACAAGCAAGTAGGAAACTAAGCATGAATATTGTATAGTCTGTTTTCAAACTGCTACAAAGATACCACCTGAGACTGGGTAATTTATAAAGAAAGGAGGTTTAATTGACTCACAGATCTGCATGGCTGGGGAGACCTCAGAAAACTTACAATCATGGCATACGCAGAAGCAAGGCACATCTTACATGGTGGCAAGAGAGAGAGACTGGGCCAAGAGAGAAACTGCCAAACACCTTTAAAGCATAAGATCTTGTGAAAACTCGCTCACTATCATGAGAACCCCCGTGATCCACTCACCTCCCACCAGGTCCCTCCTTCAACACATGGGGATTACAATTCAAGATGAGATTTGGGTGGGGACACAGAGCCAAATCATACCAAATATGAAATATGTAACAAAGGTAGCAGATGTTCCATTCATTGGAATCCATATATTGGTTTTGCTGTTTTTTCCATCTTTTGAAAGAATCACAAATACAAGATGGTATTAATCAAAACCAGACATATTTAAAAGCACATGCAAACATGAACTTAACTCGGGCTTCTAAGGGTAATGTAGTGCCTATCCCCCAGGCATCTGAAGTGGTGCTGCCAATATACATTATAGCATATAGGTGAATTTTATAAAAGTGCATCCTGAAAAAACAAGACTTACTTTAAGTCAACTCTGGACTGAGGCTGAAGAGGGCCTACGGGAGGCCATATTATAACTTCTGTGGGCCCTAGGCACCTTGTCTTTGTGATCTCCTTCCTCCATAACAAAATACCAGAAATTGTACTTTATGAATGTGTTGGTTATGTAGATGAATATAATATGGGCTAGATTCATTATACATTACACATTTTACATATATACACATATATGTTATATTACATATGTGCATGTGCTATTATATTTATATTTCTCATATAATTTGGAAAGAAATTAAATATTTCTTGGGCCCCTGAAAGTATCATGGGCCCTAGACGCTGTGTCTACTGCACCTATTGGTTGAGCCAGCCCTGACCAAGAAATAGCAGCGGTCAGAAAAGAAATTACAGTGAGGGTAGGCTCAAAGTCCCTGGTGAAAAGTCTTGCAGCTCAGGGAGAACAGAAGAAAGATTATTTTTAAGAGAGAACAGGAAGTAAACTATAATGAGCATATAAGCCATCCCAGAAGGGGAAGGGGAAAAAAGCCCTGAGTTAGAGCTTTTGCCAATTTCTGTGGTGTAAATGTTCTCCCTATAGTTGTCTTCAGCTACCAGTTGTGTAACAACTGGATTTTTAAATTCTTGGATATATCACAATCAGCTCTTGCTAGCCTACATGAATATACCACGGGAAGAGGACTGTTGTCACTCTTTAGAATGTTTTGCATCTTTTGAGCAAAACCACCAAGGTACTCTAAAAATGACATGAGCAGGCTTCAGGACCAGTCTTATGCCCAACATCACCACATGAAGGTCTCCAGCTTTCTTCTATTGCTAATCATAGCCTCAAAATACTCCATAATTAAGAATTATAAATGCAAATTAAAGTTTAACCTATTCTCTCATTATCAATTAGTTTCTGTATGAATGCAAATATAATATCATACTCTCCATTTTAACAGAAAAGGAGTTGCATATTAGAACCAAGAAATGTGCAGGCCTTGTTCTTAAAAGATATGTAGAGAAAAGGTGTCTGGGAGGGTCCTGCAGACAAACCTTGTCAACTTTCAATTTGCCCTGAGAGTTGCCTATCCTCATTTTGTGTGCTGGCAGAAAGAATCCAGGACCCAGCCACTTTATGGTGACATTAGCAGCCTTCTTTACAATTGTAGATTGAGTAACTGCTTGCTTGTGTCTACATTCTTTTACACCAATATTACCCTAAATAAGTAAACTCCCCTTCTCCCAGTGAAAAACAATTCCACATGGTCTCTAAAGTACAGTAATGGTGGAAGATTCAGCAAATAATAATGTCCTTGAGAAAAAGAGCTGACCCTTGTTTTGTTTAGACTTTTATAGAAACCATACTTTGGGCTGGGCGCGGTGGCTCCCGCCTGTAATCCCAGCACTTTGGGAGGCCCAGGCGGGCGGATCACGAGGTCAGGAGTTCAAGACCATCCTGGCTAACACGGTGACACCCCGTCTCTACTAAAAACAAAAAAAAATTAGCCGGGCGTGGTAGCACACGCCTGTAATCCCAGCTACTCAGGAGGCTGAGGTAGGAGAATTGCTTGAACCCCAGAGGCAGAAGTTGCAGTGAGCTGAGACCCAGCTACTGCAGTCCAGCCTGGGTGACAGAGGGAGACCCCGTCTCAAAAAAGAAAAAAAAAGAAACCATACTACAGTATGTCAAAATGCCTTAAAAAAAATGAATCATTGAAAAAAACCTGACTTTGAATTCAATCAAAGGGACAGCTGATCTGATTCACCTTATTATCTGAGACATCATTGAGTATATGAATGTATACACACACACACTATGAGTTTCTTGGGGCTCTGTATAACAAATTGCCACCAACTTAGTGGCTTAAGACAGCACAAATTTATTTTCTTATATTTCTGGATGTCGGAAGTTCACAGTCAGTCTCCCTGGATGAAGGTCAAGGTGCAATCAGGGCTGGTTCCTCTTACAGATTCCAGGGGAGAAGATATTCCTCTCTCTTGTTCAGTTTCCAGCGGCTGCCTGCATTCCTTGGCTCATGACCCCTTCTTAACATTACTGCAACCTCTTGCTTCCATGGTGCTGTCTGCTGCAGACTCTAATTCTCCCTCTTATGAAGACCCCTGTGGTGATTACACTGGGCCCACTGGAATAATTCAAAATAATATTCGCATCTCAAGATCTGTAACTTAATCACATCTGCAAAATCCCTATTGCCATAAGGTAACTTACACAGGGATACAGGGTCTAAGAGCTGAATATCTTTGCGGGGCATAAGTCATCCTACACACACACACACACACACACACACACACACACACACACACACAAGCAAACATTAACAAATAAATTTTCTTTATCTTTTGTGTTACAAATGTAACTATTAAAATTACAACAGAAACCAAATAACTTCCAAGTTTTCACGATTAAAAAATAAATGCCATGGGCACTTAATAGATTGCTTTAGCTTCTAATAACAATGAAACATTTATCTAAAATATCTATAATAAGGGCCTCAGAAGACTTCATGAATATTATCTTAATTTTATTCTTGCAACATCCAAACGGAAGTGCAGTTGTCAGGTATTTTTTGATAAATACGTTGCAAAGCATAAGCTTTTGAAATAAAGGAGGTGACTTATTAAAATGTTCTAAGAATATCTGATTTACAGATGACTTTTCTTTTTTTTTTTGAGATGGAGTCTGGCTCTGTTGCCCAGGCTGGAGTGCAGTGCCGTGATCTTGGCTCACTGCAACCTCTGCCTCCCAGATTTAAGCAATTCTCCTGCCTCAGCCTGCCGAGTAGCTGGGATTACAGCCACACACCACCATGCCTGGCTAATTTTTGTACTTTTAGTAGAGACAGGGTTTCACCATGTTGGTCAGGCTGGTCTCGAACTCCTGACCTCAGGTGATCCACCCACCTCAGCCTCCCAAAGTGCTGGAATTACAGGCGTGAAACACCATGCCTGGCCTACAGATAACTTTTGATGTGGAGAAAATGAATAGGTATCTGATACTCAGCTCATGGCTTAATTGCAAGTACCTAGATTAAGTAAGCAATTGTGATTGCCTCCTAACTTTAAAAAAAAGTTGCATAATATAAATCATATACGCTATCTTTGTGTTTAGCTTCTCATTACGAGTCATGTTTCTATGTCTTATTATTTCTTAAAGTCCCACTGAGATCCTAACAGACTGTAACAGAAATGCATGTTACATGTAGCTGAGCATTTAAATTCAATATCAGTTATACATTTGAAAGAAAATTAGCATCCATTAGTTCACATAAAAATGAGCGTCTTTCCACCAAAACTTTAGACATTTCTTAATGATTTGCCCTGTTATACTATAAATTCCTGCAATCAAGTGACCTTATCTCATTCCTCTTGGTGTCTTCCTACAATATTCCTGCCAATACTTACATTAGATCAATTCTGCCGATAACTTCAGAATCTAGAAAGGTCAACTTTATTTCTTTACATGCTTCTTCTAAATCTGCTCCTTTTCCTTTAGCATTTTCATGATGTCTCCTAACCAACTGTTAACCTGTAACTGAGATGGTCTTTCTTTTATTTTTACTTCTAATTCTTACCTACCCATTTGAAATGAACCTGTTAAAATGGTTGTCCCTGAAGTAGCATTTCCCTTTACATCCTACAAAGATCCACAGCTTCTACTAGAATTATCGGAGTGTTTGTGCATGTATGTATGTGTGTCTGTGCGTGCGTGTATGTGTGTATATGTGCAAATTATCTTTCCAGTTTGGAAGGCTGGTGGTTGCATGTAGGCATATATTTTCATAGGCTCTCATTTCCTGAGGCTTTACCATTTGCTTTAGAGATTAGGGAATGCCCATTCCAAAAATAGCCAAGTTCTTGGTGCATAAAGGATGTTTTTATCTGCCAGCCACCACTGCCCAGGCTGCAGTTCAGGCTTTCTCTTCTTCCTGTCCTCCCGCTCCTCATGTCTTTGCCAGTGTGCCAGAGCTCTGTGGGTGGCCCGCTGTCATCACTCTGCACCTGTCCCAATTAGCAGGCCTGAGACGCCGCCAAGGCAGCTTGCGTGCTGTGGACTAGTGCGTTGTGTGACCTCATGGCTGGCAAGGCAGCGGCTCTATGGTATGTGGTGTCTAGACGCCATTTGTTGGGCCTGCCCGGTGGGCAAAAGCTGTGTGTGGTATTGGAGGTTTCCCACAGCTGTGTTCACAGGCTGAAAAAGACTCACCAGAGGCTGGACAGCTGGGACCAGGTCATCCATCTCAGTGCCCTCAGAGTTCATCACGGGCCTGACACATGATAGGTGTTCATAGATCTTTGTTGAAATTACAGTGGTTTAGGGCAATATTGATTTTCAACTGTTGCCACAAAATCTGGGAGAGTGTTGAGATGAAGAACATGAATGCTGGAGGCAGAAGGACCCTGGGTTCAAATTCTGACTTTGCCACTTTCCAGCCATATGACATTAGGGAGGTGTGACAATGACCCCATGTCTCAGTTTCCTTATATTTTATGGGGACACTAGTAGCCCCATCTTATAGAGTTGTGATTATTAGAACAGCTTATTCTTGAATAGCTCTTAACACATAACCAGGCATGTGCCTAAGGCTCTAGAGATGCTACACTTTTCATAATCACCACATTTCATCTGCAGTCGCCCGCCAGCCTGCCCACTGTCATCATTTTCTCATTCTGATGTTCTACATATGTGACATACCTTAAACACTACCTTTTTTTTTTTTTTTTTTTTGAAACAGAGTCTCTCCCTGTCGCCCAGGCTGGAGTACAGCAGCGCGATCTCGGCTCACTGCAACCTATGCCTCCTGGGTTCAAGCGATTCTCCTGCCTCAGCCTCCTGAGTAGCTGGGATTACAGGCGCGTGCCACCACACCTGGCTAATTTTTTCTTTTTTTCTTTTTTTTTTTTTTTGTATTTTTAGTAGAGACGGGGTTTCACCATGTTGGTCAGGCTGGTCTCGAACTCCTGACCTTGTGATCTGCCCACCTCAGCCTCCCAAAGTGCTGGGATTACAGGCATGAGCCACCATGCCCGGCCTAAACACTGCTTTTAAAATATTACTAGTAAATGAATTCAGCAAAACTATTTCTTTCTCTTTCTGTGTTAAAGGTTTTAAACTGGCTGTTAGGAACATGTTCCCTGAGATGGGGCATTACCGTCTTCATCCTCTTTGCAAAGACAGGGGGAAGGGACTAGGAGGCCTGGGACTTCCTTCTGAATCTTCTACTTTCAAGGAAAGGACAACAAAATACACAAATGTTAATAGACCACACACCTTTCTCCTTAAATTCAGGAGGTCTAGTGTGACTCATTTTGCTGTCAGAAGCTATTTTACTGAAGGTAGAAAACAATAAAATGCAATGGTGATATAATTTGGATATTTGTTCCCTCTCAAATCTCATGTTGAATTGTAATCCCCAGTGTTGCAGGTGGGGCCTCGTGGGAGGTGTTTGGATCATGGATGTGGATTTCTCATGAATGGCTTAGCACCAGCCTCTTGGTGCTCTTGTCGAGATACTGAGTGAGTTCTTGTGAAATCTAGTTGTTTAAAGGTATGTGGCACCTCACCCCCGACTCTCTCTCTCTCCTGTTCTGGCCATGTGCCTGCTCCTGCTTTGCCTTCTGCCACGACTGTAAGTTTCCTGAGGCCTCCACAGAAGCCAAGCAGATGCCAGCACCATACTTCCTGTACTGCCTACAAAACCATGAGCCAATTAAACCTCTTTTATAAATTACCCAGTCTCAGGTATTTTTTATAGCAATGCAAGAATGGCCAATTGAAAACCAGAACAGATATTATTTCGGAAGCAATAAGTATTAGCTAAAATTTAATGTGCCCTAAAATGTACCTACGAAGTTCTGTGACAAAAAGAAAAATAAGCTTATGGAAGTAAAAACAGATATGAGGGTAGCATTTCTTTAGGATGAAAAGAAAGGAGAAAGCATCTGTAGGGCCCATCTCGATGAAAGAACTCTGGTTGGCTGAGATGGCTCCAGGTTCTGCAGAAAGCTGATGAGAATGGAATTTTCCATTTTCCAAAGCAAGTGATAGTGAGCTTTCCTTAGGTATTGATGGGATCCAGCCTCCTTCCTGCATACTGCAAGAGAAGTGGGAGTGGAGATTTGAGGCTTCTGAAAATAGAACTAAATTAGTTTCACCCTCAGAGCTGTAATTTCCTATCCCCTTACCCCACCTACACACACACACACACACATACACACACACACACACACACACACACACACACACAGGCGCGCACACAGGCACCTGTCCATTTCATTTCCTTCTGGACTATATGTGCAGGTATTAATTGTGTAGTATTAATTTATTGTGTAGAATGACTTAGGAAACGTTTCTACACAAAGGGTAAAACCTTCAGGGTACTAACTTGGGGTTCATTTTGGTCACGTTTTACCAGATGGCACCAATGTCAATTGCTGAGTCTCTGGTGTACCCCGAAATCTGGCTTCTGAAGCCACCAAATCATATCTTCTTGGTGAATCTATATACACATTATGGATAATTTCACCATCAGCAGCAGCAGTCTCTTTGTCTTCCAAGGACAAAAAGAGAAGACAACTTTCATATTAACATCATTAAATAAAAAGTTAAAAAGTAAATTTCCTTATTCAACCACAAGGTGGAGCATTTAACCCAGAATCAGCTGCCACTAAATCTGTTCATAATATTTTATTTTTATGCGAGCATTTTTACTGTTTGGGGAAGGGATCTAAAGCTGAAATAAAAGAGAATATTGTGTCTTAAAAATCTTAATTTTAAATAAAACCCAGCAATCTATGCTTGAATACGATTTTCTAAAAAATGAGCTGCATTAGAAAAGATCTTAATGGTTAAATTGTAAGCAATCCCAGATTATTTGATGTACCAAGTGACAGATTTATGTAAGCCCACAGCTTCAAATGGACAGATTTGTAAAATGCAGGAGTTATAAATAAGAAACCTAGATTTTTTTTGTTGCATTCAAATTGACTCGAGAAACCTAATTCATCTGTCTCCTTAGACCTAAATTTTTACCACTACATTAATACAAACCAATTTTCATTATTATATTTGTTTGAAGACTACCTTTAAAGGCAAGGCATAATATGTAACACAAGTGAGAAAACTCCTTCCAAATCAAAGGTCTTAAAAAGGATGACTTTCACCTAAGTTGATGACAGTTAAATGAAAACAAATTATAATGTATTTTGAATGTGCTTAAAACACAGGTTGCAGTTGACCTGTTCTCTTGTATATAAAAAGAACCAATAAATTTAAGTAAGAGTTATTGCCTTATACCATGAAAACTACACAGGGCTTTGATCATGTGGTCAGGAGTAAGTTCCAGGAAGGATCTTACCAACTCAATGTACAGTTCATGTGTTTCCAGAAATACAAAGAAGGATGGGGATCGCAGAAGTCACATTTTGTGAGATGGAGCCAGCCGCACTGGGTGCCTCCTGGTGATGTCTAAAGTGAGTATTAACAGCATCCTCAGAAGAACAACAGGCATTCTCAAGGGACTTTTGTAGAAAGGGTTCAATTGGACATACAAAAGTGGGGGAGGGCAGGGAAAGTGGCAGGGCTGTCTTAGCTAGGGAGGCGGTGGGGACATCGTGAAGTGACTCAAAGCACAGGTATTGGTGCTTTCTTTTTTACTCAACTTTTCATCCAGGTGTCTTTGCTTTCACCTGCTTCTACAGGATCATGATTCTCTAGGAATTATGAGCCCATTCTAAGGCTGAACCCTGCCTTAGTCCACAGGTAGGCATCACTTCTGTTTGAAAGGAAAGGTGTAGGTTACTGAAAGCAAGAGGCACGCACAGATGAAGGAGAATTCCTATAACTTCCTAGCACAGGGATGCGTGGCACTCCTTGGAGACTGGGGCGTCTGCAGGCTTTGCTGTGGTGCCACCTAGTGTTGACAACTATCATTGCAGTTTTTTGATGGTACTGGTTCTGATGCTGACCACCGGCTGCTAGTCCCCGAACTGCCAAGCCCTCCTTCATCTCTGCAATTTCTCTTAGATCAGAGAAAGTGGAATGACCCAGCTTCCTGGGCAGTAGAGAGGACCACAGGCACATAACAGAAAGTGAGACAGGGTTTGTTGAAGAAAAGATGTATTGCTTAGTTTTACAAACCTTTTATCTTCTACAAATACTTTGTTGTAACAAACAGCCCACCTGATCACCAACTCCACTCCCATTATCATAAGAACATGCGGAGGGGCGGGGGGACACTCAGGTCTTTAATCTACTTGATTTTTGTGACTTCCATGGAGTTACTTGAGGCACCACCTCAAGGGCCTAAAGCCACACTCTCAGGCCCTAGGTCGCTGGCTCCATGGCAGGGATTCTCCTCCAACCCCAAGAGAAAAGAGAAGCAAATAAGTAAAAACAGCTTTCCCTTTTGCATGTTTGACTTGCAGCCATTTGTATGTGTTTCCTAGAACTCCTGTAACAATGTACCACAAACTGGGTGGTTTAAAACAACAGAAATTTACTTTTGCACAGTTCTGAAGACTAGAAGTCCAAACTTAAGGCACTCATAGGGGCACACTCCCTCTGAGTCTTTGGATAGAAATATCAGAGGCTTTTGAACCAGAGTGACTCTATCTGGAATAGGGGCTGGGTAAAGTGAAGCTGAGACCTACTGGGCTGCATTCCCAGGAGGTTGGGCATTCCAAAGTCACAGGATGAGATAGGAGATCGGCACAAGATACAGGCCACAAAGGCCTTGCTGATAAAACAGTTTGCAGTAAAGAAGCCAGCTAAAATCCATCAAAACCAAGATGGTGATGAGAGTGACCTCTGGTCGTCGTCACTGCTACACTCCCATCAACGCCATGATAGTTAACAAATGCCATGGCAATGTCAGGAAGATACCTTAAATGGCCTAAAGAGGGGAGGCATGAACAATCCACTCATCTCATTGTTTAGCGTGTAATCAAGAAATAACCATAAAAATGGGCAACCAGCAGCCCTCGGGACTGTTCTGCCTATGGAATGGCCATTCTTTATTCTTTCACTCTCTTAATAAACTTGTTTTCACTTTACTCTATGGACTTGTCCTGAATTCTTTCTTGCAAGAGATCCAAGAGCCCTCTTTGGGGGTCTGGATCTGGACCCCTTTCCAGTAACAGAATATTTCCTTGCCTCTTCCTAGCTTCTGATGGCGACCATCAATCCTGTCCAATCCTTGGCTTACAGCTACATGGTTTCAGTCTCTACATCTGTGCCCACCTGGTGCTCTCTCCTTGTGTGTTTCTCTTGATATAGTCTTCCCTTTTCTTATAAGGCATCAGTCATATTGGATTAGGGCCCATCCTAATGACCTCATCATAACTTGATTACATCTGCAAAGACCCTATTTCCAAATAAGGTCACATTCTCAGGTACATGGGATAGGTCTTCAAAGTATCTTTTTGGGGGTCACAATTCAACCCCTGACCATTCTACCATTTTGGCTGAGAGGTGTCCAGTGCAAAATCAGAAGTTTTTAGACATTTCTTTGTAGAATTTATATAAATTTTCAAAACATTTTTTGCTCCAGTAAACTAATTTTGTTTTCTCTGGAGCTGAGGCACACAAGTCAATACAGTTATCTCATGCTTGCCAACAAAGCATCCTACAAGACATTTAACAATTTTTGAAAAGCTCTACAGCAAGTTAGGGACAAAAGTGCTCTCTTTATCACACTCCCTTCCAAACAGAACAAAACAAAACAAAACAAAAACTTCAGAGCAACTCTATAAATCATAACAGAGAACAATGCTGTTCACTGATAATTATTTCAAAACTTACATCATGAATTTGGGCTTATCAAATACCGTGATACTTTGAACAACTCCACTAAAAGAGAGAACAGGGACATAGTGCTTATTTGATTTTTACCTCAACATTTGGTTTCATTTCTGATTATCCTTTCTTGGTGCCAAAAATTTTGAGAATATTAAGGAGTTGGGACATTCCATATAGTTCCTAGGTGAAGGAGAATGGTTCCATATAACATTTACATATGAAGTTATTTAAAAAATATTTCCAACTAAATGTAAGAACTCAACATTTGCACCAATATAGAAATTGTGTAGAGCTATCATCAAAATGAAAAAACAGATTTTTAATTTACCACCTTAGTTAGTCCTAAGTCGTGGTAAAATATCAACATAGCTTATGAAAAAAAGCAATAGATGATTAATTCAGAATTGGAAGTGCCTCATGTGGATGGCCCAATTATCCATGTAGATAAGACAGTTGTAATTTCGTTTAATTTAGTCATCATTAAGGGAAGTTATATTTAACTCTGAGTCTAAATTCCACAAAGCAAAATTTTAAAAAGCTCAAATTGTCCAATAATTAATTATCCCTGATGCAGTTAAAACAAATAATTTGTTTTCATCTGATTTATGAACACTCAAAATCATTTACTCGAAGCCAATGACTCAGAAAATAAAATATGCAAGAAGTAGGTATGCTGGTTTATTTTAGAAAAATACTTAAGCAATCATTTAATTTCTAAAGGAAATCCATGCATGTTTTCCTTATTAGTTGCAATGTGTTACAACAATATAGACCACTGGTATAATGAACATTGATTTGTTCAAGAAAGAGCTGGGAGACTGTATTGTGTAGTAGGTAAGGATGTGTCTTCTGAGAATCTTAGCTCAACAATTTACCTACCATGAGCAAGTCCTTTTATCTTTTTAAGCCTTGACTTTCTCAAATATAAATTGAAAATATTAATAATAAAGACAGCACCTAATTTTATTTATGTGGCAGAGAAAATACTATGAGTTTTCCAAATAATTTTATTTTCTATTTGGGCACACAGGTAGACTACACTTCCCAGCTTAACTTGAACCACGTGGATGCTGTTATTAATTCAGGTCAATGGCATGTGAGCAGAACAGGTGCATGTCATTTCCAGACCTGGCCTCTAAAATGTTCCATGAGCCCTTTGGCTCCAATGGTCCAAAGGAAGAAGCCTGGATCCCTGAATCACTGCTTAAAGAAAAGGGACTTCGAGATGAGTAAGAAACAAATCTCTCTTTGTTAAGCTGCTGAGATTTTGCGATGCTTGTTACAGTCATTCACATGGTCCAAATGATAAACTACATCAAAAGGTTGTCATAATATTAAAAGAGACAGTAATCATAGAGTGCCTAGCATGGACTAAGCATCCAATAATTGATGGATATTATTAATGTTAGTACTTAAAAATCAAAGAAATGTATAATGTCCTGTTGAACATCTAGCCTTTGATAATAGTTAAAATATCTTGAGAAAAAATATAGATATTGATTATACATATACATACTCTATTCTATAATGCATAAAATTATATTACTTAATGTAGTATAATCTCTCTCCATATCTTCTGAAGCAGTGCTTTAACATTGGTATTAAGGATTGAATAAATGAATGATAGTTTCAGTGCATAAATTAGTGCATGAATACAGTGTAATGGAGGAATATTTCCTGTTTAATTGCACTGGGTAGAGTTACTATGTACCCTATACATATAGACATTTTTGAAGACTCAAGAATGACAAATTTACTTAACCCCAAAGGGGAGGAGGAACACAAAGGTAGCTTCAACAAATATTATATGCTAGTTCTTACCTGGTACGGTGAATGCATGAGTGTTTGATTACTACACTTCCTGACTTCCATACACTTTTATCTATTCTGTTTGTGGACAACTGTAATATAATGACGGTTTAAAAAATAAAACTAATATTCAGTATAACTGATTTCTGATTATGTAGAAGACTTGAAAGGGATTTGTCATCAGAGTTTATTACATGAACAATCACTGTGACTAACAAGATAAAGGACTGAGACATTAAAATGCTTTTGACATTCACATTATACAAAAAAGACACTTGTACATGCATGTTTATGGCAGCACAATTTGCAATTGCAAAAATATAGAACCAGCCCAAATGCCCATCAATCAACCAGTGGATAAAGAAAATGTGATATATGTATATACATATATATACCCTGGAATACTACTCAACCATATAAGGGAATGAAATAATGGCATTTGCAGCAATCTGGATGGAATTGGAGACCATTATTCTAAGTGAAGTAAGTCAGGAATAGAAAATCAAACATTTTATGCTCTCATTCATAAGTGGCAGTTAAGCTATGAGGACACAAAGACATAAAAATGATACAATGGACTTTGGGGACTCAGGGGAAATGGTGGGAGTGGGCTGAGGGATAAAAGACTATACACTGGGTACGGTGTACACTGCTCAGGTGATAGGTGAACCAAAATCTCAGAAATCACCACTAAAGAACTTATTCATGTAACCAAACACCACCTGTTCCCCAAAAAGGTATTGAAATGTAAATTTTAAACATTTAAAATTTTAAAAAGTGCTTTTGACATTAGAAAACCACAGAGGGCGGGGCACGCTGGCTACACCTGTAATCTCAGCACTTTGGGAGGCTGAAGTGGGCGGATCACTAGGTCAAGAGATGGAGATCATCCTGGCCAACATAGTGAAACCCCATCTCTACCAAAAATACAAAAATTAGCCGGGCATGGTGGCGCACACCTGTAGTCCCAGCTACTTGGGAGGCTGAGGCAGGAGAATCACTTGAACCCGGGAGGTGGAGGTTGCAGTGAGCCAAGATGGCACCACTGCACTCCAGCCTGACGACAGAGTGAGATTCTGTCTCAAAAAAACAAAACAAAACAAACAAACAAACAAAAAAAACACAGAGAGATCATTTTCTGGCACTGACAGATCTGTACGTTTAGAATCAAAATTTTGCAGATGGAAGGAAATTTCAGGCAAGGGGATAAGATGGTGAGTTCATTGGCATGGGTATCAGAAAATTCCAATTCCAGTCCCAGAGCCATCACTAACCATGACATCTGGGGGCAGATCATCTGTCAGAGGCTCAGTTCTCAGGTACATAAAATTATGAGATTGTATTAATTCACTAATTTTGTGATAATTCCTTGTTTTTCAATACCATCATTATAAATACTAGTTTTCATTGCACTACATGTGGGAGAAATTATCAGTTAGAAGAGTTCCAGCTGATAGAGTGCTAGATAAACAACTTTTTAACTGTGTACTCTTCCATGACACACAAATAGTTGTTTTCCATAGAAGCCAAGTCATGTCAGATAATGAATTGAAAGGCAAATGAAACTGTAATATTTTATTCATACTTAATTGGGCATACACAGTTTGTACTTATTCCAAACAAACAAATCCAGAATACGAATGTATTTTAATGAACCTTCATAACAATAGAAGCAGTATGAAAAAAAAATTGATCCAGCAAAAAAAAAAAAAAAAGAGCTGTTTCGAGCATGTATTTATGGCATACCTATCACCCCAGTTTCTAGGCAACAAGCCATTGTTCAAACAGAAAGAAAGGTAGATAATTATAGATCATGGTATATTTGGTCTTCTGTGCCCAAGGAAGGATATCGGTAAGAAATAAAATTTTATGTGAGTCCTAAAGGTGTCTTTGCATGTGTCTGATGTTTAAATGGAATTTCTTAACTAAATCGCGGCTCGTTTTATTTGATGTTCAGCCTATTGATAGTTTCTTCCTTCCAGCCAGACCTGCATGCCAGCCTCTAGCTTGAACACCCACCTTTGCTGCGCCTCGGGGCCTGCAGTCTGCGGTGCTCTTAGCCACAGATGGCAACTATTTTTAGGAGAGCCTGCTGAGAAGAAGAATCATGGAAATGGGTAAGGAAACCACGCTTTCCTGGGGATTTCTTGAAAAAGGCCTCTTTTTCGACCCAGAAAATCCTTTCGCATTTAAAGAGAGTTCGCTCCAGTGCTTCTCTTGTTTTATTTTACTTTCTAAAGGTATCAAATGCAAGAGTTCATGAAGAGCACCCAGGCAAAAGAGCAAAGCATGCTGCTTAGGCAACCTGAAGGCAAATCAAATCCTGCCTCAGGTCGGTGAGAAAAATGCCATCCAGTTTGGGCACAATTATGAACTATTCTCCAGTGTGTTCAATTTCAAATCCAAACTAATTATTTATTAATGTGCTTGAAAAAATAAACGTTAAGAATCCCTCTATTGTTGCATTTAACATGTATTCCCGAATATTGATGGAGCATCTTCTGTGTCAGACACTGCTGGGGACACAGGATACAGTGGGAAACAGACCCATCCCGAGTCCAAATTCACAGAGCTCCCAAACTGGAGAAAGACACTGAACCAACTAATTCATAAGTGAGTAGATAATTTCAAACTGTGATAACACTCGAGGAAGCAAAAGGTGCTCTAAAGCCGGTAACAAGCGGGTGTACTTTGGTTTCAGTGATCAACTATTTGTGAGGGACCGGGCGCAGTGGCTCACAGCTGTAATCCCAGCACTTTGGGAGGCCGAGGCAGGTGGATCATTTGAGGTCAGGAGTTCGAGACCAGCCTGGACAGCATAGTGAAACCCCGTCTCTGCTAAAAAACAAAACAAAACAAAACAAAAAACACAAAAATTAGCTGGGTGTGGTGGCACGTGCCAGTAGTTCCAGCTACTCAGGAGGCTCAGGCAGGAGAATCTCTTGAAACTGGGAGGTGGAGGTTTCAGTGAGCCGAGATCGCACCAGTGCACTTCAGTCTGGGTGACAGAGCGAGACTCCATCTCAAAAAAAAAAAAAGAAAAAAAAAAGATATTTGTAAGGAGGTGACTCAAACTGAGGCCCAAAAGATGAATCACCTTCAGTTAGGACTCAGAGGCGAATAGCATTTTAAGCAGAGGGCATCGTATGTGCCAAGTAGAAAGTTTTCTACTTTTCAGAAGTAGAAAAGTGCTTGTCATTTTCAGTAGAAGAAAAAGTACCAGCAACAGCAGAGCTACCAAATATTGAACGGGGATGTGTGGTATAGACTGAGACTGAAAAGTTGTAGGTGAGCCTATAATTCTTGTTAGGCAATTCATGTTTCATTCTAAACGCAGTGAAAATCCAATGACATGAGCTATTTACAGTAATACGAGTAGATTGGAGAGTTGAGAATGAAAGCAAGGATACAAGTTGGAAGGCTCCCTGGCAATAATCCGGGGGGGGGGGAATATATTGTACCAGTTAGAGTCTAACCAAAAAAGCAGAATCCACTCTAAGTAACTTAAAATGAGAAAAATTAATACAAAGAATTGGTTTTCCCTACAATGGAATGGAAAAGAAGTTAAACATAGTTGGTGGTGACACAATGAAATAACATCAAGAAACCACCACCCTAAGGCTGGAGGACTAAAGGTAGGAAGTGATACTAGCAGAATCCAAGGCTGAGTCATTTGGTAGAAGTGGGAACCATGATGGGCCAGTCCAGAGGGAGCTGAAACCAGGGAGGTGATGAAGCTATTGCAAAGAATACCGCTCAAGACGAGATTTATAGGTCTCTCCCACTGTCGATTACCCTATAGTGATTCCCACTGACAAAGTCCCACTGGAAGCCAGCTTACATTGAGGCCTGAAAAATTCAGACAGACCAGGAACCAGCATGTATGTTTTTAAGAAAGAATCTAGTACAACTGGTAATACATCAAGTATAGAGATAAGTGTATAGTCAAAAAGACACTCATGTTTCTGGCCTAAACAACTAGGTAGATTATGACAACATTGACTCAGAAGTGACAAAGAAAAAGAGAAGCAAGATATCAGCTTGACTGGGCTAAGGGATATCCCAGAGAGCTGATACAACATTATTTCTCAGTGTATCTGTGATGATGTTTCCAGAAGAGATTAGCATTTGCATAAGTGGACTGAATAAAGAAGGCCTCACCAATATAGACAGGCATCATCCAATCTGTTGTGGGGCCCCAATAGAATGAGAAGACAGTGAAAGATCAATTCTCTCTCTCTCTTTTTGAGCTGGAACATCAATTCTCTTTTGCCCTTGGATTTTAGTGCTTCTGGTTCTTGGACCTTCAGACTTGGGAGGAACAGAACCACTGGCTTTCCTGGATCTCCAGCTTATAGACAGCATGTTGTGGGACCTCTGCTCCTCTACAATTACATGAGTCAATTTCCATAATAAATCTCCATCTTTTTATCTATCTATCTATCTATCTATCTATCTATCTATCTATCTATCTATCTATCCATCTATCCATCCATCCATCCTTCCTATTAGTTCTGATTTCCTGGAGCATCCTAACTAGTACACACGTTATGAGAGCCAAGAGACAAGCTGTGCATATATTAAGCTTGACATGTTAAAAGAGTCTACTTTTGGATAAGTTAAACTCAACATGTTAAACTTTTCCACTTAGACAACACATTCTCTCATCTAAATGTGTAAGTCAGGTAGAGTTTAAAAGAGAAAGCTAGCTAGAGAGAAAAATTAGGACTTGACATCTTTTTTGATTGTATGTACTCTCTGACAATAGATGAGTCTACCTTGCGCTACAAAGTCTGTCATAGATGAATCTAACTTGTGCTACAAAATGCTGAATAAAATATTGCAAATATTGTTGAAAAGAAGGGCTAATTTCTGAGAAGGCCAGGGAAATACCTAGGAGGCAAACACAGATGCATCCTGTCGCTGCCCTGGCAGTGAGCTTGCCAGTTTCAGTAACAACAGGGCTTAGTCTGGAAAACCACACAGGAACAAAAGAGAAGGCTATGAAGATGGTAAAGTGAGTTGAAAATAAAACCCAAAATTGCATAATGCAATGATCCTCAAAAAGCTTCCCCTCATGGAACACATGGATTAGGAGAAAAATATGTAACAACAAGAAATCTTGCCTGTCTCTAATGGGTCTTGGGGGAGGGAGGGATCTCACCTGAGAATTTATAATCACTATATTGTGGATTTAGGGATATGAATTTACTAAACTAAGAAATTTGGGAAATTAACATAAAAATTGTTTCTGGCGGATGATACACTTGAGTACCTGACACACCCTCCATTCTGGCAGCAGAGAATTCTCACTGATAAAGCCAGGATGAAGATAATTTCTCAATCCAAAATTAAAAATAGCAGGGGAAACATGGTGAGTTTTGTAGTCTCAAGGAAGACAATAACCTAAGTGTTTTCACCTTGGAAAGGTACTTTGCAATGTCATGTTAAGTTGATTAGTAAACTTGAATGCACACATATTCTACAACCTGTTAATTCTTCTCACTAGAGTAATGCCTAAGAAAATTTACAAGAACTTTTTTTGCAGCATGGTTTGTTTTCATACAGCAAAATTAATAACAACCTGTATATTATTCTAGAGGAGAAAGCATAAGTATATTATCACAAATTCAAACAATAGAAAACTATACAGCAGTGGAAAATGAGTAAGCCAGAGATAGATAGATAGATAGATAGATAGATAGATAGATAGATATCATCATCATCATGGAAAAAAATCACAAAAACATATTGTTAAGTGAACAAAGGAAGCTGCAGAAGAATGCCATTTACATGAGATTTAAGAACTGTGTAATATCCCTACAATATAGTTGATATAGTTTGGATATGTGTCCCCACCCAAATCTCATGTTGAATTGTAATCCCCAGTATTGGAGGTGAGGCCTGGTGGGAGGTGATTGGATCATGTGGGTGGATTTCTTGTAAGTGGTTTAGCACCAGCTCCTTGGTGCTCTCCTCACAGTGGTGAGTGAGTTGTTGAGAGATCTGGTTGCTTAAAAGTGTAGAGCACCTTGCTCTAACTCTCTCTTGCTTCTTCTTTTGCCATGTGATGTGCCTGCTCCTGCTTCACCTTCTGCCATGAGTAAGTGCTCCCTGAGACCTCCCCAGAAGCCAAGTGATGTTGGTGCCATGCTTATACAGCCTACAGAACTACAAGCCAATTAAACCTCCTCTGTAAAAAATGTAAATTATCCAATCTCAGGTATTTCTTCATAGCAATGCAATAATGGCCTAATACACCCTATGTCTTATTTATTAATACCTTGATAATAAGCAGTAGATACAAATTCAGAATATCACGGATACCTTGGAATGGGATTTGGGGGCTAGAGAGGGGTTTATTTTAACCAGTTATTTTACTTTTAAAAATTGTGAAACAAATTTCCCAAAGTTTTGGGATTTGACAAAAGTGGATAGGAATTACACAAGTTACTACTAAATTTTCTCTATATTTTTCTTATTGTCTAAAGTGTGTATGATAGTGACAAAGAAATGCTGAATGGAACAAAAGAGAGTAGACACTGTGGGTATAGACAATCCTTTGACAGCATTTGGCTATAAAGGAATGGAGAAAATTTGTATTGGAAAGATAGGCATCAAAGGAAAGTTTATCTTTTAGTTTTGTTTTAATTTTTAATGTTGGTGATAGTGCAGGTTATGTGCCTCCTAAAGAAAATTATCCAGCTGAGAGGGAGAATTTAAAGATGCATGATCAAGACATAATAACTCGAGAGTTAAAGTCCCTGAGGAGAGGAGAGGCAGAGTGTCCCAGGACACTTGTGAAGATCTGGCCTTTAGTAGAAGAAGAGAAACTAGGTTAATTAGCCTGGGCAAGGCCCCAGTCATAATTACAAAAATGTATAAAATTATCTTTGTGACTGAGGTCTGAAATATGAGATTCAAAATCCATTGTTGTAACACAAAATGGAAACATAGAGTTATTTTCATATGTTACAACTACATCTCATTTAAATGATTTTACTAGAACATGAAATTTGGAGAGTACGGGTCTATGTCCTGACCTCTTTTATTCAGAAAACCAGACTTTAGTAGGTAAATTTCATTCAATCATGGTTTAGCTACCCTGAAGGCAGAGGCATGACTACTTAGAATTTTATTATTGTGAAATGTCAGTGTACAAAGCATAATAGAAAATGACACCTCATAACAAAGGATTCTAGGTAATTTTATGCTTTATTTTTCCCCAAAAGCAGCATGAATACCATGTCTCTAAGTTAAAGCACAGCTGTACTGATGTAAGATGGTGGGCAGGATGCTGAAAGACATCATCTTGTCATGATTTCCCTGTAATGATCTTTCTTCTCAGAGATAATTCAATAGTTACAATCCCATTGTCTGTCAAGTAGAAATATATTCCCCTTAAGTAGCCATAATTTTATTATCTTCCCTGTGAATCAATTCTTCAGAATGTTGCTTCTCTCAGAAATGTTTTCTAGTAATCCTACCATTTCACAGCTCATTTGCACCTTTGCAAGAAACATGCATGTTGGAATTGAATGGAAAAGGAAATTAAAATTAATCCTTTTATGTTGGAATCAGTGTTGTGATGTGTTAGATTCGTGGAAGAAAGATTTGTTGGGATGGAGTTCAAAGATCTTGGTAAAGTAGTATCATTCCTGTTCCCTGAATATCCAGTAATTAAGTTGGCTTACTCCCCTCCCCTAATATTGAAAAGAGAATTTCAAAGCAATAGGTAACAAAGGTCAAAATGGATATACAGCAGGGCCAGAAATAATACATCATTTCCACAATATCCATGTGTGGTAGGTAAAATAATGGTCCCCACAGACATCCATGTCACAATCCCCAGACATGGGAATATGTTACAAGAAAAAGAGGACTTCGGTATTAAGGTAGGGATCTTGAGATGGGGAAAGTATCCTGGATTATCTGGGTGAGTCCATTCAATTCACAAGACTTCCATGTGAATTGTAAAATGGTCTCTGAATTGGACCCTCCCTTATAAAAGGGAGGCTGAAGGGTCAAGTTCAGAGAATGAGGTGTGATGATTAAAGCAGAGGTCAGAGTGTGTAAGGGCCCATGAGCCATGGAATGGGGGTAGCTTTGAGAGGCTGAAGAAGGCAAGAGAACAGATTCCCCCCTAGATCCTCCAGAAGGAACACAACCCTGTAACCATTATAGACTTCTAGCCCCCAGAACTGTAAGATAATAAATTTGTGTCATTTTAAGCTATCAAATTTGTAGTAATTTGTTACACCAGCAATGGGAAACCCATACAACATGTATAAAGATCTCAACACAATGCATCACACATAGCACTGTTTTCATTATTGTTATTGTCTAGTATTTTTCTTACTCTTCTTTGGGCTTGCTCTATATATTTAGTTAATTTGCCATTATTTAATTCTAGGCATTGTGTGAAAATGAACTTTCTATTCTATTGTTATGATTTTCAGTTATGGAATCTGAAATAAAATCGTGAATACACTACCATGTTTCAGAAATTATTAGAAATAGAAGGCAACTGCATGCCTTGAAGATTGTCTTTGTGTTGCAAGTGAGAGTTTTTACTGGCTGGTTAAAAAAAAGGCGCTAAATTATGGCATCCATTTGTATGAAGAATTGAACTGCTAACCTTGTGATGTCTTTGGCATATTCTACAGAATTGTGCTTCTTGGGAGCTGAGCTGACAACATACATATCAGTTCCCTCTTCCTCTTTTTCTAACTCCTAAAACAAGCCTGAATACTATGTAATATGGTTTGGCTGTGTCCCCACCCAAATCTCATTTTGAATTTTAGCTCCCATAATCCCCATGTGTTGTGGGGGGGACCCAGTGGGAGGTAATTGAATCACAGAGGCAGGTTTTTTCCATGCTGTTCTCATAATAGTAAATAAGTCTCATGAGATCTGCTGGTTTTATAAATGGCAGTTCCCCTGGACAAACTCTCTTGCATGCTGCCGTGTAAGCCTCTGCTCCTCCTTTGCCTTCTACCATGCTTGTGAGGTCTGCCCAGCCATGTGGAACTGTTAGTCCATTAAACCTCCTTTTCTGTATAAATTGCTCATCCTCGGGTATTTTTTCATAGCAGTATGAAAATGGACTAATATAGTAAATTGGTACTGGTAGTGGGCACTACTGTAAAGATACCCCAAAATGTGGAAAAGACTTTGGAACTGGGTAACAGGAAGAGGTTGGAACAGTTTGGAGGGCTCAGAAGAAGACAGGAAGATGCGGAAAAGTTTGAAGCTTGCTAGAGACTTGTTGAACGGCTTTGACCCAAAATTCCAGGCGGAAGTAGTCTCAGATTAAGATAAGGAACTTATTGGGGACTGGAGCTAAACTGGTTCTTGCTATGCTTTAGTAAAGAGACTGGTGGTATTTTGCCCCTCCCTGGAGATTGTGGGACTTTAAACTTGAGAGAGATTATTTAGAGTATCTGGCAGAAGAAATGTCCAAGCAGCAAAGAGTTCAAGAGTGACTTGGGTGCTGGTAAAAAGGATTCAGTTTTATGTGTTCACAAAGACATGATTTAGAAATGGAACTTAACATTTAAAAGGGAAGCAGAGGATAAGTTTGGAAAATTTGCAGCCTGATGATGTGATAAAAAAGAAAAACCCACTTTCTGAGGAGAAATTCAAGCTGGCTGCAGAAATTTGCATAAGTTATGAGGAGCCAAATGTTAATTACCAAGACAATGGGGAAAATGTCTCAAGGGCATGTCAGACACCTTCACTGCAGCCCCTCCCATCACAGGCCCAGAGCCCTAGGAGAAAAAAAATGGTTTCCTGGGCTGGGCCCTGGGCCCCCCTGCTGTGTGCAGCCTAGGGACTTACTGCCCTGTGTCCTAGCCACTCCACCCATGGCTGAAATATGCCAAGGTACAGTTCAGGCCATTCCTTCAGAGGGTGCAAGCCCCACACCTTGGCAGCTTCCATGTGATGTTGAGCCTGCAGGTGCACAGAAGTTAAGAATTGAGATTTGGGAATCTCCACCTAGATTTCAGAGGATATATGAAAATGCCTGGATGTCCAGGCAGAAGTTTGCTGCAGGGGCAGGGCCCTTATGGAGAACCTCTGCTAGGGAAGTGCAGAAGGGAAATGTGGGGTTGGAGCCCCCACAGAGAATCCCCACTGGGGTACTGCCTAGTGGAGCTGTGAGAAGAGGACTACCCAGACCCTAGAATGGTAGATCCACTGACATCTTGCACTGTGTGCCTGGAAAAGCCACGGACACTCAATGCCAGCCCATGAAAGCAGCCAAGAGGGGAGCTGTACCCTGCAAAGCCACAGGGACAGAGCTGCCCACGGCCATGGAAGCCTACCTCTTGTATCAGAATGACCCTGTATGTGAGACATGGAGTCAAAGAAGATCATTCTGGAACTTTAAGGTTTAATGACTATCCTATTTGTTTTTGGACTTGCATGGGGCCTGTAACCCCTTTGTTTTGACCAATTTCTCCCATTTGGAAAGGGTGTATTTACCCAATGCCTGTACCCCCATTGTATCTAGGGAGTAACCAACTTGCTTTTGATTTTACAGGCTCATAGGTCGAAGGGATTTGCCTTGTCTCAGATGAGACTGGACTATGGACTTTTGAGTTAATGCTAAAATAAGTTAAGACTTTGGGGAACTGTTTGGAAGGCATGATTGGTTTTGAAATATGAGGACATGAGATTTGGGAGGGGCTAGAGGTGGAATTATATGGTTTGGCTCTGTCTCCAACCAAATCTCATCTTGAATTGTAGCTCCCATAATCCCCATGTGTCATGAGAGGGGCCAGGTGGGAGGTAATTGAATCATGGGGGCGAGATATTCCCATGCTGTTCTCATGATAGTGAATAAGTCTCTTGAGATGTGATGGTTTTATAAAGGGCAGGTTCTCTGCACATGCTCTCTTGCCTGATGCCATGTAAGCATTTGCTCCTCCCTTGCCTTCCACCATGACTGTGAGGCCTCCCCAGCCATGTGGAACTGTGAGTCCATTAAACTTCTTTTCTTTATAAATTACCCAGTCTTGAGTATTTCTTCACAGCAATACGAAAATGGACTAAAACACTATGATAATTTTTTTTGTTTGAAATATAAACCATTATGAGGAATGCTAAATTAAACTTGTGAAAAGGGTAATATTGCATTTTTAACTCTATAGCATATTCAAGACAAAAGACCTAAATTTTCCATGGAGTTTCTCTACTGTTTTCACCTCAAAATAAGTCCATGGAGAGAAACTAAAACTAGTCCCATGAAAGAGAATTTTGCTTTGATAATGGCCAAACCTCTCTAAGATATGAGTTTTGTAACCCATGCTGTCCATTTCCACAATGAGTTAAGCCACCAGGGTTCCTGTTAACATACTGTATTAGTCCATTCTCACATTGCTAAACGGACTTACTTGAGACTGGGTAATTTATAATGGAAAGAGGTTTGATCGACTCACAGTTCTGCATGGCTGGGGAGGCCTCTGGAAACTTCCATTCATGGCAGAAGGGGAAGCAAACACAACCTTCTTCACATGGCAGCAGGAGAGAGATGTACTGAGAAAAGGGGGAAGCCCCTTATATTAATAAAACCATCAGATCTTATGAAAATTCATTCAGTATCACAAGAGCAGCATGAGGGAAACTAACCCCATGATTCAATTATTTGCACTTGATCCCGCCTTTCACATGTGGGGATTATTACAATTCAAGGTGATATTTCCGTGGGGACACAGAGCCAAACTATATCACATACATTGATTATTTTTTTTTTCTATGTCAGAATGTTCTGATTGTGCTACATGAAAGTCTGCATCTATAAAAATGACAGACTTTAGAAATCTCCAAGAATCTTCCCTATCAATTATCAGGTTTACAGATCAATATGCAGATAAATCAAGACAAATTTAACTTGCTTGGATGAAGAGATGGAAATTTTGTGCAATGAGATGTTGCAGATTATAAATTTTAAAAGAAGCTTCCAGAAAGAGAATACAATTCACCTAAATGATGTATTCTGAACTGCATTAATCTGTAAGATTTTTCTTTGCTCTCTACCTATACATATACACTGCTTACATTGGAAAAAAAAAAAAGCCTGCTTTATATGAATATAAAGTGAATATAAAGCAAGATATGCAATAAAATATTCATAATGCCAAACTTCCAGGTCTCAATACATGCTCTTTCTAGAATATCAAATATAATGAACCCTCCAATTAGAATTAGGTTTGGTTCTTTTTCATCCATTCATATTTTACATTACCTGAGTGTGTGCATGCTATATATAGCTGCCCTTTCTTCATGTAACCTTCAGCTATCTTGGATGAATTTTAAAACTCCCTTTGCAAATTCTTATAGCCTTTTAGTATTAAATAAGTCCTCACTGACATTTACAAGTCATACCATTTACAAGAGTGCACTGTGGACTTCATGTTTATTCCCCATTCATTGCAATAAGATGTGATGTTTAATGCTCTATTGATTATTGCTGCAGTAACAAGTGACACTTTTAATGAGTTATTTTCTTCTCTTGGCTTCATCCTTGATACACATTACACAGTAAACTATACTGTACCTTAAAAACATGCTTATTTGCATCCAATAATAAGGTTAAACAACTCACTTTCTTAGGTTGATGAAAAACTATAATACCAGGGCAAATAATGCTACAAATATTAAGATATAAAACAGACTGTTTTTCTAATGACACCATTTTTATGGTGATTAAGACATTTCCTTCCTAGAGTTGAAATCATTAAAAGTTTTTCCTTTACTTGGTGAATCTGTAAGTTGAAAGTTGACATATATTCTCTATTTATATGCAGGTTAGATGAGCTATGGAGTGGATATTTTGGGTTTAGTTTTAAATAACTCCTTGCAGCAAGGAATAAAGAGAAAAAAATAAATGTTTTAATGATAGTTTAGAATGTTGGAAATTGGACATTGTATGCTTTAATTGTAAAAGTTTTTTAGTTTTGTTTTTGCTGGAGATTATCTCTTTATTATGATAATTGAAGGAGAGACACTAATAAAACAAAGATCTTTTTGGCTTTTTATTCATGTTTAATTAAATTCAAATTTCCTAAGAAACAGCTAAAGCTATATCTCTGTACACAATTAATGTGACCATAGCTGTCAAGTTACTCAAAAGAAATGAGTCACATAATTTTTTAAAATATTCACTCATTTTTATTTGACTTTTTTATCTGATTATAATAACAATTCACGGATGGTCTTAGATGGTAGCCTTCTTTATATCAGAAAACGCTACTTATCCCCCAAATCTACACTATCCTGTACCTTACACCTTAAATACAGTCCTCAGATAACACTTGGTATCTACAGGTTCTGGCTCCACAGATTCAACCAAGTATGGATCAAAAATATTTTAAAAAGAAATGAAAAAATAAATTAAAAAACAATGCAGCGTAACAACAATTTACATGGCATTTACATTATATTCAGGATTATAAGTAATCTAGATGTTATTTAAGGTATATAGAATAACATGCATAAGTTATATGCAAATATTATACCATTATATATAAGATACTTGAGCATCTGTGGATTTTGGCATCCATGGTGGTGGGGAGGGTGGGGAAAGAGGGGGATCCTGGTACTATTTTTTTTTTTTCAGTTTTCAAATAACTATTCCCAGAAGAAAATGCAAACTATCATTAGGGCTGGCACATTAAGCCTTATCAGATATTGACTCTTCAGCTAATGCTTCATTATTTCCTTTCTAACTTGACAGCTTGCTGAGAGCAGCTCCCGTAGAATAGGGCCTCCAGAGAGCAGCAAGAAGCCTGCAGCGCAAGAGCTCCAGCCCCAGATGCCAAGTATTAGAGGAAAGCCAGAGTGAGAATTCGGCATAGCCAGCAGGCTGGCATATGGATAAGGATTGGGAATAGTAAGAGAAAGATGGGAAAGGTGACCAAAAACAATATAGAGGCAGAGGCCAAGTGAATGCATCCCAGCAGCAGACCACTTCAAAAGTAGTCCTGGTGCTGATTGCCTAGCAGGAGAGTTGAGTGCCACAGGCTAAGAATGAGTGAAGAGGAAAAAATCATGATGTCATGTATGCAGTAATTACTATGTCAGAAGAAAATATTTTAAAATATTGGATCACTCTTGTTCTACCATCCCTACCCACTCCTAAATCATGCCAACATATCTGAGACAAGTTCATGCTGCCTCTCACTTTAGTGACACTCTAGGATGGCTGGCATCCCTGATTTGGAGACTCCAGGAAACCTACAGATGTATATATGTATCCTTTAAACTTTTTAAAATAATAATCCAAAATATATTAGCTTCTGATTTTAGAAATCACTCAATTTTCCTATTTAAATGCAGAGTTCCTATATTGCTTATAAAATGAACAATGTGAATAACAATTGCTTATACCTGCTGGTTTTTGGGGAAAATTGATAGCCGTTATATGTTTTTTTTTTTTTTTTTTTTTTGTCATCCTAATGATCTCTGAGATGGCATGAATATATTCATGTAATATGGGTGCATGTGAACCTAACTACAGAAAGGAATTGAGTAAATAAATTTTCAGAAGCCAAATCACATAATAGAAAATTAGGTCTGTTCTATACCATACAAATAGCTGTAATAATAATGGATTTTATCATTTCTTCAATTCGTTATAAGTAGGGTAGTGCCTAAAGACAATGATTCTATGCATTTGTTTAACAAACATGAACTGAATGCATAATAAGCACCAGGTATTATACTGCACATTATATACAACAACAAACCATACACGCACAGTTCCTGACCTCAAAAACATTACATTCTAGTGGGACATAACACAGTTAAGAGTGCAATACCATGGAGCTTCACAGGAAGAAGGCAAGTAAGCCAGAGGCTTAAAGGTTGAACAGGAACGTGCTAAGCAGGTGAATCACAAGTAATGACAAAGACATTTGAAAAACCCAAACATCCATGAGAGCAAGAGGTAAAAAGATTTTGTTCCAATTATAGTTTTCGCTAATAGTGGTTAGATAAAATTGTCCATTTTAATTTCTACCCATGAATCTCATATCATAAGAATAGAACTCCTGAGTTGATGCAGAACATTCTATTCTGAATTGTGAATTGAGATTGCTTAGAATTTATGTGTTTTTAGAAACATTAATTTGGTGGCCATGACAATGCACCTTGCAGAATTCGAACTAGAGGAAGTGTAATGCACAGAGGCTCTGGCTGTTCTTTGAAATCCATCACCATGTTTAAGCTGACATCATGCTTCCCGTAGGCACAGTGATGCTAAGGCAGTTTTGACATTAGGATACAGATATCTTCTCTTTTCATGCAACTCTGCCTCATGGACTCCCCAGTGGTCTCTTGCTGGACTTCCTTGAGACTGCATACTGGTCTATGACGCTTCCACCCAACCTTCCTTTTCTCTTTCCTTCCCTCATGGTCAGACTTGCGTGGGGTATGATGACTCTCCCAGCCTCTCTGTTCTTCCTCCCCATTTTTTCTCACAGGGATTTTCCCTAGTAAAATCTGTGAAGGGGCTTCTTGGAGGACCTGAACTAACTAACACAAATGGTACTAGATGTGGTCTGATAAAACAGGTGATAAGAGGACCTGGGACTGCCTTGCAGTCATGGTTCTATGAAGGGCACAATTGAAACAACTGAAAGATGAGGGCAAAGTCCAAGCATAGGTAATGGATTGGTTGGCTCATTACCTGGGCTGAAATGGATGGTGGCTGCACTATAGACACATATAGGAGTGGCCTTGAAAAAGAGCAAAAAGGGAAATTCTTTCCAATGGGCAGAGCTATGAGCAGTGAACTTAAGCATTCACTTTTTGTGGAAAGAGAAGTAGCCCAAAGTGATAATATGTACAGATTTCCATTCAGTGGCCAATGTCCTGGATGTCTGGCCAAGGATTTGGAAGGAACAGAATTTGGAAGAGCGGAGACAATAAATTCTAAGGTATAGGTCCATGGTTGACATAGAAGAGTGAGACTGTCATACAACGTGTGAATTAAACCTTAGATATTATTTTTAATTTGCCATGTTGATCTACCTCTATCTGTTGAGCTAATCTGCATACCAAACCTGTGCAGGCCTAGTGAATAATTTAAAAGTTAGATCTTTGTTTCTCCTTCTACTTCTTTAGTCATGTCTAATGAAAAATTCCAAATATATAAAGTAGGAAGATGGAGTAAAGAAGCCAACTTTCTTTCTCCAAAATCTTTCTTCCTAAAAAAGTGATTAACTCAATATCTGATAGAACTAAATACGTGAGACATAAACTTTGATAGTTTATGGGAGCAGGTGAAAAGAATATAGCTACCTACAGTATTTTTATGCAAAATCCCCAAAAATACACAAATGTATGGTAATAATTCTAGAATTAGCAGTTTCAGATTTCAAGTTCAATAAATCCATTACTAAGTATCTCTTAATATCTGCTCAATTGTATATTCAAAGGATGTGAGGCCCCAGGAATATAAAACATGATCCCTGCCTCCAAGGCGCTTACAATCTCCTTGGGGAGATAAGACTGACACTTAGGAAGAAATGAAGAACAATATAAGACAGTAATCTCGTCATACTAGAGAAAATTCAGAATAGATACCCATTCTCTCTAGTGAATATGTAGCTTTCTGAAAGCAGAAAGCTTAGAGGCTCTAAACAGGCCCCTTAGATGGGAAGAAACTTGAGGCTGAATCTTGATGATGATAAATTGATAAGATGCCCACAGGACTGGGAGAGAGACATTTTCTTCAGGGAACCGAGTGTGACATCTAACCATTGAGAACTACAGAAAATACAAGGGCACTTTGGCACCTCACACTCAGAGCATCCGGATGGTGGTACCCAAGTGCACCAGGGAACTTAAGGTTGGCAATGTCCAGTACAAAGCATTTAATTTCTGCCTTTAGAGGCAATCATTGGTATTCCTAAGCACCAGTTTGCAGTCTGGAGTCAACTGACTTATGATAGAGTTTGCAGAAGCTGACAGCCTGGTTAACTGACTCTCAGTAATCATTTTCTTTGGAACTTATCTGCCCCCAAACATCTGGTACTTCATTTTGCCTCCTCCAAAATGGATCTGAGTGGAGATGCTTGAAGTCCCTGGATTCCATGTTTGCCTACCAGCCAGACTGTCCGTGGCTGGGAGCATCTGCACCTGGAAAAGCTCTGTTGGACCTATCTCATTTCATTGTTGCTCATCACATACTCTTTCATCATACGAATAGTCACTATGGCCAGTTGAATTACCATAAGTTACAGTTAAATAATCTCAAGAACTCTAAATTATAATTTTAGGTTCTTTTGTCAACTGTTTCTTTTTTTTTTTTTTTTTTTTTTTTTTAAGACAGAGTCTTGCTCTGTCATCCAGGCTGGAGTGCAGTGGCTTGATCCCGGCTCAGTGCAACCTCCACCTCCTGAGTTCAAGCAATTCTCCTGCCTCAGCCTCCCAAGTAGCTGAGATTACAGGTATGTGCCACCATGCCTGGCTGATATTTGTATTTTTAGTAGAGACAGGATTTCACCATGTTGGCCAGGCTGCTCTTGAACTCCTGACCTTTTGATCCGCCCTCCTTGGCCTCTCAAAGTGCTGGGATTACAGGTATGAGCCACTATGCCCAGCCTATCAACTGGTCTTTATGACATATAGCAATTTAAAAAGCCAATTCAAACGTAAGTTTGAGTTGGGCATTGCCAGCACTTTTTATAGTCCTAAATTAACTGGAAACCAGTATCATACTAAATTGGCATTCTACCAAGTGTTAGCTTGCTGTATGATACGTCACTTGGGTAGCAAAAGGAGTGAAGAGGAAGAAATGTCACTATAATTGATTATTTACCTACTGTGCTTTTCTTTTATCATACCTACCTACTGTGCTTTTCTTTTATCATAACTTGATGAAATCAGAACAGAACCCGCCTATTTTACAGATGAGGAAATACGTACTCAGAAAAAAACTTTCCAAGTGTTGAAAGCCTGATTATGGAAGAGCCAGTTCACACCTCTGACAAAAAGATAATGCTACCATGTTGAGCTTGTGATTTTTAGTTGCCTAACAACATACCATTTTTAAAAATGCCTGTGCACGTTCAAAGCTTCTCCTCAGAGATCATAAGTGTTTCCAGGCAGCTGCCCTGAATGAAAAGCTTCCCAGAAAGTGAAAAATTTTTCATAAATGCATTAAACAGGAGCTGCAAGGCATTATACTCATATATATTTATGAGTAAATCTCATGTAAGCCAAAATAGATCATGGGTCATTTTCCATAAAATGGAAGAGAAAATACATTGAAATATAGCCATCTGGTTTTCCATCTCAGATACATTCCTGCAAAACTGAGCCCAAAGTTAAAACATACATGTTTTATATCAAGGCATCTTTCACATGTGGGTTTCAAGAAACTCTGACTAAGAGGAAAAATCCACTTTTGTTTCTCAGAGAAATGCTTTACATTACAGGCTACTTCACAACTAAGGCAAATTCTAAGTATCTATATCAAAATTTTGCACTTATAGTTTCATGTCAGAAAGTAGTTACCTCAATTTTAAAATGTGAGAATCACTAAATCACAAGATATACTACTTCTTCCACTGAAATATATTTAGTCCCTTGCTCACGAAGATTCTAACTAGCAACTCTCTTTCATAGTTTTGTGTGTTTTTTTGTTCTGTAGCTTCTTCCCCCTAGATCATTTAAGGCTCAATTATTTCTCATCTTGAATATTGCAGCTACCTCTGGACAGTCTCTATATCATTGGTATCTCCAACTTCCTTCCCACTCTAGTTCATTTTCTTTCCTACCACAAAGTCATCTCCCTGCTTAAAATTTCCTGTTGTTACTACAATTTTAGGAAGCTGAATTTCTTAGGTTGACACTGAAGCCCCTTCCCAAGTTTGGCTAAGCACTAAGCTTCTCTCCATTTCCAAACCTGGCATCTCCTTGCATTCTTTCTTCTCTGGGTCAAGTGTTCCCATTCCAGAGATGCTTTTCTCTGCTTTTCTGCCTATTCAAACCTAATAGTTGCATTAAAATTCAGCTTTGGGTTTATTCTCTCAAAGTAGCACATGCTGTGTCAATTAATTATAATTTATCTTTACATATCTTTCGTACCATAAGATCTCTATGTTCTTGAAGTCACAGATCATGTGTGGTTGAGTCTTTGTATCAGTTCTTAGCATTAGCCTGATGTGTGGTAGGTAAGAAGTAAAGGACTGTTTAGTGGATGAATGAATGAATGAGTGAGTGGAGTGATAAATTTGTATTTATCAAGATTCCCTTGTGAAAATGATACGTCCTTAATAAAACAGACAACTGATTTAGAGGGTTGAGTCTGTTTTTCTGTACAGTGCTAACCATCATATAACATTAGAAAAAAATAATTCCTTTCCTGCACTTTATTTTTAATTCACCATCCTTTATGGTCTTATTTTTGAAGACACAGTAGGCATGTTTATTGAATAAATAATGAATCAATACCTTCCCATTGTAATATTCAAAAATTCCACATTTGAAGATGAAGTGCTTATAAGCATAGTCAGAACTAATATTTACAGAGAATTTACTATGTGACTGGCATTGCGCTAGAGATTTTATATGGATTATCTCATGTAAACCTCCAACAGCATTTTATACTAGACATCAGTGTTACCCCCATTTTACAGATGAAACAAATGTAACATAGAGAAGTAGTCACTTGTTCAAGGTTAGGTAGCAAGTGGCATACCCAGGTGTTAAAGATAGGCAGTGTCTTGCCAAATACGCAATTCTCAACCATTTTGCTACCTTGTTCTTTGATGGAGGAATGCATTGAGTGGAAACAGTTCTGTCTCCTTTTCTTAGTTGCAGAGTTTGCCCCTGTAAATTACTGTAGTTTCTGGATATGCATGTCATCTGTGAAGCTTATGTAATATACAATCTTCTGCAACCAAAATCATATTGACAAGTTTATATCTCACAATTCATTTAAGTAAGCTTAGTCATTCCTATATCAAATTCTTTATATTGTTTCTCTTTTAATTTTTCTCCAGTTTCTGTTGCTTTTTTTCTGCCAGCCCCAGTTCAGTTAAAACAAAAACAAAACAAAGCAAAAAAAACTACTGGGCAAATACATTAGGACAGAGTTTACTTTGTGTGCATGTGTGTAAGTGTGTGTGTGTATGTCTGTGTGTGTGTAGGAAAATTACATTTTCAGCAATAAGTCAGGAGTTGAATTTAAAGTAATTTGTTCATAACAAACAAATGCTTTCCTATAGCTAACTGAGTGAAATACTTCATTGGTGGAAGAAGAGATTGGCAAGTCTGTGAAGACTAAGACAACCTTTTGCCAACTGAAACACGTTAGTTCTTTTGATCTATAATTCAGTTCCTCTCCTGGCTCAGCAAAACACTTAAGAAGGCTCTAAGACACTTCCATTAGGTGTACTTTATAAGTATGGTCTCAAAGGCGATGAGCCACAAAGAGAAACCATTGAATAATGCCATTCAGTGAGCTGTCTCAACAATATACACAAGCTGGTATGAGCAAATCTGAAATAAACAATAAGATGGTTCACTCTTATGCAACTATATTTTCATAGGATTATTTGTATCTGATTTTCTCTGCAAAGGAAGACATCTAAATTGATATGCTTGCCTTTAAAAGAATAGTTTATAAGTTCCTATTTCACAGGTTAGGAGCATAAGAAAACACATGTTCGGGAAAAACACATGTAATTTCTGCTTAGAATACAAATTTAGATTTGATATAACTCCAAATGTTATAGGAAATCATTGCACAAGAAAGAATGAACTTGTCTTTATCGGACTCTGCAAGGCATTCAATTTCCCCTTAATTTTATGACATGATTACAATAGGAATATATGCCAGACCATTTAAGTGAAAATTGTGAAATATTATGAATCATTAATTTGTAAGCAATTAAGCTGTAGAAATGAAAATGGCAGCTTTTAGCAAGAACTCAAATGATATCCAAGGATCATAAATAAAAGGGAGAAAAACATAAAAGATTTTTATTCACAAAGTGTTAAGGCAATATATAAAGTTCCTTTTAAAAAATTATTTTAACTCTCTAGTTTCTGAGATGTAATTTGAATTAACCCAAATTGATTTTGAGCTACCCTTCCAAATTTTAAAATCTTATACAAGATAAGATGGTATTTGATAGCATTTTAAAATCACTAATTAGCTTTGATGAAAGATTAGTTTGCATAGAAATGTAGCTAAGTTTTTAAGTTGGTTTTTATCCAAATATATTAACTTATAAGCTAGGTAGCTTATTATACTCAAGAAGAAATATTATATTGAGTATGAAACAAATGTAGAGTGTCTTCAGTAAGCTTTCTCATTTTTATGTCTACAAATTCATGCAATGTTAAAAAATTAACGTGGCAAAAACTTTTTAGCAAAGCATGCTGAAGAGTGTGAAGCAGGCTTAACATGCACTGGTTACGAGCTTGTATGAGTCTGGTGAGATAGAACACCCATGCACACAAGTTACATGAGGCAGATTTATTACCTATTGATATGGTTTGGCTGTGTCCCCACCCAAATCTCAACTTGAATTCTATCTCCCGGAATTCCCACATGCTGTGGGAGGGTCCCAGGAGGAGGTAATTGAATCACGGGGGCCAGTCTTTCCCGTGCTATTTTCATGATGCTTAATAAGTCTCCCGAGATCTGATGGGCTTATCAGGGGTTTTTGTTTTTGCTTCTTCCTCATTCTCTCTGGCAGCAGGCACCTAAGGAGTACCTTTCACCCTCTGCCGTGATTGTGAGACGTTCACCAGCCACGTGAAACTGCAAGTCCTTTCTTTTGTAAATTGCCCAGTCTCGGGTATGTCTTTATCAGCAGCGTGAAGACGGACTAATACACTTATAGATAGGCAGAAGCTTAGGATTCACTATGAGCTGGTCCCCCAAGAGGAAGGAAAGCTGCCCCAGGGCTGATAAAGTCTTGACTATGAGTGCCCTACTTGCAGCACAGCTGAAAGATTGCAGAAAGCAGCCCGCCACTCTGTTGCCCAGGCTGGAGTGCAGTGGCGTGATCTCGGCTCACTGCAACCTCCGCTTCCTGGGTTCAAGCACTTCTCCTGCCTCAGCCTCCCAAGTAGCTGGGATTACAGGCGCCCACCAACATGCCCAGGTAATTTTTGTATTTTTAGTACAGACGGGGTTTCACCATGCTGGCCAGGCTGGTCTCAAACTCCTGATCTCAGGTGATCCGCCCATCTTGGCCTCCCAAAGTGCTGGGATTACAGGCGTGAGGCACCCCGCCCGGCAGCCTACTCTGGGTTTTAAACCCCAGGGCATATGACTTGCTGGGCTAAAGCATTGAAATACATCCTGTTTTTAGGTGGGAACTGAAACAGAGGCCACACTGTTCTGGCCAGTCCCTCCCTATCTCAGAATGTTACATTTCTAGCACATTCTACTTTTATGCTTTAGAAGTTCAAGTGAGAAAGTGGGGAAAACTGGGTTAGTCCAAGTCCACCCAGAAAAGTGTCCTGCAAAAAGCATAATACTATGCTAAGTGGATCTTTTGTTGTTTTATTTACAAATTGTCCTAACTACCTAATGGAACCAGTCATGGTGCTCTTGAATAAATGAGGTTTTTAATCCCAGCTGTATAACAAATGGTAGAGTCCGAAAATATGTCACTATGCTTTATCACAAAATTATTCTATTCCACCAGTGTCACTATTGAGAAATAAGTTTCTAATTCTTCTCAAGAATAAGATTCCAACTATTCCCAGAAGAAGCAACTGATATGCTTCATATACAAGCCATGTGGGACTGGCTTTATGATGACTGGGGTATTTTCCCACTGAATATGCCTGTTACCCAGGTCATAATAAATGTTGGGGTTAAAAGGGCGCCTTTTCCACGGGCATCCCAAGTGACATTACTCCTGCAGAATCATACAGCTGTTTGAGAAGCCTTATCAAATTTGCTATCCTTCATGGGTCTTACAGATGCTTAATAAAACATTAAGGTAATTAACAACAAAAAAAATTGGAAAGGTAAAAGGGACTCAAAGGACTAGCCCCTGAAGGGTGGTGAAAATCTTTCGACGGTTATTAAGAAATGAAATAAATACAATGAAAATTTATGGGGTTAAAACAAAGGTCTTAACAACACTATTAATGGTTGGGTGAACCAAAGGGAAACCCTGCTGGTCTCCCAACATTAAAGGGCCCACACCAGTTTTCTGCATTTGCCCCAGACTGGGGAAATTTACGGAAAACTAAAAGGCAAAGATTATAATGAGAAAGCTGACATTGCCTGGGGCAACAATAAGGCAAATTATGACAAACGTTGACAAAAAGGCCTGAGTGCCTTGGATCCACTCTCTGATAGGAACCTAAATTCTCTTTCACCAGAAAAGCTAAAATGGTCTGGGGGTAGGGAATAAAAGTTCCTGTGACCAGAATATAAGAATGTAAATGTTGATCGGATTATGAAATTTGAGAGGTTTAAACAGGCTTTATGTAAGGTAGTTGTGACTTTTTTGCCTAAATGTTTTATAAAAATGAGTATTGTATCTGAATGGGGGATGTTTCCTCTAGTTCAATAAAACTGAGGATGTAAAAGAAAAGGAAAGATTACACTATTGTGAACACATGCAATATGAATACATATCACTCCTTTGAATACCTCTAAAAACCTTAAATGTTTTAATGTTCTAGATGAAATGTTACCAGTAAAATATGCAAGTAGTTCCAAAAGTTGTTTTATCAACCACAGTTTATGAAAGTGGCTCATTAGAAAGGTAATAAATAAGTCATTTTTATTTAATATACCATGGATTTGAGGACAAATAAGCAGGGAAATGATTTTTTTCTTAAGAAAAAATTGTGTGTTTTTCCAAAAGAAAATAATAGTAAAGACAACATGGTCAAGAGTCATTTTTTAAAGTGGAGGAGAATTTTTTACAAAGAATAATGCTGAGATTGAAGAGGTCCTAAGCAAGTATAATCTTCCATTTTTTAATAGAATGGATGACATTGGGTCTTGAAGTTACTGAAATCTTTACAAATATCTTCAGCTGTGGACAAGCCAAAAACCTCAACAAACGCAGCTATATCCTAGAGCTGATACATTCCTATCCAGAATCCTTGAGACGCCCTCAGTGTCTCTGACAAGCCTTCCTAATTTCCCACTACTTGCAGTAGTCCTAGCCCCTGCACTTATCAAGGCTATCATACAAAGAAGAGAAAGTATAATATGATTTAAAGAATCTTTATAAGTTTTACTGAACTCAGGGTGCCCAGGAGATTCAACGGTACCATAATTTACTCTGTGCAAGACTAACCTTCAACAAAGGAACAAACAAAAAGTTTCAGTCATTTTATACATGAGTCCTGCCCAAAAGTTCAGATTCTTCATTCTCTTCTCAAATCTTTTTTCATATCCCTCCCTCCTCCAGGCAAAAATATACATGTGTGCTGTCATAAGTTGGAGAAACAGATATCCTTTCTGATACTCCATGCTGTAGAACACTGTCAATTGACTAATTTCGGATGCAGAAATTCCCCACCCTACTTTAAACACAAATAATGCCTTAAAGATTTTATGTTGATTGGGTGCAGTGGCTCACGCCTGTAATCCCAGCTGTTTGGGAGGCTCAGGCAGGAGGATCACTTGAGTTCAGGAGTTCGGGGCCAACCTGGCTAACATGGTGAAACCCCCTCTCTACTAAAAATACAAAAATTATCCAGGCGTGATGGCATGTACCTATAATTCCAGCTGCTCGGCAGGGGTGCTGAGGTGAGAATCACTTGAACCGGGGAGGCAGAAGCTGCAATGAGCTGAGATCATGCCATTGCACTCCAGCCTGGGCAACAGGGCAAGACTCTGTCTCAAAAAAATAAATTAATTAATTAAATAAATACATAAATAAGATTTTATGTTAGCTAAATTTTGCTCACAAGCTAGGAAAAGTAGATTTATATCAAAGGACAATGAAATCATGTAGATAACAAAATTGGAAGTATGATAGAGTTAGTCTAAAGCAATTCACTAATAATAAAGGAATAAACAAACTGTATGATGTAAAAGTAGCTTCATATAGATTCCTACTTAGGCGTGACATAAAGAGGGAAATAAGATGATAGCTTCAAATATTTTTGGATCTTAAACATAATTCAATCTACTTCCCACAATGTTAATATTATTCCTCCAATGCTTAAACTCCCTTACCATTTACTCCTAATTAAACTTTTTCTTTTTTATTACTCTTCAACTGCTCACTCATTAATTACCACAATCTACTTCCATAACCATCTCTCAGGAGAACATTGGCATGAGCCCACCTGCTTTTTGCTACATTAGCATTGCTGATAATGCAACTTTCTGATATTTTCTGAAGCTTAGTATAAGACATTTCTTTAAGCTATGTTTGGAATTATCTTACCTTGGTCAATGTGGAAGGGAAACAAGGATTACATGAATTGTATGCTCTGAATTTGATAAGACAGCTAAAGTGGTGACGTCATACTGTGCACAGCCTATCTCGAAAGTATTTCAGTTCCTAGTATTAATTTTATCTTCAATCAAATTAAAGCCATTGATAGCACACATGAACATGCACGCGTGCGCAAACATGCACACACACAAACACACACCAAAAATGAGTATCTTTTATGAATGAAAAGGACGATGAAATACAAAGCCCTGCTTTATTAGGACCACTGAAGAGCAGATTCTACATCTACATTAAAGGACTTAAAGGATGCTTCACTTTTTCCATATTTAGAGTTTGTTTTTCAGGATTCAATATTATCTGCCCAATATCCATTTTTTTTCCTCCCTCATTGTAATCGTAGAATCCCTGGGGTCCCTCCTCACTCCTACTGCCCCATCTAGCAACTACAATTCCCAGCCTTCCTTGCATCTGGTTGTGGTCACGTGGCTAATGGGGCATGAGAGGAAGTGACATGTGCACCTGCGAATCACTTCTTTGGAAAGGAAGCTGCTTACTTTCACTTCACATTCTGAAGTCAGGAAGAAGTAACAATTTAGGAGCTACTTATACTCAGAGATGAAATCTAGAGCCTCCTACCTGCCCTAGATATTCTGCCCAACACTGGACCAAATATGCAAGAGAAATACATTTATATCTTATTTAAGCCACTATAGTTTTGCAGCTTAGCTAAACCTGCACCTTAAATAATAAATATATCAAGCAGCAAAGAAACCTGTTTAACTATTAATAACCTTATGCAACCAAAACTTACGATGATAGAAATATAAGTTCTACTAAAAAACTAGTGTTCCAACCGCAGTGATCTAAGAAATGAGGAAGGGATAAACTGTAGCTTAGAATTTGTATATTTTCAAATATAATATGCTAAGGTTATCATTCAATTGTGTTGTTTATTCTATCCAGATTTTTAAATGGGCATATTTGTATTATTGTTTTCCTTTTTTTGATCTATTTTAATTTAATTGATATTATATATAACATTATATATATCTTATAGATAACATATATATAATAGAGTAACATATGTCTGTTATAAAGCATAACAAGATAATGAACACTCATGAGGCTTTTATCCAAGCAGATAACTAGAACCTTACTAATAACTTGCATCTACTATGTTTGTCCAAGTTGGTTGAATTTGGAAAACACAGATTCATCCAATACTTCTTTCACCAACCCAGTGGTTCTTAAGATCCTAATTTTAGAAAACAAATCAAGAGCATATTAGTATCACTTGTAAATCACACATGGAAATTAACCATAATACAGAGTTTGAAGCTAGTTATGAACCTTTCAGCATTCTAAGCTTTGTATTTCTTATCTTTAAACACTGTATGAATTCCTCCATCATAGACCTACAGCAGATTTTATATGAGATATTGCAGGTGGAGGACCACTTCTTAGAGCCCTCCTTTAGTGGGCATGTAGTCGTTGACTGGAAAAGAAGAAAATTGGAAAGAAAGAGGGGGGATTGCTGATAGTGGAAAAGAGGTAAAGACTTCCCAGCACAGTCAAAGTAGAGGGAATGTTGAGTGAAATGACCAGGGCTTCCTCAGGCATTCTTGTCCGTGAGTGAGTGAGCAGCTGAGTGTTGGGTGAGGGGCTGGTAAAGACAGAATATACTATCCTGTCATCTTTTACTCTACTATAATAAAATGTGATTAACTATCCTGATGCATATGAAATGCTTAGAATAGTGCTGGATACATAGGCAGCCTTATGTACACGTTTGCTAAAGCTGCTATGCTTGGGCAAGAATGTAGAGAAGCTACTCTGTCATACATACACGTTATTCCTTTAGATAAGGGACATTAACATGTAAAGTTCTCTCTTCATGTATTTACATTGAGTCATTAGAATTTAAGCCACTGGAATGTACGTATAGTAATTTACATTCTAGTGACTCAGTTTAAATAAAGGGTGAATATTACTTATTATGTTTACCAAGTTTGGAGTTTGTTGATGTATCCTCAGTGCCTCTGTGATCATGTCTCACACATAGTAGATGCTCGATCATATTTACTGAATAAATTTCTAAGAAATCAAAATTTCCCAAAAATTTACCCTATTAAAATCATGCAAGTTGCTCTCTCTTCTGAAATGATAAATGTATCAGTAGGCAGGAAGACAGCAGATTGCTAAATAAATTATTGTGAATCAGAATCTGTTGAATTTGAATAATGATCCCCAAATCTTGTTGCTGAACAGAATTATCTGAAAGAAATTCATAAATACAAATTTCTGGGGCCAACATTGGAGTCTCAATCAGCAGATACATATTTTTGTTTGTCTGTTTTACTTAGTTGAAGTCAAATTTTATTTGCAATTTAGTAATCTGCCATATAAATCATACCATAAATGACTGTTAAAATACCAATTTCACAAGCATACTTTTTCATGAATAAATAATACTCCATTGAATGAATGTCATAAATTACATCACTTTTTATTTTCATTGAACACAGGTTGCTTACATTCTTCCCATCACAGTAATATGTTTAAAAGTATTTGTATTTAAATGTTTAAAAATGTTTGTGTATTTAAAGATGTATTTGTTGACAAGAGGTAAATAGAAATTTTTAACAGTATGTTGTTGCTGAGGTATTTTCACTTGTTTTTTTTTCCCCAAGGTTTTTTCCAGCTTTATCAATATGTACTTCCCCATTTGTAAACTATCCAAGCAACTTCTAAGACCTGGCAGCAACTCCCTGGCACAATATGATGCAAGGAACACTCCCAGAGGAGAGAATGAAGCAAGTCACCTAAGCCTCCTGGGGATACATTTCATAAAATATTAGATCATGTCTTAGAAAAAAGATCAAGGGTGGCCCAGATCTTTGCTTTCCCTCGAGTGGCTTACGAGCTACAACTTTACCTCTGACTTGTCTATATATACACCCAAAAAAAATTCTGTTCTGGTTTTGCTTTCAAAACGTCTCAGGTTTTCCATTATTTTCCAAAATATGCTGGTTACCCAAATGTAGGACCTCAACTTCCTACTTTGAGTACTGAGGGATAGAATTCCTTAAAACAGTCTTGATTGATCTCTAGACTTACAAACTTCTTCCCCAGACAATCTATCCTGCTGCTAATGTTAAATTTTCAAAAAGGCAAAATTATGATTCTTGTTCAAATATGAAATGAACAAGGATTAAAGTGAGGGAATTAATGGCTGAGACAATCAGTAAGATGTTAAAAGCAGTTCAAGAGAGAACAGAATATATACATATAAATGTATATGTATGGGTATATGTGTGTGTGCTGTGTATATAAAATCAGGAATGCTGAACTGCAGTTGCTAGTAAATGCAAAACTGGTTAATGTCATATAATACAATAAAATGTAAACTTTGGGCTCATCTTTTCTACAGAGAAGGAACCAATTTTTTCTCAAACAATCAAAATTTATTTGCATAGTCACAAATTTTCTACAACCTAACTTCTACCTCTACTCAGCTGCAATATAGCTCAGTCAACAGAAAAACAATCTAAGGTGCGCCTTTCTATACAACCAGATAAACTCATCATTTCACTGAAAAGACACCCAGTAATCACTACTTCACCCATCATCTCTTATAATTACTCTTTACTGCTGTTTCAGCTTTTATAATACAGCCAATGTCATGATCTTCCCTCTGCATCCACATTAATCATTCCAGAATATACCCTCCACTCAACATAGGTCAATTTTTGCCACTTCCTGCACACTTCATAATTTTTCTTCCTGCGCTATCCCAAACTTTCTTCAAAATAATTCAGCCAACCTGTGTGGTAGATGCTTGACAGATAATATGAAGAGATATATTTTCTACCTTCAGGGAATTTACAGTCTAAAATGATCTTTCTCTTTTTCCTCCATGTATTTGCCTCCTCTTGATCAGTCAGTACTCACTATTCACTCTACTCTTGCAAAAAGACTTCTCCAAGTGCACCAGTCAACACTGACTCCTTTTCAATAACTGTGTGACAAATGGATGTGGCATGTGGGCTTTGAGTCCTTGATCAGTTTACAAAAGCATTTAGGACAAAGGTTGTATTTTAGCCTTTTATTTCAAGTAACTTCTACATCTATTACTTTTTGTGTTAAAACTGATAACTGTTACTTTAGATGCAAGGATTGTGTCTAGGGACTCAATGACTTCTGCAATCTTCATGATGAAATGTTTCTGGACCACTTTTGCTATCAAACTTTCTTGATGTAGTTAATTGAGCTTATCTCAATGTATGATTCACAAAGCTTTGATTTCAGACTGACAGCTGTCACATAAATATAGACTCAAATGAGCATAAATTTGCAGGTGCTGATCTATAAAAACATCTGTACTGTGAAGCAAATCACTTATAAAACCTCAACGGAAAAAAAAATTGGAAGAGGAGGTAGGAGTAGTCATAATCCTGGTATTTGATAAAGAGACTACTATCCTTTTAATTCCTTAATTTACTAAAAGCTTCTTACTATACTGATAATCTCATTTTCTGCTACTAAGAATGAGTAGGTAAAAATTATGCATCTCTATGAGGCTGTACATTTCAAAAAAAGAGTAGGAGAAAGTACACTCCCACAGGTTAAAATATTAGCATAAAGCAATTTCACATCCTTGGTTATATTATTATGGGTTTCTACTTGTAACAGTCACACAAAAGAGCCCTCATAAACTGGATCCTGAGTAGTTCAAATATTTTACAATGAAAATAAAATATATGATCTGAATGCAAAATCAAATGACCAACTACCCTTGCACTTTTATGTTGATACCTGTATCATCTTGTTAATAACTTCTGAAAATGAACTTGGTCCAAGCTCTAGTAAGAAAGCTATTTTAAATTAAAATCTCTTTCTCTGTTGTAAAAGTTTCATATTAGGTATGTGCATCACATTACTTTCTAACAGAAACACAATAGTAAGCCAAGTAAAGTCAAATTGCTCGCCACATCAGTTAAAGGTAGATAGATTAGAAATAAAATGATAGTGAATTTGCACTTAGAACTGAATGGACTGGATAATCATCTAATGGCTGCATTATAGTGAGGAAGGGCTTCATTTCCATCTGTTCTTAGAAGCTGATCAGCTTGACTAGATGCTATAAAGGATGAGTCACAGGGCCTGCAGGAAACATAGAACATGTACTCCGAATAAACTTTTTAAAAAATTATCTTCCACTCGCCTTTAATCTCAGCACTTTGGGAGGCCGAGTTCGGCGGATCACGAGGTCAGGAGATCGAGACCATCCTGGCTAACACGGTGAAACCGCGTCTCTACTAAAAATACAAAAAAATAGCCGGGCGTGGTGGCGGGCGCCTGTAGTCCCAGCTACTCGGGAGGCTGAGGCAGGAGAATGGCGTGAACCCAGGAGGCCGAGCTTGCAGTGAGCCGAGATCGCGCCACTGCACTCCAGCCTGGGTGACAGAGCGAGACTCCATCTCAAAAAAAAAAAAAAAAAAAATTATCTTCCTCTCTTCCTAAGATCTCTTCCTCCCACTTTTTGTTTTTATTGTGAGGACTGAAAACAAAGCAAAAAAAAAAAAATACAACTTGAAGTAATAAAAATTAAAGTTATTTTATTTTCTGCCATTTGTTTTGAAGTCACAGACATCTACATTAGTAGCACTTTAACTTCTTATTAAAATGACCAAGCAATGCTTTGGAGCATGTTTCTGAGAGTAAAATACAATTACAGCTGCTAAAAACAATAAAATCAAAGACGTTATGACTGTTTGATTTAAGTGATGAAAGCATTGGAAGATTCAACACCAAGAAGATAAATAAAATGGTTATCTATTTTCTGTAAGAGTAGAATTCCAAGACTCTGGATGACAAAAACAACATGGAGTTGGAAGAACATATCCTGCTAGAAAAATAATTAATATTATATTAGCAGAATTATTGTCTAAAGTGTATTCAGGAGCCGATAGTAAGCTATCATTACAAAATTTACTTCAAATGAAGAACTAATTATTTTAAACTTGATACTAAACTATTTGTTTTCTCAAAATACTTCAGTTGGAGAAATTGCTTAGGTAACTATTAAAAATTTAATATGTACTATATATTTTGCAAACCATATTCTATCACGGTGTCCTTTGTAATACACACATAAATTACAAATTAATAAATTAACAAGTTTTGGTTCTCAGCGATGGTCATATATTCCATGAATGTTTATTTCTTTTTATGGCTACTTATGAGTTTCACGCTTCACGGAAAATAATGCAGTAATATCTACACACCCCTTTTGTCTACTTAATAGAATTCCAGAACTGGTGACCGGGAAACATTTTTAAAGCATCCAGGTAATTCCGATGTACATAGTATAAGATTATACTTTAATAAAGAGTGTTTTAAATAATAATGAATTCATGGAAGCTAGCATTAATCTTTTTTAAAAAATTCACATTTTGGTATAAGCATGGTGACGCTTATTTGTCAGGTATCTATTGTAATTGAAGGGACAGTGATGTAATTTATCAAATAGAGTAGATAACATAATATTTGATAATTGATTCCCATATATGGTATTCACTTTCCTAATTTTGCTTAATTCAAGACAACTTTAAAGTGAAGTCCAGCCACATTCTGGGTAGCATATAAGAAAAGATGTCCTAAAGATATGCAGAATTGTTGAGAAGAGATCCAATGATGGTTCTCTATTATAACCTTTCCAAATGTGATAGATTATTACAATATTTTAAAATGTGGGAGTAGGGCTCTTGGCCTTGATATTGGACAACGACATATTGAGTGCAATTTTCCAAGTGGTAAAAAGATTCCAAATGACAATGGAAGGACATACAAATGATCTTAAAATTAACTGAAACTGCAACCAGATACACTTGATCCACTCTCCAACCATAAGAATGCAACAACAACATCAACAAAAAATAGTGATTGGACATGGAGGAGCAAAATGCTTGGTGCACGTGACAATGTCTTGGACAAACAACTGTTAAGTTACACCCCTACCTTTCTGTAAAAACTATCAAAATTATGTATCTTCAAAAACAGTTCTAAGACCAGAAGTTTTTGTTTGCAGTGGAAACTGTTCACCCCTTACTTTTTCAAACAAATCTTTTCTTCCATTTGAAATTTTTCTAGGCATCAAATAGACACTGCTAATGTGCCTTAAAAAAAAAAAAACAGAATTTTAAAGAAGTAGTGCATGGAACAGTAAGATCAGCTTATGAAACGTGCATCATTGGGGTTGGTTTTTAATCTTAGATCTCTTTTCTCCTCATTGGGCACATGCCACTTTCATTAACATTCAGGGAGTTGCATAGATGCATTAAGGAAAAGAAAGTTCCTTCAGAGTAATGAGGCCAGAAGAGTATGACAACATCATCGTTTCTCCCTCTTGCTGCGCATTTACATTCAATACTGCTCTGCTACCCCTAATACGCCTTCTCAGCCTTTATATTCTAAACACAGATGAATAAAGTCATTCTTTGCTATTTCATAACCACTGCTACTGTAATTTTACAGATAGCTAAACACACTGGAATGTGTATTTTTGTAACTAGAGGAATGATTCAAATGATTTTCTTTAACATCTGCTAACTTCCATGACTGAAAATTTATTGAATTCTGCCTGTAAATTTGCTAGGGGCTATTAAAGAGCTAACAGAAGAAGCTCCCTGCTGTGTTGTGCGCACAATTTAAAGAAACAAAGCAAATGATAAAATAAGCATTTGTGTAGTTTTTATAGTTTATAAATTACTTTCAGAAGCCTTATGTAAATCAATTCTCAAAACTACCTTCAGTGCTATGTATGGATTAGCTTAAATGTATAGAAGTCTTTAAGTTACTCAGGGCCACAGAGTTCGGGGAGTAACACAACACCTCGAGCTAGGTTCACATTTGCTTCCCTACACCATTGCTCATGCCATACACAAAGTTAATGTGACCATTGACCCAAAGTAAGAAACTGAGACAAAATAAATATAGGTAAAGGTAAAGAGTTTATTTGGGCTAGGGCTGAGGACTGCAGCTCAGGAAGCACTTTTAAGTTATCTTGGGAAGTACTCCCATGAACAAAACAGAGTCTTGAGTTCTTAAAGAAAAAAGGACGAATCAGTAGGGAGGCAATTACAAAATCTGTTTCTCAGGAATTCTTGTTGGTTTACAGAGATAACATTGATTAGTGATTGGCTATGTACTGTGGAACTATGAGTTATTGTGTCCAGCGTATGGCAGTTTTAGGTTAATTTATAGCTACTGATGGTGATACTGAGTCTAGAGTCTATACAGCAGGTGGCTTCTAGATGATTACCTACCTTAGGTGGGATGCCTGTGGGGCAGGGGCTGACATTCCTCAGATAAAAAGTTTCTTTTCTTTCTCATGCCTTTTTGATAGTTGCCTGTATGTTGTTCCATATTTGGAAAGATTAGATTGCCATCCCTTTGAGGGCAACAATAAAAGCTTTTCTTAATCTATTTGCATAGTTTTCTAATAGTTGATAGAGTTTGAGCTGAGTCTTACTGGGAACAGATAATAACAGATAATAAAATCTATTTTGAACATGAAAGCAGAAATTAAGGAGGGAATGAGAAAGAGAACAAAACAAAGACACATTTCACTTAAAGGAACATGAAAGACTGCAGGGAAGATAAAAATCTGGATGTGACTCTGCATGAAATCAAGTTACCTGAAGTGGCTTAAAGAGGGTAATGTTTGCCCTTTCTTTCCTTTCTTTCTTTCTTTCGAGATGGAGGCTAGCTCTGTCACCCAGGCTGGAGTGCAGTGGTGCCATCTCGGCCCACTGCAACCTCTGTCTCTCGAGTTCATGCGATTCTCTTGCCTCAGGCTCCCGAGTAGCTGGGACTACAGGTGTGCACCACCACGCCCAGCTAGTATTTTTAGTACAGACGGGGTTTCACCATGTTGGCCAGGCTGGTCTCGAACTCCTGACCTCAGGTGATCCTCCTGCCTCAGCCTCCCAAATTGCTAGGATTACTGGCGTGAGCCACTGCGCCAGCCAATGTTTGCCATTTCTAAATCATAATGCAGGGAACAATGGTGTTCTCTTTGTAGGTGTGGTTGAGTGTTAAAGCAAAAGGAAGAACCATGGCTCAAAGCAAAAAACTTACCAAATCCTCTGTATATCTGAACTGAAGCCAAAATTATTGAGGCAGAAATTGAGAAATACAATTTGGCTATTGAGAAGAAAAAAAAAAGGCAAACACTAAACCTAAAGTAAAGAACAGAGAGGCAAGCTAGAGAGAGAGAGAGAGAATCAATTAGCGAATCAAAGCTCTTGCCTTTTAAAGGATTAGTACTGAGATACACAGCACAATTTTTCCCGCAAGTTAGGAAATGGTGGAAATAAAGCAAGAAATTTAGTGTTTACTGTCCTATGATTCAGAAGATTACGGTTAGTAATTACTAAAGGTAAAAACATATAACAAGTAGTTGATCCACACTAATTAAAATAAGGTATAGTTGAGGATAATCTATTCCAGCTTTGTATGGTTAATAAACTTGTCTTTTATTACTAGTCGATATCTCCTGGGACACTATAAACTGCCTTATGTTAATGGATGAGTTCTATTTACCTGATATTTGGACAATTACTGGAAAATTTTCAGGTGCTTATAATAGAAACAATGTCTAAGTTCTAGTAGAAATATTAATTTACTTTTCAAAACCAGACAGGATGCTTATATTTCACCTTTCTTTGCATTTCACTCTTTCACTGTCTTAGTTACATCAGTCTTCTTTTCAGGAGACCCTGATCAAATACGTGTGCTGATAGAATTTCTAAGATGGGTTATGCACAACTGGCTGACTTAAGATTACCAAAGCAGAATCTAGCTCATTTTTATTTCTTTTTATTTAATTAAATTGGATGTGTAATTTTATATTATGGAAGGAAAAGAGTTTTAAAGCAGCTTAAATTTTGGCCTAATTTGAGAAAACCTTTTTCACATTTCAGGTTACTAAGATGATCTTTAAATGATGTTTCTAATTATTGTCAATTTTGCCTATGTGAAGAATATTGAAGATAACTTTCCCTGCACAAAATATGCTAATTATTTAAGTTATATAGATTATAGTTTTCTTTCATGTCAAACCAACCTTCTATGTTTCAAATACTTTAGCATACTCAACGGGAAAAGTTCAGAAACACTCAACAAAATGGTTAATACAAATGAGCCTAAACAAATTTCAATGTGTTTTCTAAGTTTCATATTATTTTAATATAATACACACTGTCAATTTAAAAAGTCACAGGACTAAAGTTCTCCTTGTGTGCAAATTAAGTATCTGTATAAGTAATATTACCTTTTTTACTTTCCAGGTCAGTGTCAAGGATGACTTTTTGAAAAATAGTATTTATTGCCAAAGTTTTGTCCTATTTATGGTATAATCTAGGTATATCAAAAGAATGCCTTTACTGTTAGTTTTATTTTGTTTGCTGTAGAAGAAGAAAACACTATTTTGATCTTTATAGCAATATGGTTTATGTTCACAGCTATTAAATCTATTTTCCTACTGAATCATGTGTTTCTGTGCTCCATTTGCAATGCCAAGTGAAGTTTTCCCACTGCCTCATTAATTTAAATTATCAATCAAATATGCTTATGAGAACTAAGTAAAAAAATATGATTTTTACCCTGACATGAGCTTCGCTGGGCTTTTCTCCCCTAAGGGAGGATATGCTCAGCCATATCATCAATGTTCTAAAGTATGAAGGTTTTGCGATTTAAGGTTGAATGAGTCCTCTACACTTTTATGTTCTCATTGCGGTGGTTTTTAAACTGCTTGATCCTGCTTTCATTTATGCCTCTTTTAATAGATAGATACAATAAAGTTGTCTGTGCCTTCTTGTAGGCTGAGGAAGGAAAACTATATTCCTTAGAGATTTAAGCAAAAACAGGCTTGAGTATTTGGATAGCAGTACACTCACCCTGGTAATCCTCCAACAAAATGCTCTCTAGTACTTGCTTGTGTGGAACACTTCATACTTTAGCCATTCTGTGACTTAGGGAAATAATATTCCATTATCATTCCATTGCCCAGCTTTTACAGTGTGAATGTTCCTATGACATTTGCTGGCAAACAGGGGCACTACAACGGCAAAACAATGAAATCAATGATACCGTATGATAGCCAAGCTTGCAGGGTATTTGGGTCTCACAAATGGAAGTTGCAGGAGGTGTGCAAATTCATGAGGTCAGTAATTCCTGAGTGTTTTCTAGTTGGAGTCAGCTGAAGGCTTGACCACTGCTACCTTGAGTACATTAGGTTGGGTCTAAAATGGAGGTTTGTTGTACTTAAGGAGGATGAGGGATGCCGGTAGCTACTACACGGCATATAGACTTCACCAGTCTAGTTCCCGAATACATATCACACAAAAACATGCATCTTTCTAGTCTCATAACCAGAGCGAGGCCAGCAGCCTTGATTTCCAAAGTCAGTGATGGGTTTTTTTGACAGGTATACCTACTAAATTGGAAAATCCACATGAGATTTTGAAGTGGTGTCCACATAGGTAAGAATTCTATTTTCTCAGTTTTTTGGAGTGGTTTTCCACACAAACTTTAGGATTTGATAACTTTTTTCCGGTATTCCACGTTGAGAATGAGGTCATCCATTCAGAGGCAGTGGGACTGTGGAGAGCTGTTATGAGCTATCTACCTAAATCCAACAAATATGGCTGATTACCATAACTTTTATGTAACCAGAAATTTTACATCAAAATAAAATGCAAAGAAGGAGGGAAAATTTATTGACACTTGTTTTATAATGTTTTATCTTGGTTTACTGCCAGTGACCACATAAATACTAATCATGCTTAGCAATATCTAAATATGCACATATTTTTAAATGTAGCAGAAAGGGCAGAACATATATAACATGGCAGACAGTGAGTGCAGTGAAAAACATAGAAGCAAACTCTTGATATGTTGAGGAATTTCTTGATATGTTGAGGAATGTTCTTTTTCTGTCAGTGAAGCAAACACCCTAACACATTTTAATGGATTTTAACAGCTAAAAGTTTAAAATATGTATTTCTTTTTTTTGAAATGGAGTCTCACTCTATCCCCCAGGCTGGAGTGCAGTGTGCGATCTCAGCTCACTGCAACCTCTGCCTCCCGGGCTCAAGCCATTGTCCTGCCTCAGCCTCCCGAGTAGCTGGGATTACAGGCATGTGCCACCACACCTGGGGCTAATTTGCGTATTTTAAGTAGAGACGAGGTTTCACCATGTTGGCCAGGTGTTTGCTGCAGAATTTGCTGCAGACCCATATGGATTCATCACTGATAACAACCGTTGGAGTCAATAACTAAATGTTCCTTCATTTATCTTCCCTCTAACTTGTCCCCAGTGCCTCCCATTGGCTGAATTTAACAGGGATACAGCTAGCAGGGTAATATGGGAAATGTAGTTTGCAGGCACCCAGGCACGGCAGTGGAGAAGATGGTTCATTTGAAGTCTAGCCCCACCCTGAGCCCGTGAGGAGCTCTGGGGCATGAATGACTTATTCCTTTTTAAGGCAACGAGGCTGGCCTTTTTCATCCCTGGTATCTGTTGATCTTTGCCAGCTGCTGCCCCCTGGGAGAGGGCCTATCATTCCAGACTGTGCCCCAGATAGTGAGGTGGCTCCTATCAACCTAGGTGAATTCTCAGAAGGGTGAGTCTGTGAGCTGTTAGTACCCACCACTCACAACTGAGACATGAGGGCACTGGCTGCTTAAAACAAAACCTATCTACTACCTTCCTATCCTAAAGTGGCATTGGAAGCTTTGGAGTAAGAATTTATAGATGGGAACATATTTTAGATAATGGCACCTGCTGGCATCTGTACATTTCTTGGTCTTGAAATTTCAAATTCTATAAAAAGGAGAAGACAACACCAAATATTAAGAAAACTCTAAATATAAAAATTTACATTAAAATAAGCATTTGTATCTTAAAGATGGATTGCTTCTATTATAGAAGAACAACCAAACTTTCCTTAAAAAGCAATCTTTGGGAATAATTTGCTACTTCTAAGGTTTTTCCTGTCATTTCTGTTGGATATCATCACTGATCTATGACCAACCTCCTCCTACCTGGGGTGACTTAAGATGGAACTCACCTCCACCCTTTGTGCCGTAACTTCAACCAGACAATTCAGACTAATGTCCTAGAGTTTCACAACAAGGCAATCTCATTACGCATCTGGTAACTCCATCCTCTGACTTAAAATGGAACTCACCTCCATCCTTGGTGCCATAATTTCAACAAGAAAATTCAGACTAATCTAGAGTTCCACAACAAGGCAATCTCATTACTCATCTGGTAACTCCATGCTCTGCTTAAGAAAACTGCTTAGCCAGGTGTGGTGATTCATGACTATTATCCCAGCACTATGGGAGGCCAAGACAGGAGGATTGCTTGGACCTAAGAGTTTAAGACCAGCCTGAGCAACATAAGGAGACCCTGTCTCTACAGAAAATTTAAAAATGTAGCTGGGCATGGTGGCGCATGCCTATAGTCCCAGCTACTTGGGAGGCTGAGGTGAGAGCCCAAGATGTCAAGGCTATAGTGAACCATGAACGTGCCACTGCACTCCAAGCAAGGTGACAGAGTGAGATCCAGTCTCAAAAATAAATTAATACGATAAAATTAAACTAAATTTAAAAAGAAGGCCAGGTGTAGTCATGCACTCCTGTAGTCCCAGCATATTGGGAGGCCAAGGTGGGCAGATCACTTGAGTTCAGGAGTTTGAGGCCAGCCTGGCCAACTTAGTGACACCCTGTTTCTGTAAATAATAATAATAATTAATTAATTAAAAAATAAAATAAAACTTTAAATAAAGTAACAAACTTAATTTGCAATAAGAAAGTAGCAGTAATTTTTACATGGTAGTGATTATTAATGGCATGCTTCTGCATAGAAACTCTCTACAAGCTTTGACTGGTGAAATTTTTCATCCCCAAATGTTATTAAAGTTGGAATGGATTTCAAATATCATTCAATCACTCCCGCATTGACAAATAAGAACACTGAAGCCAAGAGAAATGTAATGACTTTTCCAAAATTTCGAGACCAATTAAGAGGGGAATGGGAATCAAGCATCAGTTCTGCTGTTATGTACAGAAGAGAGATGGGAATGGCCTTTCAAAGAACTGCACCACAGTTCTTTTTAGTTGTGCTGTTTAATATAGACTAGATTCTAAATTACCTACTTATGATCCATCTATTCAACTACCTATTTTTTATCTGTATCATTTATTTATACCCCAGTCTGCTTCAAAAAGGATTTCAGTTGCCTTACAAAAATAGACACAACACAAAGAGATTATAAACATTTAATATATAAAGTGAAAGAAAAAATAAATTTGGGGGAAAAAAGTGAAGCCATGCTTGAGGTTAATGGACAAAATACTTGGTATGGGACTTTTCCACTGATTAAAGATGAGACATTCATTAAGATCTGAGATTTCTACTCAAGAAAGTAAGAAACATGGTCATATCAGTGTGGATTAAGTAACTTGGTCATTAGTTACATGGATCACAGTAACAATAAAATAAAGATAAGCCAATTGCTCACAAAAGCAATCAATAGTTTCTAACAAAATTAATAAACTGTTTTCTTAAAGAAATGGCACCTCTCCAAAGACATTAATTATAAATAAAATCAGCTGGATGCCATTGCTCTTTTCTGAACATATGTCTGTTAGAACCTAAAAGAAACTAATTAAGTAGATTTTTTTATTGTTTTGCAAAATTATAAATAGGTCGTTTGTAATGTTATAACTTAAAACACAAATATAAATAAATGTCTGCTTTACTATAATTATACCAGTACATTTCAGATAAAGTCACAGCAGGTAGTAAAATTACTGTCCCACAATATCATTTTTCTGCTGAAACTTGAAATCTCATTATTTTAAGGGGAGAAGTCTGAGGTATATGGGAGTGTCTTAAGTTGTAAAGGACACCAACAGTCTGAAAAGTTAGTGAATAAGTATGGGGGCAGATAATGATCATCTAAAAAATACAGCACTTTAGAAATAAGCTTAATTTACTCCTTTAAACTCTGTTCTTTAGCTATTTTTGAATATAGTCTATTGTGCCTTCAAAAAGACTAAGCAATTTATAGAAAGGGAGATACAGCTTTAATTAGATCCTTACCATTTGAGGTCAAACTCACTAATGTGACATTAGATGGAGAGAAGTTTGTCCAGTTATTGATTGTGAAAACATCACAGGTTAATGAACACAAAAAGCCTTTAGCTTTGATCTCTGAGAAGCTCAACATTATCATTCCACTAAGGGATTGATTCAAATCAGCAGCAGTGTTACTTTATTTATTTTAAGAGATGAGGTCTCTATGTTGCCCAGGCTGGAGTGCAGTGGCTATTTACAGACATGATCATAGCGTATTGCAGACTTGAATTCCTGGACTCAAGCAATCCTCCTACTGAATCTGGTTCAATTGTTCCATAAAACTGATGTTTACAGTTTATTTGAATAAACATGGAAATTGACCTTTCTAGTCTTAAAACTTGAGAAACTTACATTTGCTTTACCTGAGTTTCTTTCTCAGGAAATTAACCATCAGAACTCCTAGGTAGTATCAAAAAACTAAAACTTACCAGATCACCGCATCTGAGTAAAACACCAGACCCCTCACCTGTCATGACTGCCTAACTGACCACCTGATTCCTGTTGACCAACTCCTTTTCTTTATCCCTCCGTAATTCCTGCTGTTCCATACACAATTACATTTCTTCATTGCTGTATAAACCCCTGTTTTTAATCAGTCAGGAAGATGGATTTGAGACTAATCTCACATCTCCTTGGCTGCAGCACCCCATTAAAGCCTTCTTCCCTGGCAATACTCATTGTCTCAGTGATTGGCTTTCTGTGCAATGAGCAGTATAACCTAGACAAAACCTCTGGTGTTTTGGTAACGGATTTTGGCTCCCTGACCATGAACGTGTTGCTCCTGGCTCAGCTGAAATGGGCTGGGAGCTTCAAAAGCCCTCCTAAGCAGCTGCCTGCCCCATTTTGTGGCCAGAGGTGGGTTTTGATCTCTCTCTGGTCCTGCCGCTGCTGGCCCCAACTGTGTTCCTGATTGCTTAGGAAAAACAGCCTTTGAAATTTGTCGTCTGTGTCCAGATGGGTGAATATCTTTTGTGGGCACCAGACAATGGTATCTTCTCTTCTCAATTTGGGGAATTCTGAAAGAATTTCCATTTGCAGATTGAACAAGCCTAACTAATGAAGAGAGCAAAGCACCCTGTTTCTGCTTGGACACTCTTGGGATTTGTTTGCTGCTGCAGCAGTGGGATTGTGTTTTGGTGATTGTTTAGGTATGTGTTTTAGTATAGTCATGGAAAACCAGAATTTGATAAACTGGTATTCTTTTGAAATACTGTTTGGCCTCATTATTTTTGGAATCTGGAGAAGTTTGGCCTCTCCATAGGTCTCATTTTGCTGTTGAATGAAAGTGGGACGGAATGTCATGTATCCAGTCTTTTATGTAAACAGGAGTAGGCCTGGTCAATACATGATGTTCTTCTGTGGTGCTGTTTGGCCCTGCTGTCCTTTGGAATCTGAAGAGGTTTTGCCTTTAAAAACTCAAACTTTCATGGAGAATACTTTACCCAAAATGTTGGTTCATGCCCTTCACTGGATGACCTACTTGGGCAAACAAAGTTTAGCCATGTGAACATGTTTGTAGACCGGTGAGTTTGTATTGCTATCTTATAGCTAGAGTTCCAAGGTAAAAGCCAGTGGATCTTTGTGTGTGCATATATGTTTAGATGTGTTTATGTGTATGTGTATTTATTATGTTATATGATGTGTCTCACAAATTAAGTAAATAAGTCCAAAGTATTCTTCAAGTTCACATGACTTAAGTAAATCTTTAATAATCAAGCTGGCTTTAAAATTATTGGTGAGATAAAAATAGAAATGTTGGAGCAGGGCCAAGATGGCCACCTAGAAGCAGCAGCATTCAGAGGCTCCCATGGAAGAAAACCATAATAAGTGTGTGAATCCTTCACTGGCAACCAAGGTATCCAGGTTCTCTCATCAAAATTGACTAGAAGGCTGGCTTGAACCATGGAGAGAAGGGAGAATAGTGTGGTGCAGTGGCCCACCTGAGAGCCACATGGGGCAGGGGAACCCCCTTACCCCAGCCAAGGGAAGTGGTGAGTGAGCATGCTACCCAGCCAAGAAATCTGTGCTTTTTCCAGGGAAGTGTGCAACCCATGGATTGGAAGGCCTAGCGTCTGAACCCTGGAATGTGCAGATTTTTACAGCCTCTCAGCTGGACTCTGCTTAAGCCTACCGAACTCCTGGGGGAGAGCCGACCAGCACTGGCTGTGGCTGCCTGCTGTCTAAGGCATTTGAGCTCCTTAGGGAAGGGGCAGCAGCCAGCACTGGGACTCGCAACTGCCTAACATGCTAAGCTCCCTGGGTGGGGTAAGGGTGGCACCCATCTCTTTAGCTTCAGGCTGCACTTTTCTCCTGCTGGAGCCAGGGAGGCTGGATGGCTTGGTCCCAAGACTTGTCCCCACACCCCAACACACCAGCTGTGGTAGTCTGTGGCCAGAGTCCCTCTCCAGGCCTGATCCTGACCCATCCTTCCTCACTGAGTGGGGCTTCCCTGTAGGAACTCCTATAATTCCAGCCAGAGGCTCAGGGGCTCAGGGACAGAACCTGGATATCCCTGGGCCTGAGCCCCTAGTGGGAGGGGTAGCAGCAGTGTCTGTGGACCAGCAGGCTTAGCCTCTCCTCCTGGTAGTTCTGAGGAATCTGGGCAGCCCAGACAAATGAGTTTCACCCAATGAAGCACACCTCCTCCACCAAGGGACAAAGTGCTTCATAAATGGGTCCTGCTCCGTGTGCCACCCAAACTGAGTGAGACCTTCCAACAGGAGTTGTCAGACACCCTATACAGAAGCGATCCTACTGGCATCAGGTTGGTGCCCCTTGAGGTCAGAGGTCCCAGAAGAAGGAGCAGGAACATCTTTGCTGTTCTCCAGCCTCCTTAAGTGACATCTCCAGGCATGGGAGTGAATCAGAAGAATAGTGCCTGAAGTGAACCCCTAGCAAACTACAACAGCCCTACAGAAGAGGGACCTGATCATTGAAAGAAAACCAAACAAACAGTAACAACAATAGCATCAACAATAAAAAAGAAGTCCCCACAAAATGTCCATCAAAGGGTAAGCGGCCTCAAAGATCCAAACTAGACAAACTCATAAAGATGAGAAAGAATCAATGAAAAGACACTGAAAACCCAAAATGCCAGAATGCCTCTTCTCCTCCAAATGATCGAATGCCTCTCCAGCAATGGCGCAGAAGTGTAGGGAAAATTAGATGGATGAATTGACAGAAGTAGGCTTCAGAAGATGGGTAATTAAAAAAAACTCCACTGAACTAAAAAACATGTTCCAACCAAATGCAAAGAAGCTAAGAACCTTGATAAAAGGTTAGAGGAGCTGCTAACTAGAGAAACCAGTTTAGAGAGTAACATAAATGACCTGATGGAGCTGAAAAACACAGCATAAGAACTTCATGAAACATACACAAGCATACCCAAGTATGAATAGCCAAATCAACCAAGTGGAAGAAAGAATATCAGAGTTGGAAGACCACCTTGCTGAAATAAGGCATGCAGACAAGATTAGAGAAAAAATAATAAAAAGGAATGAACAAAGCCTCCAAGAAACATGGGACTACATAAAAAGATCAAACGACTATTGATTGGAATACCTGAAGGAGATGGGGAGTAGGGAAACAAGCTGGAAAACACACTTCAGGATATTATCCAGGAGAATTTCCCCAATCTAGCAAGACAGGCCAACATGAAAATTCAGGAAATACAGAGAACACCATTAAGATACTCCATGAGAAGATCAACCCCAAGACATATAATCATCATATCCTCCAAGATCGAAATGAAGGAAAAACTGTCAAGGGCAGCCAGAGAGAAACGCTAGGTCACCTATAAAAGGAATCCAACAGACTAACAGTGGACCTGTCAGCAGAAACCTGAAACCAGAAGAGATTGGGAGCCAATATTCAACATTCTTCAAGAAAAGAATTTTCAACCCTCAATTTCATATCCAGCCAAACTAAGCTTTATAAGCAAAGGAGAAATGAAATCCTTTCCAGACAAGCAAATGCTGAGGGATTTCATTACCACCAGGCCTGCCCTGCAAGAGCTCCTAAAAGAAGCACTAAAAATGGAAAGGAAAAACTCGTACCAGCCACTGCAAAAACACACCAAAATATAAAGAACAATGACACCATGAAGAAACTGCATCAACTAGTGTGCAAAATAACCAAATAGCATCATGATGACAGGATCGAATTCATACATAACAATACTAACCTTAAATGTAAACTGGCTAAATACCCCAATTAAAAGACAGAGACTGGCAAATTGGATAAGAAGTCAAGACCCATCAGTGTGCTGTATTCAGGAGACCCATCTTACATGCAAAGACACCCATAGGCTCAAAATAAAGGAATGGAGCAACATTTACCGAGGAAATGAAAAGAAAACAAACAAACAAAAAAGCAGAGGTTGCAATTCTAGTCTCTGACAAAACAGACTTTAAACCAACAAAGATCAAAAAAGACAAAGAAAGGTTTTATGTAATGGTAAAGAGAACAATTCAACAAGAAGAGCTAACTATTCTAAATACATATGCACCCAATACAGGGGCACCAAGATTCATAAAAGAAGTACCTAGAGACCTATAAAGAGACTTAGACTCCCACACAATAATAGTGGGAGTCTTTAAGACCCCACTGTCAGTATTTGACAGATCAATGAAAAAGAAAATTAACAAGGATATTCAGGACTTGAACTCAGCTCTGGATGAAGTGGACCTAGTAGACATCCACAGTACTCTCTGCCCCAAATCAACAGAATATACATTCTTCTCAGTGCTACATGGCACTTATTTTAAAATTGACCACATAATTGGAAGTAAAACACTCCTCAGCAAATGCAAAAGAACTGAAATTATAACAAACAGTCTTTCAGACCACAATGCAATCAAATTAGAATTCGGTATTAAGAAACTCACTCAAAACCACACAATTACATGGAAATTGAACAACCTGCTCCTGAATGGCTTCTGGGGAAACAATAAAATTAAGGCAGAAATCAAGAAGTTCTTTGAAACCAATGAGAACAAAGAGACAATGTACCAGAATCTCTGGGACACAGCTAAAGCAGTGTAAAGAGGGAAATTTGTAGCACTAAATGCCCACATCAGAAAGCTAGAAAGATCTCAAATTGACACTGTAACATAAATAAAAGAGCTGGAGAAGCAGGTGCAAACTAATCCAAAAGCTAGCAGACAATAAGAAATAACTAAGATCAGACAAGAATTGAGGGAGATAGAGACATGAAAAACCCTCCAAAATAATCAGTGAATTCAGGGGCTGTTTTTTTTGTTTTGTTTTGTTTTTTTGAAAAAAAATTTTAAGAAAATAGATAGGCCACTAGCTAGACTAATAAAGAAGAAGAGAGAGAAGAATCAAATAGACACAATAAAAATGATAAAGGGGATATCACTACTGACACCACAGAAATACAAACTACCATCAGATAATACTATAAACACCTCTACCCAAATAAACTAGAAAATCTAGAAGAAATGGATAAATTCCTGGACACATACACCCTCCCAAGACTAAAGCAGGAAGAAGTCGAATCCCTGAATAGACCAATAACAAGCTCTGAAATTGCACTAATTAATAGCCTACCAAGCAAAAAAAGCCCAGGACCAGACAGATCCACAGCCGAAGTCTACCAGAAATATGAAAAGGAGCTGTTACCGTTCCTTCTTAAACTGTATCAAACAATTGGAAAGGAGGGACTCCTCCCTAACTCATTAAGAAGCCAGCATCATCCTGATACCAAAACCAGGAAGAGACACAACAAATAAAATCTTCAGGCCAATATCCCTGATGAACATCAATGTGAAAATTCTTAATAAAATACAGGAAAACTGAATCCAGCAGGAGATCAAAAACTTATCCACCCACAATCAAGTCAGCTTCATCCCTGAGATGCAAAGCTGTTTCAACATATGCAAATAAATAACCATAATCCATCATATAAACAGAACCAATGACAAAAACCATATACAGAAAAGTCCTTTGACAAAATTCGACAGCCATTCATGCTAAAAACTCTCAATAAACTTGGTATCGATGGAACGTATCCCAAAATAATAAGAGCTATTTATGACAAACCCACAGCCAATATCATATTAAATGGGCAAAAGCTGGAAGCATTCCCTCTGAAAACCAGTACAAGACAAGGATGCCCTCTCTCACCACTCCTATTCAACATAGTATTGGAAGTTCAGGCCAGGGTAATCAGGCAAAAGAAAGAAAGAAAGGTATTCAAATAGGAAGAGAGAAAGTCAAATTATCTCTGTTTGCAGAAGACATGATTTTATATTTAGAAAACCCCATCATCTCAGCCCAAAAACTCCTTGAACTGATAAGCAATTTCAGCAAAGTCTCAGGATACGAAATCAATGTGCAAAAATCACAAGCATTCCTTTACACTAACCAAAGGCAAGCAGAGAGCCAAATCATGGATGAACTCCCATTCACAATCTCTTCAAAGAGAATAAAATACCTAGGAACACAGCCAACAAGGGATGTGAAGGACCTCTTCAAGGGGAACTACAAACCACTGCTCAAAGAAATAACAGAGGACACAAACAAATGGAAAAACATTCCATACCCATGGATAGGAAAAATAAATAACGTGGAAATGGTCATACTACCCAAAGTAATTTGTAGATTCAATGCTATTCCCATTAAGCTACCATTGACTTTCTTTGCAGAATTAGAAAAAACTACTTTAAACATCATATGAAACCAAAAAATGGCCCATATGGCCAAGACAATCCTAAGCCAAAAGAACAAAGCTGGAGGCATCACGCTCCTGACTTCAAACTATATGACAAGGCTACAGTAACCAAAACAGCATGGTACTGGTACCAAAATAGACATATGGACCAATGGAACAGAACAGAGAACTCAAAAATAACACCACACATCTACAAAATGGGATGAATATTGCAGGTAAACTTTTTATATAATTTAAAATCTTAAAATCATTTTGGTGCTTATTGGATGTCTGAGTCATTTTCAATTAAGAAATTGTTATGATATGGGGAAATATGCTTCTAAAAGTTGTGGAATATTCTCATCTATAAAATGCAAATACTTGATAATTCAGGATTTCTTGCTTTGTAGGTTTTCACTAAAATTTAAGATTAGTAAGAATAGGAACATTAGTTAATAAGTAATTCTCTATATAAAATGTGCCAAAGAAGATGTGTTCTTTATGAGAAAAAGAATAATTTTGTATAATTCACAAGTTATCTAAAGTTTAATTTAAATTATGGACTTGAAAAGGTTATTTATGAAACAAGGGAGAAAGGAAGCAGTAAGTTGGGGAATGAGATGTAAAGAAAGTTATGGATGTGAAGATATATTTTTGGTAAAAAAGGTTATAAAGAAAAGGATAATTTTATATGAGAAAGCATCTTATATAGTGAACTTTTGTCCTAAAATAAAATGACTGGTTTTTTTCAAAGAAAATTTAGAACAAACAGAAAGACCAAGCACATCATCAATGGCCTGTGTAAGTCATGTTGTTTTTTTCTGGTTTCTCTATATGTCTCTCTTCCTGCACATACAGAGAGAACAGAAAGTTGAAAAAGTTTGGATAGTAAAATATTCTTTAAAACATGACAGAAATTTGGAAAAATTTGACTCATTAACATTGCTCATAGTTAAAACTCTAAGTCTTGATAAAGGAAAATTAAGAAACATTGTAAAGAAATACACTGGCAGTCTGGCAATCGTTCTCAATATAGTTAAGCATGAAGCCAGATTTAACATGGAGCCAAATTTTACATAAATGCTTGCATTGCTTTGTTTCACATTGTAATTACTATTCTGCATAGCTAGTAGTAGCACTAAAGTACTTACTGGTCACATGCTTTAAGTGAATTTCTTAATTGCATAAAATGTATATAGTGGTGAGGTGTACTTAAATGCATTAATTTGCATTATCATTCCTGTCATTTTTTAAGGGCCTGGGTAACACTGTAGCCTCCAAGGTAAACTGAGTGGGAAAAAAACTGGGGGTTGATTTCCTGTTTATTTGTTTTTGCATTTAATTTTCATTTATTTGCTGTTTGTTATCCTTTGAGTTTTACTTACATATACATATACACAAACCATTGTTGTTTTGTAGTTTGTAATGGAGGGCTTATATTTGGTTCTGTGCATAGTCATTTTGTTTCCTGTGCATTTCCTACAGTTCATGATTTGCTCTATTTACCTAAAGTTTCTGAGCTACCTTTGTCAAGCCTGCAAACATTGAGAGAGCACACCAGTCATTTAAAATTAAATTGTTTTTGCTTATCTTCGATGACCTAGAGAGCTACAAGAGCTCTAAGCTTCCTGCAAAAATAACAAAACACTTACATTTATAAGTTCTGAGCAGAAACAGTACATTATTTATTGTGTTATTTGGAAAAGAACAGAAATGTTTAAATGGTGATTATATCCAAGGTAATTCAATTAATAAATCAATAATTTGAGTCAGTTTCAGATCTTTTCTTTTGGGTAATAAGGAAAAATGATGATATGGGTACAAAGTTTTAAGGTTCAGGAAAGACTAGCCTTCTCCTTATGATAATTATATTGACTTTGATTTCTCTCAAATTACTTTAGTTGTGTTTACCATTATTATAATTAAGTGACATTCACTTGGATTAAGTAGTAATAAAAGGAGTGAAATTTTCTAGTTATTTTTGATCCCAAGCTATTTATCACTGCTTCATGTGTGTAGTTGAAAACAAAATATGTACAAGTGTTGCACTGGTTTGAAGATTCCAGTGGCGAAACTTACCAATCAGTTATCTGTACTGCATCTAAAAACCAGTCTTGGAAATGTATGATAATACTCTTTTAAAATAGCTGAAAAGAAATTATTGCGTGCTGCTTCTTACTTTGTCCTTGCTTTGTTTTATAATATTTAGGTGAAAGGAGATTATTTGCCCTCATACTGAATTTCCAAAACTGATATTTGCATTTACCATTTTTTAAATGATAGAAAGTTAATTTTTTTATGAAGGCAAATTAAGAAACATTGTAAAGAAATACACTGGCAGATTGATAAGTTTAATGTAGAAACTATCGCATTTTTGATGCCTTTGATCACAGTTCTGTCAATAGAATGCTAGTAATTAGATACACGCAAGGAGTCACTTAACCACTTTAATACAATGGGTTGGAACTTGTGTTAAATTGAGAAATTAAAACTTCAATTTCTATAGGCCCAGAGATTATTGCAGAAGAGGTGGGCATGTGAGATGGTAAGGAACAATTAGTTAAGGAATAAGATTAGTTTCGAGTTTTTCTAGAACTTAAAAATTAATACCAAAAGCACACTGATGCAAAGCCAGCCTCTGGGTCTGGGCCCCTGTGTCAGAATAATAGGGTTCTCTTCAAGCAATGACCTAATCTTTAATTTAAAAAAACTGTAAAAGCTTATAAAAGGTTCGTAAAAACCTTACTTTATGGTCAAACTAATTTCAAATGTGAGATAGTGTTTAACTTTATTTGGGTTATGTTTATATAGCTGTGTTGTAAATATGTGTTCCAGGATTGTATAAGATTCTTAAAATTCTGATATGTCAATATATGCTGTCAGAAATAATCATGATTATTGTGATTTTTTTGTTTTTGAGACAGGGTCTCACTCAGTCAACTGGGCTGGAATGCTGTGGTAAAATTTTGGCTCACTGCAACCTCCACCTCCCAGGCTCAGGCAATCCTCCCACCTCCGCTTCCTGAGTGTCTGGGACTACAGGTGTGTGCCCACCACTCTCTGCTAATTTATCACTATTTTTTATAGAGACTGAGTTTCACCATATTGCCCAGGCTGGTTTTGAACGAGCTCAAGCGATCTGCCTTCCTTGGTCTCCTGAAGTGCTAGGATTACAGGTTTGAGCACTGCACCTGGTCGATTATATTAAATTTTGGTATGCCACAAAAATAACCATTTTTGGACAAGTGTGTCTGTCCTTAGACTTGTCATCCACAATTGTTTTTGCTTTTTTTCCCCAAAAAGTAGCTTATAATCAGCTACAATCTACAGCTTGCTCTTTGGGGGGAGTTCATGAAAAGGACTCTTAATTGTAGGTTTCTGATAACTTTGGACATGGTACCATTGAACTAGAGAAAAACCTCCATGACTCTAATAAAAAGGCTGATGTGCTCATGAAAATTACTAACCCAATATGAAGCAAAGTAGGTATTAATTGCATGAACAAGTGATGGAGGACTGGAATAATTTATGGGCTTTTTATTTGAACATTTGTGATTCTTTTTGTTTTGTTTTTCAGGAATCCAGAGAACTTTTTTTTATCTTTGAGCTACTTATATCCTTTAACAATTGAATAAAGTATACAGAATTTGAGAAATATTTCACTCTCTCTGCTTAATTTCTCTGGAATTCACAAACTGAATATTCTTTATTCAGAGCAATGTGGTTGTTTGCATAAATTCAATAAGAATCTGTTTTCTTTTATAACAGAGCACAGTTGGATAAACTCCTTATTTTCCCAGAGCTTTGACTGAAATAGTTTTGTTAGAGGTTCCAACAAAGCCAATTTAGGAGAGCCGATATGGACAATGATTCTTGCTGCAGTTTGTGTGAGGAATCAGGCCAAGTATCGTGGGACTGAAGCTTATTCTGCAGGTAGATTGGTCCTGCTGTGATTTGTCTTCGATCAAAGTGGGGAACTGGAGAGAAAATGATTGTGTTTCAAGAAAAAAAAATAAAATTAGGTTAACCTTTTATTCCTGGGTGGCCACATGGTCACCCATGGTATGGAGCTGCCCACAACACCATCCCTCAGCATGCAGCAACCAGAAAGACAGACAACCAGATTCACAATGATTGAGGAATTGATAAATATTGATTTATTAGAAAGGGTTGGGGGGTACTGAAACTGGCTCAGTTGTCTCATAGAACTGATGTTTACGGTTTCTTTTGAATAAACATAGAAATTGACTCTCCCAATCTTGAAACTTGAGAAAGTTACATTTGTCTTATCTGAGTTCTTATCTCAGGAAATCAACCGTTAAGCCTCAAGTTCCCTGATAGTATCAAAGAACTGAAATTTACCAAATAACCGAATCTGAACAATAAGACACCAGACCCCTCACCCATCATGACTGCCTTACTGACCACCTGCTTCCTGTTGACCAACTCTTCTTTCTTACCCCTACTTCATATTTACGTGCATGTAGTTACATTTCTTCCCTGCTGCATAACTCCCTAATATTTGTGGATCAAAGAGATGGATTTGAGGCTGATTTCCCAGTTCTTCAGCCATAGCCTCCAAATAAAGCTTTCTTCCCTGGCAATACTCATTGTCTCAGTGATTGGCTTTCTGTGCACTAAACAGCAGGACCTAGACCAAATCACTTATGTTTCAGTAACACGACCTCAGCTTCCTGAGTATCTGGGATGACAAGCATACAACACCATAGCCAAATCATACAGTTGTTTTTTATGTCTTAGCTGTTGCTTTTAAAAGGCTCTATGTTCATGTTTGGGTGTATTTTTGTTTATTTTTTAATGACGTTTATTTTCTGTCATATTTTATTTCAAAAGTTCTTTTGATCAGGGAAGTACATTTCCTATGAAAAACATTCTTCCCAGAATCCATGAGAGGGGCCACCCCATGCAAAAGACACTCAGGTTAGAATCATCAATCATAGACCACAAAATCAAATTACATTCCTTATGTAAACCTGATAGAATTTCTTTTTTTCCATGAGAGATCAAATAAAGTTTAAAGATTCTAATGCAGAATTTTTTACTCCTTAGCTCAGCTAGGTCCAAGTTCTTGTCTCATGACCAGGAAGATTTAGGCATGCAGACAGTTGAAGAGTGAGTGGAGTATAATTTATTAAGCAAAAGGAAAGTTATCAGCAAAGAGAGGGGTTCTGAAAGCAGGTCGTCGGTTGCCCCCTCCCAGTTGAATACAAAGCCTCTTGATATGGTTTGGCTCCACGTTCCAAATCTCATCTTGAATTGTAGCTCCCATAATTCCCACACGTTATGAGAAGAATCCAGTGGGAGATAATTGAATCATGGGGCTGTTCCCTCCTTACTGTTCTCGTGGTAGTGAATAAGTCTCACAAGATCTGATGGTTTTATAAGGACTTTCCATTTTCACTTCACTGTCATTCTCTCTTGCTGCTGCCATGTAAAAAGTGTCTTTCTCACCTTCTGCCATGATTGTGAGGCCTCCCCAGCCATGTGGAACTGTGAGTCCATTAAACCTATTTTGCTTCCCAGTCTTGGGTATGTCTTTATCAGCAGCATGAATATATATGCTAATGGGGCTGGATTCCCTATTTGTATAAGGTGTGAATTTCTTGTGGCTCCACCCCATTCCCCTAGTGCACATGTGAGCCCTTAGTCAGCTGTGGGCATGTTTAGGCAAGCCCTCTGTGCAAGTTTCCTTATCTGCATAAAACATCTGGTGTAAGCATTTGTGGGGCGGGTCAGAGGTTCTCCAGGGACCCTTCCCTTGCTGTCTGCCTAAAGCAAGCTGGCTAACTCCTTTCAATTCCTTGTGGCCCAAGTCTTCAGTTGTTTGCACAAGATTTCAGTTTCCTTAATATTTCACATTATTCTCATCATAGTACTTGCTTCCACATCAATCAGTAGACGTGGAGATTGTCATGAGTTTGTTAGATCTCGAAAGTTTCTTGTGACATATCAGATACTTACAGTGAGAATATGGGTCATCTATTAAGAATGTTTAGCCCATTTTCCACCATTCTTCAGAAAATCATCAATAACTATAGTCCTTTCTTTCTTGAGAGATCAGAATTAGCCTTTTTCCACCTATCAAATTGCCCTTATTGTTCCATGTATCATGTAGTACTACTGCTTAACCAGTTATGGAATCACCCCTTCTTTAAAAAAAAGTTTTACCTGTTGCCTTACTTAGAGTAGTATAGAACTTACAATTTTTCTTTTGAGCATCATATTTTTCCACTTACTGACATCTTGATAATGCTCTTGGTAGTACTTTGCTTTCTCAAAAACATTCTTTTTAATGTGTTTTGTGAATTTTGTATTTTTTCTTTTTGTCTAACAAGTTACCATGTTTGCTAATGAGTTAGGGAGAAGTAAGCCTTACACCTTTTCACTTTGTGCTCAGATGATCTAATCTGTTCTCATAGCATCAGGAACTGAAAAATATTTTGGTCAAGATGTCAAACACAAGCAAAGCATGTATCTGCATATTACTATAATTGTTTATGTTTTCATACCAATAACTGGCTTTTAAACTATAACCTTGTCTGTCATGCCTACACACACACACACACACACACACACACACATATGCACCCTTCTCATCTTCCATCTTTAAAACTTGTAAAATTGTTACATATTTATATGGTAAATCATCTTTTTAAACACTTACTCTACTATGATTGCATAACTCCAGGAAGCAGTTGCAGAAATGGAACCACAAAGTAAGCCTATCATCCCAATCTTTTTGAGATATATCTCTGCTAATTAGGGAAAATGTGAACAATATCAGCTCAGCTCCTTTCTGCAATAATCAAGTGTTCAAAGATCCATGAAGTATCTCCACATCAAACAGTCACATTTCCACATATTTAAAAATCATGGAATCCTTGTATTTATACTAATACAATACACAACTACTTGTAAGTATGTGCTTTATAGACACATATCCAAAACATAGGTTTAGTTTGTATATCAGCCAGGGTCCTGGCAGGAAAAGATGACATGCACAAACTGAGTAATTTGAAGAAAGTGTAATAAAAGGGTAACTTACAAAGGTGTAGACAGGGTTTAGGTAAACTAACAAGTTTGTTGTTGAAACTGGGACTAGCAACCGCAGTGAGTTGTTACCCGTAAGCCAGGTAAGGAAAAGTAGGAAGCCAGTGACTGGAACTTGAAAAAGGTATCTGTCTGAAGAGAGCTTTTGGAGAGAAACTGGCCTCATGTAGAGGAAGGCAGCCAACACTCAGGGAGGGAGCCTGAGCAATATGTACACTTGACCCTTGAACAACACAAAAGTTGGAAGCCTGACCCTCTGTGTAGTCAAAAATCCAGTTATAACTTTTGACTCCCCAAAAATGTAACTACTCACAGGCTACTGTTGATCAGAAGCCACACCAATAGCATAAACAGTCCATAACACATATTTTGTATGTTGTGTGTATTATATACTGCATTCTTACAATAAAGCAAGCTAGAGAAAAGAAAATGTTATTAAGAAAATCATAACATTTCCCAGTTATTAAGTGGCAGTGATCATCATAAAGGTCTTCATCTTCATAGTCTTCACATTGAGGAGGCTGAGGAGAAAGAAGAGAAGGGGTTGATCTTGCTGTCTCAAGAGTAGCAGAGGTGGAGGAGGTAGAAGGGAAGGCAGGAGAGGCAGGCACAGTCGGTGTGACTTTACGGAAGTATGTTGTGATTTCTCTCTGACGTTTTGAGTTTTCATTTCTTTAAAAATGATTCTATACAGTTCCAATCCTTCTATCATTTGCTTTAGCTCCAATGCCTGTATCATAGAAGGGTTCATGCTATTGAAGACGTCAGAAGTAGTCTTAAATAATCAGAATCCAATTGCCATCTTTTCTAATGTCAATTTGTTTTCTGGCATTGCATCTTCTATGTCTTCTTCCTCATCATCTGGCACTGATTTGGAAACACTTATCTCCATCAAATCATCTTCTGTTAATTCCTCTGGTGTGATGTCTATTAGCTCTTGAATATCTTCAATATCTATATCTGAAAACCTTTCACTCTCACCTTATTTGCCATATCTACAATATCTGTCATAATTTCTTTGATTGGCTCCTGTGAATTCACATACAACATCTGGACACAGTTTTCTTCAGAAGGAATGTATTGTTTTAAGCTTCATGGCTTTCACAGCTTTTTCTATAACAACAATGAAATCTTCAATGGTGTGGTTCCTCCAGACTTCCATGATGTTCTATCAGAGTTCTCTTTGATAGTATTGATGATCATTTCCATACAGTACCATGTGTGATGAGCCTTCACAGGTTCTTATGACCCCCTGATATAGAAGCTGAGTTGGAATGTTGTGTTTGGGGGCAAGCAGACTGCTTCAAAGCCTTCAGCATTGAACTCACTGGGTTTGGGCCATTGTCCAGGGCATTGTCCCATATCAAAAGAACTTTAAAAGGCAGTCTCTTACTGGCAAAGGTAGTTCCTGACTTCAGGGACAAAGCAACAATGGGACAAATCCAGAAAAAAGTGTTCTTGTTGTCCAAACCTTCTTGTTGTACAACCAAAAGAACTGACATCTGCTGTTTATCTTTTCTCTTTAAGCCTCAGGGGTTAGAAGCTTTATAGAAAGAGGGGCCCTCAGTATAAAACTGACTGTATTTGTGCAAAACAGTAGAGTTAGCCCATCACTTCCTACCTTAAAACCTGGTGCTCACTTCTCTTCCTTACTAATAAATGTCTTTTGTGTCATTTTATTTTTGGAATAGGGCACTTTCATCTGCAATAGAAATCTGTTCAGGAAAATAGCCTTTCTCTTCAATGATTTTCTTAATGTCATCTAGGAACTTGTTTGCTGCCTCTTGGTCAGCAAAAGATACTTTTCCTGTTTTCTGGAAATTTGAAAACCCAAGCCTCTTTCTGAGATTATCAAGCCATCTTTTGCTGGCATTAAATTCTTAAGCTTTAGACTCTCCACCTTCCATTTGCTTTAAGATGTCATATAATATTTTTTGCTTTTTCTTGAATCATGTTAGGATCTATAGATACGCCTTTCTTATAGCAATCCTGCTCCCATGTGAAAGCTGCATTCTCAATACGAGATAAAAAGGTATTTCCCCAGAAATGTAAGGTTTTCTTGCTGCTAGCATAGCTGCAGCAACAGCTTCACAAATTTCTTTTTCTTTTTCTTTTTACAATGGTCCTTACATTGAACTGATTTATCTTGAAATGGTGGCTACCACAGATGCAGACCTCAATCTGTGGTACCTATCAAGAAATTCAACTTTTTCTTGTAATGTCATGACTTTTGTCTGCTTCTTGAGAGCACTTTTGGCATCACTCGTGGCACTTCATATAGATCCCATGGTGTTATTCATGATGAAAAATACGTGAGAATTGCAAGTCACTTTTTACTGTGATACACAATTTACTGGAGAGATGAACTGCTCACGCAGAGATGATTAGCGTCACATGGCATTTTAAGCAATTACTTTCAACACATGAGCTCACCGCAATAACAACAGGAGGTGGCTACAAAATTATTACAATAGTACAGTATGTACTACAGTTAACGTTATGCAGTTTTAATACTGCATTTTTAGAATTGTTTATATTTCTTTCCATTGCAAATGGCATCATGTATGGTCTGTGTTTGTGCACATATGTTTTAATAAATTTCAACTTTTTATAATAGATTTGTGTATATTTTATTGTAGCAAATAATAAAACAGACTAATTTCTAAAATATTTTATGTCATTTTATGTAGCTATGACAAAATTATCTTATTTTTTTCCATATTTGCAGGCCATGCAGTTCATCTGTTTTTTCAAATTGTCATAAATCTCCAAAAAATTTCCAATGTATTTATTGAAAACTATCCACATATGTCTTCTTTTGAGAAGTGTCTGTTCATATCCTTCACCCACCTGTTGATGGGGTTGTTTGTTTTTTTCTTGTAAATTTGTTTGAAAGAGACACTTCTCAAAAGAAGACATTTATGCAGCCAACAGACACATGAAAAAATGCTCATCATCACTGGCCATCAGAGAAATGCAAATCAAAACCACAATGAGATACCATCTCACACCAGTTAGAGTGGCGATCATTAAAATGTCAGGAAACAACAGGTGCTGGAGAGGATGTAGAGAAATAGGAACACTTTTACACTCTTGGTGGGACTGTAAACTAGTTCAATCAATGTGGAAGACAGTGTGTCGATTCCTCAGGGATCTAGAACTAGAAATACCATTTGACCCAGCAATCCCATTACTGGGTATGTACCCAAAGGATTATAAATCATGCTGCTATAAAGACACACGCACACGTATGTTTACTGTGGCACTATTCACAATAGCAAAGACTTGGATCCAACCCAATGTCCAACAATGATAGACTGGATTAAGAAAATGTGGCACATATACACCATGGAATACTATGCAGCCATAAAAAATGAGTTCATGTCCTTTGTAGGGATATGGATGAAGTTGGAAACCATCATTCTCAGCAAACTATCACAAGGACAAAAAACCAAACACTGCACGTTCTCACTCATAGGTGAGAATTGAACAATGAGAACACTTGGACACAGGAAAGGGAACATCACACACCAGGGCCTGTTGTGGGGTGGGGGGAGGGGGGAGGGATAGCATTAGGAGATATACCTAATATAAATGACGAGTTAATGGGTGCAGCAAACCAACATGGCACATGTATACATATGTAACAAAACTGCACGTTGTGCACGTGTACCCTAGAACTTAAAGTATAATAAAAAATATATACAAAAAGAAAAATATCCACATATAAGTGGACAGAGACCTGCACCCTTCAAATCTGTGTTGTTCAAGGGTCAACTGTCAATCTTAATCTCACTCTTCCATCTTCTGCTCCAGAATCCAGAGGATAAGAAATCCATGATGTAGCAGCATGCTGGGACATAAAGCAGGATGGGAATGGGTAAAAAGTGGGTCTAGAAGGATTAAATAGAAAATAATCCACACAATCACTACACCTGAAAATCGTAACCATGTGAAACAACAGGGCAGGCACACCAGGACAGATCTTTCAGTCCAATTTGAGCTCTAGAATATGGCATTCCAAAAGTGGGATGCTACAAATAGTCTCATTGAGAGTCAACTTGCACAATGTATTGTCCTACCCTTACATCAATTTCTGAAACAACTTCTCTTTGCACTTCCCCTGTAGTTACATGCATAATAAATTCTGACAACTCTTATGAAGTCATGGAATAACTTTCTTCTTATGTTTCCTATCAATGTCATTAGCCCTTTATCTTGTTTGAGTTTCCATCAGCAATGTTTTCAAGTCCCAAGATCATTCATGTATCCACAAGCAATGATACGCCAGATTTGGACAAATAATACTGAATACTATCTTATTTTCACTGCCATGATCAAGGCAGTGTGGATTGCTGCCAAGTCCAAGAGAAGTGAGGTCAGCAGCTGCAAGCCACCTCCGTCATTTAGAAAAGCTTCGTGATGTAGTGTGTCGTTTCGATGTGACACTGTCTCACAGAGTTAAAATGATGTGCAAGGAACTGTTCAATGGAAATTTAGAAATTTCTCTTTTTCTCAATTTTAGTGTAAGGAAAATGTCTGCTCAGTTAAAAAAAAAAAAAAAAAAGTAGTAGTGCCACCCAGTTTCAGGCAGAAATAGCTGCAGTAACACCCTTTTCTGACCAGAAAGATGAATTGCCTGTAACTATTACCACTTGAAAATTTTGGCCTAAATTTTCAGCTTTAATGTAGTATTTTTAAAAGCAGGAAAATCTTGTTCTACTGGAAATGTTCGTGCTTCTTCACTCTTCGGCAGAATATACTGCATCCAAGAAAAGAATTTATTTTTCTCCTTTAAAATTTCAAATCTCAGTGATTATGGGGAAAAAAATCTGTGTTGGGTGGTGCAATAAAGGCTTCACATAAGTAGGCAGCTGTAATATGTTTTAGGCACAGAAGCAAACTCTTCATGTTCTAGCAGCTAATTAAGATAAAGATTTGCTTGGCATGCAATTTTGCTTCCCTAACATCTTTTATATTGAAGTCACTCTGACTTAGAGAGCATCCTACATTTTAGTCACTGACCCATAAAGTACAAATGAAAGCTGGTAAAAGGAAAACAATCAGCATTCTGAATAACTCGCTGGGAAATGCCTCAAACTTGAAGGATGTTTTAATAATAATTCACCAATCAATTCCATTAGTCTTAAAGATGAGACAAGTACAAAGAGAAAATTTGAATTACACAGCTCCTCTTGCTACAATTTAAAGCTATTTTGAGCTAAGTTTAAACCTTTTGAAATGTAGTATCTTGCTGTCTTTGAGCCAGAAAAATGCAAGATACTAATAGTAAAACCCAATTAATAATAAACTATATTTCTGTGCTTCACATTTTTGCTCAAGTGATGCCCTTTATATCTCAATGCCATATTTTAACAGCTCTCTTTATTCAAAAAACCATGCCAAGCAAAGGTAATTTAAACTGCTTTTATCATGCAACCTTAACACCTAGTTTTTAAAAATAAGGATTTCTTAAAAAGTTTTTCATCCACTGTAGCCTTTTTTTAGTCACTATCTCTCTTAACATACTTATTTGTTCTACTCGTGCTTTACCTAATCCTAGCATGCTCTGCTAATGAATTTATTTGTTTCTGATCACTTTTTCAAATGACAGTTTTGTTTTTTTGTTTGGGAGATTTTGTTTGGGGTTTTTTGCATATATATTAATTTCCTGAGGCTGCCATATTAAACTGTCATATCAAACATATTCTATACCACAAACTTGGAGGCTTAAACAACGGAAATTTATGGCCTAACAGCTCTGGAGGTCAGAAGTCCAAGATGAAGGGTCAGCCAGGTTGGTTCTTCTGAGGACTGTGAGGGGAAATCTGTTCCTTGCCTCTGCCTTAGCTTCTGGTGGTTTGCAGGCAACCTGACATTCCTTGGTTTGTAGCTGTATCATCTCCATCTCTGCCTTCATCTTCCCATGGCATTCTTCCTGTGTGTATGTCTTTGTCCAAATTTCTCCTTTTTGTAAAGGCAACAGTCATCTTGGATTAGGGGCCCACCCTACTCCAGTATGACTTTATCTTAACTAACTACATCTGCAATGAACCTATTTCCAAATAAGGTTACATTCTGAGGTCCTAGAGGTTAGAACTCCAACATATGAATTTCAGAGTGAAGGAGGAACATGATTCAACGCATAACAGCTTGTAACATTGTGTACAGAAGGTGCAACTTTTTTTTTTTATTATACTTCAAGTTTTAGGGTACATGTGCACATTGTGCAGGTTAGTTACATATGTATACATGTGCCATGCTGGTACGCTGCACCCACTAACTCGTCATCTAGCATTAGGTATATCTCCCAATGCTATCCCTCCCCCCTCCCCCCACCCCTCAGAGAACTGCAAATCAAAACCACTATGAGATACCATCTCACACCAGTTAGAATGGCGATCATTAAAAAGTCAGGAAACAACAGGTGCTGGAGAGGATGTGGAGAAATAGGAACACTTTTACACTGTTGGTGGGACTGTAAACTAGTTCAACCATTGTGGAAGACAGTGTGGCAATTCCTCAAGGATCTAGAACTAGAAATACCATTTGACCCAGCCATCCCATTACTGGGTATATACCCAAATGACTATAAATCATGCTGCTATAAAGACACATGCACACATGTTTATTGCGGCATTATTCACAATAGCAAAGACTTGGGACCAACCCAAATGTCCAACAATGATAGACTGGATTAAGAAAATGTGGCACATATACACCATGGAATACTATGCAGCCATAAAAAATGATGGGTTCATGTCCTTTGTAGGGACATGGATGAAATTGGAAATCATCATTCTCAGTAAACTATCGCAAGAACAAAAAACCAAACGCCGCATATTCTCACTCATAGGTGGGAATTGAACAATGAGATCACATGGACACAGGAAGGGGAATATCACACTCTGAAGGTGCAACTTTTAAATGCTGTGTTTGAATGGTTTCCTACTTATTGACAGACCCATCATGTATACGAATTAAGGTTTAGGATCTTGTAACCAAGCCTTCTTGAGATTCTACTTGCCATTACATTCAACAGAGATATCTCCTTAGGAACTTAATTGTGTTTTGTGAAACACTGTGTACTTAACAAAGAGTGGAATCACACTAACGTGGGGCCCCTAAAGCAAAAGCATATCAAGCAAACTTTCTCATTGTTATTTTTCATTTTGTGGTAGCTCTTTGATCATGATTGTCTTTTTAAAGACTAAAATGAAAACCTGTAACGGCACACTCACCTTCTCATCAAGGATTCAAGTTAGAATTAAAGTTATTCTAATAGGTAAGAAAAAAAACTGTGGGTCCATTCCTACTTTCATCTAACCGATGGCCTATATTCTGATTGCTGAAATGGCTGTTTATCATAAAAGATTCTGATTTAATCAACGTGATCCCAGTTTGCCTGTGATAACATAAACGACTGTTTTTCTCCTGGAAATTTACTAAGAAAAAATATTAACAAAAGCCATGTGAAAGAAATGGTAAATCAAGTAGTCAAAGAAATGCAAATTAAACCAGGATAGTATTATTCGTTAGTAAATTGGTACAGGGTTTTATATATGACATATGATATTGTGATATAAGTCATGAGGCTCTTGATTTAATTTTCATTTTAGCCTTTCTCTTTTCTTTTTGGGCCTACGTTTCTATAGTTTCAATTACTATACTTTCAAGTTAATTGATAAACTTCTTCAATGTCTATTCTGTTTTTAAGCTCATCCAATGAGTTGTTCTTTCTTCTTTATCTTTTATTCCCATTTTCATTATGTTCATTTTCCCTTAATACTGGCACATATTGAGCATGTTTATATAAGCTCTTGTAAGGTCCTCGTCTGCTAATTTCATTATTTTTGTCATGTATGTGTCTTTTTCCTTTTCTTTTTCGTTTATTTTTTGCTTGTATTGACCCTGTCAGGAGAAGCATGTCTTTTTCCATTGCCTAATTTTTCTCCTGTTAATGAGTTACATTTTTCTTCATTGTATATTTTGCATGTTCAGTAATTCTGGACATGGTGAATTTGTGTTATTGAGTGCCTGGTTTTGTAGTCTTCCTTTTGAGAGAGTTACACTTTGTTCTGTCATGCATTTAAGTTAATTGCAGAGCAGCTTAAAGTTTTCATAGCTTGCTTTAAAGCTTTCTTAGCGTGAGTCTGGAGTCGCCTTCGGTTTTTAGCCACCTTACTGAAGGACAGCCTCTCCGTTGTCCTCACTGGATGCCCCAGGTGTTCGATGAGGACACTTCCTCTTTCTGAAACATAAAATGCCCTGTAGCCCTTTGTGAGGTCTGGGACCTGGTCAGAATATATCTACCTGGATGCTCTTTTCCCAACCTCATGACATTTTACCTTACACACATGTAGCGTGATATTCAGCAACAGAATCGAAGTTATCCCTATGTGGGTTTGTTTTTTTGTTTGTTTGTTTGTTTTAAGACAGAATCTCACTCTGTTGCCCAGGCTGGAGTGCAGTGGCACAATCTTGGCTCACTGCAACCTCTGCCACCCGGGTTCAAGCAATTCTCCTGCCTCAGCCTACTGAGTAGCTGGGATTACAGGAGCCCGCCACCAGGCCTAGCTAATTCTTGTATTTTTAGTAGAGATGGAGTTTCAACATGTTGGCCAGGCTGGTCTTGAACTCCTGACCTCAGGTGATCCACCCGCCTCAGCCTCCCAAAGTGCTGGGATTACAGGCGTGAGCCACCACGCCCAGCCCCCTATGTGGGTTTCTAGAGCTCTTTCTCTGCAATTCTCTCCTCCCCAGTACTCTTCCTTGAATACTGTAGCTGCCTCATTTTTCCAAAACGAGAGTCAGTCTCCTCAAGTCAGGAGGACAACCATGTTCTCCTTGTGATTCCATTCCCTGCCATAGTCCAGAAAGGCGTTTTCCTACAGATAGCCAAGGTATTCTTTCACCTCTCCTCTTTTGTTTCTCTTGTTTCGTGAATCAAAGTTCTATGTGATCTGCATTCTAAAATCTGAAAACCATTGTGACTTTGTCCAGTATTCTAACTGGAGGAAACCTCTTTAGTTATTCTACCGTAATTATAACAGAAGACTTGATATGTATTTTGAAAAACAGTTTCTTTTGTGGTTAGTGCTTTTTGTCTTATTTACATCAAAATCATGACGATAATCACATTTTCCTCTAATATCTTTATTATTTTACTTTTAACAATTAGATTGCAAATGAAATGGAAACTGTGTGTGTGGGGGGGTGTGTGAGGAGTTAGGGATCAAGATAATTTTTTTCCATGTGAATATCCAAATGGCCTAGGACTATTTATTAACAACACCCTTTTTCTATTATTGAATTGCTATGTTTCCTATTACAAATAATGTGGCAATATATATGCTGGTTTATTTTGGTACACTATATTCTATTTCATTAATCTATTTGTTTATTTTTGTACCAATATCACACTGTCTTGATTACTCTAGCTCTATAATAATCTGTGAAGAGAGTAAATGTCTTTCAGATTTTTTTCTTTTCAAGATTGTCTTGCCTATCCTTGGACCTTTGCCTTTCCTAATGGACTTTAAATTCAGCTTGGTGACTTTTGAAATAAATAAATGCCTAAATCCTAACGGTATTTTTATTGCAATCTCATTGGATCTCGGATTAGTGTGAAACGTCGGACACAGTGGCTCACACCTGTAATCCCAGCACTTTGGGAGGCTGAGGCAGGTGGATCACTTGAGGTCAGGAGTTTGAGACCAGCCTGGCCAATATGGTGAAACCCCATCTCTACTAAAAATACAAAAATTAGCTGGGTGTGGTGGCAGGTGCCTGTAGTGGCAGCTACTCTGGAGCCTGAGGCAGGAGAATCACTTGAATCCAGGAGGCAAGGTCGCAGTGAGCTGAGATCGCGCCACCGTACTTCAGTCTGTGCAACAGAGCTAAACTCCATCTCAATAAAAAAAATTAGTGTGACAATAAATAAAATCTTTACAATAATAAGGCTTCCAAAACCTCATGAAATATCTTTTCATTTATATAGCTCTTTAATTTTGATAAAGAGATTTTGTACATTATTATTTAGATTTATTCCCAGGTATCTGATTTTTTTATATTATAAATGATATTTTCGCAACTTTTAAAAATTCGTTGTGCATTATACGTTTTGTTTATGACCTTTATATAGTGATATTGTGCAATTCACTATTAATTTACATGTGTGGATTATTTTGGAATTTCTACATACTTGATCATCTTGTTCTACAAATAGTGACACCTTTATTTCTCTTTTAACTCTCGTTAGACTTTTTTCTTATCTTAGTTTATTGGTTAGGTACTGAATTAAAATATTGTATTAAACAGCTGGACAAAATCATCTTGTTCTTAATGTTGGGTGGATAGTTTTAATATTTCACTATAGTGTATGATTTTTCCTGTAGGTTATTTACTGATATTTTTTTGTCAGAGTAAGGAACTTGCTGTTTCTAATTTGCAAAAAACTTTTTGTTTGTTTTAATCATAAATTAACACAAATTTGTGAAATTCTTTTTTGTATCAATCAACATGATTTTATGACCATTATTTTTTATTTGATAATGTAGTGAATAATGTTAATTGTTTATTTAACTACACTTATCTACCTGGAATAAACCCCACTTAGTCTTGTAGATAGAACTTTCTAATGTCTGGTAAAGCAACTTCACAGACACATTGATTATCAACACATCGAAGTGTTTCTTAAAATTTGTCACAAAGGAAGGAGCTTATGAACATGACAATTCAAACAATTCCTCTGGAAGACACATTTCATGGAGGGAAATGGCTGTAAAATAATTGTTAGATTGGATAAACTATAATGCAATAGCTGGTTAAAAATTACAGACTCTTCATGAGGTTTGTTAAATGGCATTAGATTTTTCCTAAGATTGAACACTGTTAGGATTTTAAAAGTTTAGGTTTTTCAGTTCATTAATGTCTATCAGAAAATTGCTGGAGAATTTTATCAGGAATAGTAATTATTTCCAAAAGGAGCACCTACCAAACCATGTTAGACCATGAAATTCTTCCAGATTTTGGACAATTCATAAAATACTAAATAAATTATCCATTTATTATTTAGGAGTGTCATGGAAAACTATGAAACCTGCCTGAATTTTTTTTTTTTTTTGCTGTAGGAACAAAAGAACTATAGTTCAAAACAAAAATTTAAAAGAATAAAGATGCTTTCTGCTGGTACTTTATTGAATTCAGCTGATCTCTGTACCATGGCACATACCCTTTGATTCACCACTTACATTTCTAGCTATTTAACATAAGGAGACAGTTATGTATGGTTACATATGTAGCTATTAAGATTTTTATGTTAACATGGCTTATACCAAAAAGAAGCAAGAAAAGAAAGAATGAAAGAGAGAAAGAGGGAAAGGAAGAAGGAAGGAAGGAAGGAAGGAAGGAAGGAAGGAAGGAAGGAGGGAGGGAGGGAGGGAGGGAGGGAGGGAGGGAGGGAGAGGGAGGGAAGGAAGGAAGGAAAAGACTTCAATGTCTATCACCAAGTGATATGGCCCCACCCAAATCTAATTTTGAATTGCAGCTCCCACAATTCCCACGTGTTGTGGGAGGGGCCTGGTGGGAGGTAATTAAATCATAGGGGCGGGCCTTTCCAATGCTGTTCTCGTGATAGTGAATAAGTCTCATGAGATCTGATGGCTTTATGAATGGGACTTCCCTTGCACAAGCTCTTTCAGCTTGCTGACATATAAGAGGACCCTCTGTTCTTCGTTTGTCTTCCGCCATGATTTTAAGGCCTCCCCAGCCATGTGAAGCGGTAATTCCATCAAACCTCTTTCCTTTATAAATTACCCAGCCTCGTGTATGTCTTTATTAGCAGCATGAGAACAGACTAATACACCAAGGGAATAATTATATAATTAGGATACATCAGTAAAATTAATTAATTCTCAGCAAACATTCAAATGACTAGTATAGGATACTTTTATTAACATGGGAAAATATTCGCCATACATTGTTAAATGAACAACAACCAAAAAAAACCAGAGTCCAATACAGTATATTCTTATTTTAAAATAATCTATATACAAAAATGTATATAAAAATTACATATATAATAATGTGGAAAAATTATGTTAAATTATTTCTGGAATGGTAAGCTATTTTTATTTTCTTTTTTGTTTTTATATCTTTCTTAAATATGTTTTTCTTATATAATAAGGGAAAAATAAACCTTGTAATACATTTTGTTGTAGTTAGACACAAATATAGCATCCCCATATTGTCTTATAAATACCTCCAAAATCCTCTTAAAAGGAAGCTTCCTCTACATGAAGCAATTCTTTACATGCGTTACTGAATGTATGTTAAAAGGCCAAGAGGCCAGGTATGGTGGCTTATGCCTGTAATCCCAGCAATTTTGGAGGTCAAGGCAGGTGGATCACTTGAGGTCAGGAGTTGGAGACCAGGCTGACCAACATGGTGAAACCCTGTCTCTACTAACAATACAAAATTCAGCTGGGCATGGTGGCCAGTGCTGGTAATCCCAGCTACTTGGGAGGCTGAGGCAGGAGAATCACTTGAACCTGGGAGGAGGAGGTTGCAGTGAGTTGAGATCATACCACTCCATTCCAGCCTGAGTGACAAAGCTAGATTCCATCTCAAAAAATGAAAAAGGCTAAGAGAGTTATTCCATTTACCTTCTGTCTTATTTCCTACTCTGCCTTACTGAGAATACAGCATTAGTGTGTTTTTATTCTAAGCACACTTGCCACAAGTAGAACACATTATTTTACCATAGCCCATGGCATCCTATGTGCAAATCGGCTGTCAAGTAACCCACCAAATGCAATTTATCCAGTCCTCCTTACAACTGCTGGAGGTTCTGGAATTAAAGAGTAACTGACCAGTTACTGCATTTTCTCCACAGCAGTACTCTGTTACTCCATCAAGCATTAGAATTTACCTGTACAAGAATCTGGTATGAGAGTGCAGTGGGCTTAAATGTCATCTAATCAATGGCAGCAACAACTCTAAAAACAGAGTAATAATAAGTAGGCAAGGGTTTTCCTGAACCAACCAGATTCCCATTATACGTTTAAAGAATGAGGTACCAAAACACAGTACCCAGCTGCCCTTTTGCAAGCCACAGTTTCTACAGAAGCCAAGCATGAGTACAGGGTGCCGGATACTGTCAAATTCTTTCATTTTGGCAGGACTCTGATTGAAAAAATTATTGCTGATGTGTTCCAAATCTGCTTGTTCTTACTATCACTGCACATAATATCTCAAAAATAATGGACAGCTGAGAAAAATGAGGTATTTTTCCCATATGCAACGTAGAAATCAGTTTTCAAGTATCTGTGTATATCTTTTGATCACAAATAACACGGAATTTGGTGGTAGTACATATCTTGACTGTTGGCAATTACTATTTGCAGTAAAATAAGGTAATATGTATTTTTTCAGATGCTTCATAAAACCTCAACACAAATGCTCTTCATCAAATGACAAAATATCGAACGCATCAATAAAATCCCATCTATCCAGTTATCCAGGGAAGTGCATTATTTTAGATAACTAAATTATCCAAATGATTGGAATATCACTTTTTTTTTATTTTACATTCGGGGGTACATGTACAGGTTTTTTATATAAGTAAGCTTGTGTCACAGGGGTTTGCTGTGCAGATTATTTAATCACCTAAGTACTAAGCTTAGTATCCAATAATTATTTTTTCTGATCCCCTCTCTCCTTCTGCCCTGCACCATCAGGTAGGCCCTAGGGTCTGTTGTTCCCCTCTATTTATCCATGTGTTCTCATCATTTAGCTCCCACTTATAAGTGAGAACATCTGGTATCTGATTTTCTGTTCCTGCGTTAGTTTTCTAAGGATAATAGCCTCCAGCTCCATTCGTGTTTCCTGCAAAGGACATGATCTTGTAATTTTTATGGCTGCATAGTATTCCTTGGTGTATATGTACCACATTTTCTTTATTCAGTCGACCATTGATGGGCATTGAGGCTGATTCCATGTCTTTGCTATTGTGAATAGTACTGCAATGAATATACATGTACATGTGTCTTTATAATAGAATGATTTATATTTCTTTGGGTATATACCCAGTAATCCCATTACTGAATAGTAGTTCTGTTTTTAGCTTTTTGAGGACTTTCCACACTGCTTTCCATGATTATTGAACTAATATACATTCCCAAGAACAGTGTATAAGCATTCCCTTTTCTCCACAACCTCTCCAGCATCTGTTAGTTTTGACTTTTTAATAATAACCATTCTGACTGGTGTAAGATGATATCTCATTGTGGTTTTGATTTGCATTTCTCTAATGATCAGTGATATTGATCTTCTTTCCATATGCCTGTAGGCTGCATGTAGGTCTTCTTTTTAAACATGACTGTTCATGTTCTTTGCCTAATGTTTAATGAGGTTGTTTGTTTGTTCATTGCAAATTTGTTTAAGTTCCTTACAGATGCTGGATATTAGACCCTCATCAGATGCATAGTTTGCAAGTCCTTTCTCCCATTCTGTAGGTTTTCTATTTACTATGGATCTAAAAGAAGAGAAGGTGCAGCAAAGAAGTCACTTAAGAAATGGCCAGTGGACCAATATCCTTGATGAACACAGATACAAAAATCCTCAACAAAATACTAGCAAACTGAATCCCACAACACATCAAGAACCTCATCCACCATGATCAAGTAGCCTTTAACCCTGGGATGCAAGGTTGATTCCACATATGCAAATCAATAAATGTGATTCATCACATAAACAGAGCTAAACACAAAAAACACGATTATCTCAATAGATGCAGAAAAGGCCTTTGATAAAACACAACATCCCTTTATGTTAAAAACACTCATTAATGACATTGAAGGTATTGAAGGAACATACTTCAAAATAATAAGTGCCATCTGTGACAAATCCACAACCAACATCATACTAAATAGGCAAAAGCTGGAAGCACTACCCTTGAAAACTGGCACAAGACAAGGATGCCTTCTCTCACCACTCCTATTCAACATAGTGTTAGAAGTTCTGGCTAGGGCAATCAGGCAAGAGAAAGAAATTAAGAGCACTTAAATAGGAAGAGAGTAAGTCAAACTTTCCCTGTTTGCAGACAACATGATTCTGTTTAGAAAACCCCACAGTCCCAGCCCAAATCATTCAGCTGATAACAACTTCTGCGAAGTCTCAGGATACAAAATTAATGTGCAAAAATCACTAGCATTCCTATACACAAATATCCAAGCTGAGAGCCAATTCAGAAATGCAGTCCCATTCACAACTGCCACACACACACACATACACACACACACACACACACACAAATAGGAATACAGCTAATCAAGGAGGTGAAAGATGTCTACATGGAGAACTACAAAACATGGCTCAAAAAATGACACAAACAAATGGAAAAACACTCCATGCTCATGAATAGAAAGACTCAATGTCATTAAACTGACTATACTGCCCAAAGCAATTTACAGATTCAGGAATTTGCTCTATCAGACTACCAATGACTTTATTCACAGAGCTAGAAAAAAAGTATTTTAGAATTCATATGAAACCCAAAGGGAGCCTGAATAGCCAATTGAATCCTAAGCAAAAGGAACAAAGCTGGAGGCATCACATTACCCACCTTCAAACTGTATCACAGGAATACAGTAACCAAAATAGTATGATACTGATACAAAAACAGACAGACACATAGACCAACAGAACAGAATAGAGAATTCAGAAATAATGCTATACACCTACAATCATCTGATCTTCAACAAAATTGACAAAAACAATCAATGGGAAAAGGACTCCCTATTTAATAAATGATGTTGGGATAACTGGCTAGCTATATACGGAAGTTGGAAACTGGTTAACCCTTTTTTCAACTTAATTTTTGTTTGATAACTTTTAAAAGTGATTGTGTATTTTCCCATATGAAATATAATGTAAATATTACTGATATGTAGCCTCAATTTTTATGATGTTCTATAGATGTAGAAGTTCAAGTCAATGAACAGAATGCATGTTGACCTTAGACACCTGCTTCATTAGGGAAAATGTTATGATTTTATTGTTTCCTTTTATTATTTGCAATTTTCTTTTAAGTGCACAGAACTACATCTGGATAATCTCCATAGCACAGTTTTCTGCACATATACACACAAAGTTAGAAAATTATCAACCTGACATTACCATTAATAATATTTGTAGTACCATAGTCTTCATAATATTACTTACAAAACAATGTGTTGTAGCCTCTTCCGTATTAGTCTGATCTCATCTGCTTTCTCATCATACCGCATTGTGCATAGTATATATGAAGGAGACTTAATTGTTAATATTTGTGGAATGTTATTTGCTGCCTTGCATGTGTTTTTCACCTGAGACATAGCATATTGCTACTCATTTTTGCCAATTCAATACTATTTATGTTTAATTTTTAAAAAGCGTCTAGGTGCTAGCAAGGATCTTGAATGTAACAACAGAATAAAAATTTCATGTTTTCTTCAAGCAACAGTAGACTTGCTTGTTTCAGGTCAATATTTCCACTAAGAAAAATGAGAAAAACTGAAGATGATTTAGATAGAAATATATACTTGAAGACATTAGAGAGCAACCAAACCACCAAAGACTTGTGGAGCTGGGAGAATGTGCAGAGGAGTGAGCCTGATATTTAGTGCTCCTTTGCTCCACAAGCATTTACCTTTTTGAAAATAGCAGTTGAGGGAATAAGCAGGTGAGCAGGGAGTATTGCAGCATCACAGGAATGAGGGGTGCTAAAGTTAGAATCCTAGACTTGTTAAGGAAAAGAGACCCAAGTAAATACCCAAAGCTTTTAGTTTGAATACCAAAAGGCTACATACAGCCTGGGAGTAAGTATATGCCAGAAATCGACCACCACTTGAAGGCCTTCAGGTTACAGATTCCAACTTGCTCAATCTCTAATTAGATTAAGTAGATTACAGTAATCAACCAATAGCTCAACAGCCTGGCAGTAGCAAATTTAAATCCTCTAGAGAGGGAAATAAAAATTCAGAAACTCAAATTATGTTGACTTTTTTATGCACAAAATTTGTCATCAATCTAAAACAACTAGGCCTGTAAAATATTTCAAAGAACCAGGAAAAAATAGAATTAGAATTATAAGAGATTCTGATGTTGCAGTTACCAGGTATGGATTTTTAAATAAGTATTCTCATATATTATTTAAAATAATTTCATATAAAACCAAAATTCTATATCCAACAAAATTATTACTAAATTAAAAGACACAATGTAGAATTTCAGAAAACTGTAAACTAATAAAAAAAGGAAATCATAGAAATGAAAAATAAAGTGACTAAAATTAAGAATTCAATTGAAAAATTTAATATCTGTACTGAAGCACAAAGAGAAAAGGAATGGAAAACACACACACAAAGAACATAAATTATTTATGAAACACAAAGAAAAAGTCAACTGTATGTGAAGATTAGAGTCTTAGTAAAAAGGAAAGGAGATAATAATAAGAAGAAGAGATAATGGCCAAGAACATTTCAAAACTCACAAAATACATCAAGTCACAGATTCAACAAGTTTTAGGAACCTCAAATACATCTAAACAAAATGAAACCTAGGTACCTTATCATAATAGTGCAGAAAATGAAAGTAATTAATTTTAAAAGCAGCCAGAGAAAAAACTAGGCATCTTGATATCAAAAGAGCAAAGAAGAATGACAGATGACTTCTCAAAATTAACAATGGAAACTAGAAAAAAAGGAATGACATCTTCAAATTGCACAAAATGATTTCAAACCAAAATCGTATAGCCAAACAAAAAAAATTGCCAAAAATGAAAGCAAGGGACTTTTACTGGCACTGTAAATATTGCATATGTAGAAAATTCAATATAATCTACAGATAAACTATTTGAGTTATTATAATAAAGGGATTTATAAGAACACTGTCTACAAGGTCAATATAGAAAAAATATTTACATTTTTGTATAAGTGCAACAAACAAGTTAAAAAAGTCAAAATATACTATTAAGGATAGCATCCAAACCACAAAATGCTAGAAATAAATATTTTTAAAGTGTGTAAGAACTCTGTAAAAAACAAACAAACAAACAAAACTATGAAACATTACTGACAAAATTAAAAGTTACCTAAACAAACAGAGGGACATACTCTGTTCATGGAATTGAAGGACTAAATATATATATATAATATATATATATATAAAATATAATAATATATATATAATATATATAATATAATAATATATAATATATATATAATATAATAATATATATATACACACACACACACACACACACACATAGACACCCACACACTGGAATATGAGAAAAACAACATTAAAGAGCATGGGGAAAAATACCGTCTTTTCAACAAATTGTGTTGGAGCAATTGAATATCTACACAGAAAGAAATAATCCCTGCCCTTTACCACACTGCATACAAAAATATCAATACCAGGTAGATGGTAAATCTAAGTATAAAAGAGAAAACAACAAAGTTTCTGATTAAAATTCTTTTTGGCCTTTGGGATGACAGAGATTTCTTCCCAAGGTAGCATGAACCATTAAAGTTTAATAAAAATGGAGTACAATTAAATGAGAAATGCATGTTACCCAAAAGACAGCATTAATAGAGTGAAAATACAAATCACCAAATGGCAAAAAGACATTTCTAATATCTACAACCACAGATATAACCAGGGCTTATATCTGGAATATTTTTCAACTTTAAAAATAAAAATAGACACATAGACCAATGGAACAGAATAAAGAACCCAGAAATAAAGCCAAATACTTACAGCCAACTGATCTTCAACAAAGCAAACGAAAACATAAAGTGGGGAAAAGACACCCTATTCAACAAATGGTGCTGGGATAATTGGCAAGCCACATGTAGAAGAATAAAACTGGATCCTCATCTCTCACCTTATATGAAAATCAACTCAAAATGGATCAAAGACTTAAATCTAAGACCTGAAACCATAAAGATTCTAGAAGATAACATTGAAAAAACCCTTCTAGACATTGGCTTAGGCCAAGACTTCATGACCAAGAACCCAAAAGCAAATGCAACAAAAACAAAGATTAAATAGATGGGAACTAAATAAGCTAAAAAGCTTCTGCACTGCAGAAGAAATAATCAGTAGAGTTAATAGACAATCCACAGAGTGGGAGAAAATCTTCACAATCTGTCCATCTGACAAAAGACTAATATCCAGAATCTATGAAGAACTCAAACAAATCAGCAAGAAAAAAACAAATAATCCCATCAAAAAGTGAGCTAAGGATATGAATAGACAATTCTCAAAAGAAGATATACATTTGGCCAACAAACATATGGAAAAATGCTCAACATTACTAATTATCAGGGAAATGCAAATCAAAAGCACAATGCAATACCACCTCACTCCTGCAAGCATGGCCATAATCAAAAAATCAAAAAATAATAGATGTTGGCATAGATGTGGTGAAAAGGGAACATTTTTACACTGTTGATAGGAAAGTAAACTAGTATAACCATTATGAAAAAGTGTGGAGACTCCTTAAATAACTAAAAGTAGATCTACCATTTGATCCAACAATCCCACTACTAGGTATCTACTCAGAGGAAAAGAAGTCATTATACAAAAAAGATACTTGCAGGTATATATATATATATATACACACACACACACACACACACACACACACACACATATATACACACATATATATACACACACACATATATATATGCAAATTGTAGATGCATGTTTATAGCAGTACAATTTGCAAATGCAAAAATATGGAACCAGGCTAAATGCCCATCAATCAATGAGTGGATAAAGAAAATGTGATATATATACATATATATATATATATGTGTATATATATATATATATATACCATGGAATACTACTCAGCCGTAAAAAGGAACAAAATAATGGCACTCACAGCAACCTGGATGGAATTGGAGACTATTATTCTAAGTGAAGTAACTCAGGAATGGAAAAACCAAACATCGTATGTTCTCACTCATTTGTGGAAGCTAAGCTAAGAGGACTCAAAGGCATAAGAATGATGTATTGGACTTTGGAGCCTCAGGGGAAAGGGTGTGGGGTGGCTTGGAATAAAAGACTACACATCAGGTACAGTGTCCACTGCTCGGGTGGTGGGTGCACCAAAATCTCAGAAATCACCGCTAAAGAACTTATTTATGTAACCAACACCATCTGTTCCCCAAAGACTTATTGAAATAAAAAAAAAAATAAAAATGAGATGAAAGTTGAGAATAAAATAAAAAATAAATGAGCAAAAGACTTGAACAGAGACTTCCGAAATGACCAATAAACATACAAAGAGGTTCTTGGCCTCAAAATACCAAGGAAATGCACATGAAGTACACATTATGCTCACCAAAAGTAAACAAACTAGCAATACCAAGTGTTGGCTAGGATAGGATGTGGAGCAACAGAAATCATCATATCCTGTTGATGGAGATGTAACTTGATATAACCACTTTGGAAAACTGGCAGTAGCTACTAAAGCTCAACAAATGCAGGCTTCGTGACCCAGCAATTAAGCAACTCATTATATAACCAACAGAATTCTGTACTTATGCACACCTAAAGACCTGTAAAGGAATGTTTACCACAACACCGCTGAAGTGTCTATTCTCATCCTTAAATATTCATTGCAGTCCTATTTGCAAGAATCCAAACTGAAAATAGTGCAAATATTCATCAATGCAAATAGCTATGGATTTTGGAATATTCACAGAATGAAGTACCATTAAGCAATGAAAAACAAATGAATATCCGCACATTTGCCAAGAATCAATCTCACAAACAATATTGAGGAAAAAAGCCAAACACAAAAGATAACATAGAGTGTGATTCCACTTTTGTGCTATTCAAAAAAGTCAACATTGAATTATGGTGTAAGAAGTAAATATAGCAGTTTTCCTCTGGTTGGGGGAAAAGTTGCTGGAATGAGGCATAAGAATACCTCTGGGATGCCATTTCCATAGATTTGGTCACTTTGTGAAAGTTCACAGTTTGTGCCCCTTCTGGACGTGTATCTTAAGTCAATAAATGTTTATTTAAAACATTTTTAAACGTGCAAAATTCATTATGGTGTTATAAATTAGAATAGCAGTTACCTTTGAAGAGTGTCCTGGGCAGTGCTGGGGAGCAAGTCTGAAGGGGGCATTAATGATGCTGGTAATGTTGTTACAGGGCCTGAATCATGTTTGCATTAGTTCTTTCACTATGATTTGTGAGATTTTTTTACATATATTTCAATATACATATTTATTAATAATTGTTTCAACATATATGAATTTTTGAATACATATTAATTTTTTGAATTGTAGTGTGTGTGGGTGTGTTATATTTCACTTTTTTAAAGTATTTTAAAAATATCATCTTAGTTCAGTTTTTTGAACTGATAGGCAAAAACCTGTCAACTATATAAACCATATTAAAAACTGTTTATTCTAGGCTAGCTCTAAATGTGTGTAGGACAGAGTAAGGTTCTATATCATAAAATATATGTGCCTTTATGCAAATAATATTGCAGATGTGATCTTATCTACCAATCCCTGGCAGCGAGAATAAGAGCTGAAGTTCAGGCCCAAGAAACAAAACTATTTAAATTTCAATGGCTTGAAAACAAGATTTGAAGTCAGCAACTCTGGAAAAAGAAACAGAATTTTAATTTTAAAAGCAATATGCTTGGAGTGGGATGGGGTTATTAACATCTTGACTCTAAATTGTGGCTACTACCTGAATTTAAATATATGTTGGTCTTCCTGGAATAATGGTTGAGTGAGGCCATTACAGAGCCAGAGGATCTTCCTAAGAATCACAATCTAACTAAAGAGACCATTAACGCAAATGTCTCACACAATTACATTTTCTTCTGGCTCTGTGTACCCCACTCCTAAGATGACTGGACAAGCCCCAAGAAAAATGGGACAAAAGCAAAAACTGAATAAACGCTCAAACACAAACACACAATGTAATGAAGGTACAAAGTTGCCCTGTTTCCGGAGCAACATGACTCCATGATGTCAGTGGGGAGAAATGTCTCCTGCTTTAAAACAGAGGCAGTGGCATGCTGTAAACATGTGAAATAAGGAAAGAAGGAAAGAGCATCATCATAAGCATAGCTGGTGGCCTATTATTAGCACTCCCCAGAACACCAGCCAACGCTAGACATTGCTGCAGTTTGACATCTCTTGACCTTGGAGGGTGACCACAGCTTCAGCTGCCATAGGAAATTTCAGCCACTGGAAGTGACTCAATAATGGACCCTTGGGCCATAGGTAAAGTCCTTGATGCATTTTGACAGACCATAAGAGACACAGTTTTTGTAAAGGCTGTGAGGACTTGAGTTTCTCATAAGTAGGTGGAGGATATAGGAGAGACAGAGAGGATTTTGGTGTTTTTTTATTTGTGGAAATTTCAAAGCAGGTAAAAATTATTAATGTTAATTTACCTTTTGAACCGCAAGATTATTAGAAAACACAGATTACATTACTAATGAGAATGAGCAACTTGATTGTATAGATGTTTTCTCTTATCTAAATCTTGCCTATTTTCTAATTATCTAACTGTAAGTTGTGATTCTTCATTTTCTGATACATTACTTCTAGCAAAGTAGAATTCTTAAGCTGAAGCTTTTTAAAATCTTTCCTTGACAAAATTCTTGTGAACTTTCTAAAGCCTAACAGCATAATACAACATCAAATGTCGCATGCAAAGTATGTCATTCGAAAAGAAGGGACTGTATGTAATCCCTTCTAAAATGTATTGCTCAGATTCAACTACAGTCAGAAATCCATAACAGAGCAACATTTCAGAACAAGACTGCTACCCAGAATTTGAAATCACACAAAATCTATCTAGTCTCTTTTGCCTTCATTCTTTGTTAACTTGAAAATATTGATGCCTAAATTCTAAACTTCCAAAGAAATATTAAAGATAAAAACTCTGAGTAAAGAACACATCTGAGTATAACCATGACTAGAATACTGACATTCAACTGCTTCCTTCTAGAACCTGAATTATAAGGCTTAAAACAAAGAGAAAAAACTACATCAGCATCAGAGATGGCAGAAGTGTACCAATGATATGCTATGAAATTAGTGGAATTTCTAGCAAAAATAATCCAGTTGAAGCTAGAATAAATAATTTGCCCAAGAGCCAACTCATAACCCTCTTTCCCAAGATAACAAGGTAGTAAGAAAATACCTACAGGAAATTATGGCAGAACTACAGCAACTTCCTAAAACATTGAGGAGAAAAGGCTGGCGATTAGGGTAGCTGACAGTTTAGTGTAAGAGAATGCCTGTGGGGTCTCCTTCCCACTGGGAATCAAAGCAGTAGGAAAGAGAAGCCCTGAGAGGGCATGTGTTGCCATGGCAATGAGAGTCAGTGGCAGCAGGGCTCTTCCCTGATGTAGCAAGACCTCAGCTGAGAAAGCAAGTGTCACCATTTTTATACATGTATCTAGTTATTCATTTCTATTTATTTAACAGCTTTATTGAGGTATAATGTATACCATTTGATGAGTTTGTACACATGCAAATACCCATGATAGTATCAACATAATCAAGGTAATTAACATATCCAACACCTCCCAATATTTTCATGCATTCTTCTGTTTTCTGTCAGCTTTGCGCCAAGAAGGGAGAAGACAGATCCTCCAGGGTAGCTTGAATGGAAGATAATAATGTTCCCTGATGTAGTGCTAGATGCTCAAACTGCTCACATTTCCAGTTCCTCTCCACTTTCCTCAGGTTATAGATGCATAGGACTGGTCATATAAACTTATATTAATATATGTCCATAAAAAAGCTTATGCCAGTCCCAAGCAGGGAATAACCTAAAATGTCCATCAAAACAGAATGGATAAATAAATGGTGTAATAGTTATCCAATAAAATTATACCCACTGATTTAAAAACATGAATGATGATACCTGCAACAATGTAAATGAGTGTCAAAAAATTTACTTTCAAAAACATATACAATCAAAGAATACATTTTTGTGAGAATGCCCATCTTTATACAATTTAAAAGAGGCAAAACCAACCTATGGTTATGGAAATCAGAACAATGGCTATCTATGGGGAATTATCTAAATGGAGGCCTAAGATAATTTCTAGGGTAATAATAATGTTTTATGTCATAATGTTTATATCCATTTATCAAAATCCATTGAATTTAATCCCTAATATCTACGCATTTCACAATATGTAATTTTTATTTCAATTTTACAAAAACAGCGTGACATCTGGAAGATGGTGGAATAGAACTTTTCTGCACTTGTCTTCTCTCAGGAAACTTAATTGGAACTATCCAAGCACAAAAATATACAAGAGCTAAGGAGTCCAGGTAAGAGATTATAATATCTCAGCGTAGCATAGAAATAAGGAAAGACACATTGAAGAGAGCAAGAAAGACAGTCTTATATTACTGGCATCATCCCTCCCCCAAGCCTGCATAGCACAGCAAAGAGAGAGACACCTTCTGCCTGAGAAAAAGAATAAGTACTTGACTTTGCTATAGACCTTAGCACCAGGCCTGCCCCAGTAAAATCCAGTATCAGGCTATTCCTCATGGCTCAGGCTTCAGGCTAGCTTCTATGACCCAAGTCATCAGGCCCATCCCGGTGCCAGGATGATTCCCATCACCACCGGCTACAGGCCTATCCCACCACCAGGCCTTGGCATTAGGTTAGCGCCCATGACTCAGTGCTCCAGCAGACCAAGAGTCCAGGCCTGCCTTAGCAGGCCCCAGTGCCAGGCTGGAACCCATGGACCAAGGCTCTAGGACCACTCTGGTGGATGCAGGCTCCAGGACTGCCTCAGCACCAGACTGGTGCCTGCAGTCCCAGGTTTCACTGGACCCAGGGTCCAGGCTGCCCCAGAAAATCTAGGGATCCAGCTCACCTGGGTAAACTCCAGTCCTAGGCTGGCCTCTATGGGCAGACTCAAGGCATATCCCTGAATAGCCAGTTGACAAGCCTACCTTAGTGGGCCCTGACACCCAGATGGCCCATGTGAACTCAGGCTGCAGGCCTGCCCCCAGCAAACCCAAAGTCCAGACCATCCCATGTGGAGCCAATTCCAGGCCTACTCACTTGTTGACCTAGGTATCAGGTTACTCTGCCCAAGGACTCCAGCAGCAAGCCTGCACATGGAATCTAAGTCAGGCTGCCTAGAATTTCTAGACAGGCTAATTTACGAAGAGCTCTTCCTGCCAAAGCCATTCTGTAAAGACCGGAAAGATGCTTACTTCCTAAAATGTATAGATATCAGTACAAGGCCACAAAAATCATGAATAATTAGAGAAACATGACACCACCAAAGGAGCAAAATAAGACACCAGTAACCAACCCTAAAGAAATGAAGATCTATGAACCACTTGACAAAGAATTCAAAATAACCATCTTAAGCTCATTGAGGCTGGGCACAGTGGCTCACACCTGTTATCCCAGCACTTTAGGAGGCCAAGGCAGATTGATCACTTGAGGTCAGGAGTTTGAGACCAGCCTGGCCGAATAGAGAAACCTCATCCCTACTAAAAATAGAAAAATCAGCCAGGCATGGTAATGGGCACCTGTAATCCCAGCTAATTGGCAGGCTGAGGCAGCAGAATCACTTGAACCCAGGAGGCAGAGGTTGCAGTGAGCCGAGATCATGCCATTGCACTTCATCCTGGACAATAGAGTGAGACTCTGTCTCAAAAAAAAAAAAAAAAAAAAAAAAAAAAAAAAAAAGGAGCTCATTGAGCTATAAGAAATAACTAAATTATATTAGATATTAAGACAACTAAATTTATTAGAAAAACAATAAATGAACAAAGTGAGAAGTTCAAAGAAGAGATAGAAACCATAAAAAAAGAACCAAACAGAAATTCTGGAGCTAAAGAACACAATGAGTCTACTGAAAAATTTCATAGAGAGCTGTTCAACAGCAGACCCAATCAAGCATAAGAAAGAATCTGTGAGCTTGAAGCCAGATCACTTTAATTATTCAGTCAGAGGAACAAAAGGAAAAAGAATTTTAACAAGTTAAGGAAGATTATAGGATTTATGGGACATCATAAAGTAAACCAATATACACATTTCAGGGTACCAGAAGGAGGAGAAAAAGAGAAAGGGACAGATTGCTTACTTTAAGTAAAAAAATGACAGAAGACTTCTCAAATCTAGAATGGGAAATGAACCCCTAGATCCATGAAGCCCAAAGATACTCAAATATATTAAATACCAGATCTTCACCAAGATCCATTATTACCAAATTCTCAAAAGTCAGTGACAAACAGAATTTTGTAAGCAACAAGAAAAAATCAGTTCTTCACATTCAAAGAACCCCCATAAGACTGTTAGTGTATTTCTCAGCAGAAATTTTGTAGGCCAGGAGAAAATTGGATAATGTATTCAAAATAGTAAAAGAAAACAACTTCTAATCAAAAATGTTATACCCAACAAGGCTGTCCTTCAAAAATAATTGTTAAAATAAGATAAATTTTTTCAAACAAACAAAAGCTGAGGGAGTTCATCACACTAGATTTACCTTACAAGAAATGTAAACTAAAGTTTTTCAGGTTGAAACAAACATATGCTAACAACATGAGGACATACAAAAATGTAAAACTCACTGTAAAGTTTTGATACTCTACTGTCAAGTTTAGATACTCTACTAAACTGTAATACAACCAGAATACTGTCATCATGGTTTATAAATCACTTTTAACTCATATAAGTTAAAATACAAAGTATAAAAGTAACTATAGCTATAAAAATTTGTTAATTTGATACAAAATATATTAAAAAATATAAATTGTTACATCAGTAACATAAAATGTAAGGAAGTGAAAAGTTAAAAAACGGAGTTTTTGTATTCAATAGAAGTTATCAGCTTAAAATAGACTGCTATAACAATTAGATGTTTATGTAAGCCCCATGGCAACCACAAGGAAAAAAACCTGTAAATGATACACAAAATATAAGAAAAAAAAAAATGAAATCATGCCACTACAAAAATTATCAAATCATGAAGAAAGACAGCAAGAGGGAGAATGGAATAGAGGAACTACAAAAGAGTTACAAAACGTTTTTAAAACGGCAGTGGTAAATCCTTACCTATCAACAATTACCTTAAATGTAAGTGGATTAAATTCTCCAATAAAAAAATACAGCTCAGGAAAAGCAGGGAAAAAAAGAAAATAATGTTACAAACAATAAGACAAAAAAAGTTTTAAAATAAAAAAATATGTATATATTTAAAATAAAAAAATATATATATATACACACACACACACACATACACACACATTGGCTGAGTTGATTTTTTAAAAACAGAAATTCAACTAAATACTGCCTACAAGAAACTGATTTTAGTTGATGCTATGGTTTAAGTGTTTGTGTGTTCTTCAAAATTCATTTTGAAACTTGATCCCCAGTGCAACAGTATGAAGAGGTGAGGCTTTAGGAGTGATTTGACTATGAGGGCAAAGCTCTCCTAGAAGGGACTAGTGCCTTATGAAAGGGCTTGAGGGAGTGAGATTGCCCCTTCCATCCCTTTTTCCCTTCCACGTTTCACCATGTGAGAACACAGCCACAAGATGCCATCATGGAAGAAGAGGGAAAGCCTTCATCAGAAGCCAAATCTACTAAGGCTTTGATCTTTAGACTTCTAGTTTCTACAACTGTTAGAAATAAATTTATATTATTTATAAATTACCGACTCTGTGGTATTTTTGCTACAGCAGCAGAAACAGACAGATGAAAAAAGGTATGCCATGAAAATAGTAACCAAAAGAGAGCTGGAGTGGCTATACTTATATCAGAAAAAAATGATTTTAAGTCAAAAACTGTAAAGAAAGATAAAAACAATCATTGAATTATGATAAAGGGGTCAATTCATCTAGAAAATATGACAATTATAAATATATATGCACTCAAATTGGAACTCCTAAATATATAAATATTAACAGAACTGAAGAGAAAAATAGAAATACACTAATAATAGTGGACTCCAATATTCCTTTTTCAGGGAAAGTATTATGTTTGGTGGAAAACAATTTAGGCATTCCTCAAAAAATTAAAAATAGAACTGCCATGTGACCCAACAATCCCTCTTATGTATATACCCAAAAGAACGGAAATCAGTACCGTATAACAAAAATACAGCTGAACTCCCATGTTCATTGTAGCGTTATTGACAATAGCCAAGATATAGAATGAACGTAATGATGATCCATTTATCCGTGGATGAATGGACAAAGAAAATATGGCATATATACATATATATTATAATAAATTATTTTTATATACAATATCTATATATAATGCAATACTATTTAACCTTAAGAAAAAGAGGTAACACTGTCATTTGTGACAACATTGATGACACTGGAAACCATTATGCAAATGAAATAAGCCAAGTACAGAAAAACAAATAACTCATGATCTCACTTATATGTGTAATCTAAAAATAAAGTGGAACTCATGCAAGCAGAGAGTAGAATGATGGTTATGGGGAGGGGCAGGAGATGGGGACATGTTGACTAAAGGGTACAAAAATTCAAGTATATAGGAAGAGTAATTTCTGGAGATCTATTAGCATGGTGACTATAGTTGATAATATATATTTGAATATTGCTAAAAGAGTGGATCTTAAATGTTCTCAGCACCAATAATAATAACTATGAGAGTTGATGCCTATGTTAGCTAGCTTAATCAATTTTTAATGTATACAAGTATTACAACATTATGGTATACACCATAAATATATATATTATGATGTTTGTGAATATACCTTAATAAAGCTGGCAAAAAAAAAAATGGCAAAAAAAAATTCTGCACGCTCTCAGTTGTATGTCCCCCTTTGCTTTACAAATCTATGGCATCCCTCTAATATGTAAAATAAGTATGTGTAGCAAGCATTTTCTTATGTTCTTATGTTAAACATGACTCAATTTCCATATTTATGATTTTATTGATTACTTCCGTTATTAATTTTATTCTGAGGGGGCTGTATGTGTGTGTGTGTGTGTGTGTGTGTGTGTGTGTGTGTGTGTGTGTGTGTGTAGAATGAAAGGGATGATTCAGTATCTATTGTATAATGGGAGACTTTTTTTTCCCTTTGTTTTTCCAAAAGGCAACTCTTTTTATCCCTCAATCTCAGATAAAACACACTGCAGGGAAATTACCAAACACAAAAGTCTAGCTTTTCTGTTGACTGCACCCATGCAAAATAAAGCTGCTTCCTTTGGGCTAGACTAAAATCACAAGATAAGAATTGTTAATTTAACTGGTCCAGTAACTTTCTATGAACTGAATGCTTAATAAACTTAAATGGAAAAAGAACCATTTTATCTTGTTATTATCTTATACTTGTTCTAAGAAACCCATTTATATGGCGGCTTTTTGTACCAAAGAAAAGTAATCATTTCAACCCTCTCAACTTCAAGATAAATGGAAAAAAATCTTATCCCCTGTTCACATTTTATGATATTAAATGTACTTATCCCGATATTGCTCTGGTAACAAGCCCTGTAGAATATACATCTCCTGAAAGTAGTTGTCAAAAAAAAAAAAAGGTTCATGAAAAGAAGAAATATACGTCATCCTTACTGAGTTATTATGTTTAAGGAAAAATATGCAAATGAAAACTTCTTAAAATAGAAGTAGACAGCAAAATAAATTCCATGAAAGTTATCCTTCCTTCGTTCAGCTCTGGGAAGTCCTCCTTTGAGAGACTGTGTATGGCATAAGTTTCATTCAATCCATGGTTATTTCTTGTAATCATTCTTTCAAACACCTTCCAATATACATTTTCTGTCTATTTCCAGCGTTTTCACCTAGTTCAGGTACACTTTTCATTTCCTCTGGATGATACTAAAGACCTCCTATATCTAATGCTCCCAGGACTGCAGCATTAATCTTGCTAAACAATACCACCACAAAACTGAGCACACTCTTTTCTTGCTCAAAAACCTTTAGACACTCCCCTAGTGTTCAACAAACTAGCCTAGCCTTCTAAAACTAATGCATGACTAGCCCAGACTTACCCAATCTCCTTTGTCTCCCCCAAATCCTCCACACGTCTATACTTTGAAAATTGTCATTAGAAGGCATTTGCTCTAGCCATAGAAAATCAAACTGTAGAGTTGCATTAAAAAGTGTGATAAAGTTACTGTTTTCCCAAGTCCCTCATCCCGTTTTTAACTAATAACTACTGTTCATATGCCAATGTGTATTCTTCCTACCACAAAGAAAAGACACTTGCATATTGTATATGTAAAGAGAGATAAAAGTAGATTTACAATTTGAGACTTGACTTTTTCCTGTTTAATTTTTTGACAGAACTATTTTTCCAAGTCACTTGTAATTTATCTCATTCTGTATTATCATTGCCTTTATTCTATTAATATGCTATGCCATAATGTATTTAATTGGTCCCTATTAAGGGACAGTTGGTTTCCTTTTTTTTTTACACTTTTATATAATGCTTATCTTTGTATCCATATCTTAGATGCACATTTGCAAAAGAATCTATAGGGTAATTTTATAAACATGAAATAATTTAATCGAATATCATAGTCATATTTATTTTGAAAAATATTGCCAAATTGTGTTACAAGAAGCCTGACCCTATTTATGTCTATTCCCTGCTCTCTCATGTGACAACACTAGGTAATATAAATTACTTTAATCTCTCCACTCTAATAGGTAAAGAATCGTGGCCGGGCACGTTGGCTCTAGCCTGTAATCCCAGCACTTTGGGAGGCTGTGGCGGGCGGATCACGAGGTCAGGAGATGGAGACCATCCTGTCTAACATGGTGAAACCCTGTTTCTACTAAGAATACAAAAATTAGCCGGACATGGTGGTGGGCGCCTGTAGTCCCAGCTACTCAGGAGGCTGAGGCAGGAGGATGGCGTGAACCTGGGAGGCGGAGCTTGCAGTGAGACGAGATTATGCCACTGCACTCCAGCCTGGGTGACACAGCGAGACTCCGTCTCAAAAAAAAAAAAAAAAAAAAAAAAAAAAAAAAAAGGAATGGCATGCCAGTTTTACATTTCCATTTTTAAAATCATGAGTTGGAATGGTTTTGCTAATGTGAATGGATCACAATAAATCTCTTGGACTGCTTGTTTATACTCTGCTAGAATTTCTATCTCCCTATTGCTAGAAACTTCTCACTTACTACTATTATAACTTTACGCACCCTGTAAGTTTCGGTAAGTTGTGTTTTTATATTTGTTTGTTGAGATATTCTTTAAATTCCCTTTTGATTTTTTCTTTGACTCAGTGATTGTTCAAGAGTGTGTTAGTTTCCACATATTTCTAATTTTTTTATTTTCGTATTGTTATTTATTAAGTTTTATTCCATATTGGTTGTGATGGCATCAGGGGCCCATCTGGAGTGGCTACTGCAAAGATGCTGGCCGCAGCAGGGGAGGTGCGATTGGGGCTTCACACTCCTCGGAGATTGTGGGAGACAGGAACAGGCAGGAGTCTTGTCCCCTTCTGAGTTGCTGGGGTGGGAGGCCCACACTCCCGGGTGCAGCTGCAATTGCCCAGCCATGGCTGCGGACCCGGGCGTCCCTGTGCTCTCCGGGCCCAGGAAGCCCCCTCCACCCACAGTCTTGGAAGCACCTACTCCTGCTGCCTGGCGTCTCCCTGCCCCTGGCAGCCACTCCGATTTTGGAGCAAAGTTGTGGCAGAGCGCAGGCGCTGTCATGACCTGGCTGGGTGTGCACACGCTTGGGGTGATGCTGACACGCCAGCCCCCTGCCACCTCAGCCCCCTCTAGACTTTGGGTGCCAAAGAGCATGGGAGGGAGGCCAAGGGGGAGCTAAGAGCAGCTTGGCATGGGCCTGCAGGTAGGTGCCCCTCGGTACAAATAGCCTAAGTGCCATGAATGACATATAGATGGTGGCAGGAGGCAGACAGGCTCCTGGGTGGAAAGGGACAGGTCCCCAGTGAAGCACCACCTTCAAGCCAGGGATGGTCTGAATCCTGGGGGCCGGACTGTCAGTTCTGCAGACTGGAATGAGAATTTATGGTGCTTTTTCTGCCCGCCCATGGCTGCCCATGGACCAATCAGCATGCACTTAATCCCCTCTGAGGACCATTAAAACCCCACACTCAGCCAGACTCGAGCAAATGACAGGACAACTTGCCTGTGGATAGGAGCTGCCCATTCCAGGTCTTCTCTCCACTGAGGGCTGCACAGACGTTGGGACAGCCTGCCTGTGGATAGAAGCTACCCACTCTGGGTCCACTCTCTGCTAAGAGCTGCCCACTCATTGGAACTACCTGCCTGTGGACAGGAGCTACCCACTCTAGGTCTCCTTAGAGCTGTACTGTCACTCAATAAAGCACTCTTCACCTTGCTCACCCTCCAGTTGTCCGTATACCTCATTCTTCCTGGACATGGGAGAAGAACTGAGACCCACCAAGTGGTGGGAGTAAAAGAGCTATAACACAACCAGGGCTGAAATGTGCCTCCTACTCACCACATTGCAGGTGATGAGAAGAAAAGAAGAGAGAGGAGAGAAGAGCTGCAGCCCTTCGGGGAGCCCAGACCTAGGAGCTCCTGGAGCAAGGGCGGTGACATCCTCTTTGGAGCTCTGCAGTTCTTGGTATCTGCAAGCTTCCAGCTGCTACCATGTTCCTGTTGTCTTCAGTAGAAGCTGCTTGTGGTATGCCTGGTCTAGCCACAGCCTCACAGGGAACCAGTGTCTGTGACGGCACCTGGAGCTGCCCACCCCTCAGCAGCTGACATGCCTGGCTGTGCTCAGTGGCTGGACCTGGTGCTCACTTGCTCATGCACCCCTCGCCACTCTGCGCCTGGCTAACCCTTGGCAGGCATGGGGTCTGAGCTGGTAACATGAACCTAGCACAGCCTGCCAGGCCAAGTGGGAATGAGCCCAGTGGGCCTGAGCAAAACTCAAGCAAATGCTCCGCTGGCCACAGAGGCTTCCAGCTAGAAAAGCAACACCCCAAACATCCTGTGACCACTGGAAAAGATACTTGGTATGAGTTTGATCTTCTTAAGTTGGTTAAGATTTGTTTTGTGACCTAACATGTGATCTATAGTGGAGAGTGTTCTGTATGTGGTCAAAAAAAACAAAATGTATTTTGCTGCTGTTGGATAGAATGTTTTATATATGTCTGTTTGGTTCATTTGGTCTGTAGTGTTATTCAAGCCCACTGTTTTCTTATTAACTTTGTCTGGAAGTTCTGTCTATTATTGAAAGTGGGATATTGAAGTCTCCTGCTATTATTGTATTATTATAAATTTCTTCTTTCAGGTTCATTTTATATACTTGGGTGCCCTAGTGTTAGATACAGATATATTAAGTATTTTTTTATTAAGGAGTTTAGTTTATTTCAATTTTAAGTAGTTATCAGTAAGGAAGGATTAACTATTGTCTTTGTTTATCTTCTAGTCCTTTTGTCCTTCATTTTTCCCTTTGCTGTCTTCTTTTGCATTTCTTTTTTGTGTCAATAGTTTTTTTTTATTTCTGTTTTTCTTTTGTGTAACTTCCATAGGTATTTTCTTTGAGGTCACCAAGGGGTAAAGCAGGTCTAGTGGTGATAAATTTCTTCAGCTTTTGTTTGTCTGAGAATGTCTTTATCTCCCTTTCATTTTTGCAGGACGGGTTTGCTGGGTATACTACTCTTGTTGGCAAGCATTTCTCTTTCAGCACCTTGAATATATCATCTCTTTCCCTTCTGACATCACAGGTTTCTGCTGAAAATCCCCTGGTAGTGGGATTACCTTCTTGGTCAGCTCTTAGATGCAAGCTAGTTAAAAGCCTGACCCATGGGTGGTAACTGGGAAAGTTGAGATATTACATATCAGTCAAACCCCTTCCATTGAGAAACTGGAAGCTGAATGTTTTAGCCTGCTAATAAAACCACTTATTTGTTCTTGTGGTCCTGGGGAACTCACAAATGCCATGCCCTGCCAGCTCACAGGGGTAGGGGATTTAGTAGCCAGACTTTTGGTTGGGATTTAAAAGTTGAGGTGCTATGTGGGTGGTTCAACTCTTCACTCCTCAGAGAGAAGTGTGGAATTGAGGGTTTCCTTTCAATTGTAAGGTTCTGTGCCTGGAGTGAGGTTTGTAGTATAGGTGTATCTCAGCTTTCCTACCCATTTCAGTGTGGATATTTTCTGAGTTGCATGGTGTGTATGAGTTTGTCAACCAGTTCTCTCAAAGGGAATTGGTCTAGAAAAACCCACCATCCTGCTGACATCCTCTATTCCATACATTTGAAAACTTAAATGAATTGCAATATTTCTTAAAAAAAAACCTGCTAAATCTGACTGAATACAGAATATTTTACTGTTTACAAATAATAATTTTACCGTTGTCAGCTTCTGCACTAAAACAAGGTGAAATAAATATTAGACATGAAGAAATCAATTGCACAAATGACATGATTAGGTACATTGAAAATTGAAGAAAAATAGAATAGTATTAGAAGTAATAAGAATCAGTTAGTTTGCTAAAAATACAATTCTAACAAAATTACTTATTTCTCAACTAATAATCAATAGAAAACTTTGTTTTAAAAAGATAATTTTAAATAATTGCAGCAAATAGTATAAGGTTTCTAGGAATAAGTATTCCCAAATAGCTAGTAGAACTGCATGGAAAATGCTGTAAAACTTTATTAGAAATATTTTTGAAACATTATAAATTAAATGTAAAAATGCAGTCCTGGATAAACTAGAAAATCATAAAAATGTTAATTTATTGAATAGAATTAAAATAAAATTTCTAATAGTATTTCAGATGAGGGTAACAAACTGATTTTAAAAAATATTTAAGAGCAAAGGATCAAATATATCCAAGACTATTTGGAAGAAATACTAATTTTGATTGGTGCAGGAGGTGTTTTCCTACTGCCTACCAAGGGTCATGATGAAACTATGGCAAAAAAAGGCAGCATAGTGTTGACACAGGAATAAACAGAAATCAACTGCACAAAACGGAGATTCCAGGAAAAAAAAAGTATCACATAAATACTGTAACTTCATATAAACCAGAGGCAGTGTCAAGATTACAAATGAGAAAGAAATGATGGGACCATTCGACTATGGTACAGGAAAAATTATTCAAATGGTATAAATTTCCGTAATACTTTACAGAAATGAGAGTGTTCACACATGTGTGCATGCAAACATGTACACATGCACACACACACACACATACAAACACACCCCTCCAGATGGGTTAAGATGTAAATTGGAAAAGCAGGCCATAAAAAATGTTAAAAGAAAATATAAAAATGTATATTTGAAATCAAGGTCTGGATGCATTTTTGTTATGAAAGATGATAAGTTATGAACCATGACAGGGAGAATTAGACTACATCAAAGCTAAAAACTTTGATATATGAAAAGATGTCATTTAAAAAGTCAAATTGCAAGCCAGTGGCTGAAGATGATATTTGCAGGGCATATAACTTATAAAGGCATTTGAATATAGAATATGTCAAAAAATTAGGTAGATAAGAAATGTACAAACAACCCAATAGAAAAATAGACCCGTGTGAAAAAGCAATTTCAAACTGTGTAATCACAAAACGTGCATATAAAAATATACTCAGTCTCACAAACTTGAGAAATTCATATTTGAACAAGAAGATAATATTTAACCTGTTCAGATAAGCAAAATTTAAAAGACAAATAATCTGACCATCAGAGTTGTTGGCAAGACTGTAGAGAAACTAGAATGCGTGTACACTGTTGATGATAGTGCAAATAGCCTCGACCAACTTGGAATATAACTTGGCAATATCTTGTAATATTGAATGTGCAAATAGGCTGCCCTATTATCCAGCAATTCCACTTCAATATTACCTGAGGGACTGTGACACCTATGCATAAGGAAACACACATACCATATTACAAGATTGTTTATTGCATTATTGTTTTTAGCAGGCAAAAAAAGAAAGCCCAAAATATTTCACTGGCAAGTGAGTAAATAAATTGTGTTGTGCTTACACAATAAAATAATGTAAAACATCTGTTAAAAACACATGTACTAGTTGTGTACTAACTAGATGTACACATATCATGGATAATTGTCAAAATGTAACCACACTTTCCTAAAATTAACAATGATCATTGCAATGTTAGTATTTTGTAAGATAAAGTGTCTTGATTCTATTTTACTGCTTCAGAACAGCATGACCAAATGGGCAGCCACTAACCAAATTTATTGGGTGGCAACTTACCTCTAAGACTGAGGAAGAGAGAAAATTTGTACATGCATACGTTTTACTTTTCCACTTTATTTTGAAGTCTTAAAAATCAAAGTTCCCAAACCTAAGAGCATGACCAAAATTTGGTATTCAGTTGAGTGTCTACCACTCACATTTTAACAAGAGATGACCTGAATTACTTCCATGTCATTAGCATTCTGTTTGCTTCCATAATGATCTCTGTGTGATTTTATATTCAGAAGCACAATTGCATAGATTATAAACACAAAATTGATTAAAAAAATGCACTACAGAAAAAGTCTATTATCTTCAATAGATAAGACTATGATTACTTTTCAAAATGCTTTTTAAAAGCATAGCATATAAACTAATGATATTCTTTTTCAGTATACATTTTCCTACATATATAATAAAAAATTAAAATGTTTATTTAAGATGGAAAGAGCAGGATAATTTGCACAGTTTCTTCTTTCCTGAGGTTTTTAAGCTCCAAAACTGCCAGACACATCTTTAGCTTGGGGCTTTAACAAGCATAAAAGGTCATTTATCCAAGGTCATTATAGCCAACTTCCACGGGAGGATAAGCAGTCATGTAGAAATTATTTAAATGACCACAGAAGCACATGCCAATTTAGCTTGGTGTTTTGCATGATCCCAATTGACCACTTTCCTACATATTATAGCAATACTTCAGAAAGCTGACCTTTGGAGAAAAGGTGATATATTTTTATTTTCAAACTCTGTTAGGTAAACAAAGAAAGAAGCACTATTATCACCACAAGCATATGTGTACATGCATGTGCACACACACACACGCGTGCACACACACACACACACGCATGCACACACACCTCCTGGAAGATGCTCAGCTTAGTTTAAAGCTTGAACACAAGATCCTCTGATCCTATTTAAGGCAGTATTGGAAAAATTATCTCTGTATGTGGTTCAAAGCTTTACTTTATTAGGTGTGTGATATTAGACAATTTTTTTCTCTTAATTCAGAAATGAGAGCAAAAGTCACTACCTCTTCTAGGTTTCTGGTGAGGATAAAAATTTAACATTCTATGTATTTCATCTAGCACAGAGGCGAGCAGTATTACATGCTTGAAAAGATGAGAGCATTTTTTGATAGGGCTTGCACAAAACACTAACTTACAACAATAAATATTAACCAAACATTTCTTCTGTCTCTTAATCCCAGTTTAGTTTAATAACATTACTTAACTCTGACTATATATTAGGCATTATGATAAGTGAATAAGAAATAGTTTGTGGCAAAAATTAGCCAGGTTTGTTGGTGCATGCCTGTAGTCCCAGGAGTTCAAGACCAGCCTGGGCAACATGGCAAAACCCCATCTCTACAAAATTATGCAAAAATTAGCCACGTTTGTTGGTGCATGCCTGTAGTCCGGGAGGTCAAGGCTGCAGTGAGCTGAGATCGAGCCACTACACTCCAGCCTGGGAAACAGAGTGAAAGCCTATGAAAGGAAGGAAGGAAGGAAGGGAGGAAGGGAGGGAGAGAGGGAGGGAGGGAGGGAGGGAGGGAGGGAGGGAGGAAGGAAGGAAGGAATGAAGGAAGGAAGGAAGGAAGGAAGGAGGAAAATAGTTTGAGCCATCAAGAAATACAATGTCTAATAGGCAGGAAACAAATAGACATAATTGTAATATAATATGATTAATGATAAGATATAGGAATTTCCAAGCGCAGAGAAACTTAATCCAACAAAATGATAGATGGAAAATTTTAAAAAGAAGATTAACACTCAACAAGTTGAGTATCAAAGGATGAATAAGAATGAGTCAATATTTTTTTTAAACTGAGAAGGACCTACCAGGCAGAGAGAACAAGCTTACACTTATGTTTGAGAAACATAAATTCTTTAATTGAGTAACAAGTGCAAGGTGTAAAATGTCAGGCACAGATTGTGGCGATGAAACTCTTGAGATGGGCAAGGGCCAGGACATAGGGACGTCATATGATATGGCCAGAAAACGAGCACTGTTAGATGGATTTTTCTAGGTCAGATTTATTTTGGAAAGTTTTTTCTGGTTGGTGAATGGATTTCAAAAAGATCAAGCCTGGAAAATGAGATACCAATTAGGGAGCTATTATATTATACAACTTCCAGTGAAAAACAATGAGAGTGTCAAGGAGGAGGGATGGTGAGTAACAGTGAGATATCAGGAATATTTAGTAAGTTAAATTGTAAGGACTAGGATGTGTAGGTTAAGGGAGAAGGCTAAGGCGACTGAGGTTTCATGTCGGGTGGCTGGGCAGATGAAGATCACCTAAGCACAGACCTGGATTGCAGATGAAAGAGGGAGGCAGAGATAGAGAAAGATTTGGGCAAAGAAGATGGTGAGTTAATTTTAGGAGCGCTGGGAAAATCAGGATGGCAGATTTTGAGGTCATCAGCTCGTGCTCAGCTTTAAAAAAAACAAAGAAAAATGGATGTTGTACTTAGAGAATTCAGAGTAAGAAGGAGTTCAAAGGGAAAATGGTTTGAGCAGAACTCTGGAGAAAGTATGCGCTGTGAAAAAAATAGCACATAAAAGTGGGTCAAGAAAAAACAGAGAAGAGAAGCAGAGTCCTCTTATAAATCCTAGAAAAGAGAAATTTTAAGCAATCAACAGTCATGTTTAATGACGCTTCACTCTAAAACAATATACAGTCTCTCCACTTTTTCATAGATTTTCTAATGTCATTTTAATTTATCTGAAGATGAACAGTATTTATCTATCTTTTCATGCCTATCTCCAAGAGCATGAATAGCACCATACTGAGAATATAAAGGGCACTTTCTTTACCCCCAAAATATTTTTTAAACTTTTTTTTTTTTTGAGACTAGTCTCACTCTGTTGCCCAGGCTGGAGTGCAGTGGAACGATCTCAGCTCACTGCAACCTCTGCCTCCTGGGTTCAAGCGATTCTCCTGCCTCAGCCTCCTGAGTAGCTGGGACTACAGGTGCCCACCACCACGCCCGGCTAATTTTTTGTATTTTTAGTAGAGACGGGGTTTCACCGTATTAGCCAAGATGGCCTCGATCTCCTGAGCTCAGGTGATCCTCCCGCCTCGGCCTCCCAAAGTGCTGGGATTACAGGCATGAGCCACCGAGCCTGGCTATACTACTTTTAACTTTCTTATAGAAGTAAAACTTCAGTGAAATGCTCTCCTAATACCTATCCAATCTCTGAAATCTTGTAGAAAATTATATATGTAGTCTCACATGGAATGTAAATTCATTCTGTGCATAAGGAAAGAATCTTAGAGTTTAAAGTATACATTCAACTGAAGACCAGAAATGAACATTTTTAAAGGACTCTTTATAAAAGGAATGGGAAGAATTTACCAAATCTTTAGCAGGTCATGATGTCTGCTGAATAGAGACTGAGTGCCTTCCTTTTGCCAGGGACTATGCTGATGTCTGCTGGGAACAGAGGATGGGGACAACACAGGTTCAGCATTCCAATGTCTCACAGACTGGGGAGGCCATAGAGAAGGAAGCAAATTATTACCACTCACAGAAGCATGTACAAAGTGCTATGGGTGCTCAGGGGAAAAAATGCCGAAGTCATATTTTGATATTAATCCAATTACCAGCTTTAAACAGGACAATGTATCAGCAATTTATGCTTCATAAATTAAAGTAACACACCATACAAAAATTCCTAATCAATAAAATATATTTTACTCATTCTCAGCTTGGTCATTAGTGTCTTTCCATTTAATAAACAGGTTTTCATTTTGGTTTGGTTTGAGTAGGTTTGAGCTTGGCTCTCATCTTCCTAAATAGTGCAACCAGGATTGTAGTAACATTTAGAAAGAGAAGTTCGTGTTTGTTTATGAAAGGAAATAACAGAACATCAGTAATTGTTGTAAAATTGAAAAGGAAAAATGTTGCTAAGAAAATGTAATTCAGTGTATGCTTTATCTCTTATAAATCAATGGAGATGAAATTAACACATTTAAAAAATATGGAGTATTCCTACATGAAAAGTTGTAAAAACACACAGAAAAATTACTTTCAAACTTCTTATGCATTTTCTCCTTTGCTCCATGTACAGAGCAAGTACAAAAAGCTATTTTTATGAATATTCTCCATACTGTGAGTAAATGCTTCTTTTTCGTGAAATGTCAGTATCTTATCTCCATATTTTCTACTTTGTTATGAAAAAAGATGACTGTCCTACAGATTTTCATGTCTTGCTCTGCTGCCCTAGAAATGCATATTCAACAAAGAATAAAAAGGTTTGGAGAACAAGAAGAAGTCTTAACTCATAGGCAGTCAAAATCAGAAGAATGTTGCTAATATCAATTTCATTGGGATTCATAAAGGCAGTCTCCATAGCAACATCATTTTCACAAGGCACAGAAATGCTGCATTTTATGTTTTTTAATGGAAAAGCTGAGGGTCAGATTATCACTTTTTCTCCATGTACCATTTATCCTCTGTCCTCACACAGGTCTGATTGCATTCGAAAGGAGCTTTATGGACATAAAAGATGGCTCAATATTTAAGTGGAATAATACTCTTAACTGAGTTTCTTAAAGAAATATACAACATTAGAGGATTTGGGATAAATCCGAGAGAAACTGCTCCTGAAATTAAAAACATATTACTTGACCCTCACTCTGAGAACTTGGAAGCTAGCTATTTAAACATGACTGTGTAAATCCAACAAAGGCACTCCTTTAAGAGTCAACTAAAATCCAGTTTGTATGATTAAACAGCTTAGGGAAACATTTGGCCTCTTTCTTCTTTCCCACTTGCTTTAAGGATGAAGTTTAGAAAGAGAGTGGTTATAGTTTTAATAATTTTTTAATGTATTTATATTATCCCTCCAGATACTGTTGCTTCGAAAACACTTTTTTTCTTCATGAAAGAGAATGGTGGAAGAAGAAATGGATAAGATGATTGGAAATAATTTTTTACTTACAAGATTATTTAAAGGATTATTCCTAGAACAAGTAAAATTTTCCATTATTTTTACATTGTCTCTTCTCAGTATTCAGATATTGACTATCTAATATCTATGTGGTTTTCACGTTAAACTGCATTTTCAAGATTATAGTTTTATTGTAATTATGTAAGTGCATTTTGGTGGGAGGAAATTCTAAACTTTTTACTCAAGAGACTGATAAAACTCTATTATGAATAAATAACTACTCAATAAACTAGAATGAGTCTCTTTAAAGCTTTCATGGTCCATTGACTAAATGCATAATTAGGTGAGACATTTTCTGAAGTTGTTTTTAAACCAATCACATCATGCATCAGGCAAACCAGAGTGAAGCTAATGAAAAAATTTTATGGTACCAGCTAAACAAATAATTCTTTTGTAATATGTCCATTCTATATAAAAAGATTTCTAAAATTAATTTGTATCAATTACAATTACAGAAATGCAGAAGAAGCTATGAAATTCAGGTATATACATACCATAGATCTTAATAGACCCTCCAATACAACATGTTTTTCCTTCTGTTATTTGCTTGATAATAATGGAACTAAAGCAGTTAAAAGGAAACTATGCAATAGCTACAGAAATGAACTTTTATACATTTTAAGATGTATAATATCAACTGTATAGCTTCTGAACATAAAATACAGCTTTGTAGGTTAAGGTTTACGCTTTCTAAGAAGAGTTGAATGTACTTGTCCACAAAGAACTTTGGTTGCTGGGGAGGAATTTGGGATGGAGGAATAGCCAACTTGAATGAAATACAGGAAAATTGGCAAATGACTAAAAATTCTAAATGGATCCAAAGGCATTTGTGTAAATTGAGTCCCTAAAGATAAACCAGTCTTAAAGATTATGAAATATGTTAAACAAACATATCAATATCTAATTTTGATATTATCCTCATTTGAATATAAATTATTTTTCTATTATATTAAAGGATCAAAAGTAATCAAATATTATTTATCTTAATATATACATTAAACGAATATAGTCTGTCTATTGCACATATCATTGTAATATAATTTTATGGTTACCATATATGGTTCAAGAATACTCTTAATAATTCTTATTTTTCTTTTACTTTATGTTTGCTATTTAAAACCCTTTAAGCATTTCCTTCCTTCTTTCCTTCATTCCTTCCTTCTTTCCTTCATTCCTTCCTTCCTTCCTTCTTTCCTTCCTTCCTTCCTTCTTCCTCCTTCCTCCCTTCCTTTCTTTCTTTTTGAGACAGGGTCTCACTCTATTGCCCAGGCTGGAGTGCAGTGCTGCAATTTTGGCTCAGTGCAACCTCGACCTTCCGGGCTCAGGTGATCCTCCCACCTCAGCCTCCCAAGTAGCTGAGACTACAGGCACACACCACCACTAATTTTTGTATCTTTTGTAGAGGGGGTGTGTCACCATGTTACCTAGGTGGTCTTGAACTCCTGGGCTCAAGCAATCTGCCCGCCTCAACCTCCCAAATTGTTGAGATTACAGGCATGAACCACTGCAACTGGCCTCTAAGCACTTTCTTAACTTTTATATCATTGAAAAGGTAGAAACTTTAATTGTATCACACAGAAACTAGATTATTGCATTTATTCTCTATACTGATATTTTCCATTTTACTCATTTTTTTCAATATCTAACATTTTTCTAATGCACAAATCACAAGTACCAGCTTAACTCCTTATGAATCTCCTGCACTCCTTTCTCACTCTTCCACCTACCATGTTAGTGTGCCTCTGAACCCTGTATCACAGGAAACAGCTTTCTTCATCCTGTTCCCAGGCTTCAGCTCTCTCTTCTTTCACCACAGTACAAATCTTAAATCTGCCAATAAACTTTTTGCATATGACCTCACTCTTTCTTTAACCTACCAGCATATTAGCTCTCTACGGATTTCTATAATGATTGAACTTCTACGTTTCTTTAGACTTCATGCAAGCATTTACTTTTCCTTCATATCATTAATTGTAGAGGACTGGGATAATAAATATATCTTATATATGATATGATTTCTGACAAATGTAATGTCTGTGAGTCACTGTGAAACCTTAGATTTATAAAGTATTTTCAGATTTTCCAAAAAATGGCTGAAGACTGAAATGAATATACTATGTAATTTAATAAATGGATTTACAAATGAAGTTACGGCCAATGAACAATGCGATTACACAGAAATGATCACTGGTAAAAGTTCACATCTTACCAGGTTCTGTTTGACTGCCACATGAATTATGGACCAAAATCTTTAGTTGAATATACAATCTGTAGATCAACTTTCTCTTTCACTGTTAGAAGAAAAAGAAAAAAATACTCTTCCTTAGATAGACTAGAGATGATGAAATGAGGAGGAAAGAAGAGGGAACTTGAGAACCCTGCTGATGACATATGTAACTGAGAAAGGAACTTCAGGAAGAGAAAAATCTTAGGAGAATCCAAAAAAGTAAGAATTTTGATGAAACAGTGTATAGAAGTGGGTAAGAAACATACCCATAAAATAAATGTAAAAATGTATCTTTTATTATACTTTAAGTTCTAGGGAACATGTGCACAAAGTGCACGTTTGTTATATATGTATGCATGTGCCATGTTGGTGTGCTGCACCCATTAACTTGTCATTTACATTAGGTATATCTTCTAATGCTATCCCTCCCCCTCCCCCCACCCCACAACTTAAAAATGTAATATTTGTTATAGTGGTACCCTTCTTATGAAGAACTGCCTATAGATATCTGTCAAAGTCTTCAGAATTTATGTAGCGTCCCTTAAACAAGGGATTTGTTTATAAAATTCAGAGATATTTGAACTTGAATGGAAAAAATATAATTGTTTTTTCATTAACCACTAACTCTATAGATTAGCATTTTTTCCAGTTAAAAATATAGGTAACAAGCCAGAGAAGTGTTAGCAATATCTGTGCTTTCAAGAAATTACTGCCAATTTCATATCACATTACAGTTGTTACAGACTATCATTAATGTTCAAAACTAGCTTGAAATTAAAGCAGATTTCAGCCCACTGCTAGAGCTTATTATTTTGTATATTCCTTAAAAAGCACGTATATTACTGTTTTTAAAAACATGATTATTTTGATAATTGTATTTCAATATTATCGATGTTCTTTGTGATTCTATGTATTTTTATTTTGTACATTTAGGAATAATATACTGAGCAGGACTCCACAGGCTTCAGCCGACAACCAAAGCTGTTCATGGTTTAGTAAAGGATGGGAACTCCTGAACTAAAGCTAACATGCAGAAATATTATATTCAATGACATTAGCATGAAATAGTTCTCACAGTAGCATATGCTCAGGAGAATTCGCTTTCACATATTCTTTCAGAAGTCCACTCAATCTAGTTCATGTGAAATATTTTCAAGTAGAAGTGTATCCCTCGCTGATCTCATTGTCCAGGAGACATCAGTAGTTATGTAGTTGTAAGTAAAAGGACACATGTGAGGTGCCTGGTCATTATAATACAACTTGTGACAATGGAGTGGGTGATGTTGAGAGGCATACTTAGAAATTGTACCTGGAACCTGGATGCTAGAGCCACATGAAGTGATATAGTAAATGCAAGTTTGCTTCCACATGAAGTAATTATTTAAATGTGACTTGGCAGAGGGATGAACCACTAGGTAAGCCCCAACCAGGGCTTCTTGCAACTTGGTAGAACCTTCCTATGGTCAGACAGAACTCTATGACAGGATCTTCTCCAATGAAGACCTAAACAGATTAAAGGGGCCACGATCACTGAACATCCCCCAGCTTAATATCTTAGGCTTTGCTGCAAATTTGTCCTTTGAACTTATCAACCAAAATGTAACTTCAATAAAATGTGTCAGAGTGATTGTTTTTCACCAAACCGAACCATCTGCAGAATCGCTGGGGTGCTGCAGTCTTTCTCTAGTTCTGTCGCTGTTCGATTTTGGCATTCCTCAATGTATAGTTTAACTTGCATTTTAACCACAAGGATGGGGGAGTTGTGCATAAAATATATAGAAATATACATTATACCATAAGTAAAGCAATATTGATGAATATTGCAATCTTATTTCTCATTTCTCTTTAATAGGAATATTCTTCTCGCTCTCTCTTCTTTTTTCTCCTTTGGTGAATTTTTATCCAGCAGCTGAAAAGCCTGTGATGGCCAGTATAAATTTTGTCTACTTATTCCTTGGTCCCTAAAATTTCTAAGCCCAAACATCCCAGAGTTGGGAGATTGAACTCACATTTCACGTAATATGAGAATTGACACCCTCACCTCTACTCCCTATTTTGAGAATCAATATATTCTCGCAATGGGAGAATCAACAGCACATATTGACTTCTGGTTCATACTATATCCTGCAAAAATAGTCTCCTAGATGAGTTATAACTAGGTGACAATAAGGTTATTCTTTATTCTGGAAGACCAGAAGCTTCTAACTTGCAGGGGACGTGATAATACTAATGAATCCCGTGAGTGTCAGCTCCCACAATGTTGCACATGCTGAAAGCTTTTAGACATGCAATAAATTCAAGGATGAAGGTACATATGGCATGGTAGGAAGCAAAAGAAAATACAAATCCGGGATGAGATAAGTTAGGGAAGATCAATTATTTCCTTTTGTGATGGAAGGAGTCCAGAGGAATCAACCTAGAGCCTTGGAAAATTGCTGGTAGTCCCCCACACCCCAGGCATACTTCCGTATTGGAGGGACTATTAGTAAGAAAGCTTTTACCTCCAAGTGATGATAGAATATCCAATACGGTTGGCTTCCTAATGGCCCCCAAAGATATCCAGGTTCTAATCTGTAGAAGCTATGAGTGCTAATTTATATGATTTTACAGATGTGATTAAGTTTAGGATTTTAACATGGGGCATTATTTGAATTATTCGGGTTATCCCATACTATAATTTTCAAAGGGGATAAAGTTACAGACACAGAAGGCAATGTGATGAAGGAGAGAAAATATTGAAAGTGCCACACATCTGGCTTTGAAGATGGGGGAAAGGGCCACAAGCCAAGGAATGCAAGAAATGCAGCTCTAGAAGCTGGAAAAGACAAGGAAACAGATTTTTCCCTAGAGTATCTGGAGGAAGCACAGCGTTGCTGACACCTTGATTTCAGCCCAGTGAAACTGATTTTGGAATTCTGATCTCCAGAATAGTAAGAGAATAAATGTGTGCTATTTTAAGCTGCCAAGTTTGCAGTAATTTGTTATAGCAGCCACATAAAGCTAATACACCAAATAAGATGTGGTTTAAACAATGAAGGTTTATCTTCTCACATCACAGTAATTTTGGATTGGTAAGTTCAGGATCTCTGAGAAGTCTGGGACTCTAAGCCAATTTTTTTAAGAATCTCTTGGATCTTCTCTCTAGGTGGCAAAATGACTGCCCAGCCCCGAGCTTCATGCTGTGGTGTAACAACATCCAAAGGCAGCAAGAAAGGGCAGGTCTTTATTTCCATGTATATCTCTCTTCTCTTAGGGTACACCTATTGAGTGGGACAATCAACACAATCTCCTACAGAGTCTCAGGTTTTGTTTCTGCTGATGGCATATAGGGCCTCCAATGTTCAGATAAGCCTTGGTAAAAAGAAGTGTTAAACTCATGTGTTTTTACTGCCTTTGCCACTTTAACCACTGCACAAGTGCTGGATTTTGGAAGATGCGGCTGACTGATAGTCACAGAGATGGTCATCTTGTCCACCTGATGATTAATTAAAAGCTGTCTCTTCAGAAGTAAGTTTCACAAATAACCCCATACTCTAGCCTCACCCACATACCTCTTCCCCAAACATTGTCACTACTCCTCAAATCCCAGACCAACGAACCAACCAAGGAAATCATGTTAACATTTATTTAGATTATCTCTTCCTCCAGGAAAGTGGGCAACCCAGTGGCAAACTCTGTCCACTGTCCTTCAGAAGTACCCTGATGGAGATGTAACACTGCACACCTACTCACAGCTGATTTTAGAACTCTGAAAGGAATGATTTGTTCCTGGAATCCATTTATTTTTCCCCTCAGTCAACACATCAAATGGAACTCCACATGTGACTCTAGTTGTGGGTCATGGGGCAGGTGACACTTTATGCATCAGGATGTATACTGGCAGTGAGAACAACTTATTTCTATTATTTGTGTGTTCTGGGCTGGTTATTGTCTAATACCATATATGCCATTTTCGTGTGATGATTAAGTGATGCTGGTCAGGCCCTACTTTATTGATTAGGAGGTCAGATAACACCCAGATCATGAAGAGCAATATGGTCTTCTAGTGTCAGACCCAGTCTCCATCTTCCAGATCCAAGTACTAGGGAAAGAGCTGTTCCTTCAAAGGAAACAAGTTATTTGATCAGGCAGGCATGACTTTGCTCATATATCTTAGAGAAGTAGTGTTTGAAATTTATGGCCTGAGGACTCTGTAAGAAATGTATTTTAATTTCTAAGCCAGTACAAGACACTTAGAAGATCTTGAACAAAATAAACAAGTTTCAATAAATGTTGCCCTCACTACAGGCTATGGAAGCTGATATTTTCCTTCCTATTCTATCCTCTTTCACATTTTTTTTAAAACGTTGCTCCAGACCTGTTAAATGGATTTCATAATCAGTAATGGGTCACAACACACAGTTTGAAACATGCTGCCCTAGAGGGCTCACAGTAATTCTCATACTGAGATTTGCTAGAGGAAACACAGAGCAATGCAGTCAGCTACAGAAAGTTCAAGCAAAATTGATTCTGTTGCTTCAAAAGGTCCAAATGCTTGCCCTGCAGGACCTGCTGAGGAAGTTTCTGTAGGTCACACTTAGGCCTAGCAGCCCACAGAGTCACCTGGCATGTGGGTCTGAGCAGTAACCCCTAATGTCCTCCCCATTCCCATCAGATTTAAAGGGGCCCGCCAGGCACATTTCCTTCTCCATCACACAAGACGCAGCCAGGCAGATTTCACTTTTGAGATTACATGCTTTAGGAGTGGGAAGGTTGTGATTTCAATAACTCAAGGCACCTTAATTTTGAGAATCAACATGCCTCCAGGAAAGATGAAAGTTGCATCCCACTTTGGAAAGCTGGAGGATGGAGTTGACACAGGAGAAGTCCCTCAGATGGAAAGAGGAGTGAGAGAGACCTCACTCACTTCTCCGAGTGGCGAGGGGGCTGGGAGGAGACTATACAGGAGATGTTCATATGTTTGTGTTCAGGTTTATGCAATGGGTATTTAAAAAAAAAACAGAAAGATAAGTTGGAACTCCAAAGCAATGGGATTTTGTCCCCAGAAGATCCCAGGTAGAAGTAGCCATCAAGATTCCACTGGATCCCAAACGCCAAGAAGCTGTGGAAGAGATGCCTAGCTAGTGCCTGAAGACCATCAATTATGCCTCACAAGGAAACAGCAGCCAGAAGTTATCGCTCCATGGACAAGAACAGAGTCTGTACCTATAAAGTAGAACCCACAGAAAATATTCACCAGCCCCAGACTTCAGCAGGGGAGGAAACATAAACCACAACATATCCAGAGGAGCCAGTTGTACCACAGTAGGCACTGGTGCCCGTAGCCAGCGAGAAGAGAGATGGTAGGAGTCCTGATGACACACAGTTCACACATAGGTCTGGATCCCTCGCCTTGTGAGCTGTCCTTCCATTTGGGACTTAGGATGGGAAACAAAGAAACAGGCCTGAAAGGGAATTTGAATTTTCCTTTCTTTCAGTGGCAATGGAAGTTTCCTAGGAGTTTTTGAACAATTATGAAAAATAATTAAACTATTAGATTTTATAGCATGTGAGTTTAGAGGTATATGTAAGTGATCCTACTACAGTTTTGAACTAGATTTAAATTTATGAAACCAAGCGAAAGTGTAATATTTAATGTGAAATTTAGTTGCATACTAAATTACCTATGTTGAGCGACAGTTCATAAAGAAAGAAAAATGTCTCTGGAAAAAAACTATTGTGAACAATTAGAAAATGTAAGATGTAGTCAACAGTCAAAGAATGCGGGATCCTACAGAGTCTTAGCCCAGCTTCAATTTCACAGAAAAATATCATTACAAATCACACAATGCAAAACTGAACTTTACAAATAATAACTGAGACTAGAGATATAAAACTGCTTGGTCAAGGTTCTACACAAAGTTCACAGCAGAGCACGGAGTGGAATACAGATCTAGCCAGAACTGGAATATAGGTCTAGTACACTATTTATTCCCCAAATTAACAAACTTCTTTAAACTCTCTTTCATGTATATGCAACCTAAATTTACAATTAGTGCTTAAAAGTGGAAGAGAACATCTGTATATTAAATTTCTCCTCAGTACACATCAGATGAAAAGGTGATACAGGAGATAAGTGAAATACTTCAATAACCTACTTCTGTAGTATTCATGTATTATGTATGAGCACGAAGGATATGTAATTGTCATTATGACCTCCAAGAGGAGAGCAGAGGGGAAAGAAAATTTTTCATTAAGAACCTGCAATACACAAGTAAAACATACATAAGGAAGATAGATAATGATAACAACAATAGGAAATTTTTAACAGGTTTAAAGGCAGAAAGTTGCACTGAAGTAATAGATTTTATGTAAAATGGCATTTGTTTCAAAAATAATAATAAATTATATTGCTGACATATATTGGACCATATTCAGGTTCAATATTGGATCATATTCAAGGTTCATAGACAATCATATTTTAGATTAACATCACAACATTAAATAAGGACTTGAGTATAAAATCTCATTTGAGCAAACTTCTTTTCAGTCTCATAAATAATAGTCCTAGGTTCTAACCCACACTTTTCCTTCTTCCTAAAGGTAACATTATTACCTACCTCCAATTCATTCATCTCCTTCGTTCTTATCACACTTTGCATCTTTCTTCAACCTCTAAATAGTGTGCCTCCCCCTCTATAGTAGATGCTCTGGTTTAGCCCAGGGATTCTCCTTCTAGACTGAGGAGCTTCTTCCTCAATGCTGAATGCTCCCTCTTACTCCCAGTTTTCCCATTCACACCTCCCTCCCTGTGATAACCCTCCACTGAGGAGAGCCATCTTGATCCTTGATGGAAGTCATCTCCCTTCCCAGGGCCTGCTGGCATCCAGAGAAAGGTGGATGTAAGGCCATGAGGGCGTGGACACCTTCGCTGTATTTGGCACACCTCCGAAGATCCATCCAGCTCCAACTACAGATTGCTAGAGGCTGGTTGTGGCCACAATAGAGCCCGGCTCCAAAGCTTTGACCACATTTTCACTGTGAGCCATCACAGGAGGGCAGGTGTGGAATTTTCCACTTGCGTCATCTTTTCAGTACTCAAAATGTTTCAGAATTTGAAGCATTTTGAATTTTGAATTTTGGATTTTCACATTAGGGATGTTCAACCTGTATACCCATACTGGACCCTTCATTAAAAGCAGGTAGCATAAGGAACAATGATTTCGGACTGCAGGTAATGAGAAGCACACAAAAACCTGAAATTTCATTTCAGAGTAATTGTTATTATATCCAGCTGATCAAAACTCGTAACTAGCATTTAAATGATACTTCAACTTTGAAGATCAATGTGAAAAAGACAAAATACAGCAATGGAATGCCTCTAATTTAACATTTGCCTCTTTGAAAATGATTGCCTAAACTCCTGAAGCTAATTTACAAAGCATAATTGAAATAATAACTTTATATGCCTATTTGTCTAATCTAGAAACAAAACATGAAATCATGAAAAAATACAAATTGCAACATTTTCCATACCAGATAATGAAAGTTACTTTTGCATGTTTTACTACAACACATTACTTAATATTCAAAAATAAAATATTTCATTGTTACTGATTTATTTATTTTTAAATCACTTTTCTTGTATAATTCATTTAAAATAAATTCACCAGACTGTCACTTATTAAAATAAATTAACCAAAGGATGTCACACATTAGACAAAATGCTAAAATTTGTCTGATGTGTCTTAAGAATGATAATAAAAATATATTAGGATTGAACATATGATGCTAGTGTGCCTCAGGAAACACTGTTTCCTGGTCTACCTCAGCAAAGAGAATACATTTAAGTGAAACACTGGTGCAATGTCCAAGAGAGATTGGGAGGCAATTTAAATCTTTACTGCTGCTTTTGGAAAGCATTAAAGAGGAACTGTATTTTTAACAATGAGCAAAATGTGTTAAAATCTCTTTATCCGAGACTCTCTTTTAATCTTACACAGTGTAGCAAGATAGTGGCTATCAATGTTCCTTCTCTCTCTGTCCAGCTCCCTCAACTTCTTTCTCTCTATATTGTTGCAGTTGCTTCCATTGTGGTGGGAAACACATAATTTAAAAATAATAATAGAAGACAAAGAAAGTCATTATATAATGTTAAGGGGTTAATTCAGCAAGAGGCTATAACAATTTGAAATATATATGCACCCAACACTGGAGCACCCAGATATATAAAGCAAATATTATTAGAGTTAAGAGAGAGATAGACCTCAATACAATAATAACTGGAGACTTCAGCACCTCACTTTCAGCATTGGACAGACCTTCCAAACAGAAAATAAATAAAGGAACATTGGACTTAATCTACGCTATAGACCAAATAGACCTCATAGTTATTTACTGAACATTTTATGTAATAGCCACAGAATATGCATTCTTCTCAGCACATGGATCATTCTCAAGAATAAACCATATGTTAGGCCACAAAATAAATGTTAAAAAAATTCAAAAAAGTTGAAATCATATCAAATATCCTCTTTGACCACAACGGAATAAAACTAGAAGTCAAAAACAAGAGGATTTTTGGAAACTATACAAACACATGGAAATTTAAATAATATGCTCCTGAACGACCAGTGGGTCAATGAAGAAATTAAGGAGTAATTTTAAAAATTTCTTAAACAAATGATGTTGGGAATACAGCATACCAAAACCTATGGGATACAGTGAAAGCAGTACTAAGAGGGTTTATAGCAATAAACACCTACATCAAAAAAGTAGAAAAACCTCAAACAACTTAACAATGCATCTTAAAGAACTAGAAAAGCAAGAGCAAAATCAAACCCAAAATTAGGAGAAAAGAAATAATAAAGATCAGAGCAGAAATTAATGAAATTGAAATAAAGAAAGCAATACAAAAGATTAATCAAATGAAAAGTTAGTTCTTTGAAAAGATAGAGAAAATTGACAAACCTTTAGTCAGACTAAGAAAAAGAGAAGACTCAAATAAATAAAATCAAATATGAAAAAGGAGACATTACAGCCAATGTCACAGACATTCAAAGGATCATTAGAGGCTACTATGAGCAACTATATTCCAATAAATTGGAAAATCCATAAGGGCAAGATTGAACCATTAAATCCCAAACCTGAACAGACCAATAACAAGTGACTAGATTGAAGACGTAATAAAAATTTTCTGAGCAAAGAAAAGCCCAGGACTTAATGACTTCAATGCTGAATTTTACCAATTTAAAGAAGAACTAATACCACTCCTACTTATACTATTCCAAAAAGTAAAGGAGGCAGGAATACTTCCAAACATATTCTATGAGTCCAGTGTTATCCTGATACCAAAACTAGACAGTGACATATCAAAAAGAGAAAACTACAGGTCAATATCCCTAATAAATATTGATGCAAAATCGTCAACAAAATACTAGCAAATCAAATTCAACAACACTTTTAAAAGATCATTCATCATGGCCAAGTGGTATTTATCCCAGGGACCCAAGGATAATTCAACATCTGTAAATCAATTAATATGATAGATCATATCAATAGAATGAAAGATAAAAACCATATGATCATTTCAATTGATGCTGAAAAAGCATTGGATAAAATTCAACACCACTTCATGACAAAAAATACCCTCAAAAAACTGGGTATAGAAGAAACATACCCCAACACATTAAAAGCCATAAATGACAGACCTGTTGCTAGTATCATACTGAATGGGGAAAAATTCAAAGCCTTTCCTCTAAGATCTAGAAAAAGACTAAGATGCCTACTTTCACCACTATGATTCAACATAGTTCTAGCAAGAGCAATCAGACAAATGAAAGAAATAAAGGGCTTCCAAATTGGAAAGGAAGAGGTCAAATTATTGTCTGTAGGACTCCACCAAAAAACAAATAGAATTGATAAATAAATTCAGTAAAAACGAGGAATAGAAAATCAACATACAAAAATCAGTAGCTCAGGTAATGGCTTCACTAAAATCTCAGACTTCACCACAACACAATTTATTCATGTAACCAAAAAGTACTTGTACCTTAAAAGTGTTGAAATAAAAAGTACTTTTTAAAATCAATAGCATTTCTATATGCCAACAATAAACAATTTGAAAAATAATCAAGAAAGTAATCTTACTTATAATAGCTACACATAAAATTAAATACCTAAGAATTAACCTAACCAAAGAAGTAAAAGATATCTGCAATGAAAACTTTAAAATATTGATCAAAGAAATAAAAAAGACAACAAAATATGAAAAAAATTGATATTCATGGACTGGAAGAATCAATATTGTTAAAATGTTCACACTACCCAAAACATTCAATGGATTCAATGCAATTCCTATCAAAATACCAATGGCATTCTTCACAGAAATAGAAAAAAAATTCTAAAATTTATATGAGACCACAAAATACTCAGAATATCCAAAGCTATCCTAAGCAAAAAGACCAAAACTGGAGAAACCACATTGCCTGACCTCACATTATACTACAGAGCTATAGTAACCAAAACAGCATGGTACTGGCATAAAAGCAGACACATAGACCAATGAAACAGAATAGAGAACCCAGAGACAAATCCATACATCTAAAGTGAACTCATTTTCAACAAAGTTGCCAGGAACATACATTGAGCAAGGGACAGTCTCTTCAATAAATGGGGCTGGGGAAACTGAATACCTATATACAGATGAAAGAAAATAGATCTCTATCTCTCACCATATACAAAAATCAAATCAGAATGGATTAAAGACTTAAATTTAAGACCTTAAACTATGAAACTACTAAAATAAAACATTGGAGACACAACAGGACATTGGTCTGGGCAAAGGTTTCTTGAACGACACCCCAGAAGCACAGACAACCAAAGCAAAAATTGACAAATGGGATCATATCAAGTTAAAAAGCTCCTGTACAGCAAAGAAAACAATCAACAAAATGAAGAGACAACCCACAGAATGGGAGAAAATACTTGCACACTGTCCATCTGACAAGGGATTAATAACCAGAATATATATGAAGTTAAAAATCTAATAAACCAATTTAAAAATTGGCAAAGGATCTGAATAGACATTTCTCAAAAGAAGACATAGAACTGGCAAACAAATAATATGAAAAAAGTTTTCAACATCATTGATCATCAGAGAAATGTAAATCAAAACTACTATAAGATATCATCTCACCCCAGTTAAAACGGTTTTTATCCAAAAGACAGGCAATAACAAATGCTGGCAAAGATGTGGGGAAAAAGGAACACTCATACACTGTTGATGGGAAAGTAAATTAGTACAATCACTATGGAGGACAATTTGGAGGTTCCTCAGAAGACTAAAAATAGAGCTACTATAAGATCCAGCAATCACACTGCTGGTATATACCCAAAATAAATGAGTATATTGAAGAGATATCTGCATTCCATGTTTATTGCAGCATTATTTACAATAGCCAAGGTTTGGGAGCAAGTGTCCCTCAACAGATAAATGGATCAAGAAAATGTGGTACATATATGCAATGGAGTACTATTCAGCCATATAAAAAATGAGATCCAATCATTTGCAACGATATAGATGGAATTGGAAGTCATTATGTTAAGTGAAATAAGCCAGGCACAGAAAGAGAAACTTCACATATTCTCACTTATTTGTGGGAGCTAAAAAGTAAAACAACTGAATTCATGGAGATAGAGAGTAGAATGATGGTTACCATAGGCTGGGAAGGGTAGTCAGAGAGGGAAGGGATGGTGGAAGTGAGGATCGTTAATGCGTACAAAAACATAGATAGAATGAACAAAATCTAGTATTTGATAGCACAACAGGATGACTACAGTTAACAATAATTTATTGTAATTCTTAAAATAGCAAAAAATACTGTAATTGAATTGTTTGTATAACAAATAAAGAATAAATGCTTGAGCTGATGGATATTCCACTTACCCTGATGTGATTATTATGCATTGCATGCCTGTATCAAAATATCTCATGTACCCCATAAATATATACACCTACTACATACCTACAAAAATTACAAATTAAAAATGTGTTTATTAAAAATTAACAAATAAGCCGGGCGTGGTGGCTCACACCTGTAATCCTAGCACTTTGGAAGGCCGAGGCGGGTGGATCAGAAAGTCAGGAGTTCAAGACCAGCCTGGCCAAGATGGTGAAACCCCATCTTTAATAAAAACACAAAAAAATTAGCCAAGTGTGGTGGCGGGCACCTGTAATCCCAGCTACTCAGGAGGCTGAGGCATAGAATCACTTGAACCTGGGAGGCGGAGGTTGCAGTGAGCCAAGATTGCGCCACTGCACTCCAGCCTGAGTGACAGAGCAAGACTCCATCTCAAAAAAAAAAAAAAAAAAAAGAAAAAGAAAAAAAGAAAAAAAAATAACAAATAGAAAAAAAGTCCTGAAAGCTATTAAACAGTAACGGAGTTTTTCTTTTAATGTGGGAGTGGGAAGAAAAATTGTGGATGTTCATATTCAATGCTTTTTCTTTGATCTCACAATTTCACTTTCCTCCTGTACTCTTTTGTTAAAAAATTGATGTGTAATTTACATTCTGTAAAATGTACATACCTTCAAATGTACTGTTTAATGAATTTTGACAAACACATACACCTGTTAACAATTCCCAACTTTCAAGCTACACAGAACATTTACATTAACCCAGAAAGTTCATTTGCACCCTTGTCAGGCAGTTCCCCACAATAACAGAGCTGATCAGTACAATGATTTCTATCACCATTTTATGATTTGTCCATATTTCTCATGTATCAGTATTTCATTCATTTTATTGCCGAGTGATATTCTATTGTATGCATACATTATTGCCTGTTTATACATTCTATTGTTGAAGTACATTTGAGTTTTTCCATTTTTTATTCTCCTGCTACTTTGTGTTTAATAATATATTAAGTGTTTTTACTTAAAACCACTTTGTTAATTTCACATCCATCATACCAGCTCAAATTTAAGTCTAACAGTACTACATTTTAGGAAGATTATAAAGCAACTATAACTCTTATATTCTACTAGATGTAAGGTAAATTATTATCACTTTAGACAACATGTGGCAATATCTAAGAAAGCTAGAGAGGCACTCTTCACTCTCTAGTAATTCTACCCCTAATTATATGTTTTAAGAAACTCTCAGATACATGCATAACAACACATATACAAAAATGTTCTTAAGCAGCATGTTTATGAAATAGTCAAAATAGCATAAATGTCTTATAAACAGAACAATTAATACATTGTGATATAACCTTAAAATGAACACGATATGGCACTGGAATCGCTAAACATGGGCTTCTTGTATCTACCTGGATAATTCTCACAAATATTGAGCAAAGGAAAAAAGCAAATTTAAAAGAATGTTATACTATTTATTCAAACACTTAAAGTAATAAAAATAACAGCACAGGTGTAGAAAACGTATCAAGAACGATATAAGAATGAAAATATCAAATAGAGGATAATAGTTACCTCTGCACAAATGGAAGTGGGCTAAGAGATGGGAATTTTCCATTAATTTTCTTTAAATTGGGCTGTGAGTACATGAGAGGTTATTGTAACAGCCTTTGTGTCTTGTATTATGACTGAAATATTTTACAATAATAACAAATTTTCTTTTATAGTACTAACCCACTCAGAAGTGAACACATGATTCAACAAATTCCTAAGAGGACCCTTTAGAAAGTATAGTAAGTAAGAAGAGTTTAAGCTAGAATGCTTGGGAGACACAGAAATAGCTTGTATTAATCAATTCTCATTCTGCTATAAAGAACTCTCCGAGACTGGGTAATTTATAAAAGAAAGAGGTTTAACTGACTCACAGTTCAGCATGGCTGGGGAAGCCTCAGGAAACTCACAATCGTGGTGGAAGGCGAAGGGGAAGCAAGGCATCTTCCTCACAAGGTAGGAGGAAGGAGAAGTGCTGAGTGAAGGGGGGAAAGGCCTTTATAAAACCATCAAATCTTGTGAGAACACCCTCACTATCAAGAGAACAGCATGGGGGAACCGCTCTCGTGATTCAATTACCTCCACCTGGTCTCTCCCTTGACAGGTGGGGATTATGGAGATTATGGGGGTTACAATTCAAGATGAGATCTGGGTGGGGACATAAAGCCTAACCATATCATAGCTGAACTTCCAGGCCCTTCATTATGTGAATCAGCATTACCAACAGCTAAATACAATGTGTAAGGGACTGGATAACTATTTACTATTTATATTGGGTAACTATTTTTATGTACTGGGTATATACTAAGAGCATGCGGTATTTTTTTAAGACTGGAGCAGTTGCTTTGAAAAGACGTTTTGATTTTTTATTATCATTTATGCTATAACATAACACATTTAAATATATCAGAATGTATATTAATGTGTAGATAATTGGGAACAGTGGTATGCTGGTAAATGTTTAACAACCTGCTTGGGGGAGAGGAGGACGATAAAAGCCCTGATTGGTAGCGATGGAAAATTCCAATGGTGTAATTACTCCCACCATGCTTGATCTATGTTAGCAACTTCTCTTTGACAAATGCAAAGTTGGGAGGAGATAAACACAGTCAGCTGGCATGAGCCAGCACTTCACTGCAGCGAGCTGAGGTGTCACGGAAGACCTCCCCAAGACAGTAGAGCTGTCTGGCACTATGGAAGTCACCCACTGCCCAAGATGATACTGGGATATTCCCAATGCTCAAACGAATGCAAAATGAGTCAAAAAAATACAATGAAGAAAGTATAAAAGGGCAGAATCTTAATAGAGAAGTTTACTACTTCCCATGTTAACCTAACAGTACAGGTTTGTAACTTTTCTCGGATTTTGTAGGCTAAGCCTTTACGTTTTTGGAAAGCAGATCTATTCCCAGTGAGATGTTCCCAATGCCGTGAAAACTCTAAATTGGTGGTGGTGGTGGTGGTGGTGGTGGTGGTATATTGTTAGCACAATAAAATGGTAATGTTCTTGATGGAAAGAGGTCAACAAACACAGTTAAAATAGCTCAGCTGACAGCAAAAAATATAGGAATGTATGGATTTAGTCACATAAGGAGAAGATTACACAGAGGTACAGTTTTTCAGTTCCCAGAAATATCATGGAAAGAGCTAGGGAAACACAGCTGTTCATGCTTCCATCTGTGAAGAGAGAGAATACAACCAGATGCGAGAAGTTTCCCATGCATTTATTTAGAGGTTTTAGGTCACACACACACACACACACACACACACTCACACACACCACCCCTTCTTCCCATCACTGAATTTTTGGAAAAATTCAGACTTTTGGAAAGAGTCTACAAGCCCAACTAGTGCATAAATCAAGTGTAAAGCAACCACATAATGTTTCTAATGTTTCCTGACAGGCAGGGGTCAATATTCTGGGCTCTTTCCTAGACCCATCCAAGTTTAAGGCCTGCTTGAGTTTTACTCCTGAAGACAGATTCACACTTTGTGGTAAGATTAAAATTTTAAATAACATGGAAAATACTGTGATTAAACCAGAGTTTTTGTCTTGTGTCTCATTACCTTTAGCTCAGCACACCAGCAACCTATAGTCATTAAATGATGGTGTTTAATACGCAAACTTTTTCTTTAACCTCAGCTGAGACCTAGAAAGAGGATCCCAACTTTCTTTTTTTTTTAAAGTAAAACAGGATGAAAGCCTGTACCATGTGGTTTTACAAGATCCTTTTCCAACCCAATGCCCCAGCACTGAGGACATCCTTGGGAAGAGGAGCGAATGTTGGATTGAGAACTTCAGGGACCATATTCTTACCAAGAACATTACTATGTCAGCTTCTTTGTTAAAGAATTAATATCAGATAAGTTTCTAGAATTTTAACTGGGAGTGTTCTGTAGCTGGCTAATGGTAAATATTGTTACATATATGGCTTTTTGAAAAACTTCTATTATTGCCACAGTGCCATAAAAATAAATTTTGCTGTTCTCACTGTTTAATAATAGATTTTTAATTACCGCTTACTTTTTTCCTTGGGATTTTGGGGTTTGTTTCATTTTCTGCCTACTTTATGAAGAAATAATATACTTGTGAATTATTTTTTCAAGGATTTATAAACACATTCAAGAATTTATTTCTTATGTTGGTTCTAGGATCTCCCCAGCTATCAAGGCTATAAGGCATGTTTAATGCAAATAGTAATGCAAAAGAGAGCTGCTTTAGTATTTTTTCTCATTTTTATGCCCTCAACTAAAATGCCTTTTAAAATGTATTGTTTCAAAAATCTAAACTCTAATTCAAAATACTGTCTTAGGGACATCTGTTTAAGAATGGCAGATTGCACAGATATATTTTCCCATGCTGCCTTCAGAAATCTAACCACAATGACATCAAAGAGATTTTTAAAAAAGTAAAAGTCAGAATCTCACACAGATAAAGAGAGCAGTAAAGAGACAAGTGCAGACAGGTCAACACAATTTTAGAAGCTGGAGAACAGACAGGTGAGTAATAATGGATTTAGCTGGCCAAAGAAAGATGAAAGCTACCTGACTGCCCAGAAAGCAAACCTGCTGGCCCTGCTGAACTGCTAAAAAAGTTAAGGAATTGAACGTGATGGGCAGATTGAGCTCCAAACGTGAAGGATGCTTGAGATTCCGTATAAGAAGCAATTTAATAATCAATCTCTCCCCAACCCAATGCCCCAGTATTGAGCACATCCTTGAGAAGATGAGTGGATGTTGGATTGGGAATAGTGAGAACCATATTCTTACCATACTCTCTCCCAAACCCAGACAAGAAGGAGGGAGGGGGCAGAGGGAGAAAAATTTTACTTCCTTTTATACCACCCCATGGTGTAATAATGAAGCACTGAGGTCAGTACTTGGATTTAAACAGGCATCTCTCTTGGGAGGCTGTGGCACATAACTCAAATGAGCATATAATTAAAAAATCATTTTCTATTTAGCTTTGAACTGTATTATGAGGATTTCAGCTTTTTAATTTTTTACACATTTTCTTAATTATGTTTTGCCTTGCATAATATTAAAATTAGTTTTAATTTCCTGTTCACTTTCTGATGGAGAGAATGAGGAGATGCAGTCTGAAAGTGGAATGGGTGCTTAAAAACGTATCTGCAAGGATGGACGTTGGCAAACACATACTTGCCTACAATGTCAATTAACTTAAATTTATACAGGGCCACTAAAATGAGCTAATAAAATCTCAGCCATCTTAAGAACCAATAACAGTCAGTTATGATTCTTGGAATCAAGATGATCATTAAGGGTAATGTTTATTCTAAGTGCATTTACTGAACAAAAGACACATAACTTGAATCCAGAGCAAAATAGTCACAGAAAAACATAAATGCAAGGAATGACTCATCTAAGCCAGCTTTGTTTCCTAGAATGGTGGCAGAAAGCACGAATGTAGTCAGCAATGTATGCAAAATGTGTCATCCTCCGTCCTATTATTTAACAGATTAAAATATGCATATCCCTACACATTAATTTTGCACCATTGGTTTGATGTGAATATTTCTTATTAAAAAAAAAAACAAATGCAGGTCACAGACTTTTACTGAATTTGCAGTAACAATCACGTGCCCCAGGTGGATCTTCAGCACGTTTTTGTGAATCGCCAGAGTGATTGGTAGTCTGAATTTTCCATGAGCTATTCTCATATTCTCTTTGCTGATTTATAAAATGTACCCTTTCACAAAATGCTTTATCCCAAACCAGCTTATGCCCAGAGAAGAAAACACCTCTCTCTTTCTCCCTGCCTCACTTTATTATTTATTTATTTTTATTTTTTTTAATTTGAGGGAGTGGTGGGTTACTTCCGTTGGTGAGATGTCAACTACCATGAAAATAATTAAAACTACCGTGGAAATAGATTGAGTTCCCCATCACACAGGGTTGCAGTGATATTTGACTTCTGTCGAATATCTTCCTTTCAAACCTAATTCTTTATGTTTAATGTAAATTAATGGAGGAATAGAGTGTTTATAGAGAAAAATGTTATAAAGTTTATTCAAATAAAGTAAATATGTTTTTCTTGACATTTTGATGATCAACCTATCAATGATTTAGAGATCATCTTTCTTGTTATACTCATAGGTGCTATGACTTTCAGTTAGGGTCGCTATTTACTTATTTCATGACTGTATTTATGTCAGAAACTCTAATGAAGGGATTACTGATAAACTAGGCCAGGTCATTTCATAAATCTCAAACTTGAATCTTACCACTGACCACATAGAAGAAAAAGAGACCCAAAAGACAACAGTGCCAGGGTTCCAGAGGGATGGCCAGTCCAGTCTCAGTGGAGAACAAACACGACTAATTTTACCAAAAGATCTCAAGGAGAAAAGAAAATCAGTCGAGCTGGGTGAAGGAGCTCCTCCTGTAGGCATGAATCGATCGTAGTGCATCTCTTTTCGCCACTGCGGATAAGTGACAGAAGACAGAGCCATGACCATCTGTGCACCCATCTGTGCACAAGGTCACCTGCCCACTTGCAGAAGTGCCCCCAAGTAAGGTCTCATATTAATAGTCCATCTTCCTTGAGTGAGGAAGAAGCTTCCTCTCCATCCCCACCACTCTAAACTCAAAAAAAACCTCTTAACCTCACTCAGGGCTGACACCCAGCAGAGAACCGTTTATGCTTTTGAGATGATCAGAAATTTGGTCTTCACTAAAAAACTTCTTCCTTTTGCCATTGAGGATACTGACTGTCAAAGAGACTAAGCAACATCCCCAAAGGTACGGCTCTTTTCTACCAGTATAATCTCATATTAACACACAGGTAGTCATTTCTATGGTACTTTATATCACAACCTAAATATTCCTAAATTGTCCTCTCTTTATGTGGGTTCAAATAAAATCTTGGACTTTGATTATAATAAATGAATCAATGTTTTTAATATTTCATATTTTAATGTCATGAATTACGCCTTTATAAGAGAGACTCAATCACAGCCAACATGTTCACACCTGGATTGAAGCTAAGTATTTTTTATGAATCAATAATTTTCTTTAATTATACCACACCCAGAAAGAAAATGAACAAATGGGCTAATTATTCTTTTAGTTGCCATTAGCTGGCATTAGGTTTTAGATTTGTCACTATACATTATTAATGTACTTTAGGTTTTGCTAATTTGTTCAGCCTTAGAAAATTGTCTTATGATGTCGTTGTGGACCAAATGGTGTCCCCTCCAAAATTTATGTGTTGAAGGCCTAAACCCTCAATGTGATTGTATTTGGAGATAGGGCCTTTAAAGAGCAGTTAAAATTAAATCAGGTCATAGCATGGGATCTTAAATCAATATGACTTGTGTCCTTCTAAGAAGAGAAAAAGATGCTGGAGATGTGCACACGGTGGAAAGGCCACGAGAGGACACAGTGAGAGGGCAGTCATCTGAAAGCCAAGGAGAGAGGCCTCAGGAGAGCCCAACCCTGCCAACATCTAAATCGTGGACTTCCAGCATCCAGAACTGTGAAAGTAAACACATTTGTGTTATTTAAGCTACCCAGTCTATGGCATTTGTTACAGCAGCCCTAGCAGGCTAATACAGATGGCTATTTTCATATACTTGCTACTACCTTCCAAACAAAAATTCTTTGCTCTGAAATTTTACCTTTTGGCAGACAGATGATTCCATATACACTTTATTATAGTGTGGCTAAGAAAATCCAATAAAGGAATATGGATCTGCAGCAATTGATGAACTGAAAATGCTTCTTTCTATAGATGACAATGCTTATTATTATTTTGTCTAAATTCCCCAGGATAATAATATTGATTGCATAAAGTTTTAACTCTGGATTATAAAAACCAAATGTACAATTGAAAATATTTGTATTCTAGTGTCTCAATATAATATGGAAAATGGCACAAATATTACTATTAATAGTTTTAAATATTTCTATATATGTCTAGCTTTCACAGAGTCAGGGAATCATGATTTAAAGGGATGTAAGAGGCCATTGACTGGTAGAAATAATAACATAGGTGTGTATATCTTTTGCATATATCATTTAGTTATTCTTACTATGATACCAGCAGAGAAGATAGAAGTGTTCTCCTTGCACTATCAAAGAAATAAAAACTCAGAATGGTAAAATAATATAAGAATCCACTGCTAGTAAGCATTAATCAGGACTATAATCCTAACTTTCTGATGTCTACTCTACTGTTTCCCATTATTGTAACCTGACTCACTAATTTTTCCACTTTCATTCTAACCAAAACTTACGTAAAAATTGCTTTCTCAAATGTGGTCAAAAATCAACATCCAACTTACCACTTATAATTCCTGGGTTTATTTTTTAATTGATCACTCTTTCCCTGCCATTCCTCTGGCAATTTCATTATCCCTCAGAGGTTACAAAGAGTACAATAATTATTTTTTCACTGCATATTTTCAGGGTTAGAGGCAAGAGGTATTTTTTATTGTGAGGCAGGAGGGGAAATGAAGGACTATTGAAGATACTGTTGTGTTCTCTAATCTAAAAGGTAACGTGCCTGTGAATGCCATGACTCTGAGTCCATTTAATAATCTTCCAATTATATCTCTAAGTTTCCCAGGAGCCTTTTTCACATGTGCTGGCCTGCTCATGGAGTTGGTCACTGATGCTCTGGCATAAGATTTACACTCTGCCAGGCCCAGCCTACCTGGACTGGTGCCCATCACTGCTATCATCATCCTAGGCACATCTGCCTATATTTTCAGTCATAGAGCCAAGAAAAGACTGAATATTTTAGGCCTTACTGGAGATTCAATGAAATTACAACACAGAGATTAACTATCAACTTCTGCTGTATATAGATGATCTCACAGTCCCCAGGTTCAGGCCCATTCTCAGGGTCATACAATCTTTCTAGCCATATGGGATACACGGACTTATAGCCTCTTGATCATAAAATCCATGTCTCATATCATATATGTAAAGACTAGCCTATCTTCAGTAAGAAACATGACACTACCAGGTCATACCTCTACAGAGTGCCAGCTCATACCTCTACAGAGTGCCCTGACTATATCATACCCTTGAGTTTAATCTTCACTGCCCCAAGACCTTAAATGGGGAAAAATGTCTTCCTTTCACTATACCATAAGATTTGACTTCTTGTTACAGGATGTTCATTTTTCCTAGTTGATTAGCTGAAGAAATATCTTCTCCCTTAAGGACAGACCTCACCTTCACAGAGATGTGGCTCTTCCTCTGGCCCCACCAGGACAAACGTATCTGAACACAACAGTTCTCAACAAAGTCATTTCCCAGCATCTAGGTCATTTCGTCTTAGACAATGCCACTGGTAAGAAATCAAGAATTCCCTAAAATGTTCATACACACATAAAAATGTCCTTCCTTTTATGAGTTCTTTTCAGTATCAATTTAAAACTGTGCCTATATCTCTTTATTAAAGCCCTCTTCATTTGAGATCCTCATTCCAGAAAACAGCTGCTCAAGCAAGAATACATGCAATCTCAAAGAATAAATTACAGTATACAAGCAGACTACATTAAAAGTATATCCATAAAACAGAAACATATCTCTCAAAGAAGCAACAAAATCTGTGGAGATATAGCTTTGCCAAAAACTTACGCACAACAGTTAAAATTACCAAAGATGCTACATAGCTTCTCAGTTTATAACATCTGCAATCATGTTTACATACTGAAGAAAAGAGCCAAAGAAGAAAAAAAAGTCTAAAATATGGAATAAGAGATACCTATAGGGAAAAATATCTTAAGGGGATAATAATTAAGAGATAGAAGGAGGTAGAAGTCAAAACACAAGTGTATGGACCAACCTTGGATCAGAAGAAAAGCTGATCTTGGCTTGGGAGTAGAAACCTGGGAGAAGATTCTACACTAAAATTGAAATCTCTAGTAAGATGTGGGAAATAGGCAGGATAATACATTAATTTTTTTTAAGACAGAGTTTTGCTCTTGTTGCCCAGGCTGGAGTGCAATGGCATGATCTCGGCTCACTGCAACCTCTGCCTCCTGGCTTCAAGCTGTTCTCCTGCCTCAGCTTCCCGTGTAGCTGGGATTACAGGCACATGCCACTATGCTCAGATAATTTTTTTTTATTTTTAGTAGAGATGGGGTTTCACCACATTGGCCAGGCTGGCCTCGAACTCCTGAACCCCCGTGATCCACCCTCCCCGGCCTCCCAAAGTGCTGGGATTATAGGTGTGAGCCACCTCACCAGGCCTAATATATTAAATTTATTTCAGTTTCACAGTTAACTTCTAAGTGGTTAGTAAACAAGCCACCTTACATCTGTAGGTTTGAATTTACTTTATAAGAGAGAAGTATTGCATCCCTGCTTACTTCTCACTTTAGGATACAGAAATATAAAATGTGTGATCACAGATAAATAGAAAATGGCAAATACACATTAAGTTACATAATATCTTGTTCATAATCAAGATGAAATATATAAGAGAAGATTTATATGTTTACTTGACAACTATGGAGCAGAGGCATTAATATCAGTAGATAAGAGGTGAGTTCTTCCTTATCAGCTTGAACATCTTGTATTGAAGGTAGGTTGATCATTAGTCCTATGATACGAAACATCGATTGTATCAAATGTTATGAATGAGAGGCTATTCATCCACTAAAGCAGAATATCGCACATCTGGAACGTTCATTTGTAAAGGCTGCCATATCTCAGAATTGGCACGATGGGTTGCAGTGGAAAGAGAGTAAGTTTTGAAGTCCTCCGATCTTGCTTAACATTCTGGCTCTACTGTTTGTTAGCTATGAGTAGACAAGTCTATAATCCCATTTAGTAAGATAGTAATACAAGCAGCGCCTCACAAGTCTGCTGTCCTTTCTATCTCTTCTCTTAGTAAGGCAGCAATGGTATGAGTCATTGTAAAAGACATAAGCACAAGGACAATACCAGGTGTGTTAGACCATTTGTGCATTGCTAGAAAGGAATACCTGAGACTGGGTAAGTTATAAAGAAAATAGGTTTAGTTGACTCACGGTTTTGCAGGCTGTACAAACATGGCACCAACATCTGCTCAGCTTCTGGGGTGGCCTCAGGGAGCTTTTACTTATGGCCGAAGGTAAAGGGGAATCCAGGGTCCTGGTGAGGATGGGAGCAATAGAGAGAGTGGAGGTTGCGGGGAGGTGCCACACACTTTTAAGCAACCAGATCTTACGAGAATTCACTGACTGTGGCAACGACGGCACCAATGCAATAATGCTACACCATTCATTATTTACGATCATGAAATTCTTCTTGAAACTCTCAGTATCTTCCTGCCATATTTGGAATGAATTTTGAGCTTCTCATCATGGTCTACCAGGACTAACAAGGCTTTAGTGCGATACCACCATCTCATACCACAACACCCCCTGCTTACATTAGTGCAGTCATGCTTCCAGTCACTGATTCCAGAAAGTCTCTTGTTCAAATTATCCAGAGTCTGAACATGAGGTACTTGTGGTGGTCAGGGAGAATTAGGAGTGGAGAGGGAGGGAGCTGAAAAGGGAAGCGATGCAAGTGGCATTTCATGGCAGAGGAGATCTGGAATCTACCCACTTTTATATACCCATTTTAAATCAGTCCTTCTCTTCTCAGCCCCAATTCTTATTGCTGCCTTCCATTTTACCTGGTACCTTCAAGCTCTGAGCATTGCAATTGGAATACCTTTCACAAGTACTCAGGTTAAATTGTCCATTTTTTTCTCTAGGTCAGGTACTATACCTTGACCGACTTTCTAGCTTCCAAAATTCACAGCAATCTCTTGTCAATAGTTTTCTTTTTCTCTCCTATTTCTTTGACCTTATGAACTGATACATTTTTAATTCTTCATTCTTCTTCAGTGAAGTTCGGGAGAGTAGATATATGTATATGGTCAATCAGCCCACTTAATAGGAAGTATCCTGTCTTAGATCATTCATGCTGTGATAACAAAATACCTAAGACTATGTAATTTATAAAGAGAAGACATTTATTTTTCGCAGTTCTCAAGGCTGAGAAATCTGACATCAATTTGCCAGGAGGTTCTATTGTCTGGCCAGGGCACTCTGTCCCTTCTTCTAAGATGGCATTTTATTGCTGCATCCCCTGGATAAGACAAACATTGTGTCTTCACATGGTGGAAGGAATGAAAGAGGAAATAAGCCTAGCTAGCTCCCTCTCTTTTTTTTTTTTTTTCGACAGGGTCTCACTGTGTCACCCAGACTAGAGTACAGTGGCAGGATCATGGCTCACTGCAATCTCAAACTCCTGGTCTCAAGTGATCCTCACCTCTCAGCCTCTCAAGTAGTTAGGATTATAGCTGCGTGCCATCACTAATTTTTTAGCTCAGCTATTTTTAAAATTTTTTATTTTTTGCAGAGACAAGGTCTCACTATGTTGCCCATGTTGACCTCGAATTCCTGGCCTCAAGCAATCATCCTGCCTTAGCCTCCCAAAGTGCTGGGATTACAGGTGTAAACCACCATGCTTGGCCTGCCCCAGCTCTTTTAAAAGGCACTAATCCCAACCCTGAGAGCAGAGCCCTCATGTCCTAATCAACTTCTGAAGACCCTACCTCTTAATACTGTTGCCCTTGGGATGCAGTTTTAACATGAATTTTAGAAGGGACCCAAACATTCAACCCATAGCACATCCCTAGGATTAACTTGATTTCTCCCAACTCTTCTATTATAAGTTACAGAAAACCCTGGGACTTGAGGGCAAATCCTATATGAAATCCTATATCTGATACTATATCATCTGCTTAAGAGCAATGATAGTTTAGTCAGTTTAGACAGCATGACACTTTAAAACAGGGTTTCTCAACCTCAGCGCTATTGATGTTTGGGACTGCAAAACTCTTTATTGTGGGGAGCTTTGCTGTGCATTGTAGAATACTCAGCAGCATCCTTGGTCCCTATCTCCTCTTCCCTGCCCAAGTTGTAATAACCAAAACATCCCCAGACATAGTCAAACGTGTCCTGGGGAGAAAGTGCCCCTGGTTGAGAACCAATGATTTAGAACTTGAGAGTATCGTTACCAGAGTGAGGAGGGGGGCCGGTGGCAAACGCAAGAAACGTCTCTATTTTATCTGATCAACAAAAATATAACTTGCAAAACCTTGCGGCAAGACATAGCCTAATACTTTTGACCCTGAATTACTACATAATCCCAGGAAAAAGATATCATACTCCCAGGACAAGGGGAAAATGAAGTGAGCCAAGGTAGTGCTAAGGAACTCAGTAGTAGAATTCTGTGATCCTCACACAATCTTCATTTCCATTTCCATAACTGTTTACAGGCTCACCGGCTTTGCAGCTCTTGGTATTTTTTTTTTCAGTCTACCAATTTTGTTTCCTATGTCATCTGCAAATTTATATTTATTACATATTCTTTTAACAGATATTTCCCACTGAAAGAACATCAGGTACCACTGGAGACACTGCACATAGAGTACTGTATGTGAGATATACTCTCCTAATTTCATGCTGTTTATATTCATGTGGGAGCAATTGACAGTAAATCGTAAACCAATCAATACAAAAGTTAACTCAGATAGTGATAAGTGTTATATGGACAATAAGAATATATTGTGTTAGAAATGAAGGATGGGGCCAGGTGCAGTGACTGATGCCTATAATCCCAGCACTTTGGGAGGCCAAGGTGTGTGGGAGTTCGAGACCAGCCTGGTCAACATGGTGAAACCCCGCCTCTACTAAAAGTACAAAAATTAGCTCCGCATGGTTGCAGGCGTCTGTAGTCCCAGCTACTCGGGGAGGCTAAGGCAGGAGAATTGCTTGAACCTGGGAGGCGGGGGTTGCAGTGAGCTGAGATCACACCACTGCACTCCAGCCAAAGAAATAAAGGTTGGAGGGGAAGAGGCAGAGAAGGCAAGATTAGACTAGGAAGTTAGAGAAGACTCACTAAAAAGGAGACATCTGACTCAAAGCCAAAAACACAAGTAGAGGACGTAATTAAAAGTTTCCCATATGAAAATTTAGAAATACAACTCCAGGAAAAGGGAACATTCAGTGCTATGTGTGTGTATACACATATGTGTGCGCATGTGTATGGATACATATATACATTTAAATTGACATTTTTCTCTACTTCCTTGTTTCTGTTTGCCCATCGCCGCTCCTCCCTCATTAATTTAGGCCAAAAATGGCTCGGTACAGCTGCACGCCCTCCCCTCTCTCACACGCTGCATTTTCAGCTCCCACTGTCACCTCCCTCATTATTTTGTTGTTTCCTAATTTTAATTCTCAACTATTCTAATCTGATGGGCCAAGCTTATCGTTTTATTCCAAGTAATGCTGTAAACTGCTTGCTAGTCTAAGGATTGACTACTCTGGGATCAGATGCCCTTTCCTAATCTAATCAACAAGGCTACAACAGAAAAAGGTCATTTGGTACCAAAACATCTGCCTGAAGTTTCCCTTCGGTATGACTGAAGTCAAGTCAATTTTCCTTTAAAGAGCGAGGGTAAGCAAGCTTCCTGATTGACATATCTTGTGAAATCACCAGCTGAATCATCCTTTGCTATGTACTCAAGGTCATCCTGCCTTTCAGCTCCGCTGTGATTCATGTTTCATTTTTAATTTATCGTCCAGAGAAATCCCTGGAAGATATCAGAAAAACAGTCTTGGCAGTAGCAGAGGTTAAAAGCAAATAGATAAGTATATGTCTTCTCCACAACAGTGTAAGATTGAAACTAAGTTTCCCCAGACACCGAAACGAACATATGTTTTATATTAGTTCGCTTTCCCTGGTGTAAATCATACATTCATTTATTAAAGCAAAAATCATTGCACACTCATAGAAGCCAAACCATGTTGAAAGCTCTCGATAAAACAGCCATGAACAGAATGGATCCGGTCCCTGCCTTTGAAGGCTTACAAAATAATAGGCACATACAGTGGATATAGGAAATATGTCTTTGAGTACCCAGCACTTTTTGAGTTTTTTTTTCCCGTGTCTTGCAAATTTTCCAGGTAAGGAGGACTGCCACCCCCGTGAAGATTCCAGAAGCTCCACATCTCAGAGTTCCAACTAGAGCCCAGGCATGATTTTGGCTCTTCCTATCCAATGCATTGTTACAATATTAAGTGCAAATGAAAGGGCATGGAGATGAAAGCATAAAGAGTCTACTTTTTGTAAGTGTGGACTGGCATGGCAAAGTCATCCAGGCCCAAGAGGGAGCAGCAATAGCCATTCACATAATGATCTTTGGTACCTAAGATGTGGAGTCCTCACTTGAGCAGCCTCATGGCATAATCTTAGTATTACCTAGATTGGTACCGTCCAATATGGTCACTACTAGCCACATGCATCTTAAAATATGGCTTAAATCATGGCTACTTAAAATATGAATAGTGCAACTGATAAACTAAATTTTTCATTTTATTTCATTTTAATTAATTTAAATTTTAATTTAAAAATACTTCAGTTACTGGAAAACTGAAGTAGAATTGAAGCAATTCTGATATGTGAATCTACTTTTTCAAATGTACATTTTTTGAAATGTAAATATAGGTCTGGTATCTTTGATAAACATTTAGTGCCCAAGTTGAGATGGGTTGTAAGCGTAAAAAGCACACAGGAGGGCCGGGAGTGGTGGCTCATGCCTGTAATCCCAGCACTTTGGGAGGCCGAGGTGGGCAGATCATGAGGTCAGGAGATTGAGGCCATCCTGGCTAACATGGTGAAATTCCATCTATACTAAAAATACAAAACATTAGCCGGGCATGGGGGTGGGCACCTGTAGTCCCAGCTACTAGGGAGGCTGAGGCAGGAGAATGGTGTGAACCTGAGAGGCGGAGCTTGCAGTGAGCCAAGATTGCACCACTGCACTCCAGCCTGGGTGGCAGAGCGAGACTCCGTCTCAAAAAAAAAAAAAAAAAAAACCAAACAACAAACAACCCCACAGGATTTTGACGACCTTGTGTTAAAAACCATGTAATATATTTCATCAATAATTATTTATATTAATTACATGTTGAAACTTGTTCCTCTTTGGATCAGTAAAAAAAGAAAGAAAAAAATTAATTACATGTTGAAATATTTCAGATTAATCAAGGTAAATACAAGACATTGTTAAATTAACTTCACTTCTTTTATTTTACCCTTTTAACGTGGCTATGAAAAATTTTAAATTACCTATGTGGCTCACATATTTTTGTTAGACAGCAATTTTCTAGACTAGTGGTTCTCAAATTCTCATCAGAATTACCTAGAAGGCACGTTAAACCAATATAATGTTTTGATTGAGAATGAGAGAGTGTGAGCCAGGAAGTGATCTCTGACAAAAAGTGATAATTAAGGTGAAATCTAAAGGTGAAGATTTGTGGGGAGGATTGCTACAGAGAAATAAAACAGCATGTGGCAAGGAAACGATCAGTACTTCTGAAAGGCTCTCGTGGTCAGATTTAGGGGGAAAAGAACTCAGAAAGGCAGAAGGGAACCAAATCATGTGTGACTCTTTAGGCTTTGGTAAAAAGTTTGAATTTTATTCAAAGTCTAATGAGAATGTCTGAAAAAGTTTCTGTCAGTGGAGGATTGGAATACATTTTCACTTTTAAGAGATTACACAAGTAATGTCTGGAAAACTATTTGGATATGAGCAAGAATGGAAATTGAGAGATAAGTAAGAAGGCTATTCCAACAGTGAAGGGAGAGCTGAGTAAAATAGCTAAAACAACCTGGTGGAATACTAAGCAGCTATGGAAAATAGCAACTATGGAGGCTTCACAGATATGGGAAATGCTTAGGATACAATATTAACTTTAAAAAGAAGATAAAATTATACAAACATTATGTAAGCTTCAATTACGTGAAGTTATGTATGCCTATAAAGTCTAAATAAGAAAGTAACCCACCTCCGTCAAAAAAGAAAAGAAAAATAGTGGTAAGATGGATGATACTTTTCCTTTTGCAAAATTCAAATTAACATAGTGTTATTTTACAAACATATAGAGTGGGAGACTTGCTTTAATTAAACAAAGAATGTTTCCCATTTTTTTCTCTTTGTATGGTGAAATATTTGTATGTTCCAAAAAGACAAAATTGTCATAATATGAATGACATTTATATTTGTTTATTACTACAGAATAAATTTCCATGTTTTAAGCAAACAGGCATTCCATTAGTTTTTCCATATCATTCTCTGTACTGCAAGCAGAAATAAGATATCATCCACTAGAAGAATTTCCAGTTGTATTAAAATCAATGCATCAGACCTTCAATTGGAAAACAATGATAGTCATCAGATTTCAAATCTCCACATAGAACCTCTCACCAACAAAAGAAACATACATTTACCTAGTTATAATTCATCTATTTAAACGGTATTTGTTGTTACATGCTAATGTATATCCTGCTACCCTACGGAGTTATGTATCTAACAACACAGAAATCGAAATGTATAATATGAAACTGCAAAAGTATTATTATTGAGGGTAAGTTCCTCTACAATCTGAGAGTAGAAAAAGACTTTCTGCCCAAAACTTCACAACCCAGGCACCACAAAAAGAAAATTATTACATTTGACCTCTTTAAAATTAAATCCTTTGTATGGCATGAACACCATAAGTGAAAGAAATTGCAACATATACCACTTTAAAAAATCTAACATCCCTAATATACAAAGAAATTTTTAAAATTGAGGGAAAAACACCAAAATCCTAAAGAAAAATGGGCAAAGATTTGAATAAGTAACTCACAAAAAGATTATAACTAACAGTCCTGTGATGTTCAATTTCACTCATAAGAGAAATGCAAGAAAAATCAACTCTTCCATCAAATTGGCAATAAAGAAAAAATCCAAAAGCTCAGCAATATATTATGTAGGCAAAGTTGTAAGGAATACATTACTGCTGGGAATGCAAAATGTCACAGTCCCTCTAGAGCAGGATTTGGCAATATTTAGCAAAATGCGTTACCACTTCTGCAAATTTACCCTGAGATATAGCTCCAACAACAAGAAAATACATATTTTCAAGGTTATTAAGGTTATTCATTGCAGCATTATTTGCTATTGCAAATACCGATAAGTAAATATTCAAACATATGAGAAAACAATGGTACACATTTCGTGTAAACTATGGAGCAACAATAGATGAATGAGGACAATCTCTAGGAACTGATATGGAATGATCTCCTGGATATATCATTCAGTACAAACAAAAAACAAAAATAGTGCAAAAGAACATATACAGTATGCTATCTTCCGTGTAAGAAGGAAAGGGAAATAATGAAATCTGTACCAATAACTCTAATTTCAATCCATCACCACGAGGTTCTTCCTTGCTGTTACCCATTCCACAATCCTATAATACATCTAAAATAATTTCAGAATTGCTTTGCATATATCACCACAACAAGCTACTAAAAAATCTGCTTATCTTTATTAAAAAAGAAACACATTAGAGAGAAACTAGAAAATCATGACCACCGGTTATGTTAGAGGAACAGGGAGACTGGAATGGAGGCATACGGGAAGGATTAACACTTCCCTGAATATAGCCTTTGGTATTTATTTTTTTTTTTTACTTTTAGAAGCTCTCTAATGTTCTACATATTCAAAAAACAAGTCAACAATGATGGGAGAGAAAACAAAGCAAACAATAGCAGCACCAATAGCAGCAACCTAAGTAAAACCGAAAGCAAATGGAAATAAATGAACCCAAATGCATTTCAAGTGAATTAAAGTTGGCAGGGGTAGGGGAGCACTAACTCAAGTAAGTGATGAACACAGTAACTGACTATACGCCCTCAGTCTTGGGTGGAGTTGGGGGGAGAATTAATTGAAAGCACAATCTAAATTCTTTTTAGTGTTTTTTTTTTGTATTGTTATTTTATGTTGTGGTATGGACAGAGCAATTCAATTCTGAAACTGTTTTAGATGTATTACAGGAGTGAGTGAAGAAATAGCAAGTGTAAAAAGAGTTACAAATATGGAGTGAGAGAAGTCAAGGAACAGCCCTATGGTGATGATATATATATATACACATTATATATATATATACACAGCTACATATATACATATATATATCTGAGTGCCCGTGTGTGTGTGTGTGTGTGTAAAACATGCATATATTTCCTAGCTCTTATACTGAAAGAGACAAGATACAAAGGCACTCCAGCAGTAACATGCACTTTGATTTCTTTCTTTTCCCCATTCTTTTTTTTTATTATTATTATACTTTAAGTTCTAGGGTACTTTGATCTCTAAGACCATTATCCACTAAAAGGACCCAGAACTCCTCAGAGAAATGACTGATTTCAGGGCTGGAGCAGAGAAGATTCAAAATGAACCTGGGATATCTTTTATGTCAAAAAGTTAAGAAATTCCCAAAACACTTGTGGGGTTGTGTCACAAGGACACAATAGCTAGCTTGAAGATGCTCCACTGGCCCAAAATGGGACATTTTAAGATTAATGAATTATAAACTCTTGAAAAAGTAGGAATTCTTAAGTCCATACTCACAATCAATCAATCAATGAGGGAGAGGCATTCTTATTTTGAATGACGAGCAACAACTGGTGAATAGACAGAGGGAAAGCTGGAGTTCAAAACATGATAATTTGCATCCATAACAGTAAAGATTGCTTCAAGCAAAAATTACTAATGTGTGTTAAACCTAAAGGAGGAAAATTTGCTGAAGAGCAGGATATTTGCACGGCTTAATGTCTCCCTGTAGATTGCATATTGGTAGGAAAGGAAAAATTAGCAAATATAGGTTGGAAGTTTCCAACAGATTAACACACATACTGAAATATTTAGGGGGAAAGAGCTACAATGTGTGCAACTTACTCTTGAATGATTCAGAAAAACAGTAATATGTGCACAGATAGAGAAAAAGAACAAATGGCAAAAGAGATAGAACGCTAATAGGTGAAACGGAGTAAAAAATATGTGAGTGCTTTATACCACTCTTTCAAATTTTGTATTTGAGATTTCCAAATAAAAAGTAATAAACAAAATTTAAAAACAGGCTTATACAAATGCCATTGTTTCATTGTCCTCGGAGTGAATGCAAATGTCACAATTAATAGGATACATAGAAAAATATTCTAACAGTGAAGCTTCCATCTTGTCCTTTTTCTTTGAATTAGGGACCGATTTTGGAGTGTTTTTCCAGAAGCAAACAAACAAACAAAAAATGATGAAGCAGCTGATTAAAATAATTAAATAAAATAGGACACATCACGTACTTAGTAGTAATTGTAGTATATTTCCTGAAAAAATATGAAGTTCTTAAGCTAAAATCTTTAAGAGCATTTATGCCACCAAGATTGATAATGAAAACAAAATTATTTCCCTATAATAGACTTTTTCAACAAAATTAATATATCAAAGCACATGGTTTGAATATGAACTGTCTCCCAAATTTCCTTTGAAAAGCTAATATGGCCATATTTAAAAGAAAAAGTAGCCACAAACTCAAAGCCAACTTTTGATTTTAAGATCATCATTATAAATCCTTGTTAGGCTGAGGACATTGAAAGGATAATTTTAAGAACAATTTTGAGGCCTTAAGAACAAAACCTTGGTGAAAAGGCAAAGGTGAGAAACAGTGGTATGCTAAAGTGGACATGAGATCTAAATAAATAAATAAATAAATAAATAAATAAATAAATAAGTAAAACCTGGATTTAAAAGTTGCTTTTTCCTCTTAGCAGTAGCTAGAGACAAGGGATAATATTCCTAAAGTCAGAATTTTCTAAATCAGTGGTTCTCATTACGGTACTTGGCCAGCAGCATCTGCATCAACTGATAACTTATTAGAAATGCAAATTATTTGGTGCCAACTGAATCAGGGACAGGGTCTGGTGATCTCTATTTTAACACACCCTGCAGGTGATTCTGATGCACACTAAACTTTCAGACTGATACTTCCAACCATAGTGTAACAACGATGGTAATACAGCACATTTTAGGATTGTTAGAATGATTAAGTATATTACACATGTGAAGATGATTTTTCTAAACTGTATTTAAAAAAATCATTGTTAATGGTTGATTATTGTTGTGTGACATAGAGTTGTGGGAGAAAAAATGCTAAATCAATAGTTACTTTGTGATTTCATCAAAACCATCTTCAAAGAAACTTTAAAGAAGGTTATTTCAAATGAAAAAAGAGACACTACATACCAAAATCTCCTGGATGCAGCAAAAGCAGCACTAAGAGGAACATTTATAGCACCAAATACCTACCTCAAAAAGTTAGAGCGATCTCGAATTAACGATCTAACATCACACCTAGAGGAACTAGAAAAACAAGAACAAACCAACCCAAAGCTAGCAGAAGAAAAAGAAATAACCAAAATTAGATCAGGACTAAGTGAAATTGAGACCAAAAAATCCATACAAAGAATCAATGAAACCAAAAGTTGGTTTTTTGAAAGGATAAATAAGATCAATAGACCACTAGCTAAGTTAAAGAAAAAGAGAAGATCCAAATAAGCACAATCAGAAATGACAAAGGTAACACTACAACTGATCTCACAGAAATACAAAAGATTCTCGGAGACTATTATGAACAAAAATGGATAAACTTCTGGAAACACACAACCATCCAAGATTGAATTAGGAAGAAATCAAAACCCTGAGCACACCTATATCAAGTTCTGAAATTGAATCAGTAATAAAAAATTTGCCAAACAAACAAAAAACCCCTGGTGCATTAGTCTATTCTCACGCTGCTAATAAAGACATACCCAAGACTGGGTAACTTATAAAAGAAAGAGGTTTAATGGACTCACAGTTCCACATGGCTGGGGGGTGGGGTCTCACAATCACGGTGGAAGGCAAAGGAGAAGCAAAAGCATGTCTTATGTGGTAGCTGGCAAGAGAGCTTGTGCATGGGAACTCCCATTTCTAAAATCATCAGATCTCATGAGACTTATTCACTACCACGAGAATGGTATAAGGAAAACTGCCCCCGTGATTCAATTATCTCCATTAGGCCCCACCCGCCCTTGACACATCGGGATTATTACAATTCAAAGTGAGATTTGAGTGGGGAAACAGCCAAACCATATCACCTGGACCAGATGAATTCACAGCCAAATTCTACCAGATGTGCAAAGAAGAGCTGGTACCAATTGTACTGAAACAATTCAAAAAAATCCAGGAGGAGAGACTCCTCCCTAACTCATTCTATGAAGCCAACATCACCCTGATACTAAAACCAGGCAAAGACACAATGAAAAAAGAAAACTATAGATCACACTATATCTGATGAACATAGACACAAGAATCCACAACAAAATACTAGCAAACCACATGGAGCAGCATATCAAAAAGTTAATTCACCACAATCAAGTAGGCTTCATTCCTGGGAAGCAAGGATGGGTCTATGTATGCAAATCAATAAATATGATTCACTGCATAAACAGAATTAAAAACAAAAACCATATGATCAGCTCAACAGGGGTGAAAAAAACCTTCAATGAAATCCAACATCCCTTTGTGATAAAAACCCTCAACAAACTAGGGATCAAGGGAATATATCTCAAAGTAAGAGCCATCTATAACAAATCCATGGCCAATATCACTGAATTGGCAAAAGTTGGAAGCATACCCCTTGAGAACTGGAACAAGGCAAGGATGCCCATTCTCACCAATCTTATCTAACATAGTACTGGAAGTCCTTGCCAGAGCAATCAAGCAAGAGAAAGAAATAAAAGGCATCCAAAGAGAAGAAGAAGAAGTCAAATTATCTCTTTTCACTGATGATATGATTCTATACTTTAAAAAGCCTAAAGACTCCATCAAAAGGTTCCTAGAACTAACTGACAAATGACTTCAGTAAAGTTTCAGGATACAAAATCAAGGTATGAAAATCAGTAGCATTTCTGTACACCAATTAAGTTCAAGCTGAGAGCCAAATCAAGAACATAATCCAAATTACCATAGTGACAAAAGGAATAAAATACCTAGGAATACATCTAACCAAGGAGGTGAAGAATCTCTACAAGGAGAACTACAAAACATTGCTGAAAGAAATCATAGATGACACAAGCAAATGGGAACACATTCTATGTTCATGGATTGGAAGACTCAATACCGTTAAAATGACCATTCTGCTGAAAACAATCTGCAGATTCAATCCTATTTCTATCAAACTACCAATGTCATTTTTTGCAGAATTAGAAAGAAACTATTGTCAAATTCATTTGGAACCAAAAAAGAACCCAAACAACCAAAATAATTCTAAGCAAAAAGAACAAAGCCAGAGGCCTCACATTACCGAACTTCAAACTATACTATAAGGCTACCAGTAGCCAAAACAGCATGGTACTGGTACAAAGACAGACAGATAGACTAATGAAACAGAATAGAGAACCCAGAAATAAAGCTGCATAGCTACAGCCATCTGATCGTTGACAAAGTCAACACAAATAGGCAATGGGGAAATGACTCCCTATTCAATATATGGGGCTGGGATAACTGGCTAGCCATATGCAGAAGACATGAACAGACACTTCTCAAAAGATGACATACAAGCAGCAAACAAGCATATAAAAAATGCTCAACGTCACTAACCATCACAGGAACGCAAGTCAACACCATAATGAGATATCATCTTACACCAGTCAGAAGGGCTATTACTGAAAAATCAAAAAACAACAGATGCTGATGAGACTGCAGAGAAAAAGGAACACTTATACACTGTCGATGGTAATGAAATTAGTTCAGTCCCTGTGGAAAGCAATTTGGAGATTTCTCAAAGGAATTAAAAAATAAGCCAGGCACGGTGGCTCACGCCTGTAATCCCAGCACTTTGGGAGGCCGAGGTGGGCAGATCACCTGAGGTCAGCCTGGCCAACATGGTGAAACCTCATCTCTACTAAAAATACAAAAATTAGCCGGGTGTGGTGATGGGCATCTGTAGTCCCAGCTACTCTGGAGGCTGAGGCAGGAGAATCGCATGAACCTGGGAGGCAGAGGTTGCAGTGAGCCGAGATTGTGCCACTGCACTCCAGCCTGGGCAACAAGAGCAAGACTCCATCTCAAAAGAAAAAAAAAAAAGGACTTAAAACATAACTACCATTAACCCAGCAATCCCATTGCTGGGAATATATCCAAGCCAGAAGAAAATAAACCATTTTACCAAAAGACACATGCATCCATATGTTCATTGCAGCATTATTCACCATAGCAAAGACATGAAATAAACGTAGGTGCCCTTCAGTGGAGGATTGGAAAAAGAAAATGTGGAACTTATACACCACGGAATACTACACAGCCATAAAAAATTAAAAAAACAACAAAATCATGTCCTTTGCAGCAACATGGATGTCTCTGGAGGCCATAACTTAAGGTGAATTAATGCAGGAATAGAAAACCAAACAGCACATAGTCTCACTTATAAGTGGGAGCTAAATATTGGGTGCTCATGAACATAAAGCCGGCAACAATGGACTCTGGGGACTTATAGAAGGCGGAAGGAAGGGATGAAGAATATGGGTGCTATGTTCACTACAATCTGGGCGATGGGATCTCCCATATCCCAAACCTCAGCACCATACAATATACCCATTTAACAAACCTGCAGATGTACCCACTGAATCTAAAATAAAAGTTGAAATCATTTTTTAAAAAGAAAGTTATTTCCTCAAACCATCCCACACTTGATGCTAGGTCTTGCACAGAGGAGGTGCCTCAGTAAAGCATTTTTGATGCTAATAAAAACATTGCTGTTGAGAAAGGTCATAGGAACGTATTATCTTCTGTTTTTTACATAGTCAAAACCAAGCAAAGCTATTTTGAAAAACAGTTTACATTTGATGGGTGCAGGCAGAAGCTCTGCTCTGGAGACACACTCTCATGGCAGTTAGACGTGTGACCTTGGGCAGAGTTACTTAACCACTCTCAGTCTCAATACCTGTATTCATCCAAATAGAGGTGATAATAATAGTATCTACCTCACTGAGATTTTGAGAGTATTCATGAATAAACTTAAAGAACTTAGAAATGGACTTGGTACATAATAAACATTTGATATTCCTTCCACACCTTAAATGCGACACTTAAATCATCTCCCCTTTTCTTCATGGTTTTTCTTCTTGTTTTCTTCTGGGGTTTTTGCATGTTTCTGTATAAGTACTTTTTTTTCCTTGGCATTCACACGTCGTCAAATGAAGATGAAGAACAGATACAAGTAGAGCCCTTGCGTGTACATAAAATGTTTTTGTTGTATTTATTAAAAGGTAATTAATTGTAAGACATTATACTAATCCGTTTGATTCTATGGTGAAATAAATTATTGGAAGAGAGAAATGTGGGTCAGGGAACTCAAAAGGGGATTATCATCAAACTTGAACACACTCTATCACATCATGGCAAAATCTGCTATGTGGCCTCTTGCCATGGGATCTAGCCTGCCTCTAACTGACTTGGTAATTTGGCCTTAGTCTTCTTACGTAAGAAACTGGGAAACTGACCTAGACAATCTGTGGAGTCCTGTCCTATTCTAACTTTTTGGTCCTAAATAAAACTATAAGTTAAAACTACTTACTTGTCATATTTCACCTATAGCTTTTTAATCATCTTCAAGCATTTAAAATTTCAGCATATACCTCATTCAGAGGTACTTTTTTTTTTAAAAAAAAAGAGATACCCAGGAAGAAAGTGGGGAAAAAGAAAGTTCAATAAAAGATGAAAACATTAGCTGCATTTTTCCACTGTTGAGATCATTTTGTATTCCATTTCTTATTTAACTATATATCTTAAAGATCTTTTCAACAATTTTAAACATTAGATATGAGTTCATAATGTGGATATACCCTAATTTACTTAACTGTTTTACCTCTGTTGTACATGTAAACTATTTTTTAAAATTGTAATAAACATTGTTCTAGATGTCATAGTGGATCAGAAATATTAATAAAATCTGATTTAGAAGAGGATTCTTGGATTGCATTCTTTATCTTTCAGTGGGTTAAAAATAGTTTCACCCTCTTCAATTCCAGGGTTGCAAATGAGAAATCTGATGCCTGTCAGATTCTCTTTTTCAAGGAAACATAAAAATTATATATGAAAATGTATATGATTTTAAATTTATACTTGTTGAAACTGGTCTCTAAGATATGTACATATTTGTGCTTCTTTTCAAAAAAAATTTCTCGGAACTAACTCACCATTTTAAATATGAAAATTCAAATTTTATTACAGCTCAGAATTTTAAAACATTATTTCTTTGACGTTTGCTTTTTCACTTTGTGTTTCTCTGGAAACTATTAGCCTGCACATTATTCCCATTCTTTGGGTTTTTATATTTTTATTCGTGGTTTCTATTTCTTTGTGTTTTTTTTCCTCTGTTATATGAAAAATACTCCTTATTTGATCTAACAATTTTTTTTTTCTTTTTTTGAGACAGAGTCTCACTCTGGAGTGCAGTGGCATGATCTTACCTCACTGTAACCTCTACCTCCTGATTCTCCTGCCTCAGCTACCCGAATAGCTGAGAGCTGAGACTACTGGTGCACACCACCACGCCCAGTTAATTTTTTGTATTTTTAGTACAGATGAAGTTTCACCATGTTGGCTAGGCTGCTCTTGAACTCTTAGCCTCAAGTGATACCCACCTCGGCCTCCCAAAGTGCTGGGATTACAGGCGTGATCCACCGCGCCTGGCCTGATCTAACAATCTAAGTTTTTTTTTTTTAATGTGACTATTTTATAATTTTTTTCTGTAAATTTTAAAACCTCAAACCACATTTATTTTAATTTCCAGGAACTCTTTTAGTTCCTCTGATGTTGTATTCTTAAGGTTTCTCATTCCATACATATTTGTATATACATCTTTTTTTCCTTCAAATCCTTTCTTTTAACTACCACAATTTCTTAAATGGCTTGCCATCTTTCTTTGCCTTTCCATGTCAATTGAGTTTGGTTTCCTGAGCATCAGCATACTTCAAGGTAGCAGCTCTGGAAGGTACACTTGCAGGCAAGCTTGCTCGACCAATCTGTTGAACTGTATGAGAAGTCTTTCTGTTCTCAAAAGTAAGCTGAAAGAGACTATCCTGACCAACACTGCAACTTCCTATGGGCCTCAGTGGCAACAGCCAGCCTCTTCCTGATCTGTGTCAAAAAGTGGGCGGGAGAAGCCCCTTCTTCTATCACAGCTACCAGCCCATCAAGGATCTGTATTCAGTCTCATCTGCAAAGACAATCATTTTTCTATTCCAAGCAGGCTGGATACCATTCTTCAGCTCTGCAAACACTGACTTCCATCTGTATCTTCTTCCTTCAAGACTCAAAGGGCTTGTATGCCTGGGATTTTCTCTAGGTTCCAACCATTGTCCCAGTTATTTAGAAATTGTGCTTCCCAGTGGAATGTTTTGATCAGGCTACAAGAATGACAGGACCTAGTGAACAAGTTCTTGAACACCCTGGATTAAATGTTTGAATTTTAACCTAAGGGCAACAGGATGCTACTGAGTGAGTGAACATGATGAAATCTGTAGTTTAAGAAGAAATATTCCAGCTTCAGTCTGGCAAACATCTCTGAAGGCAGGGAGGCTGAATATAATCAAGACTATAAAAGTCTAGATTAGGACAGAAATAGATGATAATTTAAAATGCGTTTGGGTGGTGTTCAGGTGGACAGATTAGGTGAACTTGGTGATAGATTGGCCAGCGAGGATGAGAAAAAAGGTGGAACTGATCAGCCTTCTTTAGAACATGGTGGATGGTTGGGCCTTCACCAACGTGTAAAACACAGTAAAGAGCTTAGCTTATGTTTATTTTGGGGGTGATGTTTCCTCCCACTCTCGTATTCCCTTGCAGCACTGCATTTACAGGAAAAAATTCCTGGAAGAGAACTGACTAAATTAAGTACATGTGTATTTGAATTTTCGTACATATAACCACACCGTTTCCCTTAAGAGTTCATTTGGTTTTGTATTTGGTTGGTTTGATACATGAAAAGTGATGTCTCACTGTCAATTTTATTTCTATATTTATATTTATTTGTTTTGTATGAAGTGTCTATTAATATCCTTCCTCAGTTATCTCTTGGTTGTTTTTCCTATTGATTTTTTTAAGCTCAGTATAATAATGAGATTAGGACTTTGCATTGCAAATATTTTTGCCAGTTAAATGTCTGCCAACTGGAAGTATTAATTCTTATTTAGTCAAGTTGGTCAATATTTTGTTTTATGGTTTCTGAGTTTTTTATAATGCTTAGAAAAGGCTTCCCTATTCCACAATTATTTGAATGTTATCCTCTTATTTTTTAATCTAATATTTTCATAGTTGTATCTTAAATATGTAATTCATATAGAACTGATTTTGATGTAAAAAGATAAGGCTCCACAGATGGCTATTTACGGCCTCAACACTTTTCACTGAGTAACTCATCATTTCCCCTACTACTTTACATTGATATTTCTTTAAACCATAAATTAAATTGCTGTACATACTCATGTCTACTTTTGGGTTACCTTTTCTCTTTCACTAAGCCTATCTATTCCAATGTTAATCTAAACTGTTTTAATTATTGTGATATTATATGTAATATCCCATTCATTATTCCCATTCATTACTCTTGTTTTAAATAGATATTCTTACATATTTATTTTCCATATAAACTTTAGAATCAGATTGGTTTGAAAAAAATCATGTTATTTTAAAAATTGGGATCAATTTTATTTCCAAATGTATATAATAATTTGGGGAATCTTGTTGTCTTTATCCTACTAAATTTTCTTAGTGAAAAAAGTATCTCTTTACTTATTCGTATCATTTTTTTTCCTTCATGCATAACATTGAGAACTTTCTGATTTTTGTTTGCAGGAAAGAAAACTATTGGTTTGCTAAACAAGAGCTTTATAGTTGATTAACTTTGATTTTCCATGTATACACGTATTTCATTTGCTAATGACAATTTAGCTTTCATTTTTCATAAATCTTTTTCTTTCTCTTGTTTAATTGCATAGGCCAGTAACTCCAAAACGTCAAAATCATAACGACAGTGTGCACTGTTGTGTTTTTTTTTTCTGAATTTACAGGAAAAAATAATAAACATTTTATCAGCTTTCAGCAGAGATGCCATACACTTTCTGTACTTCCCAATCCTGAGTTTTCTTCACTGTCACTCTTTGTCGAATACCTTCAACCCTGAAAATTCCTTCCCTTTGTTTAAAGATAAAAAGCAAAGTTGTTCATCCATTGCTTAGAAAGGAAAAATTGTAGTGGAGGCAAGGTTAAAAAGGAGCAGGCTGAACTCCATAGCAATCGCCAAAGCAAGGGGTTAGGAAAAGTTTCTTGGTCCCCTAGTCACTCTTTAGAAGGAAGAACCCGGGCTTGGGGAGGAGTCGGGGCCACCCCCGCCCCCTGCCCGCAGTCGTTGCCACCCGCGGAGATGAAATGTGAGCCTGGGTGGCCAAGGACGCCGGAGTGGCCGCCTTCCCCGCGCCTGAGCGCAGTGGGGCGAGACAAAGAGACCTGGGCCCCCAGCGCAGCCCGTCTCGGGCCACGGGCGCCCCAGCTCCGCGGAGTCCCGCAGTCGCTGGCCCGGGACGCGCCCGGCCCGGGCTCCCTTGGAAGGCTCCCTAGGCAATGGCCGGGTCTCTGCTCCACCCGGCTCTCAGGAGCGCTGCTCTCTCCATCTGATCGCCCTCCATCCTCCCCATTCCCTCCGGTTCCGGGCTCTCCCTTCGCTCCAAGCCTCAGGCCACCGGCTTGGATGGACGCTCCGAGGCTACCCGTGCGTCCAGGGGTCTTGCTTCCGAAGTTGGTCCTGCTCTTTGTCTACGCAGGTCAGTGACGGAGGGCGGCGGAGAGGGTCAGAGGCTCGGGGCTGCCCTTGGGTCACGGTCCGGGCTAACGTGGGTTGAGCTGGACGGACCGGGACCTTTGCAGAAGGACCTTTGCAGACGCTTCTGCCTTTTCCGCGAGGCGACGGCAGAAACCCGCGCACTTCCAGCCGCACGCGGTTTTGTTTTGTTCCTTTTCCTTTAACTTTTACCTTTTGCATTTCTTTTCTTTCCCTTTCCACCTTGGAAATAGCAGTCTCGTGTTTAGGGGATTTGACTCTCTGGATAGAGTAAACTATATCCAAATAAACTTATCTGGATAGGCTAGGCAGTGGCCTCTCCATCTTCTGCTTTCTAAATAGTCCTGGTTTTCCCTCTTGTGAATAAAAAAAACTTAGAGCTTTGTTTTCGTTCTTTGGGAGATTCACAAGTGTGGTAGACTGAGCTATTGGACTGAAGTCAAACACAAGGTTTTTGAGAAGCATGAATTCACCCAGGGTCTAATCTGTACAGGTTCGTTGATTTAGATAGACACTTGTTTATAAGAGAAGGGCATCTGGTTTCCCTTCTAATTATTCGTAGTAAGAACTGCTAATAATTAACGAAGCAAAGTGGGTTTTCTTGTTTGTGATTAATATGGAGCCCCAAATGGCCTTTCATTGGTTATTCAGGTATAAAGTGTCTTACACACGTGGTCTTTGCATCAGTTCATATTCACAAAACAATGCAAGCTAAAAGCAAAGTTCTTTGTAAAATGTTTTTGTGTCTCTAACGTCCTATGACAAAAATCGCAGGCTCACCCCTGAGCCTCCAATACGAAATGTATATATAGCACTGAAATTTACCTTTGATACTCAAAAAGATATTGCAACTGAAATGATGTTCTTCAGTGTTGCACCTGAGTATTAAAAGAATTGAATTTCTCATTCAACCTTGCTAGAAAAGAGTCACCATAACTTCTGTAGACATTTTTAGCCTGTTTATTGAAATGCAAATTAGTGGCTGTCTAGGAGTTACCATTTTAAAGATGTTTTATGGCAGGAAAAATGCTGACCTTCTAATATGAAAATTCATAAAAGTAGGATAAGTTCTTCGTATTTAATGAAGAGAATTACATTTAATCTGTTTACAACATTTATTTCTTTTATTAAATTTGTATAAGGTTTTCAGAATTTGAGGGATTAACAGAGTCAACTGCATTAATATTCATTTTCTATTGAAAAAATCTCTTTATTAGTTCTTTCGAAGTAATTATGCTTTTCACTTCCTCTGCTCGACAATATTTAATACTTTCACTCACACTTATTCAACCACTCCATTGAACCACAATTTTGTTTGTTTGTTTGTTTGTTTATTATATTCCCTGTGGTAAACTGAAAGCTTCTGCTTTACACATCTGCCCCCTCCTCCTGTTTCCCCAGTGCTAGGTGCCCAGCTCCTCAGGGCTCAGGAAATCAGCGAAGCTGGCCAGCAACAAGGGTGGTTAGTTTAGAAAGTTTTCAGTCCATTCATTTCTCTTCTTTGGAATCCCTCTATCATAAGCTACAAAGTAGTTGTAAGCCAGTGCTAAGTTGACTTACTATCTTTGCTAAGAAGTGTTTAGCTAATAAGCTCTTTGGTGTCAATTCCTGGACTTGTTATTCAGAGGCCTTTTTATGCTTTTCATATTCATTCAACTATTACTTACTGAGTGAGGTATGTTGAGCCGTAAGAGGTCATGTTCTTATCAGTCTTCTCTGGGAACTACGGTATGATCATAAGTTACTTTAAGGTATAAAAGGTTGTGTCATAGGAGAGGTAAAATCACGTGCTATAGATGTTCAAAGAAGAAAGTCTTACTGCTGGCTTAAAAGAGTAAGCTTCATGAGGACAATGTCTATTTTGTTCAGCAAAAAGATCAATCAGTATTTGCTCAGGAAAACTGAATTGAAGAAGACTTGAAGGAACTAGACCTTTGAAAAATATAGACGCCCTGAACCCAACGAGACGGAGTGGGATATAGTAGGATATCGTGTGATCAAAGTCAAAAATCAAGATCTGTACATGCAACAAAGGATATTTCAGTTTGGTTGGAACTAAGAGGTATGGCTAGAAGTAAGGGTTGAGGTTAGATGCTGGAACACCACAGAAGTCAAAATAGTTCATACTATTAAATGAATTGCCAGCTTTGTGGGACAAAAATCTAAGTAGATGCACTGCTCATAATCTAAATTATTTTCCCCAAAGCAAATGCATTAGATTCACATTTCATTTGGCTAAACAAATAAGAGCAAGGTTTCTATACCTGAAGCATCATGTTGTACTATAGAGTTACTTTTGGAAGGAGACCCAGTGAAGTGTTGATATTATTGTCTGACTCCCACTGCAGGCTACAAAGACAGGATTCGGTCAAGGTTTTACCTTCCGGGCCTCAGCCAGTAACTTCTGTCTCCTCCCTTTCCTTCCTCTCTTATCTTAGCTATAGCTTGCAAGGGCCATTTCTAAGCAAGTGCTTCAAGCCAGATACTGCTTTTCCTGTTCTGCGCATTCCTTAAGGTGGGAGGCAGGGTGAGTTGGGAGTCAGGGGTGAGTTGGGGAACCTTCTTCCAGACCACACCTTTCAGCAAAAAGTCATTGAAGAAAGTTTAAGTTGGCTGATTTTCAGGGATACTAACTTGGACATTAGAAGTAATATTATTTATCTTCTGAAGACAAATTGGAATGATCTGTTCTTTCTCCAGTGAGAAAAAGCTCCTGTATGGCGCAAACACTGATCTTTGTCAAATTATTCTCAAATATCCCAGAGAAAGCAACCAACATAAAAAAGGCTTTGAAGTGTGGTTGAAATTTCATTTTGGAGAGGTTGTGATTGTAAATGTATTTGCCATTCTGTTAAATCTCCCCTTTTGGGTAGTTTAATTCTGGGAAGTAGACAAGAGCACTGGAAAATGCCATAAAAACAATGACCAGTGTGTAACATGATCCAGATGTTTGCTGCAGGTATAATCCAGCTTCTTGGCTACAACATTTTGGGCTTGGTTTCCTGTAACGTTGGCTCAAAATATTTTGATAACACCATGTCTTTATAAAAGTAGTCACCGGAATGCAACGGTAGCAATTGAATCTTCGATATTGATGGCGAGTTTAATAAGATGTCACTGTCCTGGACATGGTTCAAAAGGCACCCATGACGTTACTTACACATTGGTTGTCCTACTCTGACGGAATAGTGGGGACATTAGCTCTCTCACAATCAGAATGGCTTTTATTTATTTATTTTTTGATAATTTCAACTTCTTTAATTTTAGACTCAGGGAGTACATGTGCAGATTTGTTACCTGGGTATATTTTGTGATGCTGAGGTTTGAGGTACAATGGATCCCGTCACCCAGGTATTGAATACAGTACCCAATAGTTAGTTTTTCAACCCTCCCCACTCCCTTTCCTCCCTGCTCTAGAAGTCCCCAGCATCTGTTGTTGCCATCTTTATGTCCGTGAGTACCCAGTGTTTAGCTCCCACTTGTAAGTGAGAACATGCGGTATTTGGTTTTCTGTTCCTGAATTAATTTGCATAGGATGATGGCCTCCAGTTTCATCCATGTTGCTGCAAAGGACATGATTTTATTCTTTTTTTTTTCTGGCTGCATAGTATTCCACGGTGTGTATGTACCACATTTTCTTTACTGAGTCCACTATTAATGAACACTTGGGATGAATCAGTCTCTTTACTATTTTGAATAGTGCTGTGACGAATGTACAACTGCATTTGTCTTTTTGATAGAATGATTTATTTCCCTTTAGATAGATACCCCAGCAATGGGATCACTGAGGCAAATGGTAGTTTTGATTTAAGTTCTTTGAGAAATCTCCCAACTGCTTTCCACAGTGGTTGAACTAATTTACATTTCCAATAGCAGTGTATAAGTATTCCCTTTTCTCCACAGGCTCACCAGCATCTGTTGCTTTTTTGACTTTTCAATAATAGCCCTCTGTTTTGATTTGCATTTCTCTGATGATTGGTGACTTGTTGAACATTTTTTTGTTGTGTTTGTTGGCTGCTTGTATGTCTTCTTTTGAGAAGTGTCTGGTTGATGTCCTTTGCCCATTTTTTAATGAGATTATTTGGTTTTTGTTTGTTCAATTATTTAACCTCCTTATAGATTCTGGATATTAGGCTTTTGTCAGATGCATAGCTTACACATATTTTCTCCCATTCTGTAGATTGTTTACTCTGTTGATAGTTTATTTTGCTGTGCAGAAGCTCTTTAGTTTAATTAAATCCCGCTTGTCAATTGCTTTTGTTGCAATTGCTATTGAGGACTTAGTTATAAATTCCTTCCCAAGGCTGATGTCAGGAACGGTGCTTCCTAGCTTTTCTTCTAGGAGTCTTATAGTTTGAGGTCTTTCATTTAAATCTTTAATCCATTTTCAGTTAATTTTTGTATGTGGTAAAAGATAGGAGTCCAGTTTCATTCTTCTGTGTATGGCCAACTGGTTATCCAACACCATTTATTGAGTAGGGAGTCCTTTCCCCATTGCTTATTTTTGCTGACTTTGTCAAAGATCAGATGGCTGTAGGCGTACATTGAATGGCTTTTAAGAACATGAAGCAAAACATCCCCACTAAGCCCTTGGGATAACTGACCAGTCTAAATATTTGAATAAATTAAACAGCACTAAAAATGAGAGCTATGGAAATTCACCAAGAAAACTGTAAAATAAATAGCCTTTAAAAGTCTGTTGTACTCTGCAAAAAGCATCTATTGTCAATATATTGGCTTCTCCCTTGTGTCTAAATCGTTAGATTTTGTTTCTGTTTTCAAATTTTAAAAGTGGACTTAAGTACTTACTGAATCTCACAAAGGTAATTATTTTTCGCTTTCATTCCTTCATACCACAATCCAGAGGTAAGCCTCAAGGGTCATGTTTGACAATCTGTAATGTAAAAATAAAATTGAGGAGAAGAAAATACGAACTTTTCCATTTGTTCCACAAAAGCCACGCATAATTGTTAATGGTGACTGAACTTTGCTGCCTTTTAATCACATCTCTTTGTAAAGTATCATCTTAGCAGGGAAGTGATTTAAAAGCAATGTAAAATTTCCTTTCTGGATAAATCAGTTACATGGACGTGCAGACATAAATATAATATTTTGTATTTTTAATGTTATAGCTTTGATAGGGAAACAAAAGTTTTATATAATTTATATAATAATTAATATTACCTTCAGGAATTGAGCTGGAAATGGATTATTTTGTGACTCTTAAATGTACAACATAAATTATCAGACTGTACTTAATGTTTTCCTAATCATGTATCTGAAACTTATATATCCATCATAACTTATACGACTAAGTCAGTGACAACCTTTGCTTGTTAAACATAAATCATTTAGGTGGAATAAAGAATACTTAAAAGCTAGAGTAATTTTTATCCAACATTTTTAGTATAATTTTTCTTGCAGCAAAATATATGGAAAAAATAGTAATTTCTGATCCTTTATTCAGAAAATAACTCTTCCCCCTTCACATAGTACTGTTTTATATCTTACTGATTCCTCAATCTGACATTAAGTAAACTCTTCATTATTTACAAAATAATTGTCTCTGGGGATTTCTTCCTATAACCAATCATCTTTTCATCCAGATGAATTTACAGGATGCAGACTCATTGTGTTACCACACATATGCAAACTGTAATTATACAGGTAAAAAAAAGTCACCAAATGAAAAGCATACAATGCACTATCATGGAAAAATATACATCATTTTGAAATTATTCCTTTTTGGTATTATATATGCCACTAAACCTTCTATTGATTGAGCTCAGTTGGGAATACAAGACCCTAAAGTAAGAAGACTCTTTTTTTTTTTTTTTTTTTTGAGACAGAGCCTCACTGTGTCGCCCAGGCTGGAGTGCAGTGGCATGATCTCGGCTCATTGCAACCTCCATCTCCTGGGTTCAAGTAATTCTCCTGCCTCAGCCTCCTGAGTAGCTGAGATTACAGGTGTGCACCACGACACCCAGCTACTTTTTGTATTTTTAGTAGACACGGGATTTTATCATGTTGGCCAGGCTGGTCTCAGACTCCTGACCTCAAGTGATCACCCGCCTCAGCCTCCCAAAGTGCTGGGATTACATGCGTGAGCCATTTTGCCTGGCCAAGAAGGCTTTATCATTTAAAAATTATTATAAAAACTCTATGGACAAATCCAGCGACTGAGTAGTTTAATTGTTCTTTCATTCCTTCCTTCATTATCTCATTCCACTAACCCTGACTGGTAATTATGGTGCTTGGTGTAGAAGATTCAAGAGTTGTCTTTGTCTTTACAGCTTAGAGTCTAATGGGGAAGAGAGGCTAATTTAGATCCTTACAAATGTTTTTGAATTCTGAGGACGAAAATGAAGATTTAAAACCACTAAAGGGTGGTCATTGGCTGATTAAGTTGTGAAATAGAATAATTTTTCTTGAAACTGTGATTTTACAACTATAACTGCTCACAAGTGGTTTTTGTTTTGTAGATGATTGCCTTGCTCAGTGTGGCAAAGATTGCAAATCTTACTGCTGTGATGGAACCACGCCCTACTGTTGCTCCTACTACGCTTATATTGGGAATATCCTCTCGTGAGTATTCGTCAGATTTGGCAATACTGATGCTCTTCCTCTTGTCCAGTTGTCCAGTTATGTCTTTTAAAAGTACTAAGTGATAGTTGTGGGCAAGAGATTTCAAGATTGGTTATTGACATGAAATCTTTACTGGAGATATTAACACATCGCTATCTAATGGACTATATTGTTTGACAAAATATGCAAAATAATATACAAAATAAATTGCCTTCATTATAAAGGAACTAAAAAGAGTTATTCTTTTATTGTTTTACTTTGTGTACTATAATAATGTTTTAAGTAGACATCATTTTATTGATAATTTTATAACATCATCAGTGATATGGTTTTGTCTGTTTTGTGCAAGTTAAGATTTGTTATTTAATTATAGCCAGTTTATTTTGTCATCATGTATTAATTTAATACATCCAGTAGATGTCAGGAAAAAGAGAGGTTATGAATAAAAAACAGTTGAGACATGAAATGTCAGTTCTCACATGATACACATACAGCAACTTCAGGAAACAAGTTTAGAGCCTAAGACAAGCTAGGTATGAGTAATGCAAAGTGATAAACAACAAGGCACAAAAACACAAATGAAATATGTACATGTAGACTCTGTGAAGCATTTCCTTGTAACAAATTAGAAATTTATTTTAGAGCCGATTCTGGACAAAGGGAAATATGGAAGCTGGACCTGCCTCCAGGGCTGTACGGCTGGAAAAGTGTGCACTTGTCAATTCCTCAAGAGAGGAACCCACAACTGAGAAACGAGGGTTGAGAATTGGGAACATAAGAATTTCTTGAGTCAAAATCCCCATGGCTTTCAGAGAGCAGCAACGGTTGTGCCTCTGTCTTCTGTTCTTGTTTTTCAAGTCAGTATCATGATGATTTGGGAAATGTTCTGTTTAATTCATGCCCTACAAAGGCTCAAGTGGAAACGGGAAACATTAGGCGCTAAGTCATATGTGCCTGGCTGTTTTAGGGAAGTGTCCGTTGAGACGGCTTGTTACACATCCTCCATTTCCCGAGAATAGAAAACCTGGCACCACATAAACTTTCTGGAATCAGTGTTGAGGCTCCTATTAGAGATCATGACTCTGAGAATACAAAATAAAAAATCATACTTTGGGATACTCTTGAACACTATAATAGATGTGAAAGAAATGTCAAGCTATAATTAAAAACCATGTATAGAATTTAAGCCTTCCTTGAAATGCAAATAAGCTCCAATAAAATGTTTGAATTTTTCTTCATGGATGGTTTGGTAGAAAAGAAATTAAGCCCACTTTTTACATTAGAAAACTGTCAGGATGATTTTTTACAGTAACTTATCAGCTCAAATTTAAATATATAATGATGTTTACAGTGGCATATTACTTCGCAGTATTTAAAGTAACAAAATATATTATTAATAAATTTAAATTTTTTTTTTCTCAAACTGTCTCCACATACCAGATGCTGCTGTCCCAGGTAGAGGTGCGAGTATAACTTGGAGAATGTGAAGTCAAACTGATTCTGTGATTCTTTGGTCATCTGGCTCCTAGCTTAGCTCTTGATTCACTAACTATATCATGGAGTGTGCTGTGTGCCCTCTTTCTCACTCCATAGCTACCTCCACCCTGGTAAATACATATAACTCATAACTACTTATTAATCAGAATATTTTTATATATTTGAATTTATAGATGTACTTGATATGATTTACATTTGCAGTGAAGTTCACATTTTTATGGTACATGTTCTATATCTTTAATCTCACCGCTGGTTAAGTGAAGAATTGGTTGAGCTGATACATGTATCTAGGTTATTAGGACCAGGTACTTGCTATGTTTGGGGGAAAAAATCGTGTTTCAGAAGGGAAAATAAACACAGATGGCATCATATTTCAGGCAGTTATAACTGAACTTTCTGTTCAAAATAGAAACCTCTGAGTAAATATCATGCTAAACAATTCTTAGCAAAAAGAAAGGTGGCAGTGGTGGGGGGATACTTTAAAGCGTTTTCCCACTTGATAAAAGAGAATACATTTTCAGGATTTCCAGTTATTGTTTAACATTTGAAAAGAATTCTTAACTCCACCCAAAGTGTTTTTTTTTTTTAATGGGTGGTCGGCGATGCAGGAGGTAGGAAAAAAATTAATTCCAGAATGCTTACAAGGGTTCCTTCATACACAGGTTGTCACATATTTCTGTTTTGAAATTCATAAATGATGTTTCCTCTTTTTCAAGCATCCGGGCACATTCTTAGTGAAATCATTTTAACTGTTGTAACAGAAAGGTAAACCCTTGTGGTTATTAGAAAAGTAATAAGGAACAAAGCAGTAACACAATGAAATATTAGGTAACTTAAATGAATATTTTTATAATTTGGTTTATGTTTTTGTTTGTTTTTAAAATAAAAATGTTTGCTCAGTTTAAAATGAGCTAAAAAGAGAGCAAAATATAATTTGGGCATTTTAGAGTGTTTGCAAATTGGTTGGTTTAGGGCCACTTGACTGTCCTTGCTGAGGTCTTCCCCTAGTCACCAGCTGAAATCATCAGAGTTGCTGTTTAGCCCTTAATTCTGCTAACTTCAATTGCCTTTGCTGTTTTGCAAACTAACCATTAAGATTTGTTTATAAAGCAGTCACAGGAGCTAATTTAGTTGAAAAGTCTTATTTTTTTCAGTTTGCTCTCCTTTTTTATTTATTGTATTTATTTATTTATTTTTGAGACAGAGTCTCATTCTGTCACCCAGGCTGGAGTGCTGTGGCACAATCTCAGCTCACTGCAGCCTCCGCCTCCTGAGTTCAAGCAATTCTCATGCCTCAACCTCCCAAGTAGCTGGGATTACAGGCAGGCACCACCATGCTTGGCTAATTTTTGTATTTTTAGTAGAGAGTGGTTTTCACCATGTTGTCCAGGCTGGTGTTGGACTCCTGGCCTCAAGTGATCTGCCCACCTCGGCTTCCCAAAGTGCTGACAGGCAAGAGCCACTGTGCCCTGCCCTCTCATTTTTTTTTTTTAGATTCTTTCTATTCTAAATATGAGTGAATTTTGGCAAATAAATTCAGGTGCCCTTTTTCTTTCTTGCTTCTGCTAGGAATTTTAAGATTTACTTCTGTCTTATGAAAAACTTTAAAATTGAACTTAAAAGATGGCCTGTCTACTTCTGGTCATTATAGTCACAGATACTGGCTTTAGTATAGGAGAATCAGTATTATCCAGAATTTAATAATAATTTTTACAGTATTCAGCAAGTTTAATTCAATCTATTATTTATAAATGCACATTGAGTGCCTGCTACCATGGCAGTGGTGGCCTAGGTCCTGGGATCCAAAGATGAAAAAATGATGGACTCTGACTTCCAAGACCTCAAAATCTGATAAGAAAAGAGAGCATAGACAAATAATTCTAATTCAAAGAGCTAATCTATGAAGTATTATTGGAGGACTGGAAAGCTAAGTCTGTCCGTGTGTGTGTGTGTGTGTGTGTGTGTGTGTTTGTGTATGTCTCTGTGTGTGTGTGTTTGTGTATGTCTCTGTGTGTGTGTGTGTGTGTGTGTGTGTGTGTGTTTAGGAGGAGATGTTTAGGGAACAGATCATCAACATGGAATCTGATCAGAGTTTTGAAGGAAAAGTAGATATTTACATAAATAGTGAAGAAAGGGACATGGTTTTAAGACAGACTCTAGCATACAAAGTCAAAGATACAAGAAAGGAAATGATCCAGTTGAGAAAGTCCCTACTGTTCAGTGTGGCTAGTGGGGAACGAGTAACCTTTGAATATATGTAGGAATATGTAGGTCAGACAAAAGATAGATCCTTTAATGATGTGCTTTTGTTGGTCATGCCTAGCAAAACTGAAACAAAATAATTCAGTACTTTTCTGGAAATCAGATATCCGATTTTATATAGAACCGACACATTCTTAGGCATCATTAAGACAATAGACAAAGATAAGAAGGCTCCAAATGAAGTTGCTTTTTATTTATTCCATAAATGAAATATTTGGAATGCAAACTTTGAGATGTTACACTATTTGAAACCATTTATGACAAACTATGTGACCTTATAATTATTTCTCCATTTAAGAGATTTTTGAACATGAGGGCAACTACCCGAAGATAGAAGCCTCAGAATATTTAAAAATGAGAATTGGGCCAATTCAAGAAATAAACAATTTCCCACCAGATTGATTCTCAAACATTTGATTCAGCAACTCTGCTTCATGGAAGATAGATCTGTGATGAATATGGAAAGGGATGTTTAACTTTTTGCTGCTAATGAGATTTAATTGGCATTCCCCAGAAAGTAGATCCAGTGTAAAAATGTGGTTTATAGAGTCCTCTTCGGAGTTGGTAGAATTTAAGGGAATAGAGGGTGCAATTGAGTGGTTAATTACTGTTATCCAGTAGAACAAGCTAAACATGGAACTGAAGTAAAGTTGAGGAAAATGAAGGTATTCTCTTTTGTAAGAGAATAATTGTACAATACTGAATATGAACAAAATATTGACTAGTTTGGACATAGTGAGCTAGATGACAATATATCGCATTTAATTTCCTAACTCAAAAATAGATTTTGCTTTTCCACTTTGCCATTGTAAAGCACTCATCGGTCTGTGGATTCTTCAGAGCCCCATCTGGCCAACATAAAATCCCCACAGGAAAAAAAACCAAGAGGGAGAACTAATAATGGAGATCCTGGTGAGATTAAATTTCTTTTCTTCTCAATGAAATGTGAAAGATGTATTACCCGCAGTTTGGCAAAGACAGCTAATAAATATCACAACCGTGATTTGAGAGCCATGCTATGCATGAAAGCAAAACTGAGTTAAAAGATAAAGGTTTCATATTTTCGAGTGGCATTTGAGGTCCTATGATCATTAAGTATCTTAGTGTTCTGGATTAATCAGGTAAGGCTATTCAAACACTGACAAACGTAACGCATTTAAAAAGGCCTTTGGCATTAGTAAAAAAAAAAAAAACCATTTAAATTAATTAAGTTAAAATAATCTTAGTAATTAGATATGAAAAGACCTCTAGGAGGTACATACTGAAGAAATCAAAGCTTGTGGGAGTCTTATTTTTGTTTTAATAATGACACAGATAAGTAACTAATATGATGTTAAAATAAATATGAACTTGATTTAGAATGTAGCAACAACTTATGTTTGCTATAAGAAGGAAGTCAGTGATTTTCAAATGTATATTTGCATTCTATGAGTTATTGTATTAAAAGAAAATATAAATGTGTAGATAACTAAAACTTTTCTCAGTCCAATTTCTATGCTGTTATAATTGTCTTTGTAAATTAAGCCTAATTGTCAGAAACAGAATTGGTTTTGAGGAAGGAAAAATAAGGTTTCTAGAACATGTTTTCCACAATTTATCTTACAGCTATGTACAGTTTTTAGTGATCTACATCAGGTGCCGGAGGATATAGCCATGAATCAAACATCACGTTCCTGCCCTTGAGTTGCTTAGAAGCTACTGAGGAGCATAGACACATCAGCAGATGAACTTGCCACTGGAAGCACAAAATGCAGTGGGATCAGAGACGAGGAGCTTTTATTCCAACTTTAGATTGCTGGAAAGGCCTCTTAAAGCAGGGTAATTCTAAGATCAGTTTTAAAAGGAAAAGCAATTAAAGTCATCACTCAGAGTTAAAATGCTTAGCAAACTAGGGATATAGAAGAAAAAATGTTTAACCTAATAAATATATATTTTAAAAACCACCACCCTATCTCAGGCAGCATAATCAATGGTATGTTGTTATAACCCTTGCCTTTAAAGGCAAAAATATGACAAACTAGTGCCTTCTACCACTTCTAGTCAGCATTGTACTGGAAGTCCTGGCCAGTGCAATCAGCAAGACACATTTTTAAAAAGGTAATAAAGACTGGAAAGGAAGAAAGTAAATTGCTCTCATTTACAAATGAGATGATTGTCAGTATTTCTCAGACTATGAAAAATAACGGAATTCACCAAAATTGCAGGATATAAGATCAGTGTCCAAAGTGGTATATTCCTACATACCATCAACAATCAATAAGAAAATGTAATAGATATGTGCATAAATAAATCTAAAATACAATATTTAAAACTATAATATATCCAGTAAGGAATCCAGTAATAATATATGCATTTAGTGAGTATTATAACCATGTAAAAATTACAAGGGATAAAGAGAGACCTAATGAAATTAAGAGACATATCAAATTGTGGATGCAGGTATTGTAAAGATGTCAATATTTAAACATGGCAGTTCTTCCTGAACTATCTGTACATTCAGTGCAATTCCAATCAAAATCCACAAGAACATTTTATGTTGAATTTGAAAGAATGGGCCTAAAATTTATGTGGGACAGTAAAGATCGTGGGAAGAGAAGAGAGTTATGAAAAAGAATAAGGTCAGAAGATATGCCTTACAGACATCAAGATTTATTATAAAGTTATAAAAAAGAAATTGTGTGATATTGGTTAATGGATAAACCAAAAGAATTTGGAGCTTAGAAACTGACTGACGTATATATGGAAACTTGATGGATAACAGAAATGGCATTACAGACTAGTGGAGGTGGATAGATTATGTAACAGATGTTGCTAAAATAACTAGCTATCCATATGCATAAACATTAAATGAGATCAATTCATCACTCCACAATAAAAAATCCACTCTTATCAGACTAAATATGTAAAAACAAAAAGCAAACAATTACATTTTTTTAATGGGAGGAGAATAGCATTTATGGTATCAGGATAGAAAAAATGTCTAAAATAAAAGATTAAAAAACACAAAAGAAAAGATTACTAAAAAACACCGAACTGTACACTTTAAAATGGTGAGTTTTGTGGGACGTGAATTATATCTTGATTTTTAAAATTTTTAATATAGAGAGCAACAGAATTCCTAGATAAAAATGTAAGGCAAACCCTCACTTGGAGAAGATATTTGCAATTCATATGATTCACAGGAGATTAGTATCCGCAATGCCTGAATAGGATAATGGGCAATGTGTGTGCACAAAAAAAGGCATAGAGCAGAAAACTGGATGGTCCATAAACAAGTGAAAGATGATCCACCTGGCTAACTAAAGCAGGACAAACCAACTTAAAACATTGAAATACCGTCTCATACCCATTGGGCTCAAATACTCCGTAAGTCTGATAGTGCCAAGCAATGTGGGCAAAGATAAAAGGGCTCTCACATTGTTGATGGGAGAACAAGAACTGTTCCACATAGAGAGCAATCAGACCCCATATAGTAAAGCTGAAGATAGACATACTTTAGGATTTAGCAGTAACACCTCTTCAAGATATATTCCCTAGGAAATTTCCAAATATGCCCAAGGAGACATTTATACTGTTGATTGACGTATTATTTAAAAAATAGCAAAACATTGGAAGCAACCCACACCTCCATCAGAAGACCAAGTGGATAGAGTATATTCGTGCAAAGGATACAGCAATTAAAATAACTCAGTTCATGTTAACATAACATTAGAGTAAATCTCAAAACGAATAATGCTGTGTGAAGAGCTAACTGAAGAGCAATGTGTACTACATGATGCCATTTGCATAAACACATAAAATAATTCTGTGTATTATTTATGAAAACAAACACATGTCATGAATGTGTAAATATCTGAGGGAGAGAAGAGTACCAATGAATTTCAGGATTGCCCAGGACTGAGAAGTTTCCAGGGATTCAATACTTTGAGTGCAGCAACCTGGATGGTCCCGGGCAAACTGAGACACATTGGTCACCCTAGGGAGGAGTGTTGGGAAGTGGCCTTCAACTCTGACATTTCATTGCTTAATCATGGTGGATTGCATCTGCATTCACAGCTACACGGGAGGCTGAGGTGGGAGGATTGCCTGAGCCAAGGAATTTGAGACCAGCCTGGACAACATAGCAAGACCCTGTCTCAAAAAATTGTTTTAAATTAAATATCTCAAGAAAGTATAATTATTAACATGTAATAAATCCAGGTAGTGGCATATGGGTGTTTTATATTATCTATGATTCTTATATGTTTGAAAATTCTTGTAATTAAAAAAAGGCAATGGAAAAGTTTGATCATGGTTGTAATGGAGTCGCCCAGACACCTTTTTAACATGCCGATTCAGACTTGGTAGGTCTGGATGGGGCCTGAAATTCTGCGCTTGTAACCAACTCCCAGGCATTACTGCCACTACCTATCTGCCCAGTACACCTGGAAAGCAAAGGTTGGTGCTATTTGACAGTGTCTTGTGCTACAGGATGAAAGGACAGAAGAGATTAGTACTTGAGGACTGATGGGATGTGGACCTAAGGATTGGGGCTAAATGAGAGGAACATGTCTGAATTAATTCTGAGGTTTCTGCTTTGGATAAGAGGCTGGATGGTGTGCTGAGAACTAATGGGGAATATTCAGGAAGGTTCAGAAACGGGAATGAATTCTACTTTTAGTACATTAAACAAGGAAAAGCCTGTAGGGTATGAACCAAACTCAGTGAGCTTCAGATGGTGGAATGTTCCATTCTGAAGCCCAGTGGAGAGCATGAAACATCACATATAGGTCTGGGAGTAAAAAGCCTGGAGATGCTGGGGTTGAAAGGTGTGTGGGAATGAATGAGATTTTCTGAAGAGAGGTATAAGAAATAGAACAGCAAGCCAACAACGGAGCCTTAGGGAAATTCAGGAATACACTGAGATTTCTCCCCTCTTTACATTCGGATGCTATTTTAGCCCTCTTTACCTCTATCAAAACTGATCTGTCCTTCACTAATCAACCTGAATACACTCCTTGTGGTGGTGGGGACAATCAATGCCTTTATTTTCTTCTATTTGCTTGTTGCGTTTTATGTTACATAAAATGTAGGATTTGTGATATTTCAGTTCATTCTGAATTGAATATGTTACCATAACAAAGCAGTCTATGTGAGCGCCCATTTTTATTGACTTGGATTGTTTCCAAATCAGATTACCTCATATCTGTTCATATAATCTAGGTTTAGGAGCTGCCTTAATTAGATAGACATCACAGTTGGATATTATAAAAGAAAGTGTTTTTGGTGGCAGCAGGAATTGTTGGAAGAAAGAGAACTACCATTTATTTAATGCGTTCTCTGTCACCGATGTGTAAAACATATAAGTTAATTAACCTTCAGAATAGTCCTTGTGACCTATGTATTATTCCTGTCTGTTCAGATGAGGAGGATGAGGCTCAGAATAAGTCATTTCGTATAGCTGCTATGTAAAGGGCTGGCATTTAAAATGAGACATACTTGGCCTGTTTCTGCTACTCCTCACTGGCTCTTGAAGATCTGAAGAAGGTTTCAAGATGCCATGAGTGAAAATGATTCATTGCTATCCTTTTGAAGACCTAAACGCTATATTTTGGAGAGAACCTTTTCTTACCCACTATATCTGGATTTGATTCCCTGCTGTTTGCTGCCGTAGCATTATCCCTTCTCTATTTGATAGGTTTGGATTTGTGTCTCTACCCAAATTTCATGTCGAATTGCAATCCTCAGTGTTGTAGGAGGGGCCTGGTGGAAGGTGAATGGATCATGGGCGTGGATTTCTCCCTTGCTGTTCTTGTGATAGTGAGTGAGTCCTCATGAGATCTGGTTGTTTAAAAGTGTGTAGCCCTTCCCCTTTCACTGTCTTTCCTGCTCTGGCCATGTGAGGACGTGCCTGATTCCCCTTCACCGTCTGCCATGATTGAAAGTTTTCTGACGTCTCCCCAGTCATGCTATCTGTACAGCCTATGGAACCATGAGTCAATTAAGCCTCTTTTCTTTATAAATTACCCAGTCTCAGGTATTTCTTCCTAGCAGTGTGAAGACAGACTAATACACTATCCTGTTACTATTTATCAGTTTATTTATGTTCCTTAATATCTGTCTGCCCTTCCACATTCCAGACCTAAGAGGACGAGAAGCTAGTCTGCCAACTCACTATCAAAGCCACAGGGCCTAATAGATTGAAGGATCCAGAATAGATTATTTAAACACAGATCAATTCTTCATTTAAACATGAAAAATCTGACATTTTGTGGGTTCTAAACTAGTGTTCATCATCTGGAAAAATATTTGCTTAGCAAAATCAAACCATCATTTGAATGTGTTATTGGTTTCAAATAGTATCTTCTCATGGAATACAGATTAGGTGTCATTACAGAGTAAAAGGAATGATAGAATCAATTGTCACTTTCTAATCACACTGTTTATGATAAATTATAATCAGATGATAGAGACTAGAATTGAAAAGCCAATTTGATTATAATAATTTAACCTCCTGTCATGTTTCTGGGTTGAATGTGCTCCATCAATGAGGCAATATGATCTGCCAGCCTATGACTGTTAAGACAACAGGCTCCTGTGCAACTCACCTTCATGATTTTTGGAGATAAAATGTTTTGTTGATAAAATTGAGGAGGGAAGAATTACACACACCCAGTGATTTTTATTCCATTATGTTGGAAGAATTCTGATGGGCAGCTGCAACCCAGAACACAGTGTCTCCCAGCTGTCTCCCAACTGCAAAATGTTAGGATGTACACACCCATAACTAATGAAAATTTCAGAGGGTGATGATAACCTCATAAGGTATAATAGGATTCCATCTGAAAGTGCTATGGGTGAAAGCCTCAGCTATTTAGCCGATGGTAACTCTGTGACTCAGAAACAAAGAGAATTTTTAATTTCAATATTCATGGTTACAGAAAGGAGAGGAAGAAAAAGACCCTACAGTAATAAAAAACAATTTATGCCTTTGCACAAATCTGGCAAAAATAGAGAAAAACATGACAAATTACTTTAAACATATTTCTGTATCAACTCACACTGTCAAAAACATAAGCAAAACTATATCTCTCTATGCTGCATTTTGCAAAAAATAAGAGCTACCTGTGGTTGCAAATAGCCAACTCTACTGTGTGGATACAACATTTTTTTTAAACAAACATCAGGTATAATGTAGGATCAGCCTCTGAAGTATTACACATAGAAATATATTAGAATTTAAGTTTATCAAATAAATGCTGAAAACTCTACTTTGAGGTTGCAGTCTCAAGTAATATTCATTCTTATATTAAGTAAATAGACCCTCTTGGCTTTTGCCAAGTAGAATTAAACAGGAAACAATGCTTTGTGATTCTATTCTTGATTAACAGTAGTTTTGTGATAGGAAGTTGTAAGAGAAATACCACAGAAAAATCGGGCTTGGGTTCCTGATGCTGTGTGAACTTAGATCTCCTAATATCACCGAGCCTCAGTTTGTTCATGTGTAGACAGGGAATAGTAACTTGCCCCCCTGACATATATATTTATACAAAGAAGCACTTAGAAGGGCTTTACAAATTTTTCCTGTCATTGATGAAAACATTGGGCTTTGAAAACATCTGGGTTTTAAGCTGGGCATGGAAATACATGCCTGTCATCCCAGCTACTTGGAAGGTTGAGGTGGGAAGGTTGCTTGAGTCCAGGAGTTTGAGTCCAGCCTGAGCAACAGAGTGATCAAAAAGAATCATAATAATAATTTAAAAAATAAAATAAATAAAACATGATGGGGAGAAAAATGACTTCTGCAAGGTCATTTGGAAAGTCTGTGACTGAGCTGCAGAGTGTCACTTCTGGTCACAGGCTGTCTCTCTGGCTCTCTGGACTTCATCAACAGGAGAGTACCACCTGCCTCTCCCCAGGAGAGCACTCTCGGCCTTGAGTGAAATAAATGGTGCCCTTAATCAAATGTGATTGCAGTCTGATAACTGCAAAAGCAGCTAATTAAGTACGGTGTCCTGCTGCCCAGTGGTTGCTGAAGGCATAATACTGCCTGAAAAGTCATGTACATTAGATACACAAGTCTGCCATGTTACCCTAGGCTGGCTTGTGAATTAGAGGGAGAAACCCACTCAGAAACTAGGAAATCAAATCTAAATAAAAATATATAAACCTGATTTATAGAAAAAAATTACATATATAATATCAAAAATCAGTGGGTAATGATTTGCTTTAAAAATGATTCATTAAAGAATTCCAATGGCTCATCTCCATTGACAATATGTCAATAAATAATGCACACAGTGGTGTTCTAACTGCCGGCTCTTTTGGCAGAGTGATCCTAGTGCTGTATAGATTGAGTGTTCCTTTGTATGTAACAGTTGAGAATTTCCCTGATTAAGCTCTTTAAAAAATTGTGTTAATCAGCAGTTTTCTCCATTTAAGTCAAGACTTGTAAGACTTAAAAGAACAAAAAGCACAACAACTTGCCTCCGATGATATTGTGCATAACCTACATTTGGAACAATCTCCAGACAGAATGTATTTTCAGTGGAAGCAAATAAATGCCAGATGGCATGCCAAATAAAAAGTCATTGATCATAGTGAGGATCAGCTGAGGTCTATCAATTCTAAAATGAGTTTCTTTTTATTCAGCCTGTTGGCTTTACACCACCAGCATAATATACATGTTATATATTTTGTTTAGTGTTTGTGGTAAAATAGCTTTTGTCTCATTATATTTAGTTGGGAGGGTTGGTTCCAGTTCTGAGTAAGATGAAGAAAACAAGCTCCACGCTCTGCCTCCTACTGAGCATAACTATGGAGAGCGTGGACAGAATGCACGAAGCAGCTACTTCAGGACTGTGGAAAGTAAATACTAGCAGGTGGATTGGGGAACCAGACAAAATTTGAAATACTGCCCAACTAGCCATAAATTTACCAGTTGTTTCCCTCTGTTACTCGACTTTGGACTAAACGCAGCCCAAAACATAGAAATAGGCTTCAGGACATGAACAGAGAGCTGCAGGAGAAGCCCTCTAGTTCTGTCTAAGTAAGCAAGCATAATGTGGACAGGGTTTAGCATCTGTGCCATCAGAATCCCAGAAGAAAGGAGAAAGAGTATGGAGCTAAAAAAATCCCAAGTTTGGTGAAAGAAATAAATTACAGATCTAAGAAGCTGAGGAAATTCCAAACTGGATAAACCCAATGAAATTCACACCCAGATACATCATAATCAAATTGGTTAAAAGCTAAAGAAAAAAAATTTGGAAGCAGCCAGAGAAAAACAAAACATTACCTATAGGGGAGCTGTGATTTGAATGACTTCATTTTCTCATCAGAAACCTTAGAGGCCAGGAAAGTGGCATATTTTTTAAGTGCCAAAAGAATAGAATTATCAACCTCTATATCAAGTAAAAAATATTCTCCAAGAATAGAGAGAAAATAAAGACATTCTTAAATTAAGAAAAATTAAGAAAATATTAATCCAGCAGACCTGATGTAAAAGTTCTTCAGGAAGAAAGCAAATGATACCAGAGAAAACATGGAATATCATAAAGGAAAAAGAAGAGTAAAAAATCAAAGTCCTGCCCCACTAGCAGTACTAGTTAGTAAATATGGTAGGCTGTTTTTCTCCTCTTGAGTTTGTTAAAATGCAATCGACTATTTAATGTGAAAACATATGATATGTATGATAGCACATTCAATGGTTTAGATGTAATATTTAACATGACTAGCACAGGAGGGGAAAGGTTAATGGATCAATAAGATGATAAGGTTTCTATATTCCAACTAAAATGATACAAAATTGATTCTAGGTGATGATGAAGAGTTAAGTATATATCCTGTAATCCCTAGAGCACCCACTAAAAAGAACAATAAAGAACTACAGAGTAATATAGTCAAAATCATAGTAGATCAATTAAAATGGATACTAATAAATATTCTTATAACTGAAAAGAAGGCAGAAAAGGGGAGTCAAAGGAATGAAAAACAGAGGGAACAAACAGAAAGCAAATCACAAAATGATATACCTAAATTCAAACATATCAATAATTACATTAATGATCTAAACATACCAGTAAAAACAGCAAATGGATTTTGTTCTGAACCTACTCAAATATATGTTATTCATTTCAACTCTACTGAAATAGCTAACTTAAGTAAAAGGATGGAAAAAGATATACCATGCAAATATTAACCAAAAGAAAGCTGGAGTGGCTGACAAAGTACAATTATACCTTGCAGACATTGTAGGTTCCATTCTGGACTACCAAAATAAGGCACATATGGCAACAAAGTGAGTCACATGAATTTTTTGGTTTCTTGGTACATATAAAGTTGTTTATACTGTAGTCTATTAAGGGTGCAGTAGCATTACACCCAAAAAACAATGTACATACCTTAATTTTAAAATAGTTTGTTGCTAAAAATCATCCGAGCCTTCAGCAAGTTGTTGTAATTTTTTTGCTGGAAGAGGGTCTTGCTTTGATGCTGATGGCTGCTGACTGATCAAGGTGGTGGTTGCTGAAAATTGGGGTGGCTGTGGAAATTTTTAAAAATAAGACAACAGTGAAGTCTGCTACATCAGTTGACTCCTCCTTTCATGAAAGATTTCTCTATAGCGTGCAACGCTCTTCGGTAGCGTTTGACCCACCGTAGAACTTCTTTCAAAATTGGAGTCAATCCTTCTAAACCCTACTGCTGCTTTATCAACTAAGTTTATGTAATATTCTAAATCCTTTGTTGTCATTTCCACAGTGTTCACAGCATTTTCACCAGGAATAGATTCCATCTCACAAAACCACTTTTTTGCTAATCCGTAAGAATTAACTGCTGTTATGTTCAAGTTTTATCGTGAGACTGAAGCAATTCAGTCACATCTTCAGGCTCCACTTTTAGTTCTAATTTCCTTGATATTATCACTATACCTGCAGTTACTTCCTCTACCAAAGTCTTGAACCCATCAAAGTCATCCATGAGGGCTGGAATAAATTTCTTTCAAACTTCTATTAATGTTGATAATTTAACCTCCTCCCATGAATCACAAATGTTCTTAGTGACATCTAGAATGGTGACTCTTTTCTAGGTTTTCAATTTACTTTGCCCGGATCCATCACAGGAATAACTATGTGTGGCAGCTATAGCCTTACAAAATTTATTTCTCAAATAATAAGACTTGAAAGTCAAAATTACTCTGTGATCCATGGAGTACAGAACGGGTGTTGTGTTAGCAGGCATGAACACAGCGTTCATCTCCTTGCACACCTCCATCAGAGCTCTTGGGTGACCAGGTCCATTGTCAAAGAGCAGTACTATTTTGAAAAGTATCTTTTTTCCTGAGCAGTAGTTCTCAGTAGTAGGCTTCAAATATTCAGTAAATGATACTGTAAACAGACATGCTGCCATAAGGGCTTTGTTGCACATAGGCACAGTAGATTTAGCACAGTTCTTAAGGATCCTTAAGTTTTCAGAATGTGCAGTGAGCACTGGCTTCAACTTCAAGTCAGCAGCTGTATTAGTGTCTGACAAGAGAGTCACCCTGTTCTTTGAAGCTTTGAAGCCAGTCATTGACTTTTCCCTGTAGCTATGAAAGTCCTAGATGGTGTCTTCTTCCAATAGGACTCTGTTTCATCCACACTGAAAATATGTTGTTTAATGTAGCCACGTTTATCAATGATCTGAGCTAGCTCTTCTGGAAAACTTGCCACAGCTTCTACATCAGCATTTGTTGCTTCGCGTTGTATGTTTATTTGTGGAGATGGCTTTTTCCTGAAACCTCCTGAACCGACTCTTCTAGCATTTAACTTTCCTTCTGCACTTTCCTTACCTCTCTCAGTCTTCACAAACTTGAAGAGAGTTAAAGCCTTGCTCTGGATTAGGCTTTGGCTTAAGGGCATGTTGTGGCTGGTTTGATCTTCTACCCAGATCACTTTTGCTTTCTTATCATTCATGTGTTCACTGGAGCAGCACTTTTAATTTCCTTCAAGAACTTTTCCTTTGCTTGCACAACTTGGCTCCCTGGTGCGGGAGTCAGCTTTTGGCTGTCTCAGCTTTCAACTTGCCTTCCTCACGAAGCTTAATCATTTCTAGCTTTTGATTTCAAGTGAGAAACCATTTTACACTTCCTTTCATTTTAACTCTTAGAGGCCATTGTAGAGTTATTAATTGGCCTAATTTCAATGTTTTTGTGTTTCAGGGAGGAGGGAGGCCTGAGGGGAGAGAGAAAGATTGGGAACAGCTGGTCAATGGAGCAGTGAGAACACACACAACATTTATCAATTAAGTTCACCATCTTATACAGGTGCAGTTTGTGGTGGCCGAAAGTAATTACAATAGTAACATCATCAAAGATCACTGATCACAATTACCATAACAGATGTAATGAAAAAGATATAGTGAAAAACAGATATAATGAAAAAGTTTGACATATTGTGAAAATTACCAAAATGTGACACAGAAACACAAAGTGAGCATATGCTGTTGGAAAAATTGTGCCAATAGACTTGCTCAATGAAGGGCTGCCACAGATCTTCAATTTATAAATAACATAATATCTGTGAGACTCAATAAAGAAAATACAATAAAATGAGGTATGCCTGTAGTTTCTTGAAACTCACCTGACAAAGGAAAATGAACAATCTGTTTATACTGACTTACACGGAGGGTAAAATGAAGTTATTTGCATTTTTTCTTATTCTTTTTAAATTTTTGTTTATGAGGCGTGTCAGTGGATTACAAATAATACCGTGGAAGCTTAGATTGACTTTACTGTAATTCTAAATCATTCAAAAGCTTGACAGTCCCTGGCATTTCGTACATGTATAAACACCTCAATTCGGATTTGAGATCTTTGAGGATCTGGCCCACACTCTACACTTTTCTGTAGTGCATCAAATACCCATTGCAGCCATGGTAGAAATATTAATTTAACATACAGCATACAGAATGTGCCCTGTAGGTGACATGACATGAAAACAAAGACACAGAAATAGAAAATTAAGAAGGTTGATCATTAAATTTTGTGATGAAAATGACTAAAATAATTCATTTTAAATTAGGTTTATTAAGAGAAATGTACAGTCCGATGAGGTGTGGGAAAGAATTTGGAAAGGGAAAAGAGTACAATATTAAAATGAACACTCTTTAATCACTGGCAGGCTTCCCAACCATGTTCATACATTTTTAAAAATTCATTAAACTTTTTAAAAGAATGATCCTGGCTCTTTTCTTCTAGTCTAAATATTTATGAGATGGGAGTGCTCACATAGAACTGCAGAACCCCAAAATTTATTGTTTTCTGGGTACATGAAAAAAGTAGCACATGAGAGAAAAGAGCTTATCCTGGAACGATGTATCCTAAGCCAGTAAAACCTGCTCTATTTTTCAGATTATGCCTCTAGGAAGACTAACCCCTATGTGTTTCAATTAGTCAACGGTCTGATTTAAAGGTCTGTAAAACTTGTAGTTTCTTTTTTTTTTTCTTTTACTGCATCATTTGTTTCAAACAACACTTTTAAGCCTGTATTTGCACACAAGGAACAAAAACATATTTATCATGTATTCCTGTCTTAAATCACATTCAAGCTTATAAATGTCTTGCAGTTGTAAACACTAGACCTTAATTATGTCTATTCAGTGAAAAGTAGAGATTTCACAGAATTTAAATTTGTTTAAATTAGAGATTCTCAGACTTTATTATGCACTAAAATCACCTAGGAGTACTTTCTAAAAATAACACTTTCCCAGAATCTAATCTAGAAATTCAGATCCAGTGGGTAGAAAATTAGGGTAGAAAATCTACATTATTATTAATTATCCCTCACTAGGAGATTCTTTAACCAATGGCCCTTAGACCACACTGCTCTAAATAACCCATACTGGCCGGGCTTGGTGGCTCATGCCTGTGATCCCAGCACTTTGGGATGCTGAGGTGGGAGGATAGTTTGATGCTAGAAGTTTTTAAGACCAACCTGGACAACATAGCAAGACTTCATCTCTATAAAAAATGAGAAAATTAGCCAGATGTGATGACACACGCCTGTAATCTCAACTACTCAGGAGGCTGAGACAGGAGAATTGCTTGAGCCCAGGAGTTCGAGGCTGTAATGAGCCATACTCATGCCACTGCACTGCATCCTGGGCACAGAGCACAACCCTGTCTCTTAAAAATAATAATCATTAGACAAATAAACCTTACCAAAAAACATTTCATTGTCCACTCCTATTATCCTATGTAATTATCAATTAAGGGATGTAATCAAACCATCATTTCATAAACTAATTTCTTCACACTTATGTAGACTTACATAAAGGGTTACTTTAAATTACCATGGTAAATATATTCAGAAGTATTGAAAATAAAATGCTATATAAAATTCATTTGTGTTTGATCGAAGTGATTGAATAGCTAACAGAGACCCATGGGTTCTCAGTAAGACCCCAAACAAATTTACAAAGCTTTGCCTGTGCCAAAAATAAGTGATAAAATAGTGTAATAGATGTAAAATAGTGATAACAGTAGAATCAGCCCCATAGGTTGCTACAAGGTTTAAATGAATTAATACTTATGAACCACTTAGAACATCAGCTGGTACTCCGTTTAGCTACTTTCTATTCTCTAATGTATGCTTCCATTATTCATACATGATGGGTAAATCAGGGAATGGTATTAGTATAACAGGAAAGTTGTATTGGTTGAAATCGAGGTTTCCTTGGCAATGGGAGCCAAAAAAAGAAAAAAAAAAAAAAGTAGAAATAGAATTACAACTTTCAGCAGGAAGGAACAAAACCCGTAACCTGAATGCTGCTCTAGGTGCCAAGGAAAAGCTTTTCCTTTGCCCTCTGAAGGTTCGTTGAAAATTATCTGACAAAAGTCACATTAATAGATGGCATATAAAATTATTAATGCGCATGGGAGAGAATCATAGAGTGGTTGCCCCACCACACATTGGGGTACAGATGGTTATATACCCTTATCTTCAGGGTAAAGGGAGATGGGGAAGTGTGGATGATCTTAGGGGGATAGCAAATTGTTTTTAGGCAAATTAAATGGGCTTGAAGAACATACAATGGCCTGGGACAAAGTCTCTTGGGCCCACAAAACAGACCATGGTTTGTGACAAGTCTGTCCAGGTGTGTTGACAGACTTCAGTCTTTGTTCCTCCCATATGACTTCAGTTAGTGAAAAATCAGGGAGGGGATCATAGGTAATTGTTTTTTTCTTTGGCGAGTCTGGACTTTAGCCAGATGAGGGAACTTCTGGGAACAACTTCATTCTGTGCTTGGAGAGAGACAGGGAATTGAGAGACAGGAGTGGGGAGAAGGTCAAAGGGACTTTGAAGATCCTTCAGTTGAGTATGTCAAAACACCGTATTTCAGGCGATCAGTTTCTGAGCCCGAACATTGCACAACCTGGACCCCTCTGTGCTTGATTTTAAGAAAAATAAAAATGAGTCCTTGCACCCTGGCTCCCTAACCAGAAAAATGCACCTTCAACCTTGCTCAGCTCTTGACTCCTGGCAAGTTGCACTTCCTCCTGTGCTCAGGGGCCACTTCCGCCTTCATTGTCTAGATGCTGGGAAGCTGGCATTTCCACTGGGTTGTTTTTGTGCCTTTTAAATGTCCTCTGAAGCAGCGTCGAGCCACAATGAACTTCCTCCCTGAGCTGGGCAAGTTATTTCCTGACGTATCCACTATTGTTGCTGTAGGGCTGTAAGCAGAGTAGAATCTATCCCGACGTTAATAAAGCTTTCTCTCTCGGGTTGGTGTACTGCATGGGCTTCTTCCTTACACCTAAGACGGTGCATTCCCATGGTCATGCATTTTGCAGCAGTTGCAAAAGTAAGATATTTAAATGATCTCTTTCAAGACTATGACCTCTTTCTACTTCAATTTCCTCTCCCTAGAGGCTTTAAAATGACTTCACCATTTGGGGGTTCCAGTTGGGGGAAGTGGAATTGTGAGTAAATTTAGTCTGCATTTAGTACATAGGTCATAATCACTTCCATGTATAGTTAAATTATTGCTAGCCATTCCAATATAGGAATAGCTCCCAAGCATGATCAACAGCCCACCACACCAACTCATTCAGTATTCTGATGCCTAGGGGCAAAGCAAGATCAGATGCCAACATGAATGTGTGATCAAAGTGACTCCTACAACTAAGCAAAATGGAAGTGATTGGGTGGTGATGAAGAAACAAAGTTTCAAAATAGGAGTCAGAAGAGAATCTGTGGCACAGTTCTTCCAAATACAATATTACTACTTGTATTTGAAAGAAATCTAACAGAAGTTTTCTCAAATTTGCTAACAATTCTAAATATTTACACATTACCACTAACATGCTGTGAGACTAAAATAGTTTTTTAAACCAAGAATAGCCAAAAGCCAATTACAATCCATCATGTTAGAGGACATACTATGTTATCTTTCTCTTCTCTGTTTGGAAAAAGATACCACAAAGTTGTAGTCACAGGAAAAGGAGCTCAAAAAATAAAGTTATTTTATTCTTCATTTATTTTGCTTCAGAAATCTCTGATATTCAACCTGGACAGCCAGGTCCATGTCTCACCTAAGAAAACACCATATTTACGTGCTTAATTATCTGTTTAATCTCTCAATTATTGAGAAGTGGGTAATGTAAACTATCTTATTTAATTAAGAATAAACTGTAATCTCAGCACTTTGGGAGGCCGAGGCGGGCGGATCACGAGGTCAGGAGATCGAGACCATCCTGGCTAACACGGTGAAACCCCATCTCTACTAAAAAAATACAAAAAAAATTAGCCGGGCGTGGTGGCAGGCGCCTGTAGTCCCAGCTACTGGGGAGGCTGAGGTGGGCTTTCTTACAGGAGACTGGCGTGAACCCGGGAGGCGGAGCTTGCAGTGAGCCGAGATCGCACCACTGAACTCCAGCCTGGGCGAGACTCCGTCTCAAAAAAAAAAAAAAAAAAAAAAAAAAGAATAAGCATCTTATTAACCAGAAGGTAGAAACCATTACACAGTCCAACCGTAAGCCTGTACTATCACTCATTAACCTTGCCACCTTGGAATTAAACTTTCAGGTTGCTTATTATTATCTTTCTATGAGAAAAGAAGACGAAGAAGCCTGAAGGACAGGGTGATGTGGATGCTGCTTCCCACTGGATGGTCAGGGATGAACACAGAAGAGGCCCTGAGGAGGTGACATCTGAGTAGAGAACAGAACAAAATGACTTAAGTCAGCCACGTGAATATTTAGAACAATTCCATTCTACCAAGTGGGAGGCAAACCCAGAGACTCTAAACAGGCCATGATACATGAGAAAATTGAACCTTAAAAATAAGATAGTTCAAATTAACACAAATACTTTTTATTTGTAATAAAATATATTATATAATTTCAATAAAAAAGTAATATGTTTGTCAAATTAGGAATTAAAAAGGGACTGGTATATCTAGTAGAGAAATGTTGTCATTTAATGTGTTCTGAAACATTTAATCTACTCTGAAATGATTTGGGAGTTGAGGTAAATTATCCTTTACATGTCATTTTATACTCAAATCATAATTTATCTTTTTCTTTTTTGTTTTTGTTTTTGTTGAGATAGGGTCTCACTCTGTTGCCCAGGCTGGAGGGCAGTGGGGTAATCACAGTTTCTTTGCCCAGGCTGGTCTGGAACTCCTAGGATCCACCTCAACCTCCCAAAGTGCTGGGATTACAGGCATGAGCCACCTTTCTCGGCCTTTCTTATTATTTAAATATTTAAACCCATATATTCACAATTCAAAAATATAGAGATAGATGTTGTTTTTACTTACAAGATCATCCTTTAGAATTTATTTAAATAATGTTTAATAATTTTAATACAATTCTCTTTCCTCTGACATTATCATCGATCCGTGTTTCTTCAGGGTCACCAGGATGTATACCCTTCAAAAGCATCATTAGAGATGGGCCCTGACTGTAGAGTTTGTGAAATTTAGTTCTGTAAGTCAAAAGAGATTTATAAACACGGCATTCTTATGGTAGACATTTAGCTAATAAATCCTAAATCAGTTTTGATTTATAAATCCTTTTATTGCCCTTGGGATTCAGGTGACTGATTTATGAGTCAGTATGCTAAAATCTATAATTTGACCAGGCATAAATCTTATTTTACGATTTCTGTTTTAACATATGATTCATAAATCCTGGTCAGGTTCTGTGTCTGGTTTTCTAAGCGCTCTGCATTTAACAGTGAGTCTTGTTAAGTTCATATTTTAGGATTTTGACGACTAAAAGTGATTATTCGTACAGAATTCAAGTAAATAAAAACAGCAGCTGAACAGTTTTCCTGTATTCTGGTTGGTGGATTAGTAGAAGTGAGCTTTAAATTCATTAATAATCTCAAAATGTTTTAGTCTTCAGAACGGTAAAATATCGCCATTAAAATTCTTCTTCACTGTATCTGTCAGACAGTTAGAAATGGTATGTTAGTGACAACAAGTTGTCTTCTAATGTCCAATCTCCCTTATCTAATATTGATATAAATTTAATAGAGCACAATAGCTTTCCAGGGTAAGCACTACAATCCCAGCCCTCCTTGCAGCTATGTGTGACCATTTATTTTATTTTATTTATTTATTATTATTATTATTTTTTGAGATGGAGTCTCACTCTGTAGCCCAGGCTGGAGTGCAGTGCCGTGATTTCGGTTCACTGCAAACTCCGCCTCCCGGGTTCAAGCAATTCTCCTGCCTCAGCCTCCTGAGTAGCTGGGATTACAGACGTCCACAACCACACCCCCTAATTTTTGTATTTTTTAATAGAGACGGGGTTTTACCTTGTTGGTCAGGCTGGTCTCGAACTCCGGACCTCAGGTGATCCACCCGCCTCGGCCTCCCAAAGTGCTGGGATTACAGGCGTGAGCCACCACGCCCAGCTATATGTGACCATTTAACTAACTTCAGCCAATGGTGCATGAGCAGAGATGATTGTGTGCAACTTCAGTACATGCTTTGCTGAGGTGCCAAAGTAGCACAGGTCCCAGTGCGGAAGGAAAGGAGCACAGGCCCCTGACATGTGGGTGCCATTCTTTGAGCCCTGCTGCACTTAAACCTGGACAGAGAGATGAAGGAAAAAACAACCTATAATTTTTTTTTTGAAAAAGATTATTTTACTGTCTCTTTCTACATTGAATTGAATATCATAACTTTTTAAAATTTTATTTTTATTTTAAGTTCTGGGGTACATGTGCAGGTTTGTTACATAGGTAAACATGTGCCATGGTGGTTTGCTGCACCTGTCAACCCACCACTTAGGTATTAAGCCCGGCGTGCATTAGCTGTTTTTCCTACTGCTCTTCCTCCCCGCATCCACCACGCAACAGACTCCAGTGTGTGCCGTTCCCCTCCCTGTGTCCCTGTGTTCTCCTTGTTCAGCTCCTACTTCTAAGTGAGAACATGCAGACATGCAGTGTTTGGTTTTCTGTTCCTGTGTTAGTTTGCTAAGGAATTTTTAAAGACTTTAACTTGAATCTTTTTATAGCAGACAAACATTCTTTAGCTTTTCAAAAAATTGTGTTGAATATATCATTTAGGCATTGGGCTAAACATTGTGAAAATGAAGGTAAATGTGAGTCAGTCCTTGCCTTTGTTAAATTTCCTAAATAGTAATTTGCTTCTTAACACCCTAATACATGGAATTGTTATTAATTTTGTTTTCTAGTTGTTTGTTGCTGCAGAGTATGAAAATACAATTGGTGTTAGTGTATTGATCATATATAAAACAACATTGCTAAATTCACTTTGTACATCTAGTAATTACTTTATACATTGATTAGGATTTTCTATGTAAAAAAAATCTTATCTGCAAATAGAGTTTTACTTCTTTCTGATCTGTATGCCTTTTAATTCTTTTTGGTTTTTACTTTATGTCTCTGGAAATATTGACTAGAAGTTGTTGGAGTAGGTATCTTTGCCTTGTTCTGGAACATAGGAAAAAAACAATTAAGCATGATGCTAATTGTAATGTTTTTCATTGATTCTTTTTATCGGATTGAGGAAATTTCTTTCTGTTCCTAATTCGCTGAGAGTTCTGTAATGAATGGAGGTTGAATTTCATCAAACGCTTTTTGCATCTGTTGAAATGATCGCATGTTTAGGTCTCTTGTAAGGTGAAATATATTGATAAATTTTCAAAATTTAAATGATGTTTGCATTCCTGGGAAAATATATCTCTGACACACACACACACACACACACACACACACACACACGCACACACACACATATTCTCTCTCTCTCTCTTTCTCTCTCCCGCCCCGCCCCCGTCCCCCACCTTCTTATGCTGTTTATGTTGCATGGTATAATAGAATATCTTCCCAGCCCTTAAGGGAGTTTCTGTATTCAGAGGGCATCTACTTGATTTTTTTGTATTCAAAGTACCTTTCATGTAGACAACAAATAGTTCATGCTTTTTAAGTAATTCTGACAATCTCTGCCTTTTAAAATACTTCATTTCCTACTGATGTGGTGGGATTTAGTCTTTCAGTTTACTGTTATCTTTTCTGTTTGTCCCACTTGCTTTGTGTTTCCTTCATGCTCCTCTCCTGCTACTTTTGAGTTAATTGAAATTGCTTTTAGAATTCCATTTTAATTTATCTTGGCTTTTTAGCTTACCTCTTTATTTTATTATTTCAGTGGTGCTCTAAAGATTGCAATATGCACCCTTAATTTTTCTATTGAAAGTTAAGCACCCCTTCTCATAAAATGTAATAACTTTGCAATCCTATAGGTCTTTTACCTCCTATAATTAATTCTGTATTTTCACGTTTATTACATAAGATGCTATGCAAACTGTTATTTTTATTTTAAACAATCATTAGTATTTTAGGGAAATTAAAATCTGAATTTTTATCTGATCTCATTTCACTTTTGCTTGAAGAACTTCTGTTAGCTTTTCTTGTAGGGCAAGTCTACTTGAGAAGAGTTACCACTGTTTCTGTTCATCTGAAATGCCTTTATGTCATCTTTATTTCTGAAAGCTATTTTTGCTTCACATTGAATTTTAGGTTTTCAGTGTGTTGCTTTCATTTGGCACTTTTAAAGATGTCATTACACCATATTCCAGCCTCATTGTTTCTGCTAAGATGTCAGTGGTGATTTGTATTTTTGTTCTTATATATGTAATTTGTCTTTTTTCTATGGATGCTTTCAAGATTCTCTTTATCTTTTGTTTTTATCTATCGAATTGTGATATTTTCAAGGTGTCTTTTCTCTATTTATACTACATAGGATACGTGAGGTTTTTGAGTCTGTAAAATGGGGGAAATTTTTAAACATTCTTTCTTCAGATGTTGGGTTTTACCTGTTCCTGCCTCTTATCTCCTTGTAAAACTCCACATGTATTAGATTTTGATATAGTCCCACAATCACTGAGATTCTAATTTTTTAAATATTTTTTCTCTCTGCTCTCTAGATTATATAGTTTTGATTGAGATACCTTCACGTCACTGACTCTTCTTTCATCCTTAACATCTTGTTAAGCCCATACAATTAATTTCCTTTTGTTTCAGATATTTTATTCCTCATTTCTAGAATTTCCATTTGGTTCTTTTTTAAAGTTGCAATCTCTCTGCTGAGATTTTCTGTATATCCATTCATCACAAACATATTTTACCTTCTACCCTTGAGCATAGTTATAGTATCTATGTTAAAATCCTTGCTAGCCTGTTCTAACATCTGGTTCATTTCAGGATCAGTTTATTTAATTGCCTTTCCTCTTGACTATGTATGGAATAATTTGGAATTATACCCTGGACATTTTTTTTTAAAAGAATACACTGTAGAGACTGGATTCTGCTATTTCTCTGAATGTTGATTTTTATTTGTAGTTAATCTAGAAGAACTCAAATCCATTTTTTGTCACTCCTGCAGTGGGTAACTTCTAAAATCTTTGTTCGGTTCTTTTTAGCCTTAGATGGGCTGCTGGGAGTATGCCCCATGCGTGCATAGTGTAGAGGTCATCCTAAGATTTTCCGCAGAGTTTATGTGCAAAATGTGATGCTCTACCCTGTATAGTTTCTCCTTTGCATGATTTCCCCTCTCACTTTTCGTCTGTTTTCGTAGTTCTAAACTCTGTCCCCTGGTTTTTAAAAGCAGTACACCCCAAGGGTTTCTGTTCGGGATTTAGCTAACTAGCTTATTCTGATTGGGGCATGCCGTTAGCCAAAAAGCCTTATCAATGGAACGCTACTCAGTTCCATTTCCTTCTTCCCAGTTTTGATTCACTTCCAATTTATGGTGGCTTTGGGTTTCTCTCCAGGGATTTCAGGGAGTCTTTATACTTTCTTAAGAGCTTGCAGTTGTGATCCGTGGTAGGGTTATACCAATAAGAGCTATTCCACTTCTACCACTCTACCAAAAAAGAAACTACATACATCCTTTTGAAGAACTCATAGTCTAATGTCTTAAACGAAAATGCTGAAAGCATCTAGAGAGAGTCTGAGAAAAGTTCTTTTAAGAAATGGTTTCCTTAAAACACAAAAAAGAGGCCTTCCTTAAAGTGACATTGCATGTCAACCTTGTTTCTCCTCTTACTTTTATATTAAATCAGAGAAAAGGAGATATGCTATTATGAGAGGGAAAAAGATGCGAACCCAAACATATTAAAATGCTACTTATGAATGCATCAAAGCTTCTGGTTAAATAACATAGGTTGAATGCAAATGTCTATCTGTACTTCCTCCTGAGTGTTCACAAAGCAATGACAGTAAAGGAACTTAGGGGGCGGGGGAAGAAACCTCAAAAAGAAGATACCAGACAAAAGAAGCAACATTTTGAAATCTGGGAAATAGTTTAACCACTGGGAACTGTTTTAGACTAGAGAACATAGAGATCTAAGTATGTTGAGGCAGAATATCAAAAAGCTAATCCTTTCAACACAAAGCTACAGAAATCCTCAGGGATTGGAGACAATTGCTGCTTTAAAGGCAGGTGTGCAAAAATGGGAATGAAAACTACAGTATGGATTAAATATCTTTAAAATAGGAGTTAGACTTCTCATATTCTTTCTCCAACCCTGATGCATCAAGAGAAAACCTAGGGCCTATTTTTGGATTGGTTTTATCAGACAGTATTTGAATTTGGAAGACAGCAAATAAATACATTTTTGGTTGGAGTGTGAGTTACTGTGTTGAAATCAGAGGGATTATAGGAAAAGCCTCCCCACTGAAGAGAGATTTGTCCCCTGCTTGGCTCGTGAAAGGCTCACAGCCACACTTACGTACTTAAGGTTGGAGATGGGTGAACTGATTTCTAGAAAAATCCATTCACCCAGAAGTAAAGACCTACAGCAGGAATTTTTAACCAGCGAGTCTGTGAACTTGAATGAGAACAATAATTCATTTTTATTTTAAACTAACTTCTGAAAGTCAGCATTTCTGGCATCTTTGAGTATAGGCAACAAACCGTCGTAGTATAATTGGTACCTGTGACTTTGTGACCAATAAAAATCACAGTTGTTTTCGTATCACATTATTCTTTGCCTGTATCTCCAAATTGCATTTTCACTCATCATTGTTTCAAAATTATAGTAGTTATTAGATACAACTCTAAAGTTTATTAGGTGGTGCATTAATTAAAAGCACATATGACTATATCACAAATTTAATGGTTTAATAGTTTGAGAACCAGATTGTGATATAATTGGTTTCATGCATAGGACATAAGTCTAAAACAGGATCCTAGACTTTACCAGGCTGCCATGACACCAAAAAGTTTAAGAACTTCTGAACTAGACACAGGTATTTGGATATTTCCCCAATTAAAAATATGATACCACAGTAGCAAACCTACAGTGAGATTCACAAATTAATAAGCCACACTCTTGCTCCCAAATGGGGTTTTTCTGAGTCTCACTTTTATATATGACAGCTAAAGACCTGATATTTGATGAAAGCCTCTATTATGGAAGATAGAGATAGAGAGCAAAACAAAATAGAATCAAATAAAGAAAAAAGAGTGGCAAAAACAAAGTGGTGGAAAAATAAGCACATGAAAGAAACACCATAATTAAAATATTGAGAGAAATAAAAGACTATATTGCATTCATAAAACAAAACCAGTACACTACATACAGAAGAACAAAGAATAAGGAGCTCTTGGAAATTAAATTAAGAAAGATCCAATTAAAAAATCAACAGATAATTGGAAAATATTATTAAGGGCCCATTACCCTTTTCCTTCTTCCAGAAAGTAGACGAAAAACTCAAAGATTGGAAGTGGAATTTTATCCACTATACCACCTCTTAGTAAATACTTTCCAACTTCCACTTCTGCACACTATGACTTCACTGCAATGTCATCACCCACACACATTTACCTGTGCAGTGACAAGTTGTTGGAATTAAGAGAAGGTTAGAAACCAGTTAGTTGCAGTCAGAGCGCCAGTAATGTGCTCTTGCCATAGACTGCAATACCTGATGAAGGCTCATCTCCGTGGTGATCGCTACTCTTGCTCACTGTCTTAGTCCATTCAGGCTGCTATCATAAAACAACGTAGACTGATTGCTTACGAATGATAGAAATTTTCTTCTTGCAGTTCCCTAAGCTGAGAAGTCCAAGATCAAGGCATGGGCATATCTGCTATCTGGGGAGATTCCTTTTTCTTATAGATGGTGTCTTCTCCTCGCATGGTGGAAGAGGGATAAGGCAGTTTTTTGATAAGGTTGCTAATCCCATTCTAATCATCTCCCAACAGACCCCACCTCCTGATACCATCAAATGGGTGATTAGGGGTCAACGTATGAATTTTAAGGGGACCCAAATATTCGGACCATAGCACTCACCAAATATTTCTAGCTTTCTACTTACCAGCCTGAAACATCAGGCTGGCTCCACCCTGCTGCAGTTGGAGGTTAAGCATTGCCCTCGATTTGCTTTGCCCAGTGAAAGGTGCAACACTTCTAGAGAGAAGTTCTCAGAGCTGGTTAATTATTTGGCGTGTGCTCTTCTCTGTAACAGTAAAGCCTCTGCCAGCCAGAATCACTGAGTACCAATAAAGAATGAAAGCTCCCTTTCTGCCTAGCCAAGGTGGACATAAAACTTGAGCAACAGGTAAACCTTGATTGGCCCAAGCACTGAGAGCTTTTTAGTATTGCAATAAAAGCCAGACTCTCCACCATCTACCTCCCTCCATCATCCCTTTATGTGTTCTGAGTTGTGAAGCAAAAAAAGGATTGTTACACGAAAGAACAGGATAGGTAAAGCAGACTTGTATCCCTTAAGGTCTGAGCTTTTACCTTATGCATGAGTTCACTGGAGTACAGTGGTTTAAGTCAAATCCATACCTGATTTCAGCACCACAGAGTCTCCGAGTCCCTGCATATGCCATGCTTTCTATCTAACCCCTTTCCTATATTTACTCCTATGCTCCTCAGTTAATTAACGTAGGCTCATCAATCACAACTCTCCTCCAACATCATAACCTAGGAAAACTCTGAACCCGCACACCAGATAAGATTCCTTACCTTATGCCCCTGCACTTAATGCTTTTCCATCACAGAACATACCAGTATTTACAATTGCACATTCTTGGCCCTTTTGTTTGACTGGAATTTCCATGAGTGCAGGATCTCTATCTGGGCCTGGCACACAGTAGGTGCTCAGTAAATGTTTATTGAATCAGTGAACAGGCAAATTTAGCATCCAGAAAGCTGAGAATAAGTCTAAAGAGTATAGAAATGATGTCGCTTGGTGGGGGAGAATGCAGAAGATCAAGGAACAGATGAAAACAGACCCGGTTAAAGGACTGTGATGCAGTGGTGCCCAGGTAACATCAAGAGGCATAGATATTTCCAATCCGGTGTCTCAGGGCTGCTAGTGTTATAAAAATAGTGAATAAAAATCAAAGGGAAAAAGTTATCATTTTCTTTCTACCTAAGTATTGAATTTTAAAAGCAAAGCTTCGGGTCCTTTATAATCACATTAGAATGACTCTTGTTATGCTTTCCTGAAACGAAACCCTCTGAAGAATGGAGGCAATGGTGTTTAAAATGTACTCAGGTAACTTTCTTAGACCTTCCAAAAAAAGTCTGAAGTTCCTGCCTTACCTGATTTTGAAATGTTATAATTTGACATCACCTCCCTTTGGTATACCATTTCTTAAATCACACAGACTATAAACATACCCATTTATTAAAAGCATAATAAAGCATCTCGTGGAAAAGCAGGGCTTAATGCCTGTGTAGCTTTCAACAGTAAGTTATGTCTACTCTCTTGATATGATTTTGCTCTGTGTCTCCACCAAATATCATGTCAAATTGTAATCCGCATGTGTCAGGGAAGGGGCCTGGTGGGAGATAATTGAATCATGGGGGTGGACTTTGCCCTTGCTTTTCTCATGATAGAGTTCTCATGAGATCCAGTTGTTTGCAAGTGCGTAGCAACTCCCCCATCACTCTCTCTCTCCTGCCGCCATGTGAAGACATGCTTGCTTCCCCTTCACCTTTCACCATGGTTGTAAGCGTCTCGAAGCCTCCCAGCCATGCTTCTTGTACAGCCTGCCGAACTGTGAGTCAATTAAACTTCTTTTCTTTATAAACTACCCAGTCTTAGGTTGTTCTGTATATCAACGTGAAAACAGACTAATACACCTCTTTCTCATGCTTCTCTGGCAACTTAGAGCATAAGTGGCAAAGGGAACATACAAACTCACTGAGTTTCACTGCATAAGTAAGTTACAAACATCTTCCCATGGAGGTGGCTCAGAATTCACTCCACTCTTGAGCCTGATAGAAAAACTGGAGTAGATCTTAGAGGATGGAGATCTGAGAGTGGCCACCGACTCACTGTGGCAGCACAGGTATGGAAAAGAGCTCTCAGAATGCAGAGATTGCATACGAAACAAGTAAAATTGGAGAGAGCCCCTAGTTTTTAGAGGGTGCTGTAATAATATCTGGTTTAGAATTCATTGACTTAACCCCATAGCTATTAGGCTAGGTATTAATAAAAATTTCACAAGCCTTCCTTGCTCTATTCAAACGAATAGAAGGAGCAAAACTTTATTAGTACTGTTGTTTATAATAGCAAAATTATTCTGAGCTGAGCCTCTTCCATTCATTCCTTCTTTTATAACTTTCCCTCTCCCCCTTTTTGCCCACATTCAACAATGAGCCCTCTTAAAGCGGCCTACTCGTTTATCCAGTGGAGACACTTCCTTTGTGCCAGGTTGTCTCTGTACCACCCTGCTCTAGCAGTTGTATCAAGAGATAAAGTTCCTCTTATTTAATTTTTTAAAATAATTTTAACTTTCATTTTAGATTCAGGGGTACATATGCAGGTTTGTTACATGGGTATATTGTATGATGCTGACGTTTGGGATACAATTGATCCTACCACCTGGGTGGTGAGCATAGTACCTAATAGTTAGTTTTTCAACATTTGCTCCCTTCCCCCAAACACCCCCACAGTAGTCCCCGGTGTATATTCTTGCCAAGAGATGAATTTCCAATGAACTGTGGGAAATAAAAATGAATGAATAAGTTAAGTAAATAAATAAATAATAAAATAAGAATTCCAGATAGAATACATTTGTATCATAGGTATTCTGTAAAATGGGAATAGTTATATTTACTTTGCAAACTCAAGGAGTAAAATTAATTACATAAGATCGTACATACAACTATTACAGTACCTGTCTATATCTGTCAATCCCAGCAGGAAACAAATAGCATACTCAGACAGGAAATTGAAGAGAGTTTAACAAATGCATCTTTTATAACAGTGCAGGCAGGATTAAGGAAGTCAAGAAAATATGGTGCAATATTCTGGGTTATTAACAACAGAGATCCCTTGCCATTTCTAAGCCTGAAAGGGAGGGAACAGTTACGAAAATGCAGAGACAGTAGGTATAGGAAGAGGATGTCCATGAGAGTCATGGCAGTCTATAGTGCAAGGTGGTTAAGTGGCAACGATACTGAGAGCGAGCCAAAGGATCAAAGGTTTTATTCTCCCTTTCCTCTCCATCTCCAGTCTCCTGTGCCAGGCTTTCATTGGGCAAATCCAAACAGAAGACAAAGGAGAAGTTGGTCTCTTGATATAGTCACCATGCATCAGCCTCCCTGATGACTGAGCAAGATGGAGCAAGGTAGAGAGTAGATCAGGAGGGGCAAGAAAAGATTCAGCACATTAACACATAATAGAGATGCAATAGAGAGGCCACTGCCTCTGAAGCTGAGTCTGGAGAAGTTGAGAAAGCAGTAATTCATTCATTAACTTACTCATTTAACAGTAATCCTTTGTTAAGCCCTTATTACGCAAATAAAATGCAAGTTTCTGAAGATATAACAAAATAAGACATCATTTCTGTCCTCAAAGTGTTGTAATTGAGAAACTGGACAGGTAAACAAACAAATGCAAATATATCATAGCAGTATTAGTGAAATATTGACAAATATTTTTGCGAGGCCATTATGAGATTCTGGTTGACAAATGGCTGAAACTGATTTGAATGAACTGCTAACATAGTACCAGAAATAATGGTGAGTGGCATGCTATGTGTGCTTGGTGCTCTGTTTCTGTGGCGCAGTTACACTGGAATCCTGAATTTTATGTCATTTGAATTAATCTTAGGTACACCTGTGTCCTCAATTCCTAACAAAAGCTTGTAGGTCTTCTGCCATGAAAGAATAAGTGACTTTGGTGGGTTTTTATGTAAATTTGTGTTTGCTAACATTCACTTTTATAATCTTTTCACTCTCAGACGAACAGCAAGCATTGCACAGAAAATACATACACACGCACACCAACAACAGCAGCAATAACAACAGCAATAGCAACAACCTAATTGTGATGGTGAATTTTATGTGTCAACTTGACTGGGCTAAGGGATACTCACATAGCTGGTAAACATTATTTCTGGGTGTGACTGTGAGGGTGTTTCTGGAAGAGATTAGCATTTGAATTCGTGGACTGGGGGAAGAAGATCACCCTCACCAATGTGAGTGGACATCCTCCAATCAACTGACAGCACAGCTAGAACAAAAAGGCAGAGGAGGGGTGAATTTGCCCTATCTGAGCTGGGACATTCATCTTCTTCTGCCCTTGGACTTCAGTGTTCTTTGTTCTCAGATCTTTGAGCTCCAGAACTTATACCACAGACCCCTGGTTCTCAGGCCTTCAGACTTAGACCGTATTAAGTCACCAGCTTTCCTGGTTCTGCAGCTTGCAAATGACATATTGTGAGCCCTCATAATTATCAGTCCTCATAATTCCGTAAGCCAATTCCTGTAATAGTAAATATATATAAATATTTATAAGTATTTATAAATATACTATGAATATAATATATATGTATAAATTAGTAAACAGTAAAAATATGTATTTACTATAGTAAATAGTAAATAATATTTACTACAATACATATTTCTTATAATAAATAAATATATTTACCATTATGGGAATTGGCTCATGAGATTCCGGGTTGAGTATCCCTTATCCAAAATGCATGGGACCAGAAGTATTTCAGACTTAAGAATTTTTTGGATTTTGGAATATTTGCATATACATAATAAGATACCTTGGGTATAGAACCCAAGTCTAAACACAAAATTTGTTTATGTTTTATACATACCTTATAAACATAACATAAAGATAATTTTATACGACATTTTTTAATAATTTTGTGCATGAAACAGTTTGTGTACATTGAACCATCAGAAAGCAAAGGTGTCACTATCTTAGCCACCCACATGGAAAATCTGTGGTTGTTTGGCATCACCATCATTTCTGACTCTGAATTTATGTGCCACCAATAAACAAGCATTTTCTTACACTTATTCGTACATAAGTACTTAGTTGAAAATATGGAAAACCATTAATACAGTGAAAAATTAACATGTTCAGAGTAGCTAAGCAGCACAGTAACAGAATACCTGTATCAGCTGCTAAACAACAGCAGGAACAAACAATGGCAGCCTTTCCATTTCCACCTACTATGCTGTGTTTTAATTAAAAGGTTTCTATACACTGTATTTTATTTTTTTAGGTGAGAAGAAATGTCAGAAGCAGTGGAGGGACCAGGAAACGGGTCCTCTAGGGATAAGAGCATTCTGCTGGATGGCTTTTTAAAATGTTTCCTCCAGCGTCATCTGCCTCCTTAACAATAGCTTTTGTCTTAGAAGCCTCTCACTGACTTTATAAACTGACATGATTTCCTGTCCTGTTACAAATGCATGCTGCTTTAGTCCTTCAATAAGCCCATCACACATTTTCACCATGTTGTCTATAGGCACCTTTTCTGCAGTGTTGACATCATCTTCATTGTTACTGTTTTCATGATCACCTTGATTCAGAACCATTTCAGCTATTTCATCATCAGTGAATGAACTAGAGCCTCATTATTGATATTAAAAATGTCTTTGATATTCACCTCTTCCAGCTTACTAATGAACTCTGAAGATATATTTTTTGCATATGTAAGGAAATCAGACATTCTTTTTTTCTCGCTTTACATAATCCTTCAAATTACAGAATCCTTCAAAGTCACCACCTTGTTCATCATCATCACTGAACTTAGTTGCAGGCCAGAGGTTGTGTCAGGCATGCACAACTGTGACTTTAATCACTATGTTTCAAGCATTGGCAACAGTATGTATGGCATTCTTCATGCTGAACTTTTTTCAAACCTTAAAGGTTTGAAAACTTTCCACATTCACACCTCTGTTCACTGCTGGCTAGCACGCTGTTCAAGAAAATGTTTTTATATTTACTCTTTATCGATCTAAGGATACCCTGGCCACATGACTGAGTTAATAAAGTCATTGTCATAGCCCGTTCTCACACTGCTATAAAGAACTACCTGAGACTGGGTAATTTATGAAGAAAAGAGGTTTCATTGACTCAAGAGTTCCACAGGCTGTACAGGAAGAGTTAGTTCCACAGCTGGGGAGGCCTCAGGAAACTTCCAGTCATAGTGGAAAGTGAAGGAGAAGCAAGCATGACTCCCCATGTTGGAGCAGGAGAGAGAAAATGAAGGGAAAAATGCTGCACTTTTAAACAACCAGATCTCGTGAAAACTCTATCATGATAACAGCAAGGAGGAAGTCCAGGGATTCAATCCCCTCCCACCAGGATTCTCCTTCAACACGTGGGGATTATAGTTTGACATGAGATTTGGGTGGGGACACAGAGCCAAACCATATAAGTCATATTTAGGGGAAAGTACATGACATAGACATTATTTTTATGGGAATTTCAGCCGCGGGATGAGAAGAACGGTTGTCAAGGAATAACACAATCTTGCAATAGTCATCCATCCAATCCAGCTTCCCTGTGGTGAGCATGAGCCACTGATGCAAAATGTTTGTGAAACCAATCCGACGAGGTGTCCCTGGTGATCCATGTCTTTTTATTAGCGTAATAATGGACTGGTTAAAAAAATTACTCCTTGAAAACAAGGAGGATGCAAGCTTTTGACTATTACAGCAAGTTTACACTTATGCGTGCCTGCTGCATTAGCACCTCTCAGCACAGTTATTCTCTCTTTGGCATTCTTAATTCCTGTAGGAGCTGTCTGATTGGCTGTAGTCAGTGTCTTTCTGGGCCACTAACACTAAAACAGTCACATTGCATCATCATTATAGACTTGTCCTAGTGTCACATTTTTATCAGTGATGACCTTGGCAAACTTGTCAATGAATTTCTCTGATAGACTGGATAAAGAAAATGTGGCACATATACACCATGGAATACTATGTGGCCACAAAAAAGGATGAGTTCATGTCCTTTGCAGGCACATGGATGAAGCTGGAAACCATCATTCTCAGCAAAATAACACAAGAACAGAAAACCAAACACTGCCTGTTCTCACTCATAAGTGGGAGTTGAACAATGAGAACACATGGGCACAGGGAGGGGAACATCACACACCGGGGCCTGTCGAGGGGTTGGGGGATAGGGGAGGGATAACATTAAGAGAAATACCTCATTTAGATGACAGGTTGATGGGTGCAGCAAACCACCATGGCACGTGTATACATATGTAACAAACCTGCACGTTCTGCACATGTATCCCAGAACTTAAAGTATAATTAAAAAAAATAAAATTAATATTATAAAATGCCCAATAAACTCACATTTTAAGGCTAAATTTAAAACAAAATCCTAACAATTAAAAGAAAAACTATAACTGGAGGCAACATTTGCAGAAAATGCTGCAGACAAAAATGATTTTTATAGTTATTTATATTATACTTACAACTTTCTCTTTAAGTTTAGGATTACTTCAAAATTAAAAAGTATATATTTATGAATAAAAAATAATTTTATTATGGGCAAAACAATCATTCAGGCTGCTGGAGCAGATTGAATTCTGTAAGTAGTTTCTCAACTCAGTTGGCTTTCAGAACATACAAATACAAGCAAAATTGTCTGGCAAAACTAAGCTTCACAGTAATATCCAAAGTCATACAGCTTAGGTTTGCCCTAGTCTCTGATAGAAGAATGGTTTATTTATTTACTATAGTTGTAGAGTTGTTTACCAACACTTATGTATGTCAACATATGTCAGTATTTCCGTTGATATATATTAATGTTTCAACACATTTCATCATTGTCACTAGAAAAGATGGGATGGGTAGCCATAACATAAAGTTTTCAAGAAAGGAGCCTTTGAGGATAAACTATTCAATGTTACCAAAGGTCTAAGGGCTAACTCTGTAACCTCTGTGAATACACAGCTCTGCCCCTCCATCATTCCAGCAAACAGCTAAGTGCTTAATAAGATAAAATCCAATAGCATTGAACCACAGTGACCTGTGTCAAAAATAGCACTATGTACAGCTGATAATTTTTAATTAAATGAAATAGAGACTGATGATATCATTCTTGGCTGTTGCAAACCGCACTCCCCTATGTTTTCAGGATCTGCATTTATATGCACTATGCTACTGGTTCAGCTAGCCTGCAAGTCTGCAAGAGGGCACCTATTCCCAAACCATGCTAATGAGTGCTGCTGGATCCAGCAAAAGCACACTTGGTACAGATTTAATCCATTTTAGGCAAAGCTAAGAGTTATCATTTGTAGTTGAAATTTATATAAAATTGTGGTTACCTGTTTTCTTCATGAATTACTTTATAAATGCATTGCATGGCATTTGTTGAATGAGTGAGTGCTTCCAATGTATATTAATATGTGACTCTGTTTATAAAAGGTAATTTATAGCCAGTTTATCAGAAATGCAATTATTTCATAAAACTCTGTATATCATTCTAAAAAAGATGCAAAAGAAACATATGTAAGATTATCTAATGTGATAAACATAGAATGGACTTTGAGCTAGACATGCTTCTATTCAAATTGCCACCTCTAAATGCCACTTACTGAGTGACCTTAGGCAAGTTACTAACCTCCTCTGACCCTCACTTTCATTATATGTTAGGAAACAGTGGTAATACACATCTACTGAATGGTTGTGACTAATAAGTACTATATATAAAGTATCAGTGTAAGAGTCATCACAAGGAAAAACTGAGTAATTATTTTAATCTCACCTGTGGCCCTTTGTTTGCTTCTAATAATGGACTGTGTTTGCATGAAACATACTAAACCAACAAAATTTTGTAGTGTTAGCCCACCTGTTCCAGAGAAATCTCTGTTGAAAAGGCTTATAAGAGATCTTTTTGAATGTTCCTCCATCTCTTACATGTTTTCTTCTCTGATGGCCACATATAATCAGTACTTAAGCTCCCGTAACTGTAGGTCAAATTGATTTCTGATCAAGAAGTTGCTCCTCTTTAAATATATAAATAATTGTACCATCCAATAGATTGAACTGAGTCTTAGACTTTCCCTTTTCCCCTCATTTTAAGTGCTTTACAAAGTTGCTGTGTTAGTTCATTCCTTCATTTCTGTAAAGACTTGAGGAAGGGTAATTTATGAAGGAAAGAAATTTATTTTGGCTCATGGTTCTACAGGCTGTACAGGAAGCATAGCACTGGCACCCGGTTCTGACGAGGGCCTCAGGAAGCTTCCACTCATGGCAAAAGGCAATTGAGGAGCAGGCACATCATATGGTGAGAGAAGGGGCAAAAGAGGGAGAGCAGGAAGGAGCCAGTCTCCTTTAAACAACCAGCTCTTGCTTGAACTACCAGAGCAAGAACTCCCTCCTTACCATGAGAGTGGCACCAAGCCATTCCTGAGGGACCTGCTCCATGACCTAAACACCTCTCACTAGGCCCACCTCCAACACTAAGGATCACATTTCAACACGAGATTTGGAGGGGACACATATCCAAATCATATCAGTTGCATTAACAAATTTCTGGAAAATAGTATTTAATAGGAATTTCTAAAAGAAATCAAAGCTTTAAAAGGTAAACCTTTTGAACTAAAAAAAGATATTTAGCTATTAACAAAAATGATGTTATTTTTTGGAATACAATGAATATTTTTATTTCTATTCTGTCAAAATTGTTTTTCTGTAGTGATATTTGCTTCTTTTTGATTGACTGTGGACTAAGATTTCTACCAGGATGTCTCTGGATTTTTACTCGTTTTAAGTGTTGCTGAATTTTTTTCCTTTACTCTTTATTTATAGAATTTCTGTAGTTTATTTTTGAAATTTCTATATGACACTTTTATGAAACAGTTCATTCCTTTGTCATTTTTAAAAAGGTAATGATGGCTTAGCCTTCATTATCCCTGACTTCGCAGAATATTATATTTCTAGAAAATCAACAGGTGCACACACCCTCAAATCACTGGACTATTATTTGAACAAAATATTCTCCCGGGACCTATAAAAGATTCTGATACCTCAAACCTGAATTTAGCTTTGAATTTGGCAGCAGTACTCTTTATACAATAGCAGTGTTCTGGAGGAGCTGAGCTTTCTTTATATATGATTCATCTGGCCATATTCAGGCAAAATAAAAGAAATGTACAAAAGTAGCAATGAAATGGAGTATATTCATGCCAACATAAGCCATTTTTACTGGATGATAAAAACACATATTTTCAATAATAATTGTCCATATAATGAAAAATTTCTAAATTCAGGAAAAATATAAAAAGCTGCCTATTCTGCATTTTTTTTGTTGGCTTTCTAACCTTTGAGGTTTGTACAGCACTCAATAAGTAAAATTAAAAGTGATTTGACTTTATTTGGTTATGTAAATTGGGTTATATTTTACAGAATTAAAAGGTATCAATTTTACCCAACTTCATGCCTTTAAAAAAGAGGCCATAATACTTGAGAAATTATGCCTGGTTAATTCCAAATTCCAAACCCTAGTTTATTGATGAGACTACTTATTTTGGTAATATGTTGGCCTGGGGAGAAAGCAAGAGGGAAACTGGCAGTGTTTCTGGCCTTTACTGTAGCTCTAATTTGTTCCAAATGTCCAAATGCCTTTATATGTGTTTCTCGTGCAGAATAGAGTTACGTGGGATAGCCCAGCATCCCCTGACTTCTGATCACTCATGTTGTGAACACACTTGCATATTGGGAAGAAAAAAAGGCCCAGATCCTTTTCACCTTTGGGGTCAACTTTATTTTCTAATTCATTATAAGTGCTTAACATAGCTTGTGCCTGCTCTGAGTCAGGTGTTGACAATTAACAAGACCATAGTGTTTGGAGGACACATCATGTGCTCCCAAGTAGGGTTCTCAAATGTTTAAATGCTTGCACCTTCCTTATTTCCTTTGACACCTAAAACCCTGAAGTAACAGCAGAAATTATTATACAACTTAAAAAAGCTTTTACCCAAAAGTTAAAGAGGTAAAGAGGCTTACACAGTGTTCACAAAGTCACTTAGCTAATACCTGGTTGACCTAAGATTGGAATTTGGATTTTCTGAATATTATAGCAGGATACCAAGGTGGAAGAAAGATGTGTTCCTGAAATCCTTATTCGGCATTAGAATTCATTCATTATTTCTTTTGAAACCGTTAATTATTTTAAATACTTTTGAAATTATCATATTTATAAAATAATTCAAATGGTTGTCATAATCTTAACATGGAATAGCTTCTATTTTACAAGTAAGAGGTTTAAAATGGAACTTTTGTAAAATGGTTAATTTTTTTTAACTTTTTTGTTGTTGTTGTTGGGGGGTGGGGCCAGAATTTTGCTCTGTCGCCCAGGCTGGAGTACAGTGGCACAATCTCAGCTCACTGCAAACTCCACCTCCCAGTTTCAAGCGAATCTCCTGCCTCAGCCTCCCGAGTAGCTGGGATTATAGGCTCCCATCACCACGCCCAGCTATTTTTTGTATTTTTAGTAGAGACGGGATTTCACCATGTTGGCCAGGCTGGTTTCGAACTCCTGACCTTAAGTGGTCCACCCACCTTTGCCTCCCAAAGTGCTAGGATTACAGGCATGAGACACCACTCCAGCTTAACTTTTAAGCTCAGGGGTACATGTTTAGGTTTGTTACATAAGTAAACTTGTGTCGTGGGGGTTTGTTGTACAGATTATTTCCTCATCCATGTATTGAGCCTAGTACCCATTAGTTATTTTTCCTGATCTCTCCCACACCCTCCACCCTCCAAAAGGCCCCCAGTGTCCATTGTTCCTGTCTGTGTCCATGTGTTCTCATCATTTAGCTTCCATTTATAACTGAGAACATGCGGTATTTGGTTTATTGTTCCTTGCTACTTTGCTAAGGATAATAGCTTCTGGTTCCATCCATGTCAGTAAATTAGGAACTGCCTGTAACTATCTTTCAGCAAGCTAAAAAATAATAAGTAGCAATAATTCTTCATTCAATGGGAACCATCCATAATGTTAACACAGTAAAATGATTCACATGTAGGCAATGACTATAGGGATTTGGGGGGTCAGATAGCCCAGCACACCTTTATTTAATAAGTGGATCCTTTCAGAAAACAGATAAACTTCCATTTAACATAGTGCCATAAATTTACTTATTAAATATCCTGAACACACGTTAAGAATAACATCCTTTAGTTATAAAGTTACAGGGATCAAAAATGAGATAAATATCTTCATGGGCCAAAAATAGGAATAGAAATCTAAAGGTGATAGTGCTGAAGCCTCTGGGGAAGGAAGGCGGCAGGGGCAGCAGGAACTAAATTCCAAAGTCCTCAGCTCAAGGCGGGAGGCCCTCATGGTTGAGGGCTGGAACCACGCTCACTGCTTGGACCTTTGAGCTATTATGGGGCTGAGGTCAGCTCACCCATGTATCCAAGAGGATGAAATGACTGCAATAAAATAATACAATGGAGCCATTGAAAATTAGTTCAAAATAATATTTTTTAATATTCTTAAAGACATAAAGGTAGAAACTCATTGAAAAAAATTTGAAAGAGCAATGAAGAAAAATAGGCAGAAATGAAAAAAAGTGTAGGATAAAAGGGAAGAGAAGAAAGAGGAGGAGGAAAAGGAAGTAGAAAGACTGAAAGTAAAAATAATGTGGCACTGAAATCTTTTTAATTGCATAGAATTAGATCTGTAGAGAGATTTAATGAATTGGAAGATGGTACTGAGGATTTCATGTAGGGCATCAGAAAGGGGATGACGGAGGGAATGTTCTACAACTCCCATTCCAGTAATCAATTTATTGCCTCTTAGCTCCAAATTCACCCTTCAATACATGCTCTGTGAGAACAGATGGATTCCTTTCAGCATTTCTCTTATAAAGTGAGCATGACATTGACATTTCTCAGTCAAGGGCACTGGAAATAAGGCTGTAGAGGGGAATATTACAAACATCGTCTTTACCTGTAGTCATTTATTTTCTTAAAAAAACAAAATATGTGGAGCAAAGTGACAAAATGCTCATGGCAGTTTATTCTTGATAATGGGTACATGGTTATTTGCTAAGTGATCTTTTATATGTGTACACAAAAATGTTAAATTAACAAAATTTTTTAAAAAGTCAATTACACAGAGAGAGAAGGGCAAGACATTACTAAGTGGTTGGCTTCCAGGTTGATGACCAAGCATGTTCAGCTTCCAGCCATCTGAATCCAACAAAACTGCCTAAAGCAAGGCTAAGCCTTTATTTCTCTACCACAAGGTAATTTGTTTTTAAATGTCTTGTACAGTTTGTTGCTGAGGAAAGAGAATTAGGATTTCAGACATACAGGCCAAATATATTTTCCTGCTTTCCACAACATCAACTTTGATTGGAGCGGCCAAAACATTCAATGTAAGCAATTTAATCCAACAATGTTTGAAATTGTTGGATTAAATTCAAGAGTAGCAAATTTGGTTAGCCTAGTTGATTTAAGATGAGAGTAAGCACTTTTTAATGATATAGGATTGCATTTAATGTCAGAGCAAACATATATTTTGAGAAATAAAATAGTTAAGGAATAAGAAGTACAAATATCTAAATACATATACCTACATGGTTCGAGCTCTAATACCAACATGCAAAACAACCCCCGGCATATGAAATGTTTAAATGTAGCAAGTATAGGCCACCCTTAACCTACAAATGAAATATATACACATATGAATATATTTGTCTTAATGGTAAACCTGGACCTTAGAACATATTTTTCTGATGGAAATTATGTAATCTCTGGTGGCCAGGATGCTAACTGTCTCACAAAAGCTCATTCATTGAGCCACAAATTTATCAAAACTCTGAATTTTTACTTTGTTCTTATGGGGAAATAGTCCCAGTTCCAGTTGGTGGAATTGGGCCACATGCCCATCTACTCTAATCTTCCCTACTTTTGATCATTACTCCAGAGGGGAGTAACGCCTATTGTCTGTGGCTCAGAAAATGTACTGAAGGCAAGATGGTGTGATGAGTTTGGGCAGCCTACATTAGGTTGAGTGGTCACAAAGGCTTCTCTGAGAAGGTGACATTTGATCTAGAGCCTGAAAAGGTCCCAGAAATGAAGGAGAAGAGTATTTCTAGCCAAAGATTTAGGACAGGAAAGAATTTGAGGTGGTCCAATAACAGGAAGAACACTGGAGTGGCTGGAGCATCATAACTGAGTGAATGAGTGGTAGAAAATGAGATAGTAGGCAGAAAGAAGTTGACATAGGTCAGATGACACAGAGTCCGGCAGACCGCAATGCAGAGGTTGGATGTGACTCCTAAGCATAGCAGAAAGCCATGGGAGTTTTAAATAAGGGAATGGAATGATCTGATTGGTATTTTATTTTAAAAGGCCACTTGCTGCCATGTGGTGAACAGATTGTGAGGGGTAAGAAAAGAAGCAGAGACACAACTTTGGAATTATCTCAGGGGAGCAAGAGAGAGAGAAAGGGGGCATTTCCTCAGATAACAGCACAGGCATAAAGACAAATGAGTAGATTCAGAATATGTTTTAGAGGTAGCATCAATAGTAATTGCTGACAGATTAGAAGGACAAAGTTAGACAAAGAAAAGTAGGATAACTTCTAGAAAAGAGGCCAGAACTATATTATGTTATTAATTCAAAAAATTGCCTTTTTTTGGCAGCTTCCTATTATACTTTCAATCTGTCCTCATCTCGTTCACCACAGTTAAACTTCGAAAATAATTCAGATTATATCTTTCCTCTATCTTACCATTTTCAATATTTCCTCATCACCTAACATGCACAAGATCCTTTGCCTCCTGACGAAGTCCAGACTTCCCTTCAGCCAAGCCTTCCTCAGAGCCTGGGCTCCCACCAAGCTGAACATTCACGCTTTCATGCCTATTGTTTGTTGTGCTCAGAACACTCTTGATTTCTTCCTGTGTCTGGAAAAACGTATTCACCTTTCCAGTCTTAATAACTTCTGGCAGAATTCAATTATCCCGAGAACAAAACTGCCCTTGAATTCATTTCCTTCGTTGGGTTTTTTCACTGTATATGATCATCAGCTGTGTCTCCATCTCTCCTGATAGACTGTAGATTTTCAAGGGCAGGAACGTGGTGTTTTATCTTTGTGGCATCATCATATCCTCCAGTGTAGAGTGAGTGCTCATAAATGTGGTTGAAATAAATTAAGGTTTATCCTACTATGGAACATTATAATTGGTAAAATAAAATATTTTCTCTGGAAATGTAAGATGTGAAAGCAAAAAGTCCATTTTAATCAAAACAGAACTAAATTTTGCAAGCAAACTGTCTATAATTTGGGAGAGCATTCTCCCTAAATATAAATAACCCTTAAAAATACCATCTTTGCATATTTCTATGTCAGTGTTGTTTTAAAGTTTTTTTAAAAAATTTTTGAGGGGAAGTGCCATTACAGATGCCTTTGAAGTTCTGATAAAAGCTACTGGATCATATAACAGATTCACAACTTTGCGAATAATTTTAGGGACTTTCAAGTCCACTTAAACCCATTTATGGAGTAGATCAAGACTAGGTCAAGGTACCTTCTGTAAACTTCTAAAAAATATATGGTAAATCTTCTCTACAGTGGGAATATTGTCCATATTGCCAATTTTCATTAACCTCCTAGTGGAAGTGTCTGATACTGTGGTTGGTTGAAATGTGCTTAAAAATAAAGGTGAAATCTTTGTTCAAGAAGGCACGTAGTTTTGACAGAATACCACATGGAACAACACAACATCAATGTAAAACTGTTGGTGACTTTTCACTTCAGATAGAATTCATTTGTAAGGTGATGACAGAGTCAACTTTTCAATCCATACCACCACAGGTCCTTTCTTGAAGGACAGAACAGCTACAAAGGAGACAGTACGGCTCCAAAACAAAGAGAAAAACATTGAAAATACTACCTTTGACTGATAAAGAAGTGCACTGAATTTTCTTTATAAAACATCAGCAAATATTTTATCTGTCTTTTCATATTTTCTTCTTTGATATATAATTGTCCTGCCTCTATCTAGAGGCCCTGTCATGAGTAACCTATGGGTGGGTGGACTGGAATATACAGCATGTATCCATGACCCAAATGAAACAATGTTTTGCTCACCATTCTCTTTGGAATGAGATATACTCAAGAGTTCAATAGAGGTAGCAGTGCATCATGAATTCTTTCCTTAGTCAAGATCAGTACAAGATAAAGTAGGTCATTATTTGCTATTGCTGATTGATGTTAATTTGAATGTTCCTTTTGGATAAATTAGTCCTGATGTTTCTTATGGGAATTTGTTATTGAATTTGATGTCCATTCAGCATACCACCTATTTACAAAATGTAAGAACTAAGAAAATACCTGAGCATATCTCTAGGTGAAAATTGATTGGCAGTGCTATTTGATTTAACCAGATGTCTTTCGTATACATGTAAAGCAATATCAGTCTGGGCTGGTTAGCATGATGGGTTATTTGATGGGGAAACCAAGGATGCTGATTTAATCTCTTAAAACTGTTTCACCTGGATTAGTGCCTCTTAATTCATCTCCCTACTTTATTCTCTTTTAAAAGTTTTTAATTTTATTTTATTTTAAGTTCCAAGATACATGTGCAGGATGTGCAGGTTTGTTACATAGATAAACAGGTAAACATGTACCATGGTGGTTTGCTGAACCTATCAACCCATCACCTAGGTAGTAAGCCCCGCATGCATTAGCTATTTATCGTGATGCTCTCCCTCCCTCCGCACCCCCTGACGGGACCCAGTATGTGTTGTTCCCCTCCTTGTGTTCATGTGTTCTCATTGTTCAGGTCCCACTTACAAGTGAGAACGCGCAGTGTTTGGTTTTCTGTTCCTGCATCAGTTTGCTGAGGATAATGGCTTCCAGGTCGATCCATGTCCCTGCAAAAGACATGATCTCATATGTTTGTTGGTTGCATAAAGCTCAACATCACTGATCATCAGAGAAACAGAAATCAAAACCACAAGGAGATACCATCTCATGCCAGTCAGAATGGCGATTATTAAAAAATCAGGAAACAATAGATGCTGGCAAGGCTGTGGAGAAATAGGAAAGCTTTTACACTGTTGGTGGGAATGTAAATTCGTTCAACCATTGTGGAAGATAGTATGGTGATTCCTCAAGGATCTAGAACCAGAAATACCATTTCACCCAGCAATCCCATTACTGGGTATATACCCAAAGGAACATAAATCATTCTACTATAAAGACACATGCACACATATGTTTACTGAAGCACTATTTACAATAGCAAAGACATGGAACCAACCCAAATGCCCATCAACGATAGGCTGGATAAAGAAAATGTGGTACATATACACCATGGAATACTATGCAGCCATAAAAAGGAATGAGATCATGTCCTTTGCAGGGACATGGATGAAGCTGGAAGCCATCATCATCAGGAAACTAACACAGGAACAGAAAACCAAACAACACATGTTCTCATTTATAAGTAGGAGTTGAACATTGAAAACTCATGGACACAGAGAGGGGAACAACACATACCAGGGCCTGTTGGGGGGTAGGGGTTGAGGGGAGGGAACTTAGAGGATGGGTCAATAGGTGCAGCAAACCACCATGGCACACGGATACCTGTGTAATAAACCTGCACTTTCTGCATATATATATATATATATATATATATATCTCCTGGGTTTTTTTTTAGAAGAAGAAATAAAGAAAAAGAAGGCATGATTTCATTCCTTTTTATGGCTTCATAGTATTCCATGGTGTATATATACCACATTTTCTTTTTCCAATCCGTCATTGATGGACATTTGGGTTGATTCCATGTCTTTGCTATTGTGAATAGTGCTGCAATGAACATACAAGAGCATGTATCTTTATAACAGAATGATTTATATTACTTTGGGTATATACCTAGTAATGGGATTGCTGGGTGAAATGATCCTTGGTTCTAGATCCTTGAGGAATCACCATGCTATCTTCCACAATGGTTGAACTAATTTACATCCCCACCAACAGTGTAAAAGCATTCTTATTTCTCTACAGCCTCACCAGCATCTGTTGTTTCTTTTTAATATCTCTACTTTATTCTCAATTTAGATAGTCTGTTCTCAGCCCAGCAACCAGGGTTATTTCTTTCAAAAACCTGAGATAGGATTATGCCACTGCTCTGCTCAAAACGCTTCAGTACTTTCCCTTTTTCACACAGAGTAAGAGCCAAAGTCTTAAATGGCCTACAAGTTACTCCACGACCTGGCCCCTTAACCTCTGACCTCATGTCCTGCCATTTTTCCCATATGCACTTTCCTTCAGCCACATTGACTTCACTGCTTGAGTATGTCAGATTCCCTTCAGGTCCCTCTCCTAGCTGTGCCATCTGTCTGGTATGCTGTTACCCAGATGTCTCTTTGGCCAACTCCTTCACCACTTTCAAGTCTTTGTTTCCCAGTTCTTCTACATCCCTTCCCCTGATCCTGGCTGACTCATTCTTTTATACTTTGTACAATTTTATAGCTTCTGACAATATTTATACTTATTTATTATGTGCATTGCCTGTTCCCCCGCCCCTCCAGGATGTAATCTCTTGTAGGACAGTTATCTTACTTAATGATATATTCCAAACATCTGAAATAGTATTTGGCACATAGTAAGCTCTCAATAAATATTTGTTGAATCAAATGAATGAATAGATTGGCTATACAGCCTAAGATTTTCTTATTAATTCATTCTAGGGATACAAAAATGTATAAGACTTGGAACTATCTTCCAAAAACCACCTCTAACCTTAGGAACTATATTAAATTGTTTGCAGTGGATCACAAACAGGCCTGAGTGAAGGAGCAAGGATGGTTTACCCAAAGCTATTCTACTTCAGGAAAAAAGTTGTACGGATTCCAGTGATACTCCAAAAATGTAAATTACTGCCTAATTTCAGAACTCATTGTGATACCCTGATCCTGAGCCCCATCCTTTTCTTGAGGTAGTCAATTGTTAAAGAACTGGGATCAAAATTTATTGAAGCATTTGTTAAGTGTCAGAAGGCTGAGTTTTAGGATGATATTGGTCAGGCAGCATCATAAATGATGGAGCTGCCATCAATAAAAGTAGCATGATTTCTGCATTTCACAAATGAGGAGATTAAAGCAGCAGTGTCTTAGTCTGTCTGCTGCAGCTATGACAGAATACAACAGACTGGGTAATTTATAAAGAAAAGAGGTTTATTTGGCTCATGATTCTGGAAGCTGGGAAGTCCAAGAGCATGGTGTCAACATCTGGCAAGGGTCATCCCAAGGCAGAAGGCAGGAGGCAGAAGTGAGCACAGGAGACAGAGAGAGAAATCGGGTCAAACTCATCCTTTTATCAAGAGCTCACCACTGCAATAACTAATCCACACCTGGGATAATAACTTTAATTCATTTATCAGGGCAGGACATTCATGACCTCCTCATCTCTTAAAGCCCCAACCTCCCAATACCATTACATTGCCAATTAAATTTCAACATGAGTTGTGGAACAGACGTTCAAACCAGAACACAGGGCAAAAAAGATGTTAGTGTCTCAGACAACCAATGTCAGTGGTCTAAGTTTGGAATTTCTGGTGGTCACATTCACATAGCGGCTGATTTCTACTTTCATAACCAAGACACTGTCTCTGCATTGCCTTCCCAAATCCTCAGGGAGTGATCACACCCAAGTTTGAAATCACTCCTTTCTTAACAATCCAACCTGTTCAACATGGCTGTGTTCAGTCAATCAGTGTGAGTGCTGAGAAACAAAGGTTCGTTGTTATTGTGGGCCAAGACCTCAGGGTCAGGTGAGAGGAATACTGATAAGCCTTCAAGTCACAGACAAGTGCTGAGGTCCCCCAAGAAATACCTGTATGTTCTTGTGTGGAAATCTTCTGGCATCTCTTACAGGTTTAATAAAGAATTGTCTGGGGCTGGGCACGGTGACTCACGTCTGTAATCCTAGCACTTTGGGAAGCCGAGGTGGGAGGATAGCCTGAACTCATGAGTTCGAGACCAGGCTGGGCAGCATGGTGAAACCCTGTCTCTACTAAAAATACAAAAATTAGCCAGGCATAGTGGTGTGTGCCTGTAATCCCAGCTACTCGGGAGGCTGAGGCAGGAAAATCACTTGAATCCGGGAGATGGAGGTTGCAGTGAGCCAAGACCATGCCACTGCACTCCAGCCTGGACAACAAAGCAAGACTCTGTCTCCAAAAAAGAACTGTCTGGGCTCTCTTGAATTTTGGAATTCTCCTCCCCATTCCAGGAAGTTTTAATATACCCCATTCCCCATCTGAGTCTTCTTTTAGATAGAAGAAAAAGGAGGAATTATTTTTTTCAAACTAAATATAGCTAGATAGACAAATAAGTTTTTCTGCTACATTTTTCTTTCAGTTGCAAGCCACTTCTCAGAAATAATTAGATTTATCTGACAAGATACTTGAAAGATTAGAAGTAATACCATATTAAAACTGTCTAATAATATGAAGTAAACAATGGATTGCAGAAGGACAGGCTTGACTAATCCTACTATAGAGCTGCCCTATTTCTTTCACAATAACTCATTTTATTGATAGGTACCTTATTTTTAACCTTGATTATAGTCAAAATTATAATTTGATAGATTATCCCAGTGAATTCTTTTTTTTTTTTTTTTTTTTTTTTTTTTTTGAGACGGAGTCTCGCTCTGTCGCCCAGGCTGGAGTGCAGTGGCGCGATCTCGGCTCACTGCAAGCTCCGCCTCCCGGGTTCACGCCATTCTCCTGCCTCAGCCTCCCGAGTAGCTGGGACTACAGGCGCCCGCTACCACGCCCGGCTAATTTTTTGTATTTTTAGTAGAGACGGGGTTTCACCGTGTTAGCCAGGATGGTCTCGATCTCCTGACCTCGTGATCCGCCCGCCTCGGCCTCCCAAAGTGCTGGGATTACAGGCGTGAGCCACCGCGCCCGGCCCCCAGTGAATTCTTAAATCCTGGCTAAACATTGCTTTTATTATTCCCTAGAATCCTTTCATTACTTGCTAGCTTATAGCTGAATGTTAATATTCAGTTAAGCAAAGGATTTTGAAGCAAATCAATTATCACACATTCCTTAAAATATATCAAACATTCCAGAGGCCAATACAAGTGAATCTGAGTTTGACCATTATCATACATAATATGTACAGATACTATTGCCTATTTAAACAGACAATTAAAAATTGATTATATTTTGGGAGATCTCTATAAACTCATCAAAACTAGAGAACTTGTCATGTAACAGAATCGTTCAGCTTGATATTCTGCAATCAATATTTTTAGAGTGCAACTTTCAGAAGAATGCATTTCAGATTTTTAACTTCAATAGCAATGGATTTGCTTGTAGTCACTGAAATCTCAAACTTTTGTCATCATTTAGCAGCCATTGGTCATCTATTAATAAATGCATTAATATTTATCAAATGACAAGTCTTTTTTAATGTGCTTTAAAAATGTGCTAAATACATTTTGCCCTACAGTTCAAGTTGGCTTTCAAAGGGCCCTTATAAACTATCAAACTGTCACAATGCAAATTACATAGTAAGAGAAATTACAGAGTGATTTAAATAGAACTTCTTGGAAGGATGTGTGATCCTAGGATGCAATCAGTATTTTTCATTAAATACTGGTAATCAGATTATACACCAAATAACCTAGTCTGTACATGTGATTGGCAGTGAAAAGTATTTTTAGACTCAGGTACTCAACATTGGCTTTGCAAGTGGTATAAAGCAAAGAGCCATAGTCTACCTTAAATACGCCAACTTCTTACATTTCATACAACTGCTTCATTCTATAGAATTTCAGGGACCAGAAAGAATTGCATTGACTGGAAAGAATCAAGTCAAAAAAGGTGGGGAGGGCTAGTGTGGAAACAAACTTCTGAGGGAAAAATTGCCCATATGAAAGAGCCTAAGAAAGTGAAATTTCACTTATGCCTTTTTTTAGTACTTAAAACATATTTTAAGCATGTCTTTTGTGTGAATGACAGTATAAGCATTGTGGGAGAAAAAGGATAAGTGCAAACTCTTTTGGAGATTTATAGTATAGTTATTGGAGTTTTTAGTATTATTTCAGATCAAGCATAGAACCATATCAATGCTCCATGAGTTGGGGAGAAAGAGAGCAGTTCTGAATAAAGACATCAGGGAGGCTGACATGGGTGGATCACTTGAACTCAGGAGTTCAGGACCAGCCTGGGCAACATGACAAAACCCCATCTCTACAAAAAGTACAAAAAATTAGCCGGGCATGATGGTATGTGACTATAGTTTCCAGCTACCTGGGGAGCTGAGGCAGGAGGATCACTTGAACGCCAGTGGTTGAGGCTGCAGTGAGCCAAGATTGTGCAACTGCACTCCAGCCTTGGGCGACAAAGTGAGACTCTCTCCCAAAAAAAAAGAAAAGAAAAGAAAAAGAAAAAGAGATCAGGGTGGATTTTACTGAAAGAGTAACATGTAATATGGAGGAGACAAGGTGTACAGGAGTTGACTGGAAAACAGTAAGTGGCCTAAGAGGGCTGAACAAAATAAAATAAGCCTGGAAAGGAAGTTTGGACTAGTTTGTGGAAGGCATTGAAGGCCAGAGATCCAAAGCAATTCCCTAGGGCAACTAGTATGTTCTTAGATTACTTAACGTGCCTGTTGGCACATAGGACACAGAGTATGCATGAGTTATTAATTCACTGAACCAGTGATAAAAGAGACAAAAGCTCTTTAACTTACAAGAGAAAACATGGGGAGAAAAGATAGTACTATCATGCATACCACATTGAATCGTGAAAAGCATGTCCAGTTATAATTTTTCTATCTTCATTATTCACTTAATAAATATTTATTGAAGAAGTATGATATAGCGGTGGGAAACATGTGAAGGAATTGGTTTGGGTTCACTTAGGCCTGCCTTCAGATCTCATGTCCGTCAATTGCTTAGTCTAAGCCTCAATTTTCTCATCTGTTAAATGGGCATAATGCTGCTTCCTTGCAGAGTTACTGTGCACATTAAGTGAGATACTGTGAATAAAAGCCTTATTACATGGCCTGACATATGGTTAGTGCTCAAAATAAGTTAGTTCCCTCTGACTCTGGCCCTTTTTATACACTCTTTCTCTTCCTGTAGTCTACTGTCTCCCTGCACTAGGAAACTAGGGCCACTTTTGTGTTGCTCTAAAGGAATAGCTGAGGCCGAGTAATTTATAAAGAAAATAGGTTTATTTGGCTCATGGTTCTGCAGGCAATAAAAGAAGCATGACAGCAGCATCTGCTTCTGATGAGGGCCTCTGACTGCCTCCATTTACAGTGGAAGGCAGAAGGGAGCTGGTATCTACAGAGATCACATGGTGATAGAGGAAGCAAGAGCAGGGGAGGTGTGAGGCTCTTTTTGACAACCAGGTCTTGGGAGAACTAACAGAGTAAAAACTCATTACCACGAGTACCAAGGCATTCATGAACCATCTTCCCCCACAACCAAAACACCTCCCATTAGGCTCCACTTCCAACACTGGGGATCAAATTTCAACATGAGATTTGGAGGGGGGTCAAACCAAATTAGAGCAATAACTTTCTCTATTCTGAAGACCCTAGGATTACATCTAAACATAAGCAAGAGTAATTTCTGGAGCCCCCACCCAACGTCTGGGACTCAGCTCAGGTCATCCTCTCTATAGTAGTTTCTTTCTTACCTTGGGCATGGTTTTTTTTTTTATTATTATACTTCAAGTTTTAGGGTACATGTGCACAACGTGCAGGTTTGTTACATATGTATACATGTGCCATGTTGGTGTGCTGCACCCATTAACTCGTCATTTACATTAGGTATATCTCCTAATGGTATCCCTCCCCCCTCCCCCCACCCCACAACAGTCCCCGGTGTGTGATAGTCCCCTTCCTGTGTCCATGTGTTCTCATTGTTCAATTCCCACCTATGAGTGAGAACATGCGGTGTTTGGTTTTTTGTCCTTGCAATAGTTTGCTGAGCATGCATGGTTTTTTCCTCTTTGGACTTTTGCCCCAGTCGCCCTTTTAGAGCCCTGATCTTTCTAAGACCAAGCCTCTGTCCTCTCCTTGCTAAACTCCACAACTCCCACTTTATCCCCTTTTCTTACTGGCTGTGCTGCCCTGGAACTTGGTCTGGTCAATAGGTTTTTGCTACTAATGAACTTCACTGATAGGGTTTGACTAGTCTCCACAGTATTGCCTACTTCTGGATTGGGTCCTGGGTTTGTGTCTTTCAAAAACCTTGCTTTTTATGGAACTAAGCCACCTCTCCCCACAGCAGCTTTATGGGAGCACTAACTTGGATCTTTTGCCACACCACTGGAATTTCCCCTGGACCCTGCAACTAAGGAAGTGACTGTGTGTGTATTGAGGGTTGGCATGGCTCCTAGTCCTAGTCTCAGCCTCCAGGGATCTGTGCCAGGCCTGCCCATGTCTGCAGCATTCTTAGAGGTACAAAGATGAGCAAGCCCAGTTCTTAGACTTAAAGATCATATAAGATAGTAGGCAATATGAAATGAGTGCAAGACTAAGGATCGTACAAGGCAGAATATGGTAAGTGTGTTAGGGAAGTACAAAGCACCCTGTGAATTCACAGAAGCAAGATTTCAATCACATTGTTGAACTGCCATGGTGAAAGCAACATTTGAGCTAGGCTTTCAGTGATAGATATCAACAGACAGATAAATGAAAAGACATGGCTAGGACAGGGAAGCAACGTGAACAAAGACACAGAGGTAGGTAAATGATAACAAGGGAAGAATATGTAGTAGGTGGGCGAGCTGGAGAGAATCTGGTCTGCATCCAGATTGTGAAAAATGTTAAACGCTTGGCTAGGAGAAAAGCACTTACTTTGATGACTATTTGAGACCAGGGCTATAGTATACAGCCACACAGGTTATGCACAGCCAACTCCAGGGGTCCCATTCATATGCATTAGGGGTTGGTCAACCTTTTCTGTTTTATCTAGCCTGATAGTAAATATTTTAGGCTTTGCAGGCCACGTGGTCTATGTTGTAACTACTCAACTCTGCCTTTGGAGCTCAGAAAAAGTTATAGACAATGCGTAAACACATGAATTTGGATGTGTCCCAATAAAATTTTATTTATAGACACTGAAATTTGAATTTCACAAAATGTTACTCTTCTCACTTTTTAAGCCACTTAAGAATGTAAAAACAGAATGTTCTTAGCTAACAGGTCATACAGAAACAGGCAGCAGACCAGATCTGGCCCCTAGGATGTAGCGTGCTGACACCTGATAAAGACTCTGTGGGCCGGGCGCGGTGGCTCACGCTGTGATCCCAGCACTTTGGGGGCCAAGGCAGGTGGATCACTTGAGATGAGGGGTTCAAGATCAGCCAGGCCAACATAGTGGAACCCCGTTTCTACTAAAAATACAAAAAAAAATTAGCCAGGCATGGTGGCATGCGCCTGTAATCCCAGCTACTTGGGAGGCCGAGGCAGGAGAATCGCTTGGACCCTGGAGACGGAGGTTGCAGTGAGCCAAGATCGCACCATTGCACTCCAGCCTGAGTGACAGAGTGAGACTCTGTCTCAAAAAAAAATAAATAAAAAAAGAGGGACTGAATGTGAACGATACTCCTAAGTTGTAAGACACATGGACCATGGTGGAAATCCATTGATGCTGTTTATTAAAGACCAGCATGATGCAGTTTTGTCTGTATAAGAAATAGACGAGAGGAAAAAGAGATGTGAAAAGGGAATCCCATTCTGATGGTACTGCCGTACTTCAAGCAGAGTGTGTGTGTGTGTGTGTGTGTGTGTATGTGTGATATTGTTGACATATTTCTGAACTGCCATGTAGAAAGTGACATTTGAACTAGGCCTTCTATTTGAATACACCTATTTTTCTATACTTTTTCCTCTAAATTGTCTACACAATGTATCATCAACTTGGCACCATGACCAGCTCTCTGGATGTCTTTTATAAAAGTGAATGGCAGAAGTGTCTTAAAAGAATAAAAGGAGGAAAGCAATCATTCTCAAGGTTATAATCTTTGGGGTTAAAGGGGAAGAAACTCAAACCCTTGAGTGGAGGCAGTAGTATAAATTTTCAAGAAATAAAACAAAGAAGCCTTCACTTTGCAATCACTTGCTCCTCTTTTATCACAACATCATATAAAACATCTTATAAAATTCATTGTGCTTTCTGTTACCCTCCATTTTAAAAGCCAGCACTTGGGAATGTTTCAGAATATCGATTCAGTGAACTTCTGTTGTACAAAGCTTTATCTCATTGTTGATATGCTGTCTGCATTCCAGCATATGACTATGGGCATCTATTTGTGTCTGATCTTATTGGATCCATCTTCTTTTGTTCATCACAGTAGAACTATGTGAGCCAATGACTAGGCAGGAAAATTCCATGACAAGATTCGATTAGAAAATTATCATCTAGGTTTTTATGTGTTGGTTACCCAAGTACTAACTGGTTTATCATCTTTAATAGTTTAGTCTCTGAATCTACTATTTTTAAATGAACTGTAAAGATGTTACTAATATTTAGTATGTGTGTATAACACAGATACCAGTGGCAAGAAACATCTCCAATCTAAAATAATGGGTGAAGTGTCTACTGAGGCAAATATCTGTTTACTATGTGAAATACTTCTCTATCACATATGGATACACACAAAGGGTAAACTTTCTCACAGATAATAAATGGCATGCTACAATAACGTCAGTTAGCAAGAAGTTCCCCATAGGGATAATGTGTTCATTTGGCAAGGAATTGAAACAGATAATTTGGATTCCTTCTACCCTAATGTTGTAAAAGTCTGCTGAGGAATTCCAGAAGACCCAAATCACTAGTAAAATAATAGAGAAATCCACATATTTGACTATTTTGTATTAAATGTATTTAAAAGTTTAGATTTGTTATTTATAATACTTCTTTGAATAGATAACACTGACAAATAGGATATCATTATTAATGCTAATATTTTACCATCCTCAACAAACTTGAAGTGACTAACAAAATTATTATATATAAATTCAATATCTTTTTGAAGTCTGACAACAAATGTACTTAGTACTCAAATCTATAAAATCTAATATTATCAAAAGATTTTAATATATCCTTAAATACATTCTAATGAGACTTTTCAAATAGCTGATATTTTGTCAGTATCATACCTTGTGCTAAATACACATGAATCCTTGCAACAATAGACTACATTGCACAATAGCCAATGTCCTCCAGCAACAGAACAGAAGATACCACACAAGCTGCCAGTATTGGATTCATTCACTGTTGAATGAATTTTGCTTTCGGTAATCTTAAGTGTTTGTTATACATCTGAATTTCCTTGGCATTTTCTTCATGCTCCATACATACAAAATAAACCAGTGCTGATACATAAACAGCTCCCTACCTCACTGGCTAGGTATCACAGCTGTTAAGCCAGCAGGTCTGGAAATGATAGCATTCTCTATGGCTCTAACAATGAGATAACTTTATAAATATTGATGTAAAATAGGAATGTAATTCATTTTATCTTATCTGGGCAGGTTTCCTATGCTCCATACTGCATTATTCATGTACTGGCATTTGAACGGTTGCCTACATTTGGAAATTCTGTTTACAAACTTTTATATTTGGGACTTACAAACCTTTCTGATATAAGCAGGATAAGTATTTTCCCCGATCTCATGAGTTTGAAAATAGAGTTCCAGAGCGGATACCTAAATTGAAGCCATGTGAATAGTGATTAGTTCAATGAGATCTTACATCCAGCCCTGCTGAATCCTGTTCTGTGCTCCCTACATTGCATCACACTGCATCTTAAGAAGATCATTCCAGAGTTGGTTGCTGTGTAAACCTGAGGAGTGCTCACCAATAGCCAAGTCTCCTCTCCTTCCAGAGCACTTAGAACATCATACTTCCCAGTCAGCCTTAACCCCCAGTTGGGTGAGATCATGGTACTAGCTCTGACCAATAGGCTATGAGCAGGAATGAGGTGTGTCACTTCTGGAACGAGTTGGATAAAAGCCTTCGTGAGATCCTCGGTAGCAAACATGGAAGCCATAGATTGAGATGGTGGAGCTATAGGATGAAAAATCCTGGATCACTGAGTCACTGCATAGAGGAGAGCTACCCTGGAGAGTCATCTGACTTAAGCAGGCTTTGACTGAGGAAGAAATAAACTTTTTCAGTAAAGCCACTGAGATCTGAGGGCCAGTTGTCACTGCAGCATAAGCTCAGCTTATTCTAACAAAACTAATCCACATCCTTTCTACAGCTGCTATCAGCATTATACCATTATTATCTCCTAATATATCATCTCCAGTTAAGATGTTAAAGGAAGTACAAAAACTGGTCTTTGGTTCTATGGAGAAAATAAAATAGTAAAAAGGGATAGGAAGTTATTAAGGCTTAGGTGCCACAATTTTAACTCAGTGGTCAAGAAAGAACTCACGTAAAATGTAACATTTGACCAATGACTTAACAGCATACAGATATCTGCAAGAAATACATTCTAGGAAAAAGGGAATTGTCGAGCATTTGATGTTTTAGGAGCAGCAAAGAGGTCAGTATAGCTGAATACAGTGACTGAGAGGGAGGAGTGTAAAGAGCAATGAGGTTAGAGAGACAAGGAGAACAAGGCATATCATGGAGGGGTTTGTAGGCTATTGTAAGGACTTTGCCTTTTACTCTGAGTGAAATGAGAAGCCTTTGAGTGTGATGCAGTGTAGCAATATGGTTTGATTTCTATTTTTAGAGGACTGTTTTCTAAAAGCAGATTTATGGCATTGAACAGTTATTTACAATGGAGAGTGTTGCAATATAATGTGTATTCGATCATGTGTTATTTTGAGGCATGGGCTAATCCTCACTAAACCAATGCTCGTGGTCTTAGTTCACAATGCACATTATACTGATGATAATCAAGCTTCTATCTAAGTTTCCTAATACCTTAAGCTGCAATCCTCTGATTTGAAACACTTGCCATAAAGTTATCAAATAGATCCTTGCAAGGATCTTTATTCTCCAGAATCTCCATAGTAAATCATCAAAAATAGTTGGATATAATTCCATAGCATATGAAACCATCACTTGGAGTGTCCTAAGTGATGATAGAATGAATGCATTGATCTTACAAACTATTTACTTTGTCATTTCCACCTCAGTACCCAAACGACAGCATCTCCAAAAAGTAAAATCATTCTTCATTCCTAACTACCTATTCCAGAATTTGTGCCCACTGTATTCCTTTACTCCATTCAGAAAGCCCCCATTACCACAATAGCTTAAGTCAGAAACCGCAAAGATTGGTAACCATTTCTAAAAGTTTTTTCTTTTACCTACCCCCTCAAATTCAGCTTTCCCACAATCCAACCCAACCTCAAATCTAGTCCTTATTCCCTTTCATGTGAATTGCTAGAACAAACCCCACGGGTCTCTCTGGCCTTCTGGTTGTGTCACTCTCCTTTCTGCAAGAATGTGCTAAACTCTTTGGGCCTAAAGACCCCTCATGATCCAGTTCCTGCCTGCATTTTTAGGAGCAACTCTTGCTGCTTATGGATTGCAACATTTGCTGCAGCCACACAAAGCCGCTTGTTGTTTTCCAAGCATCCTAAGCTATTTCACACATCTGTGACTGCAAATGCCATGCCCTCTCATGGGATATTTTCTTGCCTTCTCTAACTGGCAACTTTCTCTTGCTTTCAGCCTCTGTTTATACATTGTCTCATTTATAGTCTTCCTTGATCTCACCTTCAGGATCCCTCATAGGTAACTTTATTTCAAAGGTGACTATGAGCTTACATCTGTCATCTCCACAAGAAAACTCTCTGTATGTCACATCCCCAAAACAAAGGCACATACATAATAGGTGTTCATATGTGTTGAATGAATTAATACCTCTAAATACCATTCTGGCTCCAATGCCCAGTATTACCATAATTGGGAGGATGTCATATCTGTATCTCAACACCCATCCTGTGATGCCCAATGGGTAGAAAATGGCATTTATTGTCATTTCCTTCATGAGGGAAAATGTAATTTCTTTCAGCAGTTTGTTGGGTAACTTGAAAATAAAACAGTATTTTAATATCGAACTTGTTCTTACTTGAGGTGGCTGCCTGTTTTTTGGCATTTTATCACCCCAGATTGATTTATCTTTGTAATTCTTCTTTGGCTCACAGCCATTGCTATTAAATAATTGCCTTGCTTCTTAATGCTGACCTCATCAGATGCTATGAGTATAAAGGAGAAATCCATTGAGAAAAATCAGCCCCTGGTTTGTTGGTTCTTCTAGAAATCTGAATTTTTAAATTTGTGTAAAGATAGATTGCATTAAAGAGAACATATTCTAAAATTAATAATAGAATAATGAGAAATGTAAAGACATCTAATGTTTTAAAGGGATTACATTTCAGCAATGCAACATTGTTTAGTGTTTATATTTGGCTCTTTTTTCCTTACTATAGTATAGCATATGTTCTGAGATGGGACATTGCTGTTTTTGCCTCATCAACTTGAAACCTCTCTCTAGTCAGCATAAGGCATGTTTTGTTGAATACTGCAATAATATGCTGTTGTAACTGGTGGCTGAGTCATCTGTTTTTACAGGATTGGTACTGTAAGGAGCTGAGACATATGTCTCATGTGTCAAAATTGAGTGTGAATTTTAAAGTCGAAAATAAAATGAACCCTTGAGCATACTCAAGTGCAAATCACAGCAACCTGTGGGCTGAGGGCTTTCACAGCTACTCTTTGATTTTTTTGAAGTTGCATTATTACACTATTGGTATTTTCATGCAGTGAGTGGAAAAATACAAACTCAAAGCTTATAAGTACTGCTGTGAAAAGGATGATATTATGGATTTTTCTACTTTCTCTGTGATCAGCTTTTTAAACCCAGGATCCTGTGTTTCTGGTCACTAAGGGCTTCTTTGCTTGTAGAGTTACCAGTGGTCAAGTGACCAAATGAGGGGTCAGGGTCATTTTAGCAAGTGGGCACCCACCTAGATTGGCTAGGAACCTTAGCCATGGGAGGACCATGCATCTTTTGTACCTGTTTCTCTTTCCTACAATGAAAGAATTCACAGAATGGGCACCTGGGTCAGGTGTCCAGGGTAAGATTAAGAGCACAGGAGATGCTGATGATGGAAACACATGGAGATCTTCATACCAAAAACACTGAGTTCACTCTGCTGTTGCATCATGATTTGACACTGAAACTAGAACCAGAAAACCTTCTTCAGGAAAGTTGAGTTTGAGAGTGTAGCTGCCCCTAGAGTTCACCTCCATGTCTCCTTAAAGCTCCTCTGTCTCCTTACTCAGCCTTGGCCCAGGATGCCTTGTAAAACACAATACAATGACAGTCAAAAATAACAGTATTTATGGGATTCGTGAATCCAAAAGTGCAGTGAAACCTCATTGACATTATAGCTAAGAGAAAGCCCCCTCAATGTCAGAAGAACGTCACAATGCAGATAAATTAAGCAGGGGCATTTCGATGGGAGCATGACTGTAGGCTAGAGGCGTGGTGACCTAGAATTAAAGTAAAATTAATGGGTGAGAATTAAAGTCTAGCTAGGGAAAAGAAAGAGGACTTCAAATTTCCCAAGGGCCCCTTTTCTAGATGGAGAGGGAAATCTGAACCTTCCTATCATCTGAACCTTTGGGAAATGGGTGGTCGATTGACTGTAATGGGCACAATGGGCCTATTGAGATGACGGATGCATGCTATATGTTGGTGTGGTCATGGTTCCATGGGCATATACATAAAAGCATAAAATTCATCATGCAGCATATTTAATATGTATATATTGTACTGCTGTGAATTATATCTCAATAAAGGATTAACAAAGCAGAGAAAGGGTCAAAGTGGGGCAGTACTTTGATTTTATGTATCTCCCAAGACTAAATAGTTCCTTAATGCAACGTTATCTCAATTTCTTCTCTCGCGCTTACGAAAAGCATTAAAAACCTTTTTTTTTAAAATATGTATTAACCTAGTTTCTCCAAAATGTCCTCTTTGTATGGTGTTATGTAAACAATAACTTCCTTTCATTTTGTTAAACAGCAGCTCATGATTAGCTAGGTGGCTTTGCCACTGCCCTCATAAACTCAGCTTCCAACTTTATGATTATATTGGCTTAATTTAACTTGATAATAATGATAAGGGTAATAGCTAATGTGCATTAAGCATTTAATGTTCCAGGCACTCTGGTTATGTACACACACTCATTTAATTCTCTTAACAACCTTTAGGTACAATAAATACATATATTTTTCTTACACAAAAATATTAAAGCTTAGCAAGGTTGAGCAGCCAATGCACAGTCACACTGTGAAATGTGGCAGAAATTTGGGTCTGTCTGTTATCAAAGCTCAGTCTTAAGCTCTCTGGAATGCACCATCTTCCGGCAGCCTCCAAATGCTCTTATAGAAGCACATCTTTCTTTGCAACTTGGGCTTTTATTGCTTTTTACTTTTTACATGCTTGGGGATAACAATTTTTGGAGGGAATATTAATTCAAAATAATTTACCTTACTTTGGTCACCATGAGGCATCATATGGAAAACAAAGTGTAATTAACAGCATCAAAACTATGAAGTTTAGCAAAGAGGGGCCATGTTTTCTTTCAGATTTCATCTCTGAGCTATGTTTTAATTCATGTAAATTTTCTAGTTCACAGAACTTTTTCCTTTCAGCATAAACATTTTTAAAATATTTTAACCATCTTTCAAAAATGCAAAATATAGCCTGAATATGTTCCTAACTTCTTAAACAGAGCACAGATTCTACCATGTATTAATTTGTATTCGGGGACATGGATGGAACTGGAGATCATTATGTTCAGTGAAATAAGCCAGGCACAGAAAGACAAACATTGCATGTTCTCACTTTTTGTGGGATCTAAAAATCAAATCAATTCAACTCACGGACATAGGGAGTAGAAGGGTGGTTACCAGAGGCTGGGAAGGGTAGTCAGGGAATCGGATGGAGGTGAGGATGGTTAAAGGGTACAAAACAATAGAAAGAATGAATAAGACCTACTATTTGATAGCACAATACGGTGACTATAGTCAATAATAACTTAATTGTACATTTTAAAATAACTTAAAGAATGTAATTGGATTATTTGTAACTGAAAGGATAAATGCTTGAGGGGATGGATACTTCATTCTTCATGATGTACTTATTTCACATTGCATGCGTGTATCAAAACACCTCATGTACTCCATAAATATATACACCTACTATGTACTCACAAAAAATTTTTAAATAATTTTTTAAAATAATAAAAATTACAGCCTAGCCAATATGGTTAAACCCCATCTCTACTAAAGATACAAAAAATTAGCCAGGCGTGGTGGTACGCGCCTGTAATCCCAGCTACTCAGGAGGCTGAGGCAGGAGAATCGCTTGAACCCGGGAGGCAGAGGTTGCAGTGAGCCAAGATGGCACCACTGCGCTCCAGCCTGGGTGACAGGGCAAGACTCTGTCTCAAAAATAAATAAATGTGACAAGGCAAGACTCTGATTCAAAAATAAATAAATAAATAAATAAATACATCACAAAGAGTAAAATAAAATAATAATAATTTGTACTTGGTGTCTGTTACTGGTGACAAATTCTGCCATCATATCGTGAGATACTTGGACACTGTTAAGATATGCTGGATTCTTGAACCCTCTCCAGAATGCCTCAAGTTGAGATGGAATTCTTTTGGCTGCATCATGTCTCCTCTCATCCACTATTCCAGTATCCTTATGCCATTTATTGAATTTCTGCTTCAAAATTCCTTTGGGCCACAGAGAACGATAATACATAATAGAGTTCAAAATATACGTAAAGCCTTTTTGAATAGTTTTTAAAATCTGAATAAATAATTAATAGGAGGACTCGACAGCGTCTTCCATGAAGAAAATGCAGATTTTATTTTTTGTCCCATCTCTCTTTTGTATGGATTTGTACAATTCAAATTTTTCAAAGGTATTTTTCCCCTTTGCATCCTATACTTGAGCTGTTATGATTATCTGAATAAATAATATCCAGATAAGTGTTTTATTGTGACTTAAAAATATTACTTACTGAGGAGCAAATTGATGATTTCTGTCAGCTGTTCATTAGATGTCTTAAATCTTTAAGAGGCCACAGCAGTGGATGTTCTTCAAGAGTGGTCTCCAGGCAACAGGGTTTCCAGGCAGATACTCTGTGGACACAAAAGTGAACAGAAATGAGATGGTAAATTTGGAATAGGGAAGAATTTCACACACATACGAATATTATAGTGTGTTGAAGAGAGGATTTCAAAGGAAAATTTTCGCTCTATAATTAATTTATTAAATATGGGATTTTTAGTTATTTATTCAATATTTGTTTCACAATACTTTAATTTTTTACCAAGAAAATATAATACTCAGTAATATACTGTTTAAGTAGAGTTTTTATTTAATTTTGATCATATACCTCAAATTACTATTTTCTTTTTTTAAAAAGTGAAACAAGTGACTAAAGAAGTCAGCATTTAAATATTTGCAAGTATGTCCCGCACTCAGGAACAGGTTCCAAATTATCTCACTAATGTCCTACATAAATGAAGTCTCTCCAAGTGCTTTTAGTGGTGTTAAAATTATTCTACCAAAATTAGAATTATTGTCATAGAGACTGATTGTTTTGTGGACTACAGCACAGCTCTAAAATTGAGCCCTGTTTAAAAAAGAAATGATAACATTAAGGCCACCATGAGTTCCATCTACTTGCATTTTCCTTGTCCCACCTAACTCCAAAATCAAGTATAAAACAGAGACTTTTGACTACAGCAAATACACTCAGACCACATCTATAGGGCAGAATGTAAACACTTTGGCAAAAATAAATTAGCTTATGTAAATAAGAAATAAAAAGAAAAAATTCATCACAGAAATATTCATCTATGAGAGCAGACTACCACCTGTTTCACATATGGTATGAAAGATAAGAGATTTTTTAAAAAATCTCTTCTCCAACATTACCTATAGCTCACTGGCATATTACAACATAGAAACAAACAATAGGAAACAGAAAATATATGTGGAGGTAAACATAGTATATAATGAGACTTATGAGGACACCTGCTTATATATACAACAAATCGGAGTCCTCTAGAAGAAATAGACACTGTCATATCTTGCCCTTGTGTGCATCAAGACCAAGATAAATTGTAAAAGCCAAAATAATTTTTTATTTACTTGCTGGAGAGTTCATAGCCTGAAATAATTTGTGTACAGGAAGGAAACAACTACCCTAATTTTCTTTAAATTTATTTAACTTCATAAGTGACTTATTCTTCTCTTATTGTTTTGTAAATGTAACTAACCAAAGTAATTATTAGTTACTCTTCCTGTCAAATTTGCTGTGCATTTTTGCCCGCTCCCAGAGTGTCCTCCTAATCAAGCAACATTCACATATCCATTTCATCTCCTTTGCAAGATCAAAAAAAAAAAAAAAAAGCAGTTCTCAATTCTATACATAGCAAATAAATTCTGCCCGTGATGCCTTTTGCATTGGGGAGCAGAGTATCTTTGATCTGTTTGGCTTGACTCAATTTCTGAACATCTTTGTCTTTAGTACTTTGCCTTCCTACATAGACTGTTCTAAATTTCCAAGACATACTGCTTGATTTCATTAGATTTGGGGTGCATAAATCAGTGCTTTATTTTTAAAATTTAGAATGAAATATTTTAGGATGTAAAAATGATTTCACTACTAATGTCCTGGATGGAGAGATTTTTTTTACTGCTTTTATTTTTCTACTCAGATATTATTCATATTTCTTTTTACCCTAAGGCATTGAGGCACTAGGGCAAGCAAGCCAAGATCCTTTGGTGTATGTGTTTATCCACATTCATTAAGATATACTTATCCTTTGACACTTTTAATAATACTCATCACCTCTCTTTCTCTCATGGCGTGTTCTTCATCGTCAGTGCACTTTGCAGGCTGTCATTAATTCTTACAGCACTTCAGAGAGGTAGATAAGTGGGTATTACTTGTCAGGTTTTCATTCAGTCTAACTGTGGGAATCCTTCCATCGAGATAACATAAAATGAAATTGGGACCCATTATCTCCACTGTACAGATGAAGAAAAAGAGACCAAAAGATTAAGTGGTGAACCAAGGGGGAAAAGAAGGTCCTTGTGAACAGAATAGAAAAGTCTTTTCAATTCCAGTTTTCAGTTCTGAGTCTTTTGTGTTTACCATGTTACAGACCTCTCTTGGCTAGGGAAAACAAATGGAATGTGAATGTGATGCTTTAGAAATTTCTGTATAAAACCTGTAAGAATTAGAAGTGATAACATTAACCAAATACATTGCACAACATGATTTGTCTATCTTAAATTTAGCACTAGAGAAATAGGGAAGCATCTATTCAGAACAGGCCTTTTCCATCTTGCTGATTTTATTTGTTTATTTATTTAGACGAAGTCTCACTCTGTCACCAGGCTGGAGTGCAGTGGTGCAATCTCGGCTCACTGCAACCTCCAACTCCCGGTTCAAGCGATTCTCCTGCTTCAGCCTCCCGAGTAGCTAGGATTGCAGGCATGTGCCACCACGCCCAGCTAATTTTTGTATTTTTAGTAGAGATGGGGTTTCACCATGTTGGCCAGGATGGTCTCGATCTCCTGACTTCATGATCTGCCTGCCTTGGCCTCCCAAAGTGCTGGGATTACAGGCGTAAGTCACTGCGCCCGGCCTTACTGATTTTATTCTAAGGAAATAAGTCACTCACTAGGATTTCCTGGATGAAATGTCCATCCTTTTCTTTGAAAATCTAAATGGTACATGGTACAAGTATGATGCTTAATAGATAAGCAAAACACAACTCTGTCCCACTACTGTTTTATAGGAAACTTTCTACTCTGATGGCTGAGTCCTCAAGTCTTCTATGTCTCAAAACACTCTAATTCAGAAATTTTAAATGTCTAATCTAAGATGTCAGTAAACATCTTAGACTTCATGCAAGGCTTATCCCCATCTTCCAGCTGAGGCCAGCAGTCAGTGGGTCACCTGCCCTTGGGGAGAGGGGTGTGGCCAATTGCTCTGTCTTCCCACTCATTTCCCACCCAGAAGTCCTCCCCACCCCCAGTGCAGGCCCACCAGTGTGAGAGCTGTTGTTGGGGAGAGAGAAAAAGAGGAAAGTTCTTGTTCAGCTCCTGATAAGTACTGTCCTAAGCCACTGGGCCTCTCTAATAGCAGCCTCCAGTACTTAGACACAGCCTCTCCCCTGCTGGCCTGGAAGCCTTGCTGGCATCTGCTACAAGTGTCTGCTTTCCCTTCCTCCTTGCACCACTTCCTGGCCTTCCATCATCCGCTCCACAAAGACTCAGACTCTCCTATTGTGGCCCATTGCCCTTCCAGGTGGTACTCTCAGGACCTAGAAGAGCTCCAGGCTGACCCTCTTTCCTATGTGGCCCACATCTGATGCATGGATAGTTTAATTTCTTGCCTGTTATGGACTGAATGTTTGTGCCACCATAAAATTTATATATTGCAGCCCATATCCCCAACATGATGGCATTAGGATGGTGGGGCCTTTAACAGAGAATTAGGTTTAGATGAGGTTAGGAGGGTGGATCCCCCACCATGATGGGATTAGGATCCTTATAAAAAGAGGAAGAACCACCAAAGGTTCTTCTCTCTGCAATGTGAAGACACAGCAAGATGGTGGCCAGAAAGTAGGTCCTCACCAAGAACCAAATTTGCCAGCACCTTGATCTTGGACTTCCCAGCCTCCAGAACTATGAGAAATAAATTTCTATTGTTTGAATCACCTAGCCTGTGGTATTTGTCATAGCAGCCCAAGGCAACTAAGACATTGCCCTATTTTGGGTAGGGTATAAATTTCCCCAATCAAGCCCTTTCCAGTTCTCTCCCTGCACTACCATAGACCCCTTCTCTGAAAAAAAAAAAAAAAACAAAAATGTGTTCTGTTCATTGCTCCTCCCTTTCCCTTTCCAGTTTTCCTTTCCACTGCTCAAAAATGTAATCCTCTTCCAGCCAGTCTGATCCACTCACTGATCTTCTGGCATTTCATGTGCAATCAGACCCAGCAGCCTTTCACAAACATAACCTCCTGCTTATCTGTCCAACCTCATTTCCAGCTTCTCACTCACAGATATTGTTAGGTCCTGCACTACTGGACTTGTACAGTGACCCAAATGCACCAGGTTTTCTCCTTTTCATCTGCCTGTGTTTTGCTTTTGCCTTGCTATGTTAGTTACCTGTGGCTGCCATAACAAATTACCAAAAAATTTTAACTAAAAACAACAGAAATTTATTCTCTTGACGTTCTGGGGACCAGAAGTCTGAAAACAGTGTGTCAGCAGAGCCATACTCCCTCTGGAATCCCTAGAGGAAAAACCTTCCTTACCTCTCCCAGTTTCTGGTGCTGTCAACATTCCTCAGCTCATGCTGAAATCTCTGCCTCTACAGTCACATGGCCTTCTCTTTTTCTGTCTGTCACATCGCCCCTGTGTGTCCCTTATAAAAATACTCATCGTTGTATTTAGGGCTGACCCAGGTAATCCAGTATGAACCCTACACCTCAAGACCCTCAATGTAATTACACCTGCAAAGACCCTTTCCAAATATGGTTCAGGGAATTAGAACATGGACATATCTTTTTGGAGACCATTCCTTTCCTCACATCAGTTACCATAGCAGCCTCCCAATTAGTGTCCCTGTTTCCATTCTCGACTTTTATTATCTATTTTTCATTCTACGAATATCATTTTGAAACACAGCTGATATGGTTTGGCTGTGTCCTCAACCAAATCTCATCTTGAATTGTAGTTCCCATAATCCCCATGTGTTGTGGGAGGGACCCAGTGGGAGGTAATTAAATTTTGGGGGCAGTTACTCGCATGCCGTTCTCGTGGTAATGAGTGAATTCTCATGAGATCTGAGGGTTCTATAAGGGGCTTTTCCCCCTTTGCTCAGCACTTCTGTCTCCTGCCGCCATGTGAAGAAGAACGTGTTTGCTTCCCCTTCCCCATGATTGTAAGTTTCCTGAGGCCTCCCCAGTCATGCGGAAGTGTGAGTCAATTAAACCCCTTTGCTTTATAAATTACCCAGTCTTGGATATGTCCATATAGTAACATGAGAATAGACTAATACAACAGCTCTACTCTTGCCACTGTTATTGTTATGTTCCAGTTTTCATGTTAGCATGGCTCATAAGGCCCTTCACAAGCTAGACTTAATTCTCCAAGCACATTCACAACCATTAGTCAAACACCCTCCTACCATCAAAACTGAATACAGACTTGCTGTATTGAACTTTTCTCTCTTAAAACAGGCCTGTGCTCTTTTGCCTTCCTACTGGTTGTTTCCTCTCCTTGAATACTCTTTTCTCTTCTTCCTTGACTAACTGATCTTTCAAATCTCATTTTAATTACTTCTTCCTTAACATCTTTACAATTTGGACGTGATCCTATAAGAAAGACAAGGTCATTTTTAAAAAGCAAATCAGCTAGCAAGAATGCTATGAGAAGAATGCCAACAAAGAAAAATGGCTATAGGGCCTTCAAATAAGATGTTATTTTTGTTGTCTGTCTTTCTCCCTGAGAGAGGCCAAATATGACACCTTCTAGATCATTGTTGTATCCACAGCTCCTAGAAAAATACTGACTAGGTACTTCATCTGTAGTAAGTGAATATATGAAGAGATGTGTTCCTCACTCTTTTTCAAGAACTTAGCAAATGTAAAAGGTAGAAATCTTGGAAAGCTGACATCAAATTTAGCTTCTTGAAATTTCAAACCAAATAAAAACATATGATACAAATGACATATGTCACCTGAATAAGACATACAGTTCAAACTTTAATTCAATAGAGGGCATAAGATCAATATTTACACATATTGATCTTACAATAAGAGTCTGCTGAAGGGAAGTGGTCACCTGTCTTTCAATGTAGAAAAGAATGTGCATTCTGTAGGTATTTTGCAACATAACAGAGGGGCTTTGATTCTAAATTGATTGGTCCCCCAAAAATTAATTATTAGTTTTACATTATTAGGATATCATTGTACGAGGCAGTGTGTATGACTCCTTCTAAGGTGGGTCATATGGATATGGGTCATACTTCACTAGTCCATGGTAGTTTAATAACTTGAATTTCAAATAGTAAAAGAGCAAATTATATTTCTTAGCCCCATGTGCTACTGGAACTTCCCTTAGGGAATCATATAAGAAGCAAACTATCTCCTAGAAGCAGAAGGGAAAAATATAAGTCAAGATTTATGGAATAGGGCTGAAGGCTGTATAACCATTTTTCTTTGTAGGCATTCTTCTCATAGCACTCTTGCTAGCTGATTTGCTTTTTAAAAATGACCTTGTCTTTCTTATAGAATGAAATCCAAATTCTTGTTAAAGGGCTTATTTTATGTTCTATTACATGAATGATACAAGATTGATGAAACGATCTTTGAAATCATGGACTGGTGAATTGATTGGCATAATCCAAAACTATTTCTATAAAATAAGTTATTGATGTTGTTCCCTGGAATTTTTAGGATCTGGATTTCCTGCTGAGCGTACATTAGTAGGAAAGGGCCCCTTATCGAATTAAATCTGACCAAATATGAGGATGTTTTAAGGACCAAAGTTACTAAGAAAGTTGACTCTGATTCCAAGTAAAGAAAATTTTAAAACTTTGGCACAAGTGCAACTTGGTATAGCAAAGTTGTGTGTTGTTTGGTAACCTTTTTAAATTGTTAAAACTAAATAATAAGTTACTGTTCAATAAATATCTTTCATTACCAGAAGATATTTTCAAGTTGGTCATCCTACTAGATGTTAATGGTCCAAAAACAAAGAAAATTTTTGAATAAAAGTTATAAATGACTAAATGAAATTAATGTATACCTTTCCATTAAGATTCACTCACATCTGGTGGGAAACTGATCTTCCTTGCTGAACGTGGGTTAGATCAGCAATAGGGTATTGCATAAATATTCTATAAGTATTGGATAAATATCAATAAATATTCTATTTATCCGGGTCTACACAAATTTGGAAATTTCTAGCTTGCTAGAGTATTCTCCCCATTTGGGATGCACTGACCTGTCTATTTTCATATAATCAAACATATCCTTCAATGGCTATATATAAACAAAAAAGATTGCCAGCAATTGTTCAGTGTCTCTATTTCTGTAACATCTTGTTAAGGTTTACTAGTTTTGTATATTTACCAGAAAAAAATGATTCTATGTTAAATATTCATTTTGTACATCCATGATTTCTTCCTATATTTTAAATGCATTTTGTAGACTGAGAAAAAAATAATAGCAATATTCATTAACAGCATTTCTTTCATATAATCTCTGTTGATGGAAGTACTTTAAGTCATTACCTCTTTTTTTCTTGAGAGATTGATGCTAAAATATTCTTCTTTTCCAGTTCCACATATCTGAATCTAGCTGATATTTCTTTCCTTTGGACTCTGTCCTAGGCTTCCTAACCCAATTTCTATTGAGACAAAGCTCTTAAGCAGCTTCAGACCCCTTTGTGAAAATATTTGCCTCTAGTTACATCAACTCAGGGATTCCCAATCTAGCTACGTATTAGCACTACTAGGGTAACTTTAAAAATATAACAATATCTTGATCTCATCTCCAGAGATTCTGATTTAACCGATTTGACTTAAGGCCCAAACATCAGCATTTTTGTGATTTAATTGAAACCTAACTTGAAGCCAGAGTTGAGGACCACAGCCTTCACTCCAAGACAAAATGGGTTTGGCCCTCAAATTCTTTACCAAATCCGGTGCCCTGCTCTGCACATTCAGCTAAATAACTGGGGAAGCCTAACAGCCACGCCCAAGTCCTTGGAAGTTTCATCTGCCTACTAACGTGGTATTTCCAGGGATTCACCACAGTAGTGCTTCCATTTTGTTTCCTGAGTTTAAACCCCTTTGATATCCCATTTTAATAAGATTCTGGAATCCATATCCTCTTCTTTTAATCGTGAAGTTGATTATGCTGCTGAAACAAATAAACCCTGAAATCTCTGTGGCTTAGCCAAATACACTTTCATTTCTTGATCACGTCAACAGTTCACCCGTGTGGCTCTCTCTCAAGTCACGGCTGTGTGACTCCGCCTCCTTCCATATTGTGGGCTGGCCCTCCCAGGATCCTTTGCTCCCAGTCACGCAGATCTGCTCCAGGAGCACAAGGGGTGAAGTGGAAACAGGTCTTTGTGCAGTTGGAGTCTAATTGGATCACATAATGCCCAATTAGACAACCCTCCAATGCAGTTGGAGGTGACAGGAAGTAAACGTGACTTTACTGAAGTGACAGGAAGTAAACATCACTTTCTTTAAGTCTGTTGGGAAAAGTTAGTCACATGGCCCTTCTGAGACGCGTGGGAAGCTGGGAAATGTAGAGCCTAGCGCAGATATTTGGCAAGCCCTAACTGTTGCAAGCTTGCTGCTAGCACTCACTTGATTTAGATGGATCTGTGGACCCAAAGATTACTACCCCTTTAATTCCTGTTGCTGTTAGATCTACCGCTCTCTGCCCAATCTGCATTAACGTGATCAGAAGAATCTCTATCTGAAGTGATAACCCAGACTGTAATTCTCCTTATTCCGCCTGTCCACATAGGCAACATAAGTTATGTGAATAACTGCAGGTTGCCTAATTCTCCCAGTCTACACAGCTTATACTGACTAACTTTCTGCTCCTCTGGTAGAAAAACAGTCATTTCTCAGGTTGTTCCTCTTTCCTTTTGCCTGTCCTGGTACATGAAACAGAATTCAGTTTCTCTGACTTCTGGGACATAGAAAAGAAACAAAGTTGTGGTGTAAGAACCATCACTCCGATGGCTCAACCCTGGCATAAATCTTCTCTCTGGTAAGTTCCCTGTAACACGTTACTCTTACAAGAGTAAGTAGCACCCTGGTCTATGGGAATTTCAAAGAATACAGTTTAAACATTCAAACACATTATAGTAACTGCTTCTAAAAATACATCTGATTTTTAAATCTTTTCTTCTCCTTTTAAAATTGACAAATAGTAATTACATATATTTATGGGGCACAATGTGATGTCCCAGTTTGTGTATACAAGCATAGAATATTCTGAAACTGTTACTCTTTTAAGGGGAAAAAAAAAATCACAGAAGATATCTTCCACACCAACTACTGCGTCTTGGTGTAGCCATCTTTTGCCAAGGTCTTTGAGACAAAAGTATATCTTTCCAAATTAGAAACAAGTAATTAAAATTTAGCTAGATAATATGAATGAGTACATGCAGTTATAATTACTTATATATTTAATATTACCTTGATAATTATTACATCTCCACAGACTTGAGATTGTTGCTTATCTTGACAATACATAAGAATTCTTGAAAGAAGATATTCTCTTTCTCCCCCCTCAGAAATGGAGGTGATGTTGGGGGAGATAATTGTGTGAATAAATATAGGTTAATTACAGCTAGTCAATATTCATAGAATTTTGTTCTTGTTGGACTGTAATTAATTATCACACCGAAATTTAACTCACTTCTAATCTTTTTTCAATGTTCATTAAGCTGAGATTTCCATTTCTGCTTTGCTTTTCTTTCTTGACCTGCAGCAACTGTATTATTAAAGTAGAATTTCTGCTAATTAGTTGTGGTACTAGGGAGCTGGAGGGAACCTCGGGCATTGTCTGATCCAATTAGATTCCAACTGCACAAAGACCTGGATGGAAAGATCAGACTGCAGGAAGCAATCTAAGAATAACTAAAAGATTATTATTTTTAATTTATGTTTAACAGAAGTTTAAGAACATTAGTTTCAGAGAAGGACAGTTAAGAGTCCATTGATAATACAAGTAAAGCAAACTTCCTATCTATGCATGCTCATTATGCTGAAAGTTTATGTAATGCAGTATTAAAGAGTAGATATGCATTTTATAAACATGTTCATCTTTGGAAAACAAAGGTGGTTAAAGTCAGACCAGTAAGCAACAACAGTAAGCAAAGTTTATCTCCTGCACTCTTTGTGATACCTTTCTGGGCCTGATCCATCCCTTCTTTCCTACAAGGTGTCAGAAACTTCCCTTTCTAGAGGTCACTCCTCTGGGAACAGTAAGAGATCTAGTAGACCAAATTTACCTTAAAATTTCACACACATTCAGGGTGCTATTCCACAGTGGAATAAACTTCCTCCAGACTTAGTTACTTTTAAATATTAGGAGTGTCCAGTAGCTTTGGGTGACTTGGAATAGGATAGAGTTGTAATAGTCCTTTAGGAGTTTGAACTTGGTAACTTTAAGACACAACTAACTTTACCTTCAATGTTTTTCCTGAATTCTTTTCTCCCCACCTTCTTTCCTGTCCCACTGCCATTGCCAAGTTAAGTCTTTTACCATCTTTTGTCCAGATATTTACAACAGTCTTTTAATTAGAATGCCTGGATGCAGTCTGGTACCCATCAAATCCACTCTCCATGTTACCCTTAAACGTATCCATGTTTAGACCATTTCATTTGTTTCCCATGAACTCCAATAAAAAGTTCAAGTTCTTTACAGTATTATTAAAGACGTTCCTTATCCAGAAGACCCCACCCAAACCTCTGCTTATTCTCCAGCCTTACCTCTCTGTTTTTTATTCCAGCAACTGTCAACTTTTCATGGTCCCTGAAGCACATCATGATATATTGCATTCCTATGGCATTTCTGTGTTCTTTTGATCTGAAATGTGCTTCTGCTCTAATCCCGTCAACCCTTTAGGATTCAGAAAGGGTTAACTCCCTAAGTTACCCTTTCACACACACACATATACACACAACCTCTCTCTCACACAACCAATCTCTACTCACACACACTCTCACACATGCTAACATATATGATAGATGCCGTCCTCTCTGATCTCATAGAACCTAGTTTGCACTTCCCCATTTGCGTTTAATCCTATGCATATGCGTGTGTCTTTCCCAGTCTTAGTCTCCCTTAAATTTCCAACATCATAGGTAGGCTAGAGATATTTAAAATTGTTTCATGCTGCATAATTTATTATTCTCTTCGACCTTGAGATTTTTTTTTTTGAAATATGATCTGCCAGAACAGATGGCCACTAGAACTCTTCGTAGCCTCACTCCTGCAAACGTGCCCAAAGGTACGTTTCTGACTTTGTGGTACCACTTATATGTTTAGATGAAAGATAAATGGAACTGAGATTTGGGGGCATCTGTCTCTGTCATTCATTCTTTATAATTCTAGCTCACATCTGTAGGTGCAAACTTGAACCTAGAATTCAAATAATGCCAACCATACAAAGTTGCAGTGTGTGTGAATGTCTGTGTCATTGTTTGCCAATTCCCCTGCCTCTGCTACTAAACTGAGCACCTCTATTTCCCTCATGTCTTTCTCAGTGGTTACAAATGGCAGGTCTAAGGACAGGTATCTAATTAAAGCTAGGCCAATTACAGTATCTCTGGCCTTGGCCATGTGAATTGATACAAAGGTAGGTTCCCAACGCCAATCACGTTCCTTCTCTGGGATTGTATATACTGGAATAAGATGAGATTGAGATCTAATGGATAGACATAAAACTCAGAAACTCTTTGGAGCTGTGTATTAGCAGCATCTATAGTGAAAGACAATGATATTGATGCTATGATGAAAATAGGTTGCTTGTGAATTTTAATGCGCACGAAGCTAGACCCTAAGAGGAAGCCAAAGTATGACAGCTCCAATCAATCACATCAGGCTGACACAGGTAAGGTTGTGAGCAAGACATTTGAGGAGGTGTGACTGGGCAGGAGCTGTTGAGTCTGGGCAGCCTCAGGCTTGTGAGAGTTGTGTGCAGATAATAAATGTCAGAACCAGGCAAATCACTGACAGCCCTAGAACAGGAGATCTCCCCAGCAGACAGCGATCAGTCACAGGCTTGTCTCAACAGAGAATGGGAACTTGCGAGGGCCCAGGCAAAGGATCACAGTGGCCTGGGTGGGCAGGCCAGCTTGTAATGTGTAGACAAAAGCAATCAGTAGAGCCACAGGAGAAGACACTGGGTTAGGCACGTGGACTCATTGTCTGGAGTCTACTTGCCATCAGAGTTTATTACCTCCTTCAGCAGTTACTTTGGAAAGGTTTACAATCTCCAATATCAACATGAGTTTTATTAGAATCTTTAAATATTTAATCCTTATTAAATCTTTAAATATCCAGCTGCCCCCAAAAAGCAGATGCTGTTCTGCCAGGTCATTGACTGTGTGAGCCTCCATATTTATTTGAAACTCTCCATCTTCGAGTCAATGGAAAGGAAAGAGTATTAGCTCTGAATTTTCATATCGCATTCAATCTTTTAAGTCTTATATGCTCTCAGGACTTAAATCTCAACAAATGGACTTTCAATAGAAATCCTTGTAGTCACTATTAAAAAACCAGTTTGTGAGTTTTTATTTCCACTCAAAGCATGACAAAAAGGTACAGAAAGAAAAAGAAGAAAGTCCTGTCTAAAGTAATCACCATAAGCAAGTTAAGATAATTAGCTCAGTGGGAAGTTTCAGCAAAGGTTACTTCAAAAGGGTGAACCATGCCAATGCATTATAAATGAGAGTATTGTATCTGGAAGTAATTGAAGATTTTTTAGGCTTGGAATGAGAAAAGCAGGAAAGCCTGTGTGCAGTAGCTGTATCTATTTGGCTCTAGTTTATAATTCCATGTTTCATATTTTTCTTTTCAACACATTTTGATAGACTGTATTGTGTGGCAGAATGCAATCACCCATAGGGAAAGCATTCTACACTCTTGCCTTTCACTCACTCCCCCGTTGGATCAGTCATCAGGTCTTAGAGCTTAAATTTCACAGACATTCCAGGAATTCTTTTCTCCTCTCTTTCTCTACTTCCCAAGTAGAATTTTTTCATCTTTACATGCCTAGTGCTTAGTAGAGTGTCTGGCACAAAGAAGATACACCATAGCATTTGTTGAGTGGATGAGAAAATGAGAGCAAGGCAGGCCATTGCAATCTACTCAGCTCCGTGGTGGAAATTAGGACTGCCAAGCTCCAGTTTGAACTCTACCACAAAACTAGCTGGAAGAACTTTGGCAACTATTTTATTTTAGGTCCTCACATATTTGGTTTTCTTACCTTCAAAACACGTGAGTTGTGGTCAATGTCCCAAAAGTACTCTCTGATTCAAAAATCTGTTACATGTAACCAAGAAATAGCATTAAGAAATTACTACTATTCTCTCTAGTGTATTATATTTATACTTTAAAAAGAAAAACAATTCTCTTTTGCTGAGTATGACCAAATTATTTCATTGTTGTCTTGTCATAGTCTTCTATGCCTGGAGATAGTTGACCTTCAAAATCTCTTTGTTTGCTATCTAGTACATGGCTCTAAAATCTTTAAAGTCAAGTATTATGTATCATCCAACTTTGTATCGTAGTACCCAGAATAGTGCTAGCACGTAGTGATGCTCAATATATATATATTTTTTTTAAATTTTTTGAGACAGGGTCTCACTCTGTCACCCAGGTTGGAGTGCAGTGAGGCTATCTTGGCTCACTGCAACCTCTGCCTCCCAGGTTTAAGCGATTCTCATGCCTCATCCTACCAAGTAGATGAGACTACAGGTGTGTGTCACACACCGGCTAATTTTTGTATTTTTCGTACAGGCAGGGTTTCACCATGTGGCCAGGCTTGTGTTGAACTCCTGGCTCAAGGGATCAGCACTCCTCAGCCTCCTAAAGTGCTGGGATTACAGGTGTGAGCCACTGCCCCCAGCCGCTCAATATATACTTAATGAGTGAAGTCGTGAATGTCGCTATCTAGTGGTAGTCAGTTAGAATTGTAGGCAAAATGACTGAGGGATAAATCAAACATCTAAGGTGTTTTGTTTTTCAAAAACGAGTTTGTTTCTCCCTCATGTAAAGGGAACAGGAGTTGATATAGCATCTCCATGTTGTTACTGGGGATACAATTATACCTGTTTCAGTACTACTGAGTCAATACTGCTTTTCCAAATATTGGTGTTAAACAGTTAAATGAATCACTTTCATGTACATAGCATTAAAATGTTCTAGAAACTTCTGTAACTATGATTTACTGCATTTAGATTTTGACATATAGTATGTTGTGTTGTGCAGTCTCAAAGCTGTACTGACAACTAACCAAATGATGACATTTGGTATCCACACAGTTAAATATATATCTTATATTATATATATTATACATACATAAAACAATATGTATGTGCATGTATATAAAACCTTACAGAAAACTGAAAAATCGTGTTTGATTTTTTTAATATGACCATTTTTGAATCATATGTATTCGACTCTCATTAAATCTATATTGGCACAAAATCATGTAAGAATTTGGCACTTGTTCAGATAATTCAGTCAGTGCAAATAAATGCTAACCAGGCAGTTCTTAAAGGGTACTTTTTGTTCATCAATCAAAGCATTTACCATTGAACTCTAGTGATAAAGTGTTATTCTGTAGATCACCCTACAATCTACAACATATTCAAGAGCACTTTTTATTCTCATTTTGTATACTACTTTGACATCGAAGTAATGTATAGATTTCTTAAAGATCTCTCACTGAGCCATAAAGTTTAATTCTACGTAAGATATGAGGAACAATCCCAATTAATGAAATTGAATGCAGTCTCTTGCTTTCCTGGTTCTGATATGCTTTTTTAGAACTTTTCTACAGGATCCCAGAGTACCTGTATGTTCCTTAAAACTGCCATTTCCACATTAAATATTTGCTTTTGTTTAAACTGTATAGCAATTTTGGCAAAGGAATTGTATTAGGTAAGATTAGGTTGGGTAGCATATCACACACACATACATTCACACTCAAACTAGAATAACAGAGACTTTAATAATTTTTTTTAAACTAGTTTGTTTCTCGTGCAAAGGAAATGGGAGTTGATACAGCATCTCCATGTTGTTATTAAGGATACAAACTCCATCAAACTCATACCTCTTCCATCCCTAGGATATGGCTCTTGTCTTCATGGTCCACCTTGGAGACTAGAGCTCAGCCATTACACTCCTATTTCAGAAAGCTGAAAGGAAGGTAAGACAGAAAATGGGAGAAAAATCCCATTCCAGCCATCTTTTAAGGAGGTTTCCTGAGAATTGACACAAAATATTTTATTACAACTTATTTTCCAAAACTCAACATGTAAAAAACAAAACAAAACAAAACACTAGCTTTAAGGCTACCTGGAAGATGTAGTACTCGCCAGGCATGGTGGCTCATGCCTGTAATCCCAGCACTTTGGGAGGCTGAGGCAGGCAGATTGCTTTACCTCAGGAGTTGGAGACCAGCCTGGCAACATAGCGAAATCCTGTCTCTACAAAAATTACAAAATTAGCTGGTAATGGTGACGTGTGCCCATAGTGCCAGCTACTAGGGAGGCTGAGGTGGGAGAATCACTTGAGCCCAGAGGTTGAGACTTCAGTGAGCCACTGCACTCCAGCCTGGGTGACGCAGTTAGACCTTGTCTGGAAGGAAGGAAGGAAGGAAGGAAGGAAGGAAGGAAGGAAGGAAGTAGGGGAAGATGTAGTCTTTATTTTAGTCAACCCTCAGACTTCTTTTATCAAGGAAAATGTAGAAAATGAATATTGGGTTACACAATTGTCTCTGTCATGGGGCTTGAGTCAATAAATCACGTAAATTTATTCATTCAAAGAGATATTAGTTTCCAGTTTTATTATCATGAGGCTAACAGAAAGAAGTTATCTATAAAGCCCCAAGAAAGAGGATATATTGAGTGAAGTTATTAAGGGGAGTCACCAGAATGAAAGAAAAAAAAAAAGCAAAATAAAAAAACATTATTAGCATATTTGGATTTTACAGATTTTTTTTTTTTTTTGCAAGTAATGTAGACTTACTGGAAAAATTACATGGATTGGTCTTCCTACCCTCCTAAGCATTTTACACTTGGAGTAGTAACAATATTTAATAACAATTTAACTATTCGATATTATGGTTTTCTTATCTGATACACGTATACATAGATGTACATGTAACCAGACTCATAGAGATAAAAATAGAAATAGAGATAGTTCTGAGATCCTACGATTAATATAAGTAAATACTGTTAATATTGAAAATGATACTCCATTGAGTTTGTTTTTCTATTATTTTCTGTATTTATTTAAGCAACAGAGAAGAAAATGCATTATTTTTAAGTTAAGCAAGTCAAAGTGTTACTAAAATTGCCAATGATTTATAATAAAACATTGTATTCAAGGGTATTACAGTATTTTAATGAATTGGCCAAAAGAATGAATTATTGAGGAAGTAGGATGATCTGATATAGAATTTTGCCAAGATTTATTCTCATGTATGTAGTCGACTTTCAGCGCTGTAGTAGGAATAGGATTTTTATCATTGCTTAATTCATCTCATGTGTATCATCACAAATAAATAAGTCGACTAAATATTACCTTCTTTAACAAAAGATAAAAATGCTTTAGCTTCACTTATAATTTTTTTATTTTAATAAGAAATAAACCTACTTTAAGTTTATTCTTTTGAAGCTATGGTTACTTTTTCCAGAGAACTCTCTCTTCTGATACTTTTACCTTTGACTTATTTCAAAGGTAAAGGTATTTTATTTCAAACTCTTATTTCCATATGGAAGTTTATCCTAACAAAAATATTCTAGAATTTTCCCCACTTTTTGTATAGGTGTAAAATATCCGTGTGGTATCAAATATAGATATCAAATATCCGCATGGCCTTTTTAATTTTTCTACTTTATTGGGACTGCTGTTACTAAATTATTACATAGAATATTCATAAGCCCTTTGATTTATAGTTTTATAAAATGCATTTGTAAATTGGGTCGTATCCGAGAAGAAGATAAATATTACTCTGGCGTACTTTTCATATCTGCTATTTTCCTTAAATATTATTTAATATTAATAGTAAAACCACATCAAGATAACTAGTAAGCTGCTGTATAGCAGTGCTAAGCCTAAAAGTGTTACTGCAACATGGCAACATTATCAGAATCTTTTTTTACTCATGAAAAGCGATTTATGGAATAAAATATATTATCTCTGAGCTTTGTTATAAAAGACAGTTTCATATTATTTCAGCCACCATAGATACATTTAATATCTTGATTATAAAATCTCATTTTGCAAAAAAAGAAAAAAAAATTAGCTAAATTAGAACCTAGAAACAGTCCTGCACAGGCCAACTGATTTTTGACAAAGGTGCAAAAGCAATGCGATGGGGGGATGAGGAATGCTTTTAATAAATGGTACTGAAGTAGCTGGCTATCCACAGGCAAAATAATCTGGTAATAATGAACCTCAACCTAAATCTAATACCTCGTACAGAAATTAAACAAAAATAGATCATAGGTTTAAATATCAAATGTAAAATAATCAGTCTTTTAGAAAGAAGCATAGGAGAAAGTCTTCAGGACCTAGGGCTTCATGAAAAGTTCCCACGTATGACCCCAAAGCACAATCCATAAAAGAAAAAAAATGATAGATTGGACTTTATTTAAAAACTTTTGTTCTGTGAACGACCCTGTTGGGAGAATGAAAAGATGTGCTACAGACCAGTAAAAATATTCGCAAACTACATATTTTGTAAAGGACTCAAATAATTCTCAAAAACTCAACAGTAAAATAACCAAGCAATCCAATTAGAATATGGGCAAAAGACTCAGGTGGACATTTCACTGAAGAAGATGAATGGCAAATAAGCTTTCGAAAACATGTTCAACCTTGCTAGCCATTACGGGAATGCAAATTAAGGCCATGATGAAATACCACTACACTTAATGCTTTATCCGTTAAAACAGCTAAAAAACAGATTATAAAACTAGATACTGGCAAGGACGCAGAGAGGATCTCTCATACCTTGCTGGTAGGAATGTAAATAACTTGGAAGTTTCTTTAAAACTCAAACATACATTTATCGTACATCCCAGTAATTGCACTTCTGGGCATTTATTGCAGAGAAATGAATACTTATGTCCACACAAAAATCTGTACATGATTGTTTATAGCAACTTTATTTGTCAAACCAAAATGCCCTACAATAAATAATGGTTAAACAAAGTGTGTTATAGCCATATCATGGACTGCTTGCTCATCTAGGAATGAACTACTGATACATGCAGAAACTGGAATGGATTCCAAAGGCATTACGCTGAGGGAAAAAAGACTATCTCCAAAACTCACATGCTGTATGATTCCATTTGTATAATCTTCTTGAAATGACTAAATTACAGAAACGGAGAACAGATTGCTGATACCCGGGGTTATTGATGGCAGAGAGAAGGCATGTTGGATATGACCATAAAGCAAAGTAATAGCGAAAGGGAAATATTTTGTGATGATGGAATAGTTTTGTATCTTGCTTGCTGTAGTGGTTATATGACTCTGTGCATGTGTTCAGATGACATGGAACTATAAATACACCTTATAGTAATGTCAATTTCCTGCTTTTCATGTTGTGCCATTGTTACTTAAGATGTAACCATCTGGGGAAACTGGGTGAAGGGTACGTGAGCTCTCTCTGTACTCTTTTTACACTTCCCGTGAATTTATAATTATTTTAAAATAAAAGTTTAAAAGGAGAGAGGAAAATGTGCAAACCTTGCAAGGCGTTGTTTTAAAAAAAATACATTCCCTGAAATTTTTTCAAGGTTTTAATGATGCCAGATTTTTCAAATTAATAGCTTCTCACTTTCCAACAGTTGACTGAGCCAATTATTTATATGCAGGAAAGTTACTATTTGTTTATTGTTTCTTTTTATTAATTACAAAGTAAATAATGCTGTAAATTTTATACTTGCCATGTCTTAAATAACTAATTTACGATTGCTAATGGGTATCAAAGGATCAAGGGCACCAACTTCATGATTTAATCAAAAAAACTAATTTAATACATTAGTTGCAACCTCATTATTGACCTCAAGAGCAGGCACTTTTGCTGGAGCTGCCAACAAGGAAACAAAATGTGACTAATTTTCTACTTTCCTCTATTTAAGAAAAGAATTAATGAATATAAATATGTCCCAATTCGATATCTTAACAGCTTCCATAACACATAGTTTGGAAACTCTATGCCTGAATAACTGGGCCATTGATTATTTCTGGAACATAAATTAAGTCCTCCAGTTTAATCTTATTTGGACCTGAAACTTACAATAAAGGAAGTTTCCAGATTACTTTTAATTTTCTCACTTCGAATTATCTCCTTTCATAGATCTTTTTTTCTTGAAAAGATTTATTTATTAAACTACTGGACTCTGCTATTATTTAATTACTAATAGCAACACATCCAAATATGTCTCACATTCTGCCTTCTTAATAACTAAGTAAAAATGCCTATAGAAGTATTTTAAAGGAGATTATTGATATTCTTAATGGCATTCTATTTTTGTATGTAGGTGGGGAAAAGTGTTAGAGAGAAAATATCCTCTGGAAAGTATAAATACAGCTTCACAATCCCTTATGTGCACTTTCAGTTTTCAGAGTTTTCTGTGGATTTCAGAATTGCAGATAAAGGTCAGTTGGTGGCCAGACTTGACCTGAACCAACCTTGGGCTTTTGTGTAGTCCCCATATAATCTAACAGCGTTAATATTCCCACCTTCGCTGTAGGAATATAAATGTTCTCAACATGCTGCCCTAGCTGCCCCTGGGAATATTTCACAATGCGTAGTGTATGTATTTTCTTTACAAAATCTGAAAATTTCTGACTATGAGACAGATCTGGCCCCAGTGGTTTGGGGTAAGAAATTATGGCCAGTCTCAGAAAAGTATAGGATAGGTGTTCAGGTACCACTGAGAATAAGGACCTATTTACCCAACAGATAAGTCCAGGAGCACAAGACTCATGACAAGAAATTTGGGAGGAGAGTCAAATGAGCACCAAACTGACCTTCCCTTTATAAATGAGGAAACTGAGGCACAGAGAGATTGAGCAACATGCCCAAGGTTCCACAGCTATAGTTGGTACCCAGGTGATCTGCCTTCAGAGATCATGCTTTTACACAACAAAGAATGGTTTGTGAAGACTTAAACCCGTAAGCCTCCAGAGTGAAACCCAAAAGACAGCCGACAAAGCGAAGCCAGAGACTGGGTGTCTGAGATGAAAGCGTAAGGATTTCATGAAAGTTCATATCCTTATGAGTACAATTCCAAGCTCCGGGATATTGGCAGTGAGGCTGATGCTCCCCAAGTATGAAATTGGAGAATGCTTTCATGGAGAAAAATGAATAGCCCCAAGGAAAAGATCTATGGTCTGATCTCAGTTTGTCCTGTTCTTTGGAGTTCACCTGTCAAATTCTGGCTTGCAAACTAAACTTCCAAGTAGCTACTTCAAGCTTTTTTTTTTTTTTTTGATAGGAGAGAATTCAAGGATCACCAGACATTTGAAGAAAACATCAAATATGAATGAGATCAAAATGAACAATCAATAAAAAAGAACCCAGACAGGACGAGGAAATACAAACAGTAGAGAAAGTATCAAAGAATATATCATTGGTGCTTTCAAAGATTAAGAGACTGCATCAATGGAAGAAACACAGACACTGGAAACAGGGAGGGGAGTGCAATAGAGGATGAGATAAAGCACCAGAAAATTAAAAATAAGATAACTGTAATTTAAAGTTTAGTACAACTTTGGAAGATAAAGTCAATGAAATTCTCCAGACAGTAGTTTTTTAAAAAGGATTTTAAAAAAGAGTTAGAGAATCGATCCAGAAAGTTCAAAAGCTTATTTCAGAATGAGTTTCCAGAAGGAAGAATACAGAAAATAGTGAAGAAAAAATTAACATTGTATGGAGAAGTTTCAACAACTGAAGGACGTGAGTCTCCGAACATAAAGAATCAAAAGGACCTGGAAAATATATATATTTTAAACCCAGGCACATTATGAAATTTTAGAATACCAAGAGTAAAAAGAAAATGCTAAGAACTTCCAGAAAGAAAGAAAAGAAAAAACGGTATCACACAAAGGAAAGTAATTATAATGCCATGGGAATTCTTTACAGCAGCTCCAAATTCTAGAAGACAATAAGCAATGCCCTCATATTTCTAAGAAATAATGTCTTGCAGTTTAGAATTTCATGCATAGATGAATTATCAATCACGTAAGAGTGAAGCATTAAGTCATTTTCAGGCATTCAAAGACTTGAAAAATCTACTTTCCTTTGAGTCGATTTTTAAGAAGCCATTCAGGAACGTGCTTCAACAAACAATGCAGTTCACCAAGAATTAGCAAGAATTGGGTCCAGAAACTAAATGTGAGGACCAGCAAACAGGGCTCAAGGGGAACAGTTCCAGGTTCGGAACAACCAGTAGTCTTAGTTGCTGTAAGAAGGAAATCATCAGGGGAGCAGAACAGAACTGATAAGCTATTTTACTATGTTTGAGTATGAAAAAGCTACTGATAATGTGGGAAAGATTTCTAGGAATTTTTGCAAGGAGCAGATATCAATATGTATATGGAAAAATAAAAATTCATGGAAATTGTTTAAAAATAGTAAGTTGTAAAATAAATGCGATAATAATTTGTAAAAGTTAACTATGGTACATTGCTTGGCTCAGCAGATAGCAAAGTTATGGCAATGTAAATACTGAAGACTGATTTAACCAAGGATAAATCTTGTCTGAGAGATCTGCATTCCCAAATAGTATAAGAGGAGGCAATAAATAATGTGTAAAAACAAAAAATATAAAATAATGTAATAATAATATTGAGAAATAGGAGAGAGGGTATTAGAAAAAATAACTGAAAGGGTTGAAGTGGTTGCTTTTGTGGAATATGCAAATGAGAAAGTGAATATTTTTATTTTTCACATTTACAAGATCATCACTGTAGATAATAAAAAACTTGATACATAGAAATGCAGTTTTACCTCATGGCAATTATTCTGTTATTACTGGTAGTATCCTGTTAATACTTGCTTTTCCATTCAATACTAATTACTATCAATACTAATTACTAGTATTCAATACTAGTAAGTATTGAAAATACTAATTAATTGAATTAGTATTCAATTAATACTAATTCATTCCCAGAGGAAAATGAAGCATTCTACCATAAAGACACATGCATGCAAATGTTCATTGCAGCACTGTTCACAATAGAAAAGACATGGAATCAACCTAAATGCCCATCAGTGACAGACTGGATAAAGAAAATGTAGTACATACACACCGTGGAATATTATGCAGCCATAAAAAAGAACAAGATCATGTCTTTTGCAGGCACATGGATGGTGCTGGAAGCTAACACTAATTAATTGAATGAATACAAATTACTATCAATAGTAATAGTATTACTATTAAGTTAACCATGTATCATAAACATTTCACTTCAATCCATGTGGATCTCTTGACCCTTTTTAATCAATATGTAAGATTCCTTTTCTGACGAATTTTTTTCTGTCAGTCCTCTTTTTATGGACATTAGGATGTTTCTCCTATTTTGCTATTAGCCACAACACTGTGATGAACATCCTTGTTATAGTATTTATGCTTATGTGCTACATTTCCTTAGGGAGCATTGCTAAAAATGATGCTTCTTGGTCAAAATTTATATTTTGATAAAGATTTCCCCATTGCTTTTCAAAATAACAGAAAAATGTAGTTACCTACAAATTATATTCCACACAAACAATCATAATGTTGACTCTTTTCTGCTATTCGGCTTTTTTTTCTATTTATGGTTTTGTTGCATGAGCTAAAACTTTCTGCGGGAAAGAAACCATTAACATTAGTAGAAATCGAAGTTTTATTTATGTTCTTCCTGAATTAATGGGATACTTATTTGTCATAACTGTTCTCTGGGTAGCTTAAAAATATGAAGTTTGGTTTGGTTTTCTTTTATTAAGAAACAAATATTCTTGTTCTATGAAGAGTGTTAATCAGGAATGAGTGTTAAATTTCACTTAATATTCTGACATCTACCAAGTTGTTTTCATTAAACACATACATGCTATGCCCAACAGATAAATTCTTTGCTGTTTAGATACACAGCAGAATGGTTTTTAAAATTATTACTTTGGAGAGCATATCTAGAGAATTGTGCTTTGTATCAAAACATGAATTTTAAGAACTGGAATCTGAATGATGAATTGGTCAACGGTGCTAGAAGAGGATTTTTATAACTTTTTCATATCTATTGAAATACAGACTATTTGCTTTATCAATTCAGGGAACTTATGGGTTTTAAAAAAAAAAAGAAAAGAAAAACACACACACATTATCCTTAAGAACATTTGTAAGAAAACACTTGTCCTATAATCATGGAGCTCTACTAGAAAGTCTAAAGAATGCTTACAAGTCTTTTGAGTAAACTTACTTGTTTTTCCTTTTAGGGGCACTGCAATTGCGGGCATTGTTTTTGGAATAGTATTTATCATGGGGGTCATTGCTGGGATTGCCATATGCATCTGCATGTGCATGAAGAACCACAGGGCGACCCGCGTGGGCATCCTCAGGACGACTCACATCAACACCGTCTCCTCCTATCCTGGTGAGCAAAACTGTTGACTCTCGAAGGCTCAGATTTGCTAGTTATCCTCTGCTCCTCACAGAGAGAAGGAAACATTCTAGATGGTCAATGAAACCACCTTCAATTTCATAGAGTATTTCTAGGTACATGTAGATTGAAGTTCTAGCTGAATCAAGATTGCTTAGATCCAAGTAATACAACCCAATTCTTTTTTTTTGAAGGTATTCATATTTTTAATGTCTGTTTCATTGACTACAATTGCCAGTCAGCCAGAATTAAGACAAATAAGCAATTCACACCCACTGTGTCTACCTGCTAGTGAGTACTGACAAGTAATTTATAAAGTATAATGTATGTCTCAATAAACTGGCATCTGATCCAATAGATATATATGTCTTGAGAAAAAGCATTCAAGAAAATTTTCATATATCTTCATTAGGTCGAGAGAACAGCTTTAAACACAATATTAAAATTCTCAACAGGCCAGGCACAGTGGCTCACGCCTGTAATCCCAACATTTTGGTAGGCCGAGGTGGGTGGATCACTTGAGGGCAAGGGTTCATGACTAGCCTGGCCAACTTGGAGAAACTCAGTCTCTACTAAAAATACAAAAGAAAAAAAAAATTTCAACAAAGAGCAAGGGCAATATATTAATAATTTGACAAATATTTATTGAGAATATGCTAGAAGTTCCATGTATTAAAATATATTGAGTACATGTGACTTCATAAACAAAATACTGCATTTTGCATTAGAGGATTTCAATAATGCTTTCTAAGTCAATCTGTGCATGTACAATTTGACATATAAAAAGCAGGCAAGTTCTAAATTTAACACACTCTTAGGAAGTTAATTTCCCATCCATACTCATGTCTTTTCTTTCTCTGTCTCTACAGGAAAAGAACAGGGTACCTTCTACATGCAACTGTGCTTTGTATTTGTATTAATTCCCTGTTCTGTCCTTCCTCTGTCAATCTTTTTTTTTTTTTTCCTCTATCATCTTCAACTTGAGGGAGCAAATTTCAGATCAATAAGGGTATGATAATTCCTCTTGTTCCTCTTTGGCCAGTTCTTCTTCTATAATATTTTCATACTGGAGTACCTGAAGGCTCAGTCTTGTCTTTTCTTCCATATTGTATCTACACTTACTTCTTTGCCTGTATTAAGAGTATTACAACCTCAGGGTGGTAAGTGCCATTTATATGCTAATGCCTCCCATGTATCTCCAGTCCAAACCAATTCATTTTATCCCAGTGCCTATTGAACATCTCCACTTGAGTGTCTCATAAATATCCCAAATTTGACATGTCTAAACTTGGATTTCTGATCCAAGTGTTGGATTTCCCCCAAAACCCCTGTCCACTCACAGCCTTTACCATTTCTCTTGATGGCATCTCTATCCTAGTTGCTCAGGCCAGAAACCATGCACTCTACCAGGAAAACTTCTTGGCTCTACCTTCAAAATATATACAGTATTTTGACTACTTCTCACAGTGAGAAGTAGATATTGTTACTCCCCTAGTAGGAGAACTTCATCAGCTCTCACTTCCTTTACTCTAATAACATCCTGGCTGGTCTCCCAGCATCCACCCTTTGCCCCCTGGGGTCTATTCTCAACCCAGTAGCCAGAGTGAACCTTTCAAAGTAGATGTCAGATCGTATTACTCCTGTGCTCAGAATCTTCCAGCGGTTCCCCATTTCCCGCAGAGGAGGCATTAAAGCGTGTGGTTCTTCATTTTATCCAAAGTAAAAGGCAGATTCTTTACTGAGGCCTTCAAGGTACTGCATGAGTTGGCTGTTCTTTTTATTTCCCAGGCCTCCTTTTTTTCTACTCTCTCCCTGGCCACTCTGTCTCCAGTCACATTTTTTTCCCTTGCTGTTCCATGAACTCACAAGGCCACACTTCCACCATAGGGCTTTGCCTAGAATACTGACTCCCTCACTTCATTTAAGTCTTTAATCAAAGGTCACCTCCTGAATGGAGTCTGCCCTGATTTAATACACCCTATTTAAGATTGTAATGTGTCCCTTCTGACAGCATCCCAATTCTCTTTGTGCTGCTCTGCTTTTTATCCAGAGTGCTTTTAATCTTCCAAGATATCGTATAGTTTAGCTAATCATTATGTTGATTGTTTATTGTTCATTTCCTCTTCCTAGAATATGAACTCCATGAGGCAGAGATCTTGGTCTATTTTGTTCAACACTCTATTCCAAGCATGTAAGACCAGGCCTGGTACATAATGGGCACTCAGCTGAATGAATGATGAACACAACTCATGAAAAGACCTGAATTAATCATATATCAATACCCTAGGGAATTGACTTTAAGTTTCACCCTGGAATGTACTCACTACAAAAGTAACATGCAATTTCAAATATTCCCAACTTGCAAGAATATTGGTAGGGTTACTGTAAAGATGTTGGAATATAAGGAAAAAAATAGATGGAATTATTTTTATTATTATTTATACCTCTGAATTTTTTCCCTTGGTCAAACCATAACCCAAGAGAAAAACAGAAGAAAGTCAAGCAAAGACATTAATTGTAGAGAAGGTATGAAGAATTGCTTTGCAGATAACGTTCTAGATACTCATTAGCTTGATCAAAAAAGTTTAATTGAAAATAATGTTTAAATATTTTTATAAAATGTTCAATATTTTATTTTATCCTTCTGTAAGTTCAAACTTTGAATAAAGTTAGAAAATACTAAATGTCACGATAGTAATGTAAGGTCACATGTTTTCTTGGGTTTGAAATTTCAATTAGCCGACGGAAATATGTTTTTAAAACTTTATATTAGCATCATTTATACTTTCAGGTCACAGGAATGTATTGCATTTTTATTAAATGCATTGTTCTCAGAACTGAATAATGGAAGAAACATAATGAACCTCATGCTGAAAACATTTTTACTGCAAAAAAGACTAGGTCTTCGAAAACATAATGTGCATGATTACTTCTCATTTCCTTCTCAAAGGCGCTAATTAAGATTTTACTTGAAGGTTTAGGAAGCAACACATAATACTATTGAATACTTTTCAAAATCTTTCATCTATGGAAACACAAAATGCTTTTACCCTCACTAATTAATTAACCCTATGATAATTGAGATAACAACCCAACTTATTGTATAGTCCTACAGCCCACAGATCAGATAAATGCAGAGAGCATAATTTAGCAAAGGTGAAAGTGTACAGTGGGGAGCCCTAGAGTGAACATTATTACTCTACACGAGGTGAAAACAGTGTCATTCAGCTGTCATACCTGACCCTATGTTGGACAGTGACCTTCCAAAAGTCTTTCATTCTTGCCATATTGGGTAGAATGAACAGACGTCCTCTTTAATTGCAATTATTTTTTAAATTGTCCACATGAAGGCAAGAATTTTCAAGTTTTACATTTCCACTACTTTTCAGAACTTCAGTGCTAACAAAGGAAAGTGATCATATTAACCCTTTTTTTTAAAAGCAGGTTTGGGATATACACATCTGAAAGAAAATAATATAGTAAAACTGTAACAAAAGGCTTGCCAAAGATATAAAAGTCAAATACTAACAAAAGGAAAGCAAGAGATTTCAGTGCCATCAAGAAAAATGAGATTTGACGTATATTATTGAGTCCTGTGAAATGATTTTTAGATAGATAGATAGATAATAGAAGATTAGATAGATAGATAGATAGATAGATAGATAGATAGATAGATAGATGATAGATAGGGTAGACAAACAATTGGAGAGGGGAATGGGGCTCTTCCTAACAGAAGAATGTCAAAGAATAAATGTAGAAGGGAGTTATAGAATTGAAAAGAATTGTTTTAAGACCATCATACAGAAAGAGTTAGCCAAAAATCATCAACCGATGCTAAATCTAGAGGAGAATGTGCTGAGAAGGATATTCGCAGGTCTTAAAAGTGTCCACCAGATTTCTTGTCAGTTATCAGGTGAAAAATAGTAACTTTACGGTTACTAAAGGACAGATAAAGATCATGGACCTTTGAGTGTGTTACTCTGAGGACAACACAGTTTCATGTATGTAGGTCCCACCTGGAAGATCACAGCCTAAATCTTAGCATGAGAAAATATCTGACAAACCCAAGTTGGGGAACATTCAATAAAACAACTGGCCTGTAGTCTTTCAAGTCTCTTGGAAATACTTCATTAAGAAATAAATACCCCATTTGCATCACTGAATTCACACATGACAGAAACCTTATTAGTATGTGCACTGACATGAGAAGACTTCTGAGTACTCATCAAACCTTTTTAGAGATCACAAGCTCATGTTCATACTAAAGAAAACTTCTGTGTTTGTACTGAATATTAAAAACAATCTTCATCAGATGTGTAACTTCTTTACACATCAAAAATTCATACTGGAAAGATTCTCTATAATAATATTGTGACTATGAAGATGCCTTCACCTTGAAGACACTGGAAGGAAACAAAATGGATACATTAATGTAGTCAAGTCTTCGCCCAGGCAGACGTTTTTAGTACAAATCAGAGAATTCAAACATGAACTGAGAAAACCTTCTTTGATGTCATATTAACTGTGGTTGCAGAATTAATGCTACAGACAAAATTTATGGGTATGATGAAGTAGAGCTAGCAAGTACAAAATTTTGCTATAAAATGGGTAGAGAAAACTGAGGTGGACATGAAGTCAAGAGGTTTTGTTGTTGTTGTTGTTTTTCTTATTGAGAAATCCAGATAGTAGTGCCTTGTATTTTGCTAGTACACTGATGGTAAACATAAAGGGGGAAACTGATGAATACAGAAGATAGAAGGGATTGTTGGAAATCAGTGTCCTTAAGTCTGAGGAAGAAAGGAATTTGGTACACAAGTATAGGGGCTAGCCTTTGATGGGATCAGAGACAATTCATTATGTACAGCACGATCAGAGACAATTTATTTATGTACAGCATATGTAAGGCAATAAGTACATAAACACAGTTTCAATGAGTTGTAGACTTGGTGGTCAAAGGATGTTCTTTTTTGCTCGTGCCAATTTTCTCAGTGAAATAAGAAGCAAGTCTTCTGCTGAGAGTGAAAAAAACTGAGGAGGTATTTGAGGTTAAGAAGAAAAAAAAGCATGAAACAGGAATCTCAGAAAATGAAGAGTGTGAAATGTCTAAAGAAATGTATGGCTTCTGAGCAAGGCCAAAGACCACAACACTTATGAAAATGGTCATTTACTCAAAGTGAAATCATTCAGCATCATTGTGCATTTTTCTTTAGTCACATTAAGCTCCTAGATATTGATCCAGGATAACCAAAGTGTTGGGTTTAATAAGGGTTGGGGTTCTGCCAGGCAATGGAGAAGGAGATAAGAATATTGACAATAGGTGCAAAAGAGTAATTTTAGTGATGGCCCATAAATCAGTGCTGAATAACAAAGGACACCATGACAGGAAAGAGGTGACATCAGTTTGAATTCCTTTAAAATGGCCATTAGTAAATTGGAAATCCAGGTGAGGTCCAAGATGCAGTGGAATGAGTATTCTAGAAAGATACTAAAGGGTGGTGGTCAGATTTATAATTAAGATTTACAAAATAGCACTATTATTGCCAACAACAAGGGTGAAGAGACTTTTGAAGGAAAAATAGTCAAGGGACTTGAGAGGCAGGGTTAGGTGGATGTTGAAATCACAAGAACGATAAGAGAAGTTGTGGAGGAAAGAGAGACCATGGGCCAGATGTTAAGTCTTCAGTGAAGGAAAGTTTGGGGTAGGACACACCACAGATATTGATAACAAGAAGGAGTAGAAAGTAGTATAAGATCACCCCAGCTACTACTGAGGCTAAGGCAGGAAGATCTCAAGTTTGATCCTGGCTTGGGCAAAATAGCAAGGCACCTACTCTGTTAAAAAAAAAAAAAAAAAAAAGGCACGGTGTATTCTTCTTTTTTCATGGCATATGTGCTAGAAAAGAACACATGGTAGGCTGGGCATGGTGGCTCACACCTGTAATCCCAGCACTTTGGGAGGCCGAGGTGGGAGGATCATGAGGTCAGAAGTTCGAGACCAGCCTGACCAACATGGTGAAACCCCGTCTCTACTAAAAATACAAAAATTAGCCAGGTATGGTGGCAGGCGCCTGTGGGCCTGTAGTCCCAGCTACTCAGGATGCTGAGGCAGGAGAATCACTTGCACCTGGGAGGTGGAGTTTACAGTGAGGCAAGATCGCGCCATTGCACTCCAGCCTGGGCAACAGAGCAAGACTCCATCTCAAAAAAAAAAAAAAAACGAAAACAAAAAACACACAACAACAAAAAAAACCAACATGGCATATATGCTACAAAAGGTTTTAAAGAGTAAGAATAGATAATAGCTTGAAAAGTGGCTATGAAGATTATGAACAGCCTGAGCACCTCCTGGCCCTATAGGTGGTAGGATGTGGAAGAAAAAGAATAGCTGTGCTTTGGTAGTGCTGCTGAGGAAGCCATGCTCTCCTGGAAAATCAGATTTTAATTAGAGTAAAAAGGTGATGTGAATGTCCCTTTCCACTTCCTGAGTTAACCATCTCATGCATTATTCTTTCATCTCAAAACTCAAAAATCCCCTCAGCCTTCTCACTCTCAGCAGGTGATTTCTCAACAGATCTCATTTCTTGAGAAAACAGACAGGGTCAGAGGAGAACTTTCATTCTGAAAGCAGGAGTTGCATGGTGGAGGCAGGGAAAGAGGGTGCGGTGACAGACTGTGTTCCACTGAGCACAGTGAAGGGGGTGGGGAACTTTTGGAAAATTAACAAATCGATGTGCAAAGCCTTCCAGAATTAAAGGTCTACAATAAGGAAACCTGTCTTTCTCATGGTGACAGAGGGATGTGAGGCTTGATGGAATTTGTCTTGATGCTATCTGAGTGGAAGGGGAACAATAGGTTATACTATATCTTTGCATGTTAGGCCATTGTAGAGGATAAATGGGCAGTATTGAGTTTATGTGGCTGGGGATGCGGGTAATGGAGGTCTTGCCAGGAGCTGTGTGGGCCTTTATTTAAACTCTCTGTTCTGGGTGGGGTTAAGGAAAATTGTGAGTAGTGGGGTTTGGGGGAGAGTAGATGAGAAGGTTTGCAATGAGCAATTGTCTTTAAATATAAGGCATGAGATTCATCAGTTCTACCAGGTATCAAAACTATTTAAAATCAGTAATAATTAAATTGAGGTATGTCTGGTACAAAAAGATACACCTTGGTCATTGGAATAGAACAGGTATATTAGAATTTTATATACTGTAAAGGAGACATAGCAAAAGAATATAAAAATTGAGGATTATTTAATAAGCCACATTTAGATAATTCGGCCTAACCAATATTTAAAACTTAGAAAAAATAAACTTTGATGCAAAAATATACCAAATAAAATAACACATGTAGCGAAGCATTAAATACATAAATTTAAATGGGTAAACTCAGAAACAGGATAGTTATGTATCAACTATCTGAAAAAGAAGACTAATTTTTAAACTTGGAAATAACACAGAAGGGATTTTTTAAATGAATAACTATATATTTTGTTATGGTTTTAAACTTCAGAATGTCAGTAAGGTAAAAATTATATAATAAACCATTTTGACAAAGAGTTTTTATTAAAAGATATATAATTTTGTGCACTTTTTTATATCTTACTTATATCTTCATTGAAATTAAGATCCTCATTTAGAAACTATCACCAGTCCAGAGCAACAACAAAAAATTCACTCAATATGAATAACAAACAGTGGACAAGATGTAAAACAGTGTCAAACCTAGCTGTTATCAAAAGAAATGATCAAGTAAAACAAAGACCTAAATTTTTACTTAATTTACTAAAATATTAAATGATAATGTACTTGTATACCCTTACAAGATGAAATAATTATTTTTGAAAGTAGTTTTATAATGTATTCTAAGCAATAAAATGTATGTGTTACTTAAGCCAGCTAATTAATTCCTGGAATTTTATTCTAAAAAAAAAATAATTAAAAAGTCTATGTGTAAGAAGATATTCATCATTACATTAATTATAATAAAAAATTAACCTCAAAATAGTGAATAGTGGATGGAATAACTGCTAAGGCAGCCATTAATAAAGCTTATGAAGAATATGCAGCAGAATGAAAAGACTTGCATTGTAATACAAAGTGAAAAAGTATAGGCCATACTCTGTGACTGCAAGGATGCAACTACGCACAAATGACTAAGAGACAGTATTTAAAGATATGATTTGTTAAATTGGGGTGACAAAATTATGGATGATTTTCTTCTGTTTCCAAATTTTCTGAAATAATTGTGAATAGTTTGGGTAACACCACGCATCTTCCCACCACATTAGCTTTAGAAATATTGGCCTGAGTGGGTAGAAAACATTACATTTCTTCTCCGAATTTCATGGTATTGCTAAATGTTTTAATATTGTAGACAGCTGTATCAGATGTTGAGGATAAATGGCCTATTTACCCTACTTAAATAGGAGATTAGAATATTGGTTATGAAAGGATTTCAAAGGCACGTATCTCCAGCTGCATACATACAACTTTTAAGTATGATTTCACCTGTAAAAAAAGAACAAAACCGCTTAGGATGAATCAGGAATTCTAAAATTGATACTTGAAAAGTTTACTTCCAGTGAAACTTTATTATGTGCAAGAAAGAAAGATAATACAGCCCACAATTATACAAATATTATTTCAAATGTCTTCCAGTGGCTGATATTATAAAAGATGTGCCATGTTTATATCTTGATGCGTAGTCCTCAAAATACCACTCTTTAACATTACATCAGAACTTTACCAAAATTCAAAGGTTGTATGAATGAAAGACCACTGTCATATCTTAGATTTTCATGTTCAACATGCAGCTGCATAAACCATAGGGATTCTTGCTGAAATGTCCTTCAGCAGTTTTTATGCAGATGGCAGAATATAAACGCTTTGTTACAGACGCATAAACACATGCCATGGCTTCATGACAGAGAATGATGTAGAGTCAATCTGCAGAATCAGCTGGTGTATGCTCCTCAAGTGGGAGGCAGGGAAAAGCTTTGGCAGAAAAACAGCATAGAACCACATGCTTATAAGAAACAGATCAATGGGTTTCCTGCTGCATGGAGGCTGCCGTGTTTCATTCTTGGCTTGGATGAAGTTTGTTATAAATCTCTTTGTCTCAGTGCTCCTAGATATAATGAAGTCGAGGCGTGGGTATAATGCAGAGGGAATGTGTATTTAGACTCCACAGGACTTACTCCATTTTTTTGCAGGAAACAGAGCTTGGAGTAGCCCAGCCTCCAAGGGTCTGAGGGAGCACTGGGGAAACTGTATATATGCATCCTCGCTGATGTATTTACAGAGCTGTGTTCTCGGCTGAACGCCCTCAGCCTGCCCAGCGCACTAGAGACTTGCAAGACTTTTGCTCCACCAAGGAGTGCTCAGGGGACATCCCACTCAGTTCTGTGGCTCCTTCTTCCTCTTCTCTTTATTGGCTCAATTCTGCTTCCTCACATCCTCCAAGTACAGGGCAATCAGTCAGTGGTTCAAATCATCAAGCTCTTGGTAAAGATAGGCAAACTAAAAAGATCCAGAAGAAAATTGTATTAGTCCATTCTCACACTGCTATAAAGACATACCCGAGTCTGGGTAATTTATGGAGAAAAGAGGTTTAACTGACTCACAGTACCACTGGATGTACAGGAAGCATGGCTGGCGAGTCCTCAGGAAATTTACAATCATGGCGGAAGGGGAAGGGGAAGCAAGCACATCTTCACGTGGCCAGCACAAGACAGAAAGAAGAGGGAAGTGCTACACACTTTGAAACAACCAGATCTTGTAAAAACTTCATGAGAACAGCAAGGGGGAAATCCACCCCCATGATCCAATCACCTCCCACCAAGTCCCTCCCCCAACATTGGGAATTACAAAATGGCATGACATTTGGGTGGGGACACAGAGCCAAACCATATCAAAAACATAGTTTTTTTCTGCATATCAGTGGAAGCCCTATGTATGTCTATGTCTGTTTATCAGAACACTGTCAAATTCTTATTAGAAAGAGTACAAATTAAGGTTCGTTTGCAAAAGCAATTGCAGTTTTTGCAATTACTTTAATGGCAAAAACTGCAATTACTTTTGCATCAACCTAATAGAAGACATTTAGAAAAGTTTGTTGAAATGTTGTGTGTTCCTTTCTGCCATTCTAGTATTAAGAGCATGCCCACTTATTTGCATTATTATGACACTGGTCTTGTGATTTGGGTTACATTCACAGTAGGCAATTAAGGCATGTCAGTTTCCAAGCAGCATCAGGATCCTGATGATGATTCAGCTACTGGCAGTTCATCAGACTGGTTGCTGAGGGAGTTGCTCAGATGTTGCAAAATGATTCAGTTCTTGGAAACGTGGATAAATTTCAGCTCAAGGAGTACTTCTTTTTCAACACTAGAGAAAGGAACTGAAACCACTACAAAATAGACTTTTATGTATAGTCATCATAAAGTATATTAAAAGGTAGAACAGAGGATACTAGAGGCTGAGAAGGGTAGGAAAAAGGATGGATAGGGAGAAATTTATTAAAGGATATAAAATTACAGCTAGATAGGAGGAATAAGTTCCAGTGTTCTATACCACTGGATGACTATAGTCAACAATAATATATAGTTTCAAATGGGTAGAAGGAGGATACTAAATGTTCCCAGCATAAAGAAATGACAAATGTTTGAGATGATGGGTATGCCAGTTGCCCTGATTTGATTATTATACATTATGCATATCAAAACATCACTCTGTACCCCATGAATATGTACAATTATTATTTGTCAATTCAAAAAAATAAAATTATTTAAAATTTAAAAACTTTCTTAAAACACTGACATATGGTACAGTAACAAAATAAAGAAAATTTTTCATATAAGATTCAGAAAATTAAATGTTTCATCTTCATTTCCTAACCTACTTGTCCTCCTTTTTTGTCTTCTTCATATTTCTGTAATGGTTCCACCCCCCTCCAATTATAGGAGTCCTGTACTTGGTACCTAATACCTCAACCCCTTCTTTCACTTTCTCCTCTCTTTCTCCACACACCCAGTCATCACCTAAAGACTTGGTTGCTCAAGGACTGTTAGAATGTTTTTCCCTCACTGTCATGAGTCCCTTATCATCCCTCACATATGCCATTACATTGTTGCAGCTTTTCTTTTATCTACCTCTGCCTCTGTTGACTGCTGAGAGTGGTTTTCTCAAAGCATATTCACTACCATGTTCAAAGAATCTCTGATAGCTACATGTTATACATTCTACATTGCATTCAGAGCCCACCATGGTGATATAACCGCACTCCTCATTGTCTTTTCCCATTCTCCCTTTCATGTACTTTTGCTTGAGATGAAGGGCTCTCCCGCTTCAGTGCTTTTGATCAACCTGAATTGTCCCTCACCTTCTCTTTCTGCCACTTCAGCATCATATTTTCAAGAAACTTTCTCTAAACAACCAGTTCTTAACACTTTGACCCATGATACCACATTTTAGAGCACTTACCCTTTCATACATATGTGGTCCTGACCTAATAAAACTAAGATTTTTGCAGCCACAATTTATGTCCCCTCCCAAAGTATCTAGCCCAGTGGCTTCAACACAGTAGAAATGCAAATATTTGCTAACTCCTTGATGTTCTCTTCCCCTTCTTTTTCAGCAGGACCACCACCCTACGGTCACGACCACGAGATGGAATACTGTGCAGACTTGCCTCCTCCATACTCCCCCACCCCACAGGGTCCAGCACAGCGTTCTCCACCCCCTCCTTATCCTGGAAACGCAAGGAAATAATCTATCTCCCAGAACAGAACATGTGCCAATGGGCGATCTTGCCTGGAATAAAATGCCTCTACTCAGAAACAGGCAGGAAAGAATTGCTCCAAGGAATACTTTTTGGGGTCAGATAATGTGTCAGGTGGAATATCCCTGCTAGGAGATATAGGATTTCTACTCTGCTCAAAGCTGACCCCATCTGGAGTATTAATGTTTGGTTCTATGGAACCACATTTTAAGAGATCTGCTGATCCACCTAAGCACATTCAGGGAAGAGTAATGTAATTGACAAAATATCTGATAATCATGTTGTTTAAGGGCTAGGTGAAGAAAGTTTCAGTATTGATCCTGGAAAAAAAGAAGATCTAAGTAGGATGGGAGAATGATTTGGCCCACACAAGGAAGCAACTTTATTCTATATAGCTTTAAAAGTCAGAACTAGAATTGTTCATTCTTTCATTCATCAATAAATGTATTTTGAGTGCCTAAGAGTTTACTATGTGCCTAGCACTGTTTGAGGTCCTGATGGAAGTTACAGGACGGGTACTCTGGTTTTAGTACAAGAAAGAGCAATGACTAGATTGCTTTGTGAAGCTCTTGGTAGAGACACGCTCCAGAAGGGATAACAAAATCAAATAGTAGATGGGTTCATTGGGCCTCAGAAGTTCTGCTCGTATTTTAGGTGGGTGTGAAGTGAATTTCTATATGTCCAGGAGTGAATACAACAGAAAGAGTTGGATCTTATTTATTTAATTAGGGAGTTAAAACAAGACCAAAAAGACTCAACAGCCGCTTGAAGCCAAGAACTCTTCAATGCCAGCTACTGCCACCTAAAAATCATCTGGCTTTATAGTGGATCAGAATAAAGGTTATTCTAACTGTGGGGAGAAAAAAAAAATTGTATCAAGTTCCACAGGTAGCAGACACTTCACTTCCAAGTAAAAGATGAGAAATCAATTATTCCCACAGGATTTTAGGTCAGGGAGCAAAAATCTCAGAACTTGACCATGAAGATACACAACAGACTCGCAAAAATAAAGTGGGAAATGAAGTTCAGATTCCCTTCTGTAGATTTCCTTAAAACTATTATTTTTTTCTTCTTCGTAAAATTTTGATAATCTGTTCTCTTAAAAAAGTTAATGACACAATTAAGATACTGACATCAAATTGTTGCCTTTTACCAAAATGCAAATTTTATGAAGTGCCTACCTTTATATGTATAAAGCATTTAATAAATAATTCTAATGTGCCATATTTTGCTGTGAGTGACCTTAACATTTATATTTTTATATGAATTGTTTCATGTATTTATAAAAATTGTATATTGAACATTGGAAATAGATGATTAGATTTTTGTGTCATTTTACAATTAAATCTAAAATGCTTAATCCAATATCATCATCAAAATTCAGTGAAATCCCAAAACAGTGCCAAGAATTTTGCTGAATGAAACAATCAAACAAAGCATTTTAAGGTGTAAGTTATAGTACCTGTACTTGCAGATAAGAAGCTTACTATATCATTATTATAAGTAGCATATATTACTTTCAAATACCTATATTAGAAAGATATTGATCTGACTGAAATATAACCTACCTGCCAGTAAGGTCCAAAGGCTGAATTTGTTTTGAATGAGTTCCTTGATCTTTAAGCACTGATGATTTTCTTATATATGAGGATGCAAAGCATTCAAGAGTTTCAGCCTGTTCTGGTGAGGGGCTCCCTGACTTACATAAAGTTTTCAGTGCAATTTTAATAGTACATATGCTTTAATTTATTTTTCTTCTGCGTGTGGTCAGACCCAATTACACTGTGGCTAAGACTCTCAAAGTGCCAGGGTTTCTGTGATGATTCTGAGAATGCTGAATACAAATATACCTTATATTCTTTAAGGAAAACGGAAAGGAAAGATCAGCAGAAATAGGGTTTTCTCATCTTCACCATCAATAAACATTTATTGCGTACCTCCTATATTCTGCAAATTTTCCCCAAATAGAAGCCAGTTCAGTCCACACCATCTCTTCTTTGAGTTGTTTATGGCCTCCCTTAAGGCATTTTACAAACCCATAAGCCTACAATAGATGAGTATTTTTACTATTTGTATTAAGTGTCATAATAGCATCAATGTGCACATTACCAGTATAGACTGTTGGAGTTCACTGATTGTTTTCATAGATGATGCTTCTTGGGGAAAAATAGTATAGGATGTGAAAGTTTTGAATTACGGTTATTTAAAAACTAACATTTGCTATGGCCAAAGTGTTTACAATAAGCAATAAAGTGAAAGAACCTATTATAACACAGATTATATTTTCATTGTCTTGTGTCCATTTTTTTCACCCTCTATTTCTGCTGACTTTGCCTCATTCTTCTGTACAGGAAACACAGGGCTGGAGCCAGACAGACTTTATTTTGAATCCTGTCTCCTGCCTGTGTGATTTGAAGCAGGCTACTTCATCTCTGAGATTCAACTTTCTGCTCTGGAAAATGTAAATAATATTATCAGTCTCATCGCATTCTGCAAAAACTGGATGAATATATACAAAACTCTAAGTATAGTGCCTGGCACATAGAAAACGTCCAATAAATATTAGCCCAAAATAAATTAACAAAACAACAATATAATGAGAACAACCTCTAGAACTATATTATCCAACACAGCAATCATCAGCTACATATGGTCATTTAAGTTTAAATTAATTGAAATGAAATTAGATGAAAAATTTACTTCATCTGTCTCATTAACCCCATTGCAAATGCTGCATAGCCTCATGTGGCTAGGGGCTACCTACGTTATTGGGTAGTGCCACTCTAGAGAAATCTATGCAAAAACGCAGTGAGATAGCAGGAAGTCATTGAAAAAGAGACCACTCCAATCTCCTCCAGGAGAAACTATGGACTTTGTCAGCTAATTGTGATGTCTTTCACTTATTTGTGTGGAGAGTCCATTCCCATGGAAGCAAGACAATAACTTGCATGAGAACCATGAGCAGCGAGAGGCTAATCTGGCCCTCTCCAGAGCCATGGGCAGGAAAGCTGTTGCAAGAGCTGAAGGGCTGATGATAGGAGAGAGACCTTAGACCTGATGTTAGAGCTGGTGAAACAGAGCCACAGCCTGTTCTCAGAGTCTAATCAATTCTGCAGCTGCCTACCCAGCTTCAGAAGCCACTACAGGAGCATGTGGGGCTACCTAATCTTCCTAAGGTGCAGGGCTGTAGGCTACCCTTCTGTTTTTTCATAATCTTGTTCCCACCACCAAATGACGGCAGCACTCATCATACATCCACTCTACTTCCAACTTGTCCTTGTTTAACCAAACTCATTTTGCCAACTTTTGGTTGTAGGTAAAGTAGGGACTGGGACACATAAGATTGTATATTAAGCTCATCAAATAGTGGAGCTCTGGGTACTATTGTTTTAATTTTTCACTTAATTAAAACAACCTAACACCAGAATGCCAAAGTCACATGGTCACCTTGTTAATCACCACAGAGGCATCCAAGAACTACCATATTCTCAATCAAAACCTATCTGAAATGCATAGTTTTTATTCTCTGATTTGGGGCCAAGCTGCATGGGATATGGCTGAACTTGTGCAAGAGCAAAACTCTTTGGTGCAACTGTACTGTGTAGTGTGGTTCAGTATAAACATTGTCAGGACCTCCAGAAAAGGAAAGTGACATGATTAACTATAAAGCAACCCACAGGTGATTCTGATTTCCAGCCTACTTAACCCCACTCAGGCCTCTAACATCCCTCTAATGCAGGGGACAGAACCAAGGCTTCAGAGTAAGGGAGACTTTGTTTCCCCTCTCATCTCTGTCATCTTCTAACTACATGTACGGAGCCAAATAACAACATTTCCATAACCTCAGTTTCATTCAAAATATATGAATAACACCATCCTTGCCACGTGGTTGCAATGATTATAAACAATATATGTAGAACATCTGTTACAAAGATCCTACCTGGGTTGGTGACTCTGATAGTTGCAACTGAATATACATATTCTCTTTCCTTTATGCCCCACTCCGAAGCCTCACCACTTCTATAAACAGGTGCATTTGTTATCCATTGCTGTGTAACAAATTTAACTCAAAACTTAGTGGCTTGAAACATGTATTATCTCAGTTTCTATGGATCAGGAATCTGAGGGTGGCTTAGCTGGGTCTTCTGGCTCAGGGACTGTCACAGGCTGCTGTCATCTCAATGTACAACTGAGAAAGTATCTGATTCCAAGCTCACTCCCATGCATGGTCATTGACGAGATTCAGTCCCTCCGAGGCTTTTGTGCCAGCTTCATTTTCTCACTAGCTATTGGCCAGAAACCACCCTCAATTCCTTGGCATATGGGCCTCTCTGTAGGACAACTTTAAATGTGTCAGCTTGCTCCCCCAGAGCAAGCAAGAAGAGCCATGGAGTGGAAGAGAGTGCTAGGAAGACAGAAGTCACAGACTTACGAAATCCAATATTGGAAGTGATATCCCATCACATTTGCCATAACCTGTTCTTTAGAATCAGGACACTAAGTTCATCTCACATAAAAGAGGAGGGAATTACACAAGGACACAGAAACCAAGAGGCAGAGAGCTTTGGGGGCCATCTTAGTAGTTGGTGTACCATAGCAAAGATATTTTATCTTACTCTCCTTAAGTTGATTATTTAGAGTTTAGGCAATGTAGAAGATAATACCTTCCCTCTAATAAGAATGTACCAACTCAACAGCTGAAAGAATCCCAAGCCATGCTTGGCTGTGATCAAATTGCTTTTATTGAACCAACAGGAGCAGAATGGAGCTGGCAACATTCAAGGACCACATTAACTAGATAAGTGCTACATTCCTAAGAAATACTGAAAAGATACACACAAGGCTTGTGTTTCTCATGAACTTCATTTATGAGCTGCACTAAAGCCCATCGTATTAGGCAGGGAATGAAGTACAGCACATACACCACATACCTTTATGGACGAGTCTTAAAATAGTCCCAGTTCTAACCTTTGTTTCAACTCTGTTCCTAGATATTTAATCTTCATCAAGAAAATAATTCCAAGACAAGTTCCCAGATGAGTGTTCAGTGGATCAAGTTGCTACCTAAGCTAATCCTGAATGCCTTCCCTAAAAATAAACATCCAATCCAAGGAAATGGTTGGAACTGGGGGAACATGTGTTAGGAATATTTGCCTTCTCTGGAAGCATGAAGGAGAAATTGTTTTTTAAAAAAATTTAGACTTTGATTTCTATTTCTGCTCTGCTCTCACTTTTTTTTTTTTTTTTTATGGAGTTTTGCTCTTGTTGGCCAGGCTGGAGTGCAATGCCACAATCTCAGCTCACTGCAACCTCCACCTCTGGGGTTCAAGCAATTCTCCTGCCCCAGGCTCCCGAGTAGCTGAGATTACAGGCGCGAGCCACCACACCCGGCTAATTTTTGTATTTTTAGTAGAGATGGGGTTTCACCATCTTGGCCAGACTGGTCTCAAACTCCTGACCCTCAGGTGATGTAACTGCTTCGGCCTCCCAGAGGCTGGGATTACAGACGTGAGTCACCGTGCCCAGTCTCTGTTCTCCTTTTTCTAACCCAGTCATGAATAGCTTTTGAGTGTGTATCACCTGTCATTTCTTTTTTAATTGTTGTTTGTTCTTTCTTCAGAGACAGGGTTTCATTCTGCCACCTAGGCTAGAGTGCAGGGAAATGATCATGACTCACTGCAGCCTCAACTCCTGGGCTCAAATGATCCTCCCACCTCAGTCTCCCCAGTAGCTGGGAATACAGGTGCGTGCCATGAAACCTGGCTAATTTGTTTATTTTTTTGTAAAGATGGGGTCTTGCTATGTTGCTCAGGCTGATCTCGAACTCCTGGCCTCAAGCAATCCTCTTGCCTTGGCCTCCCAAAGTGCTGAAATTACAGGTGTAAGCCACCATGCCTGAACCATACCTGCCATTTCTAAATGTGAGGAAGAAGCAAGAGAATCATTTTCTGAATCTCGTTTCGTCATGGCTAATAAATGAATAAGATATCTTGCATTGTTTCCATGGTCTGCAAGATGAATAATTTTCTCTGACTAAAATCCGAAGAGATCCAAGCGATCAGATTCCCCATTTTTGTACCTTATCAGTTAATGTCTTGATTATCACACATTTTGCATATCATCTTCCCTATTGACTAGAAAGGAACTTGAAAGCCATCCAAAGGGATAAAGCATTCAGAGTTCAACTCCTGCTTTACCTGTGAAAATGCATTTGGAGACCACCCTCCTCATCCCTTGCCACCACCTGAACACACGGTGCTAATTCCCTTACCTCCTTGCCTGAGGATAGATAAACCCTCACTTAAGCTGCAGAAACCCTCCTCATCTTTCCAGATCTAGGTAAAGAGCTGATACCCGGAGAAGAGGACCCTGGCAAATTTTCCAATCAGAATTAATCATTTCCCACCTCCAGCCATTTTGGTACCTAATCCAATACCCCTCTTGTAGCCTTGTAATAGATTTGTGTAAATGTCTGTCTCCTCCATTAGATTCTAAGCTCTTTGAGAGCCAAGACTGTCCCTTGGATATTTGTAGTCCTCAGGGAGTACCTACATGATATTTGGGACATGGTAAAAATGATTGAATATATTAAGTAAGCAACTAATATTTGACATGAAGGAATATTAAAAGAACTTTAAGAATTAGAGGAAGTGAGTTTGTAGTGAGTAGCATATTCTAAGTGTAGTCCATAATCTAAAGTATGAGTCAGACAACTGAACAAAGGCTGTAGCTTCATAGTTTTTAATTGATGTACATGTCAATCCAGATAGAGTTAAATCGTGCCTTTAAGTGCAGTATTAACACGTGCCCCTTCATAAGAGGAATGTGCTCATCTTGAATGACTCACTTAGTGGGAACAGGATAACATGTCAGTTTGGGAGAGGCACTTTTATAATTCTTAAAATTAAGCTTCTCGTTTCTTACATAAAAAGAATACCAACTGAATATCAGAAAATAATTGCTTCATGAATTGTATATCCATAGAATAGATTCTAATGTAATTTAGACTTCAGAAGCAATGTCCAAAGGATACACTAAGGTATTTTACTAAAATAAGATGCCATAGTTTTCACGTTACCATTTCTCCAGGGTATGTTGAAAAACTACTGAATATTCTGAAAAGAAACAAAAACACTAAAATTGGCTGAAAATGGGTTATAAAATTGCAACCAGCTTTTGTGCTATTATTATTTAATACGTATGGAGAGAAATAATGCATTTATCCACGTTCTGAGAAGCAGTAATACCACTGTAAAAACATTGATTCTCAATGGAATCATCCCTAGAAATGTGTTACCTTAATTAATAATAACAGTAAGTGTGTGTGTGTATGTGTGCACCAAGCACTGTTCTAAGCAATTTACATTTAACTTACATTTAATCCTCTCAAACCCATGGCATAGGTATTATTATTATCCCCATTTTACAGTTTTGGATACTGTAAATGTTTCAATTCATAATCTTTAGGCAAATTCTAGTGATAGGTATTGTGCTTTTATTATATTAAAACAATTATATTCTCCTCAGAAACCCGGGACATTTTTATGGGAACATAATTCTAACTCTTTCTTCCCCTAGGATGAACCTTGCCTAGGAGACTTCTTAGTCTCTCATGCAAAGAAAATCTTGGTAGAGCCGCTCCCCGAGCTCAGTCCTTTAAATGCTGAGAGTGAGCAGTTAAGCTCAACCTGGGCTCCTGCCTTCTGTATTACATGCAGAATACAATGATTTCAATGACTAATCCTTTTCTCCTAGTACAGCATAAGTAGCCTTAAAATAGTACTTACCTGAAACTATTGTTTTGCCAAATTGAAATGAATTAATACAATAATTATATTGAACAATTTAGATAAATTCATTATTTAATTTTTATGTGAATTGACCATGATATTGGCACAAGTTCTTTACAATGTCAGCAGAATTAAAAATGAGGACCACACGTCACTTCATTATATAATGATTTTTTGAGCAAATATCTGGCATGACATAAGATATCTAAAAGTGTTGGATGAACAAAATGTCTAATAGAAATAAAAGGTAAGATGACCATTGACATTAAACCTTTTTTGTACTGTGTACACATTCCCCTTCCCTTTACAAATCCACTCTCCACACCCTCCCCTCTATTTCTGCCCAGGAGTCTACACTGCTTGGACTGCACCAAGGACTTCCCTTGACAGTTGTGCTTCTGGTTGAATTTGGCCAATGGAGAGGCCATTCAGGAAAGCAGAAAGAAAAAGGAGAGTGAAGATGGAATACTTACTTGAAGTATTTATCTGGATGGTGCCTCTCAAACAAAAGTCCAATTCCCATGGGATGCCTTCTCCAAACAGCTATATTTCTAGCTTCTCTCCTTCCCCTTTTAGACCTAGGACTGCCAAAGCTTCCCTATTGCTGCTAGTCATGGAGTACTGCACTACCGCCTGTAGTTTCCCTTCACTCTATCCACGCATTTCATGAACTCTCTTCAAATTACTCCATATGGGTAGCCATCGACTTCTTACCAAGGCCCTGACTGAGACACTTTCATTCTTTTAAAAATATCCGAGTCAACTAATATATTAAAATAGACCAGCATCTCTTCTCAACTGTTCTGTGTTTGCATTATGTATTTATTTGAGAAAACAAGCAGGAGACCTGGGTTCTAGTCTCAACTCTACCACTAACCAGCTTTCAGATGATGAAGACTTCTGCAAGGCCACTGTCTTCTTAAGAACAAAATGGCTAGGTGCAGTAGCTCACACCTGTAATCCCAACACTTTGGGAAGCTGAGGCAAGAGGGTTGCTTGAGGCCATGAGTTCAAGACTAGTCTGGGCAACACAGTGGGATCCCATCTCCACACACACAAGAAGTTTTTAATTAGTCAGGCATGGTGGTGTGAACCTGTAGCCCTAGCTACTCTGGAGACTGAGGCAGGAGGATTATTTAAGCTCAGGAGTTGGAGGCTGTAGTGAGTTATGATTGCACCCAGCCTGAGTGACAGAGAAAGACTCTGTCTTTTTTAAAAAAATAAAAAAAGCGACATTTATGTGGCCAACAAACATACGAAAAAAAGCTCATCATCACTGGTCATTGAAGAAATGCAAATAAAAACCACAATGAGATACCATCTCACGCCAGTTAGAATGGCGATCATTAAAAAGTCAGGAAACAACAGATGCTCCTACTGGTGGGAGTATAAATTAGTTCAACTATTGTGGAAGACAGTGTGGCGATTCCTCAAGGATGTACAACCAGAAATACCATTTGACCCAGCAAGCCCATTACTGGGTATAAGCCCAAAGGATTATAAATCATTCTACTATAAAGACACATGCACGCATATGTTTATTGCAGCACTATTCACAATAGCAAAGACTTGGAACCAACCCAAGTGCCCATCAATGATAGACTGGATAGAGAAAATGTGGCACACCATGGAATACTATGCAGCCATAAAAAAGGATGAGTTCATGTCCTTTGCAGGGACATAGATGAAGCTGGAAACCGTCATTCTCAGCAAACTAACACAGGAACAGAAAACCAAACACTGCATGTTCTCACTCATAAGTGGGAGTTGCACAATGAGAACACATGGACACAGGGATGGGAACATCACATACTGGGGCCTGTCGGGGGGTGGGGGGTTAGGGAAGGGATAGCATTAGGAGAAACACCTAATGTAGATGATGGGTTGATGGGTGCAGCAAACCACCATGGCACATATATACCTATGTAATAAACCTGCATGTTCTGCACATGTATCCCAGAACTTAAAGTATAATAAAAAATTACAATTAAAAAAAGAATAAAATGCACATGGCAGCAGTCAAGAATGAACAAACCAATAAAAAAAGAATCACATAGACTCTTAGAGACAGCATAGGAATATTTTTGTGTAACACTTACAAGTAAGAAAACAGACACAGAAGAGATGAGAGATTTGTTCAAAGTTACTGCTGATGGGACAGCTTTTTGGTAGCAATCCTTGGATACAGACTCCAGTTGCTTGACACTTCTTTCCACTCTCCTACTTATTATTTTTTAATTTAACAAACACATAGCACTTAATGTGTATCAAGCACTATTTTAAGCTCTTCACAAATGTTACCTCATACAATTATAATGTTATCTGCATTTAACAGATGAAAAAACTGATTTTTAGAGAGGTTAAGTACCTTCTGCAAGGTCACACATCTAACCATGGCACGTGAAGTTGAGCAGGGAGACCACAGCATCCTTGCTGTTATCCACTGTGCTGTGCCAGTTCTCTACACAATTGTTGGTTCGGGTTATTGTTGACATGCTCTTTCCAAACTCAGGGCCTTTGCACATTCTGATTCCTGTCTGGAACATAGCTGACTCTTTTTCATTCCTCCGGTCTTACTTTTTTTTTATTTTTCTTTTTAGAGACATAGTCTCACTCTGTTGCCTAAGCTGGAGTGCAGTGATGCAATAATGACTTACTGCAGCTTCCAACTCTTCGGCTCAAGCAATCCTTTTGCCTCAGCCTCTGGAGTAGCTAGGACAATATGTGCTCACCACCATGGCTGGCTAATTTTTTATTTATTTTTTGTAGAGATGGGAGCTCACAGTGGTTCCCAGGCTGGTCTCCAACTCCAGGCCCCAAGCGATACTCCTGCCCAGGCCTTCCATAGTGCTAGGATTACAGACAAGAGCCACTATGTAGGCCAGGTCACATGTTAAATACCAAACCATAAAATTAGCTTTCTCTGACAACCTGATCTGAGCAGGTCTCTAACAACACCTTATTCATTTTTCTGCATCAACACTCCCTATACGCTGCCTTCATAGCACTTACCCCAAGATATAGTTAAATAAATGTGTGTTTACTTCTTTCTGCTCTGTGCCCTTCCTCTACTAGACTGTAAACTCCCTGAGAACAGGGGTAAGTCTGCTCAATGCATGACTCTATACTGGCACCCAGAGTAGGCACTGAATAAGAAGTATATGTTGAATCGATTATCAAATGTGTTTTATAGAGCTATAATCTACAGTGTAGAATGTAGTTGCACAAATACTCTAATAAGGGCAAAGTTGGATATAGTCCAAAGTTCTTAAATTCAAAGCGATTATAAGAAGCAGCTCTCCTCCTCCCCTTCTATCCCTTTTCTGTGCTGGCTTTTTAAATGGGTACGATTCACAATGACTAATGGTACCATCGCTGTCACCCCAGGCCAAGGGGTTTTTGAAACAGTGTAGTAGGACCCCAGGTGATGCAATGTCAAGGGAGATGCTACTGGTATTTAGTGCACCACAATAGACAATTGCATTAAAAAAGAATTGTCCTGCCCTAAATTTTTCTCAAGATTTCACTTCCTCAGTTACCTCACTCTCAACCCCAAAGAAAAAATAACCTATAAGTACAGAAGTATCATTACTTCTAAAATATTTTGAATATTTAATGACGCTAACATGCCATTAGCAATGAATCGCTTAGTTGACTGTGCTGATCTGAAGAGCAGTTGGGTTTAAGAAATGTTCTACTTCCATTCTCTTCTCCAAACTTTAGAGACTGGTGTTTCAATAGCAAGAATATCTCAAGTCATACTTTGGCCTCTTTTGCCGCAGTTCTGTTTTGACAGTTCTGTTTCACCCAAGTAATGGCCTTGTGTCCGTGCCTCCCAGGGATGGATGCAAATATCCATTGTTCAAGTCACGATATATTTTTACCTGACAGCAACCTGCATTCTGTTCAGAGAAAAGATGCATTTTATTGTTGGTAAAGAGGTTGAGCTATAACTTGTGGATGCACAAGTTGTTGGAGTATGAATAATTGATACTAGACATAAGTCCTTTTTATGGTCTCCATTCATTAGGGGGAAAATCCAATCAGGCAGCCCTGTGTTCATGTCACTGCGTTTGAAATATGTCTTTGGAAATTAAGACATTGGCTTTTTACGTGCGCTGAGCATGGATTTAAGTGAGTTAGACCCCTGTACCTGTAAGATAGCATTAACATTAAAATATTAAAGGCAAGATTTCTACTTAAGAAGAATGAAACAGAAAATTACTAAAATGAGTCAATTGATATCATGACATCTCAAAGCCCAAGTTTAAAAATAAAATAAGATTGGTAGTAGATTTCATAGGAAGAAGATGATAACTTCTTCCAGCAAGTTATCAAAAAGTAAGCTTGGTATATTTGTGAACACCCTTTTTAGAATCACTTTCATTCATTTATTTCATTCATGCAGCATTTATTCAAATCAACACATTTTTATTGGGAACTTATTGTGTCAGACACTAAATGCTGGGGGTATAGCAATGAAGAAAATTGGCCTGATCCTTTAACTCATAGAGAATGCAGTAATCTCTATGTACTGTACATGAAAAAGTCACTACAAAATTAATTCATCAAATTCAACTGTAGGAAGTGCTGTGAAGACACATTAGTACAAGATGCAACCTTAGAGGCCATTAAGCAAGACCCTGTGATCTCAAAGGTGAGAATACTGAAACTGTGGGAAGTGAAAAGTCTTAGCTGAATGTACACAGAGAATACAGCAGGCCCATGGGTCACACTAGTCAACATAGATGAAGTAGATAGGATCTGCCATAGACATCAAGCTGACGAAACCATTAAAAGGCAAAATTCATTTGCACATTTGCTTTGGCTAAAGTCAGGCTCATAGATAATGTCATCTAAAGATTTTTCCTTAAGAACATGTATCTTCAAAGTCTGAGAATCTGAGAGGCTTTCATTTCCTGTTTTAATGTGACCAATAATGATTGTTTTCATTTCGTTTTGTTTATTAAAACTATTAGTTATACATCTATCCTTTACTCACTTGTCTATTGGTTAGTTGGTTGGATGTAGCAAGGCTCAACTATTTCACAGTCATAAAAGCCCTTTATAAAGACATAGATCATCAATTCAGTAAACAAGGAGATGAGTTGTGCTATCTAGGCCTAACTTTGTTAATATTCCTTCATTCATTCAACAAATACTGACTGAGCACGTTACTATGTGTCAGCCGTGGTCCTAGAAGCTGGAGATTCTTCAGGGAACAAGAAAACTCCCTGGAGTTTCGTTCTAATGGAGAAGAAGAAAACATAAACAAATAAATAGTGCATCAATTGTGAAAAAGCTCTGGGAGAAAAAAGCAAGCTCAAAGGAAAGAGAGTAACAGGATTGGGAAACAAAAAGGCTGGGTTTTTGGTAAGATGATCAAGGAACTCTTGATATAGTACTATTTAAGCAGAGAACTGAAAGAAGTAAGGGAATGAGACTTGCCAGTATCTAGGGCAAAGGTATACCAGGAAGAGGAAACAGCAAAAGCTAATCCTCTGAGGTAGGGGAATACTCAGCCTATTTGAGGAAGAGCAAGGAGGCCAATGTGGCTGAAGCATCATGAGTGAAAGGGAGAGAAGATGAAGATAAGGTCACGTAAGTATCAGAACACAGGTCATGTAAAGCCGTGTAAGCCACGGTAAGGATTTTGGATTTTATTCTGAATGAATTGGGAAGTCAGTGGAAGATACTGAGGCAAAGAGTGATATATACGTATACATATATAGTACATACTTATAGATGCTCATCAACTTATGATACTATCTACATCCAGATAAACCCACTGTAAGTTGAAAATATTGTTAAGTTGAAATGCAGAGCTTAAAACCTAGATGACAGGTTGATGGGTGCAGCAGACCACCATGGCACACGTATACCTGTGTAACAAACCTGCATGTGCATCCCAGAACTTAAAGTAAAATAAAAGTTAAAAACAAGAAAATGCATTTAATACACCTAACCTACCAAATCTCATAGCTTAGCCTAGCCAACCTTAAACATATTATATATATATTATATTATATATGTGTGTGTACATATATATATGCAGAGAGTTACTATAATGTGTGTTTGTTTCAAATGACAAAATTGTGTAAGATAAATTCCTTTGCTGCAATATATAATACTTGTATTAATATATTGCTCTTAAGATTCCAAAATGCTCTGATTTCTATAACTGCATTTTTATGCTCCTGTTACGGATGCTTGATGGTGGCACATGAGAGAGAGAGGTGTGAAACAAAGATATAGGATTAAGGCAAATTTGCAAATACACAGCCTGATACCATTTCACATTAGGTCATGGTTATCCGTCCCATCACAATATACATTAACATCCCAGCAGAGTGCTTCCTCTAGCACATCTCTAATAGATATGTGTAGATGATAAACACAAAAGAAAATCTTGGAAATCGGGTCACTGCCATGGATCTTGAAGGAGTTAGAGGTGTAGCTGGGTTGTTGAGTAGCAGCTGAGGATGGCTGCCAGAGAGGTGGTACTGGAATAAAATTGGGAGTAATTCAAAATAGGGTATTATGGTTCCCTGGAGATATTTTTTTACCTCAAAATGTCTCCTTGTGCTTGGAGAATGCTGGCAAAACTCTAACCAGCCCTTCTTAGCCTATTCACCAAAATTACACCCAGAAATAAAACTTCCCAGCACAAGATTAAGTCTCAAAAATTTATTTTCATTTTAAAAAGTCCTTGGGTCTTCCCTTTGGAATTTTCTACTAGCCTGTTTGCCATTTCCTGGACTGGAGAATTGGGTTATTTGTATGGTACTGTCTACGCTTCTGGATGCTCCCATATGATACTACACAAAGATTCACTGCTGATTTCATTCATTTTATAGAGAGTGGATAGGGACAAGAAGGGTTGCGTCAGATAACATAAAAGTGAGGGCTGAGAAGGCCGTGGTTTTTACGACTGTTCTTATGGAATATTTTGTTAGTTTTCTTCCAGAACTGTCCCATAGCACATGAGGCCTTCCACCTCCTAACGCTATTGCAATTTCTGGGATATTTAATATCTTTTGAAAGTAACTTTGAGCAAAGCTAAAGGAAAAATGGTAAATATTATTTTTCTTTGTGAAGCAGGCTCACTGTACACAGCTTACCATTTTCTCTGAGTCCAGTGAGATGGAACACACTCATACAGAACAAGTCACATGAAGCAGATTTATTACTTACAGACAGGCAGCAAAGGAGAGCAAAAGCCTAGGATTCATTATAAGCCAGTTCCCCGAGTCTCAGGAAAGCTGCTTGGGACAAATTGAGTCTTGACCGTGTCGTGTGACTCTCCACTTGCACGGCAGCTGAGGGACCCTGAACAGCAGGCTGCCCTGAGTTTATACCCGAGGGTCAGGTGAATTACTGGGCTTAAGCTTTGGAAGACATGCTGCTTCTAGTGGAGGACTGGAATAGAACCAAGGCCATTTCAGCCAGTCCCTCCCTATCTCAGGATTTTACAGTCCCAGCACATTTTACAGTTATTATTAAGAACAACTTTAATGCAAGTCTGTTTGAGTGTCAAAAAAAAATTTTAATAGAAAAAAAGGAACTACCAGTGAGAAGGTGGGGAGAACTGGGTCAGTCCAAGGCCACCTGGACAACTGTCCTGCATGTGGTTCTTCCCCTTTGAAATGAATTTAAGGAGTCTGTATGCGTCTAAAGTTAGAAATGTTTAGTCTATCACCATGAATATTCAATTATCTCTACATTTCCCATGACCAGTAATTAGCTCTGTGTCTGATACTTATTTAAGCATTCATAATAGGAGATGGATGTGGATATGGTATCAAAATATAGAGAATCCATTTTATATTTAAGAATGTAAAATCATTGCTCATTCCCAAATTAGTCAATTACAAAATTAAACTTACAAATCAATCAAATGTCCATGTCAGTTACTAGATTTTAATCTCTTACCCTCATATAACAATCAATGAGAGCCTCAAATCTAAAAATAGCAATACTTTCATTATAAGATTAGTGTTTTCCTTGAGTCAATAGTTCATGACATTTTTTAGCTTTCTCTAAAAGCTACTCCTGTAAGACGAGTCAAAGTAAAACAAGATAAACATGGACATTTTTCAGAAAACTGCTATCTTTATAATCAAGCTTCTTTTTCTGAAATAACAATGTTGCTTTCTAACTCTGAGCCAAAATAGAATGAGTTAGGGGTTCAAGGATTATATTCTAAGGAAGTAATGCTATTTTGATCCTGCCTAAAATTTCCCATTTTATATTGCGGAGTGACATAAAAAAATACACAAGATCTTCAATACATACAGAATGAAAATTAATTGAACCCAATATTGAAATTACTAAACCATCCTATTTCCTAAGATACAGCCAATGAAAAACAAAACATTCTAATTTCCCTAAAAAAGGAGAAGGGAAGGAAAATGGAGCTTATAAAGCTCTAACATGCTTGAGAAGGATGTGGACTACTGCTTCCAAGTATACATTTGGAGTAGCTAAACAAACTGATATGGTTAATAATTTTTCTCTTAAGCTCTCTCCATGTGATTCAGTCTCAACTACCGATCCCTAAACAATTTTTATTTGTCTAAAAACAGTGGAATTTTTTTTAAAAGATATAGCTCAAACAAAATTTTGAGGTTTTGGTTTATCTGTGACAGCTGCCTTTTTTCTGACTTAATTTCCCCCAACCCTGTGGTGCATAACCGCTTTCAATACCAATGATAATGAAAGATGGTCTTGGTTAGTTTTCCTCTTCTACGACATAAATTTTTCCAGGGATTTGTCTAGAAAGGATATGAGATGTTAGTGTGTGTGTGTGTGTGTGTGTGTGTGTGTGTGCGTGCAGTGGCCACATGTGGACTTTGAAGTTAGTCAGAATTGGATTTGAATCTCAGCTCAACCACTTACAAGACCTTGTTGAAGTTACATAATTTCTTTGAGCCCAATTTCCTCACTTGCAAATTGTAAGCCACTTAGTATGATCTGGTGCTTTGATTGTGCTTTCAAGAGCTATCTGTGATGGCTGACTCCACGTGTCAACTCGGCAAGACTATGGTGCCCAGCTGTTTGGTCAAACACTAGCCTTGATGTTGCTGTGAAGGTACTTGTGGATGTGATTAACATTTACAATCAGTTGACTTTAAATAAAGATTATGTTCCATAGTGTTGGTGGGCCTCATCCAATCAGTTGAAGGTCTAAAGAAGAAAGAATGAGGATTCCTGAGGAAGAAGCAATTCTGCTTCAAGACTCCAACATAGAAACTCTGCCTGAGTTTTCAGACTACTGGCCTGCCTTACAGAATAGGGACTTGCCAACCCACAAGTTCACATAAGCTAATTCTTTAAAAATGAGTCTCTCTCTCTATACACACAAACACACACATACACACACACACACACACACACACACACACACATATATACCCTATTGGATATATTTTCTGAAGAACTCTGACTAATACACTCATACTCTTGTTATGATGATGAAAGGAAAAGTTCTGTGTAGTGCTAGATAGTAAGTATGCAGGACATGTTGGTTTCTTACTCCTTTACCACCTCCTCCCAAAATGTTACAGGCAGTTCACTCATAAGGCTAGCTCTAAAAGCAAATTGGCCTTATTCTTTGAACTCAGGAGAGTCATGGAAGGGAGTAGAAGGAGAGAGAATCACAAGGGGTAGATGCTTCCAAAGGAAATAGTTATAGGTGTTGATATGTCTTTTGCTACAATTTACTCAGAAAAAGCTTCCTTGGACAGAAAAACGTTAAAAGTCTAGTGTGTCATTTAGCCTAGGCTGGATCTCACTCCACCAGAGGAGAAGGCCAGATGCCGGCTGGAGTCACTATATCTTAAATGAAAGCTATCAGCCTAGTTTTTGGATGCCATCTCACATCAAACTCAGGACCAAACTGTGCTTCACTTGGGCTCTGGCATCTAAAAAGTACATGGAGAAAAAGGATTCAAAAATAACTCCATCAGAAGAAACATGGCAAAGCCAGGCTAAGGTTCTTCTTTGTTGCTGAATGTGATAAAAAATAATGCAATACATTAAACGCCATCCCCACTCTTTATTCAAATTTCTATGGGAGAAACTTATACCAAAGTCAGTTCAGTTAAAGTGCTGATGCTATTCTCATAAGACATATTGATACCGTCTTATTTGTCAATAACTAGACAAATAATTCACTCTCTCATCTTTATCCAGACTCTCTGACAACTTTCTATAATGGGTTAAACCAATTTCTACTGGAAAAACATTTAATTTTATGATCATTGCTTCAGAAAACACAATCACAAATTTCTACAATCAAACTAAATCAATTCAAGACCTCAAAACTTTTGACAGCCTTCTTAATATATTGAAAATCTATTTTAAAATATAGGTGTCTAGTGAAGACATGAGGATCAGGTGCACTCAGGCCATAGTAGAATGTAAATTGGGCGGCTCTTCCTGGAGAGCAGCTTGGTAACATACACCAAATTGCAAGATGTGCATAATCTTTTAATTCCATGCTCCCACTTTGAGAAAATTGTCTACAAGAAATAATGGTACAAATATGCAAAGATGTGTGCATGAGAATCATAACGGCTATGTCAAATATGACATAAGACAAAATCAACATAATCATGCATCCATAAGGATCAACTCATAATGATCATGCATTCAGTGAAATACGATACGGCTGCCACAAGTGAATCACGCAAAACTACTTTATGTCCACTTATATTAAGTAGAAAAAAAGAGGATTTATAGCGTGCTCCCATTTTGCGTTTAACAGCAATTCCATCTATATATAAAATCCAGAATACTTTTATCTCTGGGTTGTTGGATGAAAGGGTACTATTATGTGTGTTTTGAAATTTTTATTGCTTTCTGAATAAACAGTCCATTAAATTTTATAATCAGAAATCAATAGTTATTTAAAAGACATTAATTTACTCTAGGTAAATTAATATAAAATATTTATTTTCACGTATTTTAAGGGGAAATCTTGATTGGGGGAGTTTCAGAAAATTGGTAATTCTTAATGACAGGCATAAGCAGAGGAGGATTTTTTTCAGATTGAAACAAAACAGAATTCTGTGAAATCCACGGAACCCACAAGAAAATATTTAAATGCTCATAACCCCACAAATAAGGATTTAGGCTGTGATCTACGGTACTGTGCAGTAAATTCCTCAGTATCTCTAAATCTGTGAAGGAGCATGAGCAGCCTGCCAATGAACGACTGAAGTATCAGGAGGACCAGTTCCAAGCACCGTCTGCCTATCATTGACTCTATTATGTGCAATTTGACAAAGCTTTTGTTATCCTCTCCGCTGGAGCTATTTTTACATTGTAAGTTTGTGTAGCAATTTCTCTCTGGGTACTTTTCCATTGATTCTCACAACAAGCCCTTCTAAAAAGGAAACGCAAGCCAGATATGTTTCAACATGTGTTCAGTGGTAAGGAATGCTCAGTCATTTTAGAAGAGGGATGATGTGTGGAACAGGGAAACAACTCTCATTTGTCTATTAAAGACAACAAACTAAAAGGGAGTAATCTGACTTTCTGCTCAAGGACTCCACTGTGAATAGAGAGGCACAATAAATACAGGTTCTTCTAGCTTGTCTGAAAAGGTGATAGTAAAATGAGTTAATATAAATAATAAAATTAATACAGAGTAAGACGATAAAATGTAATAGAAAGTTTAACAGACTCTGGAGGCCCCTTGCCACGTCAGACTTAGTCCTGGAGTTTCTGCATAGTTGGGAGGTGGAAAATGGTCCCTGGGGAGGAGCCAGGGTAGAGTAGGAGAAGAATCTGGAGGACTGAGTATAGCACCTAACTGGTAAATGGTAAGAAATTATTCTCATATTTCAACAGGGGTACAGCCCCTCATTCCCAGGGTACGTCATCGATTTTTGCAGCTGATACTGAGACTAGAAAGCATGCCTTAAGTCAATGTTTCTCAGTGTATATTCCTTTAAGCTAGTGATTCTAAAATGTGTGTGTTTTGCTTTCCAAAGGATGTTTGGCGATGTCCAGGGGGCATTTCTGGTTGTCTCAACTTGGGGAGAAAATATCAGCGTCTAGCCGGTAGACATGAGAATCCTGCTAAAGATCCGACAGCTCCCACAATAAAAAATAATCTGGCCCAAAATGTCAATAGGGTCAAGCTGACAAACACTGCCTTAAGCATTATATATACAGTTACAATAAATTCTTCTAATTATTTTTCTTGACTGAATTTATTGATATTTCAATGACCAGAATAAATATTCTAATCCAAGAGGACACAACACAAAAATAACTTGGACACTGCTAATATCTATGCTTGTCATAATGTGAACTATATTCTTTTTGCTCTTGATAAAACACAGGAAACCTCAGGCTAACATCCTCAGATTAGTTCAGACATGCCATTGAAGAATTATGTTCTATTTGCAAAGTCAAAAATGCCATGCATGGATTCTTTCAGAAAGTCTTCACGTTCACAAAACATAGTAGTAAGTTATTTCCTGCAGAGGTCTTAGAAGATTAGACTGCTAACATGAACGTGTGAGATGAGTAAATTTTTTCACATGTAAAATTCCTGAGACAAGATGCTTAAAATTCCTGGGACAAGATGCTTTAGAAACCTTGACCTAAAGGCCATTGGTTCTTTGAATCCACTTCAGCGATTTGAATGTGTGTGTGTGTGTGGTGTGTGTACCAACAATCACAGATGTGACATTGCTGAAACATAGGTTTGCAAATGTGCAATGTGGCACCATTAGAGAGAAGCTTCCATCTATACTAAAAAGAGGAAGGCTCAAATGCTTCTTGAGAGGAAATGTTTTAATGTCCTAGAATTCAGTATTCTAGTATTTAGTATTCATTAGAAATAGCTATTGGAAACTAGGTATTTTTTCAGGGTGTATTTTAAGGAATAGTGAATTTTAAAAAGAAAAACGGTGTCTGCATGAGCAGACACCTGAGTAAAAGGTCCAAAGATATATTTTTTTCTAAGGATTATGTCAAAAGACCCATCCTATTCTTATTAATTGTCATCAATTTGTCAGTGGTACAATCTGAAGTTGGACAGTACTTTGTGACGAGCTTATCCAAGGCTAACTCCGTTGTGGATCAACCCAACATTCTTCGTGCTTAGGAGAAAGACTTTTGCACAATTTGGTTTTGTCCAAGTTATTCACAATACCAACAATGCATGTCCAGATACTTCACAAATTGGCACGTCTCAAAATAATGAGTTAAAAAAATGGCCATTTTAAATTATGTTTGCTCCTAGAATTTTTTAGCCATTTCCACAGGTGTAGAATTCCAGATGTAATAATCATCACTAGTTTTCATGACAAGGCATCAGCAGAAGGCAAGTTTACAAAAAGAAATCAGTCATACATTTTTTGATATATCAGGACATAAGTAAAAAAAAAAGTATAAACCAGCAACTTTCAACATGACCAAAATTTGAAAATTTCTACCACAATTTTCTCCAACCAAAGCCCGTTAATTTGCACAACAATGTGAATAGACTTAATACTACTGAATTCACATACTTAAAAACGATTAAAATGGTACATTTTTTGTTATGCATATTTTACGACAATAAAAAAAAATCCTACTAGCAACTACTAAGAAATGTCAGTCCATGGAGTAAATATTTTCAAAATGAGTCGCTTTCTAGAATCAGAAATGTATGAAAATTTGAATCTGTGCTAGAATTTCAGCATCAGTAACAGTTTCCTACCCCCTCTTTAACGCTCATGGTGCTATGCATACTCATACCAAAATGGTCCATGTGTTGAATGTCTCTTGTGCCTTTTCTCGTGTTCTTTTGGCTAAAAGTCTTTTAATGCAACTGTCACTCAACAACTACCTTATTATCACAGGTGTAGCCTCACAGCACCTTTCCTCAGATGCACCACTCAGCTATCAATCCTGCTCTAGGGCTTCCCCGCTGCTACTGCCTGGTAGACCTGTGGAAACTGCCCAGCCATTCTGATACGTGTGCAGCACTGGAGGCATGAGGGAGTTAACACCACATGGCAAAACAGGCAACTCTAAGACACATTCCACAAAGCTTATCAGTGGGGCCCCTTCAGATCACACAAGGTTGAAATCAAGATGCTGACCGTGCTTGACTCTTATTTGGAGGCTTTGAAGGAGAATCTGTTTGCTCCAGTGGTTGAAGGAATCCAGTTCTATGGCGGCCACAATGTGGAAGTCTCATTTCCTTGCTGGCTGTCAGCCAGTGATCACTCTCAGCAATTAGGAGTTGCTCTCTGGTCCCTGCATGTGGCCCCCTCCGTCTTCAAAGACAGCACATTGAATCTTTCTTACACTTCACATCCCTCTTACATTTCCTTCTGCCATCAGCCAGAGTACATCTATCTATATGGACATGTAGATTTCTGTATAAGTAGCATAGACTAAGGCTGGAAGGACACCTAAGGAATAAGTGGCACTGTGCTTTCCAGAAAATGAGCCTCGGTGGCTGGAAGATAAGGTTGAAGAGAGAATTTTCCATGAATACTCTTTTATGACTTTTAAATTTTAAACCATGTGAATATATTGCCTATTTGAAAATTAAAGTAAAAATTAAAAAGAAATGCAATTATCTTTCATTGATGTTATAACATCTTAATGATAAGAACTAAATATTGAAGCTGATTCCAGTCATACAATTTGATTTTTAGAAAACAGATATAGCAGGGTTGTCATTTTGAGAAATTACCTAAAAAATGTAAGCTTGTCATAGATTATCTGCCCATAAAAGATGCCTTTTATATAGGAAATAGTATTAGTATTTCAGAAAGCAATCATCATGTTATCTGGTTACATTTTAGACAGTATATGACAAAAATGTTGGAATATAAGACTGTTGGTTAGAAGCTATTTCTGGTGCCCTCAAACTGATTATAGCTCAAAAGTGGTGGAAAAGTGTGTGCCATACATCAGACTACGAAACTAACAGACAAAGGCATTTTGCTCTTCTGTGAAATGTTACACAGAAGGCTTGGTCTAGAAGAACATTCCAGGAAGATTTCTGTGGTCACTTCAGAGGAAGAATTCCTTGATTTTGGTAGGCCTCTTTTTAAAATAGCCCCATCTGCTTCTAGTGCCATACTGAATTTTGGCTACAAAACTCACAATTAGTCAGCTATTGGCAAGATTTGTATTGCCTGGAATTATTTTTTATTTTGAGCTTATCTCTTTTTCCCTTTTGTGGAATTTCAGCAACTTACAGACAGGAAATTTATAAGAGCAGTTGTTACAATCCCCTACAAGCAAAGAGGTAGCTGAAGAGCATATGTCAGTCTCTAAAGATGACTGAATAGGAAAATTTGAAGAACTGGGCCACCAAAACTTGCTAGATTTTTCATTCTTCCACGTGTATATTCCATGAACAGGAATCAAAGTCAGTCCTGCTGAGCTGTTATTGAAGCAATGACACAAAACTTTCAGAAGCCTCTATTCAGTCCAGACTGGAAATTCCAATAATTGATTTTTTTTCTAGGAGACATAAAGCTGAAATATGATGACTTTCTAAAATTTTCTTAAAGTCCTAGTTTTCTGTCAAGTCGTTTGTTCAACACAGTATTGCCCATTTAAAGAATTGGATCTACTCCCATTGTATTAGTTTTTATGTTGTGTAACAAATTATCACAAATTTAACAGCTTACCACTATAATCCACTTATTAGCTCACAGAACAATAGATCAGAAGTCCAGGTGGGCTCAGTTAGGTTCTCTGCTTCAGATATCACAAGGCTGAAATCAAGATGTTGACCATGCTTGACTCTTATTTGGAGGCTCTGAAGGAGTATCCACCTGTTCCGGTGGTTGAAGGAATCCAGTTCTATGGCAGCCACAGGGTGGAGGTCTCATTTCCTTGCTGGCTGTCAGAGATCACTCTCAGCTCTTAGAGGTTGCTCTCTGGTCTCTGCACCTGGCCCCCTCCATCTTCAAAGACAGTATATTGAATCCTTCTTACACTTCACATCCCTCTTATATTTCCTTTTGCAACTGGCCAGAGAAATCTCTGGTTTTCAATGACCCATGATTAGATTAGGCCAACCCTGATAATCTCCATTTTTCCACACAAAGTACCACAATCATGGGAGTGAGGCCAGCAGCAAAGGTCATCAGGACCATTTTAAATTCGGCCCCCCACACCTGCTAATGTCCTCTTCTGCATTCACCATAGAGTGAGCATACACATTGTGATTTAAGTAAACATGGTCTTTAGGACTTCCCATTTATGTCTAATTACCAAATCCACAACAATAATTCTGCCTATCAACAAGTTTGAATCAAATCAACTCTTTGTAACTACATGAGATACCAATGCCATATTCTGTTCACTCATAGGAATTAGCGTATAGTTTTAGGTACAACAGTCAATAATAAACAAGGGTCGATTCCCATTCCCCTCACTCACATGTATATGCCACAGTGGGGGTTTTGTTTTGCTTTTGTTTTGGGTTAGCATGTTCATTTAATCACAGTCTAAAATTTTTCCTGAAAACATGGTGATAAAAGCGCACCAGGATTATGAATACTACAGTATTCTAGAATTCTACAGGGTATAACATGATGTATTCTAGTAAGCTCTCTGTGAGTCAGGATAGTTGAGCTATCTGTGGTAAAAGACAAAACACACCTCTGCCAAGACTAGGTCACCAATCAAAATGATTAACTCCAAGTGCAGAGCTTGGACTTGACTAAGAACTGGAAACTTACTAACTTAAGGGGAAAGTCTCTTCTCAATCTCCAGCCTCATGTTTAATTGGAGAACTGTGTTCATTCAAGATGCAGAACAACTTGAAGGGAAAAATGTGGAAACTGTATCCTCACATTAATTCTATTCTAAATACAATGGCTTCATTTTCTGATGGTCTCTGCTATGTTTTAAGCAAGCATGAGATATGAAAGTCTTTTTTATAGGAAGACTAATCAATGAAATTTCAAATAACCAGTTCACTTAGTGAATTTAATTTTCTACTCACATAATCTAGACTTACAATGAAAACTTTCAAGAATCTTTTTGTACTTAAAACATGGCTGTAATATTTTATATTACATTACAGAATTTTATTGCTTTTTTTTGCAGCATCCTTCTAAAAGTAGTATTAACTGCATTTTTTCCATTTTACACATGGGAAAACTGAGACTAGAAGGTGGATTTGATCTGCCTGACTCACATGGTGTGACAGTACAAGAAAATACATAAAGATTTTCAACTTCCATTGTGCCCACAAAAAGAAGGTGGTTTATTTGCACAAGACCAAACTACAGGATACGTTTTTTTTTTTTTTTTACTTTCTATGTTTTACTGATTAGATAGGAATTTAGTCTTGATAAAATTACAAAATCTAATATGAGTTGGATTAAATTGAAGAAAATGACAAAACTAGGTGTTTTTAAGCCTAACAGAAAAGCAAAGAACCACTATGCAATGCACCTACCCTAAAAATTGCACTGTTGGTTCCTCTCACAAGTGTTTGCCCACAATATTTTGCAGGATATATCATCACGTGCTAGAAGAAAGCATAATTAAGATTGCCTGCTGGCATTACCCTATGTAATATAACCAGTTTATGCAGAAGCCCTACTTTGTCTTCCGAAGGTTGATTCAGGAGCTTCTTAATCTGACAAGATATGTTTTATTATGTTTTCATTCATAATGGATATTGGAATAGTTAGTGTAGGAGCTGATTCTTTATTGAAAACAATATATCATAGAGAAAAACTCTTAACTCCATCTGAAAAAGCAATCTCCCAGTACCCAATAATGGATTTATTAACCATCTCAATTTGAGTTTTTCATGAAGCTAATTTTTAATTGTGTTCAGCAAGTATGTGAAAGGTCTTTTATACCAGAAAAAAAAAATGGTGACTATTTTAGGCTAAGCAATTATTAAGTAGCAAAAGCAATGAACTTCACTTAGTTTGCATTTAATAAACCTTATATTTATTGAAGCTTGAAACTCTTGGTTGTTACCACTTATATAACATTGATTTGGTGCTTATATAAGAGCATGATCCAGGTGACATTATCCAAATTAAAAAAGAGAAAATTCCTCATAGGGATTATCTACTGCTCGTAGAGGGACATTTTAGCACTACCTGAAGATCTGCCATACTAAAGTAAGCTTCAGGGGTGGTTGACAAAAATATTCCCTGGAATCCTAGAAATAAACCATTGAATTTTGAAATGTTAATTTACCTTCCTATGACCTGATTCTAGCAGGTGAGAATATACTTTTAGTCTCAGATATGTAGTTTCTGGCCCCTGGTAACAACTCTCACCCTTCTTCACCATTCCAAAAATCCATTGCTCTCCTGGGAACAATAGGAGTTTTTTCCAAAAAATTATATTTATTCAATTCCAAAATAGTCAAGGCCTTGTGTTGGGCAAAAAAATCAGCCCGTTCCCAAAATCATTGCTGATAACATTTAATTATGTAAGCTGCCACTTGGTAATTGTATAAGTTCAAGAGCCAAAATATGAATTTATATTTTCAATTTGTAGTCCGGATCAAGATTATTCTCAAACCAATCTTGAAGGGGCCAGATGACATACCAAGGAGCTATTTCAGGGATGGTCTTCTAGCATTAATTTGAAAGAGTGAAGAATCTGGATTGGTTTTTTTTTTCTAGTACTCTCCAGAAGCACCTTCAAAGCATGAATACATCTTATTCATGGACTTGTTCGAAACATCCTTCTTCTATTTGTGACTCTCAGCAGCAGACAATCCCCAAGGAGCTACTCTGGGTATGCTAGACATCATGGACCTGACAATACACAGAATGAGAAATGACAAGCTAGCCCTCCACTTGAAATTGATCTGTTCCTTTAAACTTTGAAGCTTAAAGACTTACTTATTTGTCATTTTTACTCACTCTGTAGATATGGAATTCTCTTGTAACAGTTTTTGGGGTTGAAGTTTGGTCACTATGCAGTATTTTACTTCTTTTCCTACTTCAGGGATGCATGGTCTGAGTATGATTTATAGCCCAGCCAGTAATCAAAATGACAACATGTAGGAAAGAGTAAATTCACTGACTCCAGAGCTAAGTATCCATCTCAAAGATTTACAGTAGAAATGATGAAGAGAGATCCAATAGCCAAGAAGTACTGCTAGACTCCTTGAATTCATGGTGTTCTTTATTTCAACCCGCCTCAGAAATGGGGATGAAACAAACATTTTCTGATATTCCCCTCATACTACAGTAATGGTGGTAATGGCAGTGATGCTGAGAGAGGAGAAAGGAGAAAAATGATCAGGCAGGCAGTTAGGGTGGGTCCTCGGTTGAACTCTTTAAAACAAAATAACAGACTTCTGGCACAGATAAGGGAATTTGCACAGGGGGCCTTGCCTAAGACATGCCCACAGCTGCACAGATAAGAAAAGCTACCCAGGTGGCTTGCCCAGACATGCCTGCAATGGAAAATTCTGTCTCTTAACACATGTGCTGTGAGGGATACAAAGCAATATGGAGTAACCCAAGCTAAGGACACACACATGCACTAGGAGGATGGGGTGGAGCTACCAGAAATTTGTGCCTTATGCAAATAAGTTGCTCAGCCCTCATCGGTTTCTTATAAAAGCCTTTGTATTCAACTGTAAAAATGGCAACCGTCTTCCAGCTCCCCTCTCCATAGCAGAGAGCTTTCTTTTTACAATTATTAAACTTTTGGCTGGGCACAGTGCTCATGCCTGGAATCCCAGCACTTTTGGAGGCCGAGGCAGGCAGATCACAAGGTCAGGAGATCAAGACCATCCTGGCTAACATGGTGAAAACCAGTCTCTACTAAAAATACAAAAAAAAAAAAAAAATTAGCCCGGCATGGTGACACATGCCTTTAGTCCCATAGTCCCAGCTACTTGGGAGGCTGAGGCAGGAGAATCACTTGAACCCGGAAGGCAGAGGTTGCAGTGAGCTGAGATCACACCACTGCACTCCAGCCCGGGTGACAGAGTGCGACTCTGTCTCAAAAAATAAAAATAAAAAACATTCACCTCAGCCTCACCCTTTGTGTCCACGCTCCTTAATTCTCTTGGTTTTGAGACAAAGAACTCCAAGTGATACCTCACAACGAGAGACTGCTACATTATGGTACATTGGCAAGATTTTGACAATGTTATTACTGGTAATAGTAACAGTAATAGTTGTAGAAGCATTACCATTTGCTATCCTTATAGTTCTATTGTAGATTTTACTATAATCTTTGAAGAAGGCTTACTGACTCTGAGAAAAGAACTAATAATATATAAATAGGAACACTTTTACACTGTTGGTGTGAGTGTAAACTAGTTCAACCATTGTGGAAGACACTGTGGTGATTCCTCAAGGATCTAGAACTAGAAATACCATTTGACCCAGCGATCCCATTACTGGGTATATATCCAAAGATTATAAATTATGCTACTATAAAGACACATCCACTTGTATGTTTATTGAGGCACTATTCACAATAGCAAAGACTTGGAACCAACCCAAATGTCCATCAATGATAGATCGGATTAAGAAAATGTGGCACATATACACCATGTATACTATGCAGCCATAAAAAAGGATGAGTTAATATCCTTTGTAGGACATGGATGAAGCTGGAAACCATCATTCTGAGCAAACTATCGCAAGGTCAGAAAACCAAACACCAGATATTCCCACTCATAGGTGGGAATTGAACAATGAGAACACTTGGACACAGGGCAGGGAATATCACACACCAGGGCCTGTCATGAGGTGGGGGGAGGGATAGCATTAAGAGAAATACCTAATGTAAATGACCAGTTAATGGGTGCAGCATACCAACATGGCACATGTATACATATGTAACAAACCTGCACGTTGTGCACATGTACCTTAGAACTTAAAGTATAAAAAAAAAAAAAAAAAAAAAAAAAAAAACTAGCCTATGCGTGGTAAGAGGAATGAGGAAGAATCTTCAGGTGTTACACAAAAAAATCCATGAGGGCAAGCAAAGAATTTGGAGTCAGAAAATGTATGCCTGTAATTAGCTAATCCAACTTCAGTATTTATTGAATCTCCCTGACTCTCAACCTTATCATTCACACAATGAGAGATTAAATAATATCCAACTTTCTTCTCAATTCAGAAATTTTAAGATTCTATAATTGAATATGTATCTGTACAGTAGGAAGTGAATATTCATTTCCCACTCAGATTACTACCAACTCTACATTTCACATTTTTACCAACATGAACAGTTTTTGTTTGTTTTTCTTCTTTAACCTTAAGCAACACTTGCCCAGCCATTTGACCAAGACTATCAAATACCTTTCCTCACAGGCTGACCATCATATTGTGGTTTGCCCAGGACTGTCCCAGTTTTAAAATTCTAAGTCCTTTGTCCCAGGAACCCCCTCAGTCCACTCAAACCAAGGGAGCTGATCACCCTTCCCACCACAATATTATACCAGTCACTCCTTTCATATCTCCTTCTCCTGCAGTTATTAGTTCCTTCAATGAAAAAATTCAGTTCCACCCAGTTACTGATTCAATTTCAACCAAGATAGACTTTCTATAAGGAACTGTAACAGCTGCCTTCTAATGGGCCTGGAGAGCCTTGGCCAGCTGCTTCCTCACTGAGAATTTATTCCTATACTGGGCCTGAAATCCTGCTATAACCCTCTGACCTCTTAACAATGGCCTTGACAACTTGACAAACATTTCCCCTATTCTCAGATGGGGGTTGTAACCTATGTTTGTATTCCTTGATGAGGGTCAAAATTCCCTTTGAACCAGTTGAGCTTCCCACCTGATAGTGAGTTCTACTACTCTCTCAACTTCTATGAAACATCCCTCAGGCTGGGCTCTCTCTCCCTGTTGCAAACCCTCCACCCACTCCTGACGGGGAATCTAGGCCAGCCTAGATCATGCTGAGATGGCCAAATACCTCTGAGCACCATAATTTGTGCTAACAGCCACCCTCGCCACCATCCCTGGTTCCTCTCAATCTTGGCTTCCCAATTCTCCCACTAGCTTGTTATTGGAGGTTCCAGCACGAGGTATGAAGTTCCAGCCCAAACTATGGCCATGCTCACTAACATTGGGATATGACCCTATCATCCTAAACATGGCATTTCTCATCTTCGATTCCCTTAGCTTTGATTTATTATTGAAACCTGTTGTGGAACAAGTGGTGCTAATGCAGTAGCTCGGTTTCTCTCCTCACATTGGTATCAGCTGTGCCACAGTGTGGCTAGAGAAAGGATTAAGTCAGAAAGAGAATGAGATTGCTAACACTTCTGACTATCTTCAAATACTTAATGACCAAAGTAGAATTTCACGCAATCTTTTTTAACATACATGGACTATATAATTTTAACACGAAAAAAGCACTCACAGAATAAACCAGGATCTTCAGCCTCACATGATGTCTTCAGAGGCTATGGGGTAAGGATTGGATCTCCTGACAGCTGTCAGTCAATAGATAAACCAAGAATATTGTTTGAATTGAATTCACACTTTCTATTGGAGCTCTGCAATCCTTAGTGCCAAGCACCGGGAATAATAAACACAAGCTCTATGAGGAGCTAAGATCCTCCTTTCCTGGCAGAAGGTTAAAAGTAGCCATGCTGCAGCCTTTAGGAAAGTAAGATCCTCATTCTAAGCCAAGACATGGACATGGACCTCACAAAAGGGATAGTCAAATGTGGGGAGGAGAGGAAAAGTCTGATAGCAAGTATTGTCCAGTGGCTGTTTCCCCAAGGGCAGTATCAGAGGATAGGATTCAAGTGTTTCCAAAATTGGGCAATTCTTAAATTAAAAAGAGCATAAAGACCCATGCTCACCACATGCTGGATAGCGAATGTCATGCAGATTGGGAAGTTTGGAGTAGAACAGAGGACAGGAAGAGAGGCAAATTAAGTAGCAGCAACAAAGAGGAGAGCAGTCATGGGGCAAACAGCTAAGAGCTGCTGGAGCTAGAAACTGCTGAAGAGACAGGATTGGCACCTCCTGTGGAACAGGACAGCAGAGCAGAAGGGAGAGACAAAGGGAACCATCCATGTCAGGGTGGCAGTCTGCTGAGTGAGGGCAAAAGCTGAGCTCTGTCTGGACAAGACACAGTCACACTGGGACCTAAACAGGTGTCATGAAGTTGATGCACCAGTGCTGAGGCAGGAAACCATGGAAAGGGGAACTAGTGGGTTTGCTTTTCCATTATGACCTCATTCTTAAAAATTCTGACAAAAGGCACACATTGCTAAGTTCTTGTTCCAGCATTTCACTGCCAAGTGCCAGAAGAATGAGGTATGTGAAATTACCCCAGAGACCAACCAGACATTTAAGTAGTAAACTCATACACATCCAAGACTTGTCCAATAAGGAACAATGGAGGAACCTACTAAAAATTTCTGCAGGGTCTGAGGGTTATCAAATTTGGCTAAACTCACTTTCAATAATAATGCTCACTGCTGCCATTAAATTCCAGATGTGTAAGATGGAGTACAGGAGAGGCAACTGGCTTAGCAAAGGATGCTATTTCTATAAATCCTCCAATGATCCCCACCACCTCGCCCTCCCCGAAACACAAACACATACACACACACACACACACACTGGAATAAGATTGAACAAAGAGTTAAAAAACCAAAAGTCAAGATACAGATAAGCCACTCATAAATTATAAAATCTTAGACATTATGTAAATGTTCAGGCTTAATTTTTTTATCTGCAAATGAGGGTAATAATGTTGCCTTTCAGTCTTATCACAAATATAAAATAAAAAAGTAAAATGTGAGGAGTATAAAGTGCTAGAAATGTACACTACCATTATGACTACATAAGGATAATAGGAGAAAGCTTTTTTATTTAATTTCATTTTTTCCTTATTTCTCTACCTAAACCTACAGAAATATGCTACTTCCAGATTGAACATCTTTTTCAATCCTAGTAAAATATGACAAAGTACAGAGAAGCCAAAAAATATTTGGACCATCAAGCTCATCAGAAATGCTGCTTATTGGCTGGGTGTGGTGGCTCACGCCTGTAATCCCAGCATTTGGGAGGCCAAGGTGAGTGGACCACTAACTAGGTCAGGAGATCGAGACAAACCTGGCCAACATGGTGAAACCCCATCTCTACTAAAAATACAAAAATTAGCCGGACGTGGTTGAGCATGCCTGTAATCCCAGCTACTCAGGAGGCTGAGGCAGGAGAATTGCTTGAACCCGGAAGGCAGAGGTTGCAGTGAGCTGAGATCACTCCGTAGCACTCCAGCCTGGGCAGCAGAGCGAGACTCCATCTCACAAAAAATAAATAAATAAATAATAAAAATTTAAAAAGAAAGAAATGCTGCTTATTAAGAGCAATTGTTAAATATTGTCTGCATACTAATCATCAGCAGAAGATTAGCATAACTGGCTCAATCCACTAAGACATTACAACAGCCTTTTCCCTTTGTTCCTCTTCATATCCCTCTCACACTGTACATTTTACTTTATCCTTCCTCCAAAATTGTGATATTTACCTGATTTTCCACCAGTAAGTCTACTTGACCTTGTGTATAGAATTTAAACTCACTTGATTCTACACTGAAACATTATAAATATACCTTATTTTAAATGTCTGCATAATACAGTTACAGTGTCTATTATTTGTCGAAGTCTCCTTCTAATGGAGACAAATCCTGAAGTCACTGTTCTGGCCTTATGGCTTTCTTTACACTTACGAAAAGGAAAGGGGACAGAGGAAAGTGAGATGGAGAAGAACTGGGAATACTAGCAAGAATATGATTTGAAATTCTAAATTGTCTTGGAATCCTCTCTCCCCCATCCCCTACAACCAACTGCTCACTAAACTTATCTTTAGATATATTTTCATTCTGGCCTCTCTCTCTTTTATTCTCAATTCCCTCTTCTAGATAAAAATACGCAAAACTCTTACAATATTCTTTTAACTGGTTCCTTCTTTCAGTCCTGCATTCATCCAGTCCAGCTTCCAACTCCAATCAGCTGTCTCTGTTTAAAGCCCTCTAACTGTCCTCTGTTGTTTACAGACTAACACCACATCTACAGACACTGACCCTAGATCACACCTCCAGGAGACAGGAGACAACATCTTAACACTTTTCACCATGCATCCTCCTCTTGAATCAGAGTGGACTATTTGTAACTTTCGCCAGGTGAGATTTTCTTAAATGGAAGCCCATTAAAAAAACATTGGCCGGGCGCCGTGGCTCATGCCTGTAATCCCAACACTTCAGGAGACTGAGGCAGGCGGATCACTTGAGGTCAGGAGTTCGAGACCAGCCTGGCTGACTTGGTGGAACTCTGTCTCTACTAAAAATACAAAAATTAGCTGGGAGTGATGGCGCATGGCTGTAATCCCAGCTACTCGGGAGGCTGAGGCAGTAGAATTACTTGAACCTGGGAGGCAGAGGTGAGCCAAGATTACGCCACTGCACTCCAGCCTGGGTGACAGAGCAAGACTCCATCTCAAAAAAAAAAAAAAAAATTAGAATGATCCTATCTTTTGCATCCTAAAGATTAGCTTTTCATGTAAAAGGTCTTTCTGCTGTAGATAATAAAACCATTGTTCTTGCAGAACTTAGAGTTAGGAAGAAAAACATTACCAAATCTAAATTATAGCACACTGCTGTGGTTGCTGATTTCTTTTACTCTTTCAACAAACATTCAGAGTGGGCCCATTATGTGTTCTTTACAGTGCTTGGTGCAGTAGACCAAGTGAATAGTCACTGTCAACTGGGACTGTTATGAATTCTTTATAGAAGAAATGTAAATCCATGTAAGGCCCTCTAGACAACAGGGCAAAAACATCCCAAATGATTTGAAAGAGCACAGAAAAAGTCACACGTGTACATATATACAGGGAATAAGTTTTAGAATTACATGATTATAATGAGCACAGTATGTTAGAGAACATAAAATTAATGATTTAAGTAATGCCAAGGTCTTGTGCCACCTGTTAAAAAAATTTTTACAGCAACTTTTGGGTATAAGAGTCATTATTGGCCGGGCGCGGTGGCTCACGCCTGTAATCCCAGCACTTTGGGAGGCTGAGGTGGGTGGATCACGAGGTCAGGAGATCGAGACCATCCTGGCTAACACAGTGAAACCCCGTCTCTACTAAAAAAGTACAAAAAATTAGCCGGCCATGATGGCGGGCGCCTGTAGTCCCAGCTACTGGGGAGGCTGAGGCAGGAGAATGGCGTGAACCCGGGAGGCGGAGCTTGCAATGAGCCAAGATCGCGCCCCTGCACTCCAGCCTGGGCAACAGTGCAAGACTCCGTCTCAAAAAAAAAAAAGAGTCATTATCTGCATGGAAGTGGGAGGAAAGCTAAGGATAAGCTCCACATTGTATAATAAATACCTAATGTGTCACTTTCAGCACCTGGGCATGAGGGATTTTGGTAAAGCACAGGAATGAGAGAAGATAAAACAAAACGAAGGAGCTTCACAGAACTGGAGCATATGTCAACATTTTCAAATATTTAGATCTCATTAAATAGGCAAAACGATACCTTCAAATGGCCTCCTTGATGTGCTGACATTAATTTGTTGTGATTTACTGACTTGCTGGGTCAAACCATCTCTTTTAGGATTGGAGTTCAGTTTCAGTTATAATTTATTTGGATAGCATACTATTTATTTATTCTCATGTTATTTTTAGAATAACAGAATAAAATAGTGTTTCAAAATAGTTGGGGAACAGCATAGACAATCCAGAAATAGACCCACCCACTTAGAATCAATTGAGCTGCAACAACTTGGGGAAAGTAGAGAATACTATTTTGACAATAAAAATGAATGAACTATCGACACACTCAACAACATGGATAAATTTCAAAACCTAGTATGCTGAATGAAGGAAACCAGGCACAAAAGAGAACACACTGCAAGATCCTATCCATATAAAATTTTACGACAGTCAGAACTAATCTATAGTGATAGAAATCAGATCAGTAATTGCCTGGAGTAGGGGGTGGAGATGGGCTTTCTGGGTGATGGAAATATTTTATATCTTATTTAGAGAGTGGTAGTTACATGGTATGTCCATTTCCTAGTGCTGCCATAGCAAAGTACCACAAACCAAGTGGCTTAAACAGTAGGAATGTATTGTGTCATAGTTCTAGAGGCCAAAAGCCTGAGACTGAGGTGTTGGCAGAGCCATGCTCCCTCTGACGGTGCTAAAAAAGAATCCAATCCAGGCCTTTCTCCTAGCTTCCAGTAGTTGCTTGGCTTATGGAAGCATAAGTCCAGTCTTTACATGGTGTTATCCCTGAGTGCAAGTTTCCATCTCCAAATTTCCCCTTTTCAGAAAGACATCAGTCATATGGGATCAGGGCCCACCCTAATGGCCTCATTTTAACTTGATTATCTCGGTAAAGAACTTATCTTCAAGTAAGGTTACATTCTGAGGTACTGGGGGTTAGGAATTCAATACATCATTTTTTTGGAGGGGACACAATTCAACGCATAACATATGGTTACGCATTTGTCACAACTCATAGAACTGTACACTTCAAATGTGTGCATTATATTTTACATAAATTATACTTCAATAAAATTGATTTTGAATAAAAATTTTATCATGTAAATGCATATTATTATCAAATAGAGCTTAAAATGCTCTCTCTCTACAATAGCATGCTATAAGAATAAAACCTGTTTTGTCCTACACTCTTCTTAACTATATTAAGTCCAGCATATTAAATTCAGACAAACGACATCATTTCTTCCATTCATCTTCATTTATTAAATTAACCAACTCTTGTTGAATGCTACTTATATCTTACATAAATTGAGTGATTTCCTGATAAGAACTAATTTTTTTAATGCAAGGATAGGAATACAGTTAAGTAATATAATGAGGTAATGAAAAGAGAAGTCAAGTCTAGGATTCTACATGATTTTAAATCACTTTACTTTGATTTGATCAGTGCAATGTTGAAGAGGAACTCCCACCCTCGAATGAACGGAGGAGACCTCCATAAATCCAGGGACTTGCACGGCAAAAGGCATCTCAAAGACCAACTGTTGATACCCTCTTGTTAGAGACATACAGAGGTTAGGTGCCTGTCTCGAGGTCACATGGCTAAGATGCCAAAATGGAAACTGAAAACCACATTTTCTGACAACTTGACATATGCTCTTTCCAAGCCCCTTCTCTGACCACACTCCTGTATGCTCTGTGAAATGCAGAGAGGGAGAAGAACTTAACATAATCACCACAGAAAAGGAGGATAGAGTTTCACGTCCAAAAATGTCAAACCCTAATTTCTTAGTAGGATGAAAATATGAGAATGAAAAAATGCAATACTGTAAAATTGAATAAATTGTATTGCTTATATTTGGAGCAATCTTTATTATGGATAAGTAGTTTTTCAAAAAATTCCTGTCATGTGGTGGTGTGTGAAAGTTTGAAAAATGCAGATGATTTTTGACTTAAATGGTTCTCAAATTACATTTTAGTATATTTGTAAGAGGTTATGTCTTTGGTTAATTAAAGTGCACTTGTTTTTTTTCTTTCAGTTATAAAAAGTTTCTTGCTTTTAAACAGAGTGAAGCCATAGAGATAGAATGTTATGTCTCTGTAACAGTCAAATAATGCAAAGTGAAATGTATTTTATTTGCCTCATAAAACAGGACTTCTGACACTATGGCATAGTCCCTGCAAAAAAAGAAATTGTCTGGAGATATAATAATTTGTGATGTGATCTCAGCGTATATCATATATATATATGCATACTTGTATTCATTCTTTTAATTCATTTATTAAATAAAATGTGTTGAGCATTTGTTACAAGCCTGACTCACCACCATAAGATTGAAAACATGAAAATATAAGAGTATTCAAATTTTCCTTTCCATTTCCTTATCAGAAATATTCATTTAGTCTGCAACAATTCTTAGAACAAAATAACAACTTCAGGCCAACTGCCAAATACTTACCACTACCACTATCAAAACTCTTTCTGGAAGTAGATGCAACTTTGACTCACCTCACTGACAATAACTTAATTTGTCGTGGGTTCTAGGTGGTCTAGGTGTCCCAGACACAGCAGAGAAATAAAATAAAGACCCTGATACCAGGAAGCTTACATTCCATTGGGAGAAACAAAAAAAAACAGATAAATAGAAAGTATAATGCAAGCCAGGGAAGAAGAATGAGAAAGCACGGTAGAAAGGTAGCAAGTAATGAAGGATGGGGATTTGCTATCTAAATAAGATGGTCCAGGAAGTCCTAAGTAGACGACATGTGCACAGACACCTGAATGGAATTATGAAGGAAGCCTGTGTATATGTTGGGAGAAAGCATTACAGCCAAAGGGCATAGCAAGGGCAAAGACCCAGGTAAAAACATACTCAGTATGTTCAAGGAACAGAGAGGAGACCAGTGTGTCTGGGGTGCATGGAAAAGTGGTAACATTATAGAAAACAAGATGGAAATGTAAGTTCTTGTCTTTGTATTTTATAGTTAATGGGATGGAAAGTCTTCTGTAGTGTTCTAAGATAAAAAGAGACATAATCTGATTGACATATCTAAAAGGTCACTTTGTTTTCTGTATGTAAATTAGATCTAGGGGAACAAGAGTAGAAGATAAATCATAAGGCTTTTGGTGGCAGTCAAGGCGATGGTTTTGGCAAGGGTGATAATGTTGAGGCACTGCTTGAAAGTGGTTGGAGTTTGGGTGTATTTCAGAAGCAGAGCCAAAGGATTTATGAATGTGTCTTGGGTATAAAAGAAAAATACCATCAAGGTTGAGCCTGAGCACTCTGATAAGTGGTGGTTTCATTTATTAAAATATGGAAAATTGAAGAGAAGAAGAAACCAGCATTTAGTTTAGAAACATAGTAAGTTTGAGATGCCCACTAGGCATCTCAATGGAGATGTCAAATAGTTAAATATGTGAGTCTAGAGTTCAGGGAGAGCTTGAGACTAGAAATAAAAATTTGGGAAACACCACCGTAATAATTTGTAGAGCCACAGGACTGGATGAGAGCACTCAAACTATGAGTGTGGATTAGAAGACAGGAGGACCAAAGACTGAGGCCTGGGTCTTTAACAACATTTTTATGGATCTGAAAGAGGAGAAGTAGCAGCAAAATGGTCCAATAACAAATGGCAGTGGAGAAGCAGGAAAACCTGGGGAATGTGGGGTGCAAGAATGCAACAGGAGAAAATATTTCAACATGGTAAAAGTTATCAACAGACTCAAACATAGTGACAGGACAAGATGAGGACTAAACAGTGTTCATGTGGAGATTGAGATAGAAACTAAAAATGGACAACCTAGGGCACTAGTGATCTCCATGTAGAGTATAGCTTGGGACAGTACCCACATAGAGTAGGTGCAACAGAAAGTAGCAGATCATGGTAATGTAGGTAGTAAGTATAAAACCATTTTTCCAGGAGAGTTATGTGGCGGTAGATGGAAAATAAAGATGTTTATATATTCTATATTTTCTAGTTACAGCTACAAAATTAGTTCTGCCCTATAACCAATGTAATGTGCATAGGTGGGGCTTTCCAAATGTACAGGCTTTTTCTTAAATTATAAATTTTAATTTTAATAATGGCCATAAAAAATTTGACCTCAGGATGTACTTTTGATACTCCCTGGAAATGTTCATCAAGAAAAAATATTAAGAAATGCAAAGCAAAATTTAGTTTCAGTTAAGCTACTAAGCATCTTAGAGTTCTTCTTCCTCTCCCAGAGGACATAACTAATTACTGCCCACACCAGAAACAATAAATATTAGTTGGATTCAATTTTATGCTACCAAATCCAGAGAAATTAAGGCTTATAGAAATAAATAAAATAACATTTAAATAAAATATCTGAGGTTATCTACAGATCAAGGTTCTGCCAAGAAATCTCAATGGTCATGTTCACAAAGTGTAGTGCAATTTGGACAAGAAACACCTTTAAAAGACATTCTGTAAAAGCCAGAAGAATGAAACTGAATTAACTAATTAAGAGATAGGTAGACAATGATAATTCCTCTACATTTGTATTTCATCTTCTTTATGTTTTATATACCAGAATAAAGAGCAAGCCTTCTCCAAGATACCGTATCCATTCTCCATGTAATTGAGTTTCTCTTCTCTGATACTGGCAACACTTACAAGATTATTTCCTCTAATTAAAATAATTTATGCTATGCACCCCAGATTAAACATCCCTTCTCCATATATCCAAGATTCTATCTTCAGGAGACTTGAGAGAATCTCATATCTTCAGCGTAAGATCACCCTTTCCTAGCCTCTACATCTCACTCAGACGTACTGAGGGGGTGTCCCAAGCCCCCCTTCTCATTACCTCTCAACATTCAGACTCAACATCACTCTTTTGTGAGGCCACCAGGATTCATCAAATTATGGTTCTTCCCACTACTTAAATCAGTTGTTCTAAGAAATTCCAACTCCCAGGTGACCAGTTATCTACTCTAGTCCCCACAACTCTGTATCCCTGTGTCTGCCCCAGTCCCTGGGTCATCCTCCACTCCCGAAATTTATATTGTGCCCTCTGGAATTCAGGTCAGACATCTCTAGCACACCCAACCACCTAAACGTGTCCTTAGGGGCTTTATTGGCCTTCTTCCTCTAAGTGAAACCTGGGTCTCCCTAGGGGTGTGATGCCCCTGAAACCCTCTCAAGCAGTGGTTGTTTTCTCCCACAATCCCCAGACCCTGGATGGGAGATTCGGAAGTTCCCTCCGTGCTTCTCATTGCCACTTCCAGACCATTCTTCTTCCATATTTCCTGAAAGCTCCAGCTTTGAAGCCTTTGTTTCTCAAAAACCTTAGCATCCAGCTTACTGCCACTCTCCACAAACTGCTTCTAATCTTGAATCTTAGTAACGTCAATACCCATATAAATGATTTTTTCAAAGTCCCTGGACTCTCGGCTCATTAAACTCCTCTTGTCCATAATCTTGATCTCAACCCTTCCTCAACCACAAACTCCCACGGTCACAAACTGGACCTTGACATGATAAATAAAAGCAACTTCTCCTAAATTTCAGTTTCAAGGATTCAATTATCTAACATACAGCAATCTTTTGGCTCTAAAAAAACTTCATTCTATTAACTTAACCCCATTTACTGTCCCTCACTGTTCTAAACTCTTCCTTTTGGTCTTCATCAAAACCTAAATTCCATTTCAGTCATTATAAATCCTCCCTGGTAAACACTCTCAATCCCTTGCTTGTCTCACTTCATAGCATTTGAACCCTGGTCAAATTCATCTCTCCACCGTCACTACACTTCCATCTCTGCAACTAAATACTGCTAGAGGAAAATGCACAAAAGTGCTGGTTGCTCTTACCGTCAATTCATGACTTCCAACTTCCAATGGGCCCAAAAATTATGTTACATTTTCCTAGTCCACTCACATTCTCATTTACTACATGATTATAAGATACCTCTCTTCTCTTCTCAAATCTTCAACCCTCCCACCCTCTCTCTCTCCCCATTAACTACCTTTAAAAAAAAAAAAAAACTTTACTGAGAATATTTAAACAATCAGAAGGAAACTTTCTCAAGTTCCCACCACCACTACATTGTCTCACTTGCCAGCATGGCCCCATACACTATTATTTTCCTTCTATTACCGTATTTCCATGATCCATAAAGTGTGGTCTCCAGGCCATCAGCAACAGCATCACTTGGGATGTTGGAAATGCAAATTCTCAGATCCACCCAGACCTATTGAATCAAAAACTCTGGAGGTGAGTCCCAGCACTTTGTGTTTTATTAGTTTTTGAGACAGGGTCTCACTCTGCCATCTAGGTTGGAGTGTGGTGGTGTGATCTCAGCTCACTGCAACCTCCGCCTCCTGAGTTCAAGTGATTCTCCTACCTTGACATCTCGAGTAGCTGTGACTACAGGCATGCACCACCACACCTGGCTAATTTTTGCACTTTTTGTAGAGACAAGATTCCACCATGTTGCCCAGGCTGGTCTAGAACTCCTGAGCTGAAGTGATCCACCAGCCTTGGCCTCCCAAAGTGATAGGATTACAGGTGTGAGACACCACACCCACTTTGCATTTTAATAAGTCCTCTGAGTGAGTCTGATGCATGCTAAAGAAATTTTAAACCTCTCTAGATGATTTCAATGTGAAAGTTTAAAGTCCACTGCTATGAATGAATGGACCTACTTCTATCTAAGGCCAGCCCCTTGATTTGAACACTAGGATCCATCTCCCTTTGGCCTCCTCAAAGACATTACTGCAGCAATTCTTTTTTCTCTCTCTTGAATTCTCAGTCTTTTTTCTCTACTAGATCATTTCCAGTTTCCTAAAACATGTTCTAGCTCCTGTTAAAAAAGAAAATAGAAAATCCCTTGACTCCACTTCTCTCTCCAGTTACTGCCCTATTTCTCTGCTCACTTTTCTAGCAAAATGCTCTTAAAAGAAATCTACACTAATTATTTCCAATGCATATCTTTCCATTACCATTCTCATTAAACCTGCTTTAATCAGGTTTGCCCCCATTAATCTATGAAGTTTGGATGTGTCAAGGACACTGATGACCTCATGCTGCCAAATCCAATGGATAAGCCTCAGTCCTTATTGTACTTGGCCGATCAGCAGCAGTTGTCACTGTTGATCACTCTCTTCTCCTAGAAATACTTTTGCCATGTCGTTTCCAGGAAGCCACCTTCTCTTCTCTTTAATGTTTCCTCCCTCCTATACGGGCAGCTCCTTCTTAGTGGTTCTTTCTTGATTCCTCCTTAGAGTTGGAGTCTCCAGGCTTTAGTCCTTGATCCTCTTCTATTTCCTTTCCAAACTCTTTCGCTCAGGGGTCTCATCTCATCCAAAGATTATAAATGATAAATATCATCTATACACTGACATGTACAAAATTTGTATCTCCCAGGAAGACGTTGTTTCGCTCAGGGGTCTCATCTCATCCAAAGATTATAAATGATAAATATCATCTATACACTGACATGTACAAAATTTGTATCTCCCAGGAAGACGTTGTTGTGATTTCCTCTGATTTGCTCTTGAGGTCTCTCTCTCTCTCTCTCTCTCTCTCTCTCTCTCTCTCTCTCTCTGGAGTGTGTCTATAAATTCTAGCCCTGCCCTCACAGGGCTCCAGGGAAGGGGGTCGTGGATGTTTACAATGTGCCTTTCACTTGATACTTCCTTTGTTGTTGTTGTTGTTGTTGTTGTTTCATTTGTTTTGTTTTGTTTTTTGGGACGGGGTCTTAGTTGCCTGGGCTGCAGTGCAGTGCTGTGATGTCAGCTCACTGCAACCTCAACCTCCCAAGTTCAAGCCATTCTCCTGCCTCAGCCTCCTGAGTAGCTGGGACTACAGGCACCCGCCACCACACCCAGCTAATTTTTGTATTTTTGGTAGAGATGGGGCTTTGCCATGTTGGCCAGGCTGGTGTCGAACTCCTGACATCAGGTGATCCACTCGTTTTGGCCTCCAAAAGTGCTGGGATTGCAGGCATGAGCCACCACACCCGTGATACTTCTTTATCCCAGTGGATGACCTAATGCCTGAGTGTCTGACTTGCTACCAGGTGTCTCTTTCACAGGAAACCTGTTTATACTGCAAGATGCCCTTGTGGCTTTTGTCTGACCTATATCAGTTTATTCCTACTAAGATCACTGCTCTCTAAGAGACCCCTGACTAGGAAAGAAGTTAGATTCAAGTGTGTTAGTTAGGTGAGACACAGAGGATGCAACACAACAAAACTCATGAAATGCAGAAACAGTTTATTAATTACAGATCCCAGAATGAAGAGGGCAGCATGCCTCTCAGGGCCAATGGGAAGGGGGTAGTCATCCAGGACATACACACTCAACCAGTGAGTGGGCGGCAAGAGAGAGAGAGAAAAGGACCTGTGAGCCAATGCCTTTACCGAAGTCCAGGGCATTCCCCAAGCAGGTTTACCAAGGGGATTTCTAATTGATAGGTTTGAGCAAGCAGGCATGAGTTCCATGGAGGTACACTGTGACTGAGAGGTGATCACTGTGGCATAGCCACACTGTCTATGCTGGGCTTGGGGGTTAAACCAAGCATGACTTGTATCGCCAGAGAAAGGTTAGGCCACAGAGGGTTTTGAAAGAGTGTATGTTTGAGAAGACAGAGGAAAAAGAGATCCACCCTGTTTCATAAATAGGAAAATAGTGTGGTGAGTCAAGGAGGTTGTATCTAGCTCTCCCATAGGGAGGTGGTTACCAGGAGGTGGCTGTATTGATGACAGTGAGAGACTAGGAGAAGGCAGAGAACTGTAAACTGTGTCACAGGTGACAAAGCCCTGTTGTTGGCATATGAAGGTCCAACTTACACTCAAAATTGATGCCGAGGCATCATAAAATTATAAGAATTCACTATAATCTCTCTTTTAAAGTCAAGACTCATAAAGCCAACTGCCTATTCCTCACATCCCAAGAGACATCTCAAGCTCAACATATCCAAAACCAATGTTTGAGTTTTCCTCAATAACTGCACTCCTTCCGCAGTGTTCTCAAATCAATCCATGGCAACTCCATGCTTCCAATTCAGAGTCATCCTCGATTCCTTGACTCCTCTCTTTCCCTCACACACCTCCCTCCAATTCAATCTATCAGCAAATCTGATTGGCTCTACTTTTAAAATGTATTCAGAAACCTCTCCATTCTTACAACCTCCACTGCATCCATCTGTTCAAACCACTCTCTCTCGCCCAAATTAGGCAAAAGCATCCTCCTTGGTCTCATGATTCCACCCTTGCCCCACGTCAGTCTGTTCTTAACTCAGCAGCCAGGGAGATACTTTTAAGTGATGTCTGCTCACATCATCGCCTCACACAGAACTCTTCCACAGCTCTCTATTTGACTCACAGTGATAGCTAAGGACTTCTCAATGCCTGACAATGCCCATGAAACTCTACTCTGCAATTTGTCTGAACTCATCTCCTGATATTCCCCTCCTCAATCCTTCCTCTATAATCACAGTGACAGCCTTGCTACTCCTCTTCACATCAGCCATGATCTCAGCTTAGAGCTGTGCCAGATGCCTTTTGTTTGCCCTTCCAGGCACAGACACTCTCCACCCTTCTCAAGCCTGTTTTATGCCCTGGAAGGATAAACTCTATGACCCATCTCAATTCTCTCCCCGGACCTCTGCTTCCAGGTCGGTTTCGTCCAATGGGGAGCTCAGATGAAGATGTAAGGAAGGGACAAGAGTGGGGTCAGTGGGTCTTTACTCCAGTGCTTCTTTCCTGCAGTGTTTATGCAGATGCCACATCCTCGGCCTAAGGGTCACAGCTCCTGGTGGGCAGACTCTCAACACAGCTGTCTCTTACTCTAAATTCTAATAGCTACTTTCCTGCCACTCAGGCAGGCTTAGTGATGATGATAGCACCCCACTGTCTTCGTCTCCTAAATACTATACTGCCCCTTGTCATTTCCCTATAACCTGCTCACAGGTTTATAATTAACACTTTTAAAAACTCTCTTCACAATATCCAATTTGATTGTGTCATCGATCTCCTGCTCTGAGTGATGCAGGGCCTTTGCATTTGCTGTTTCCTCTGCCTGCAGCAATCATTTCCAAGATACTCACACCGCATGCTCCTGCCTTTTTCAAGTCTTTGTTCAAATGTCCCCTTCACATCAAGGCCTTCCCTCTTCTACTGACTTCAAATTTCCCTTCTCCTCCCTCCCTTTTCCCTATACATCTTTCATAGCATGATTTTTATCCATGGTACCTAATTGCACTCTAAATATCAACTGATTCAAATTTACTTATTCATTTTATTTATTGCTTATCTACCACCAGCACACCCTGCGCTAGAAGCTAAACTCCCCAATTTTGGTTCTATTCACTGCTCTAACAGCTGCAGGTGGTAGCATGCAAAACAAAAACAAGATGAGAACAAACAAACAAAAACAAAAATACCTCCTAAATCCCCAACAAGGTTAAGAGAGCTTGACGATTCTGCATGTTTTGCTAAACGAATCCGTGATCGGTTCAGCCTTGTCCTAACCCAGTTGAATCATTACCTAGAGATTTTGCTGAGTCTCACCACTGGTGACTCAAGATTCATACTTGCACAGGTTAAACCTAGAAAAGACAGAGTTGCCCTTCAAATTCCACTTTTAAAGTACATGTTATAGTCCAAAAATCATTTCAGTTGCTTAATTAGACATACAGCAGAGTCTCCGAAGTATACAGCAGCAACAGCTCTTCAGTTTGATACACGTGATTACTCAGTGTTTTCTATCTCCTGGCAGTTTATTGATCCTCTATTTTGTGGGTTTGTAGTAGAAAATAATTTTTCTACTCAAGTAATTTTGCATGGATGAATTCCCAACATCTCAGTGCAGTTATTCCAGATTGATGTAGGAAACCCAGCAGCCCTACATTTCTCTCAGCCTTTGGGTCTGTAAAATTCTCTGTATAATTTTCTTGCTCCCTCAGTTCATCTTTCCATCAGTAAAATCAGGAAATTTTTATTCTTTTCTGGATGAAGCTCTCTTGACACCAGCCTGCCCAGGATCCGAGTACATAACCCATAAATAATTTAAAGTTTGAAAAGCCGTCACTCTGATGATTCTACTTGCATCTTGTTCTTAGAAGGTCCCTTTCGTGTGAGGATCTGACAAGTTTTTTTACCGGCATTATTGGAGGATGATAGTCGACTCTCTTCCTTTTTTCCACCATGACCCCCTTTGGAAGTCTCTACTGCTTTAAGCCTGCTGTGAGAACTCCATTCTTCCAAAAGATGATAAAATAATGCTTTCCAAGGTTTATACACTGTGACTAATATTGTTGGAAGGATCCAGTCTTTTACACTCTGGTAGAGATACAGGATAAAATTAACATTGGCAATAGCTGAAATTGATGTCCACTGCCTATGTATATTTCAAAATGACAAATATCAACTGATGCTGCAGAAGAATCATTTTCTTTCAATTGCACGGGAGGATTAATAACGCCTTGATTTATTGGGATGGAATGTGTTTACTTGGAAGGGGTCTGCACATAACTTTCTGAAACAGACAGTTAATAAGTAACTAACCAACTGTTCAATAGTTAAGATTGTTGGTTGCTATATATTATAATAATAACTTTTATTTCATTTGTGGTTAAAAAGCCACTCATTCATTATTGGAAATGTGGAATACACAGAAATACAAACTAAAGGAAAATAAAACTCACCCTATTCCCATGTGGCAGATACGGAGGTGTGTCAGACAGACCCCTTCAAGGAAGAATGTGCTGCCCAGCTTTGAGGAATGTCACTGTCAGATGGCCTCCACCTGTTCTCTCCTTCAGCAACTGCCTCAGTGTTCAAGCTGAGGTCCTGCTCATTTCAGAACAGCCCCAGCCAATAAGCATGCAAGGCCAAAGTCAAGGAAGTGATGCAAAGGCCTAGCCATGTCCGTCCGCTGCGGCCCCCTCTGGCAGATAACCTTTGCTCCTGAGTTCCCACTGGCCTAGTAGAGACTGTCAAGCCTGCATCACAGTCTGATAATTCCTCTTTCTTCCCCTTTCCTTTCATGGATATAACTCCCCAATAATCTTTCTTTTTTAAATTGAGGTAAAAATACACCTAATATAAAACTTACCATCTTAATCATTTTTAAGTGTACAGTTTGGTAGTGTTAAGTCTATTCACTGTTGTGCCACAAATCTCCAGAACTTTTTCATTTCACAAAACTGAAACTCTATATTCATTAAACAAGTCTCCATTTCCCATCCTGCCAGCCTCTGTTAACCACTATTCTACTTTCTGTCTCTATGAATTTGACTACTCTATGTACATCATGTAAGTGGAATCAAACAGCATTTGTCTTTTTGTGACTAACTTGTTTCACTTAGCATAACCTCCTCAAGGTCCATTCATGTTGTAGCATGTGTTAGAATTTCCTTTCTTTTTAAGGCTGAATAATGTTCCACCGTGTGTCTACACCATATTTTTTAAATCTATTCATCTGTCCATGGGCACTTTTGTTGCTTTCCCCTTTTGGTTATTATAAAGAATGCTGCTGTAAAAATGGGTGTGCAAATCTCTTCAAGACCCTGATTTTAATTGTTTTGAACATACTCAGAAATTGAATTGTTGGATCATATAGTAATTTTTGATTGTTTGAGAAATTGCCATACTGTTTATGATAGTAGCTAGTAGCTGCACCATTTTACATTCCCACCGACAGTGCATGAGGGTTTTGATTTCTCTACATCCTTGTCAACACTTGTTATTTTCTTTTTGTTTCATAGTAATCATCTTAGTGGGGGGTAAGGTGGTATTTCTTTATAGTTTTGATTTTTATTTCTCTAATGATTAGTGATGTAGAGTATCTTTTCATATGCTTTTTGGCCATTTGTATAACATCTTTGGAAAAATGTCTATTCCATTTATTTGCCTATTTATTATTCAAGGGTTTTATTGTTGTTGTTGTTAATTTGTAGGAGTTCAGAATATTTTAATATTCTCAATATTATCTCTTACCAGATATATGATGATATGGTTTGGCTGTGTTCCCACTCAAATCTCATCTTGAGTTTTGGTTCCCATAATCCCCCCGTGTCATGGGAGGGACCTAGTAGGAAGTCACTGAATCATGGAGGTGGTTACCTCCATGCTGTTCTCATGATTGTGAGTGAGTTCTCATGTGATCTGATGGTTTTATAAGGGGCTTTTTCCCTTTTTCTTGGCACTACTACTTGCTGCTGCTTGTGAAGAAGGATGTTTTTGCTTCCCCTTCCACCGTGATTGTAAGTTTTCTGAGGCCTCCTCAGCCCTGTGGAACTGTGAGTCAGTTGAACCTCTTTCCTTTATAAATTACCCAGTCTCGATTATGTCTTTATTAGCAGTGTGAGAAGAGACTAATACAGTAGACTGGTACTGGTAGAATTGGCTGCTGCTGTAAAGATACCCGAAAATGTGGAAGTGACTTGGGAACTGGGTAACAGGCAGAGGCTAAAACAGTTTGGAGGGCTCAGGAGAGGATAGGAAAATGTGGGAAAGTTTGGAACTTCTGAGAGGCTTGCTGAATGACTTTGACCAAAATGCTGATAGTAATATGGACAACAATGTCCAGGCTGAGGTAGTCTCAGATCAAGATGAGAAATTTGTTGGGAACTGCAGTAAAGGTCACTCTTGCTATGCAAAGAGACTGGAGGCATTTTTCCCCCTGCCCTAGAGATCTGTGGAACTTTGAACTTGAGAGAGATGATTTAGTATATCTGGAAGAGGAAGCTTCTAAGTGTCACAGTATTCAAGAGAAAGCACAGCATAAAAGTTTGAAAATTTTGCAGGCTGATGATGCAGTAGAAAAGAAAAACCCATTTTCTAAGGAAAAATTCAAACTGGCTGCAGAAATTTGCATAAGTAATGAGGAGCCAAATGCTAACCACCAAGACAACAGGGAAAATGTCTACAGGGCATGTCAGAGAGCTTTGCAGCAGCCCCTCTTATCACAGACCAGAGGTCTAGGAGGGAAAAATGGTCTCCTGGGCCAGGTCCAGGGCCCCCCTGCTGTGTGCACCCTCCAGACTTGGTGCCCTGCATCCCAGCTGCTCCAGCTGTGGCTAAAAGGGGCCAAGGTACAGCTCAGGCTATAGCTTCAAAGGGTGCAAGCCTCAAGACTTGGCAGCTTTGTGGTGTTGAGCCTGTAGGTGCACAGAAGTCAAGAATTGAGGTTTTGGACCCATACCTAGATTTCAGAGGATGTATGAAAAGGCCCAGATGTCCATGCAGAAGTTTGCTGCAGAGGCAGAGCCCTTATGGAGACCCTCAGCTAGGGCAATGTGGAAGGTAAATGTGGGGTTGGAGCCCTCACACAGAGTCCCCACTGGGGCACTCCCTAGTGGAGCTGTGAGAAAAGGGCCATCATTCTCTGGACCCCAGAATGGTAGATCCAACAACAGCTTGCACTGTGCACCTGGAAAAGCCACAGACACTCAAAGCTAGCCCATGAAAGCAGCTGGGAGGGGGCTGTACCCTGCAAAGCCACAGGAATGGAGCTCAAGGCCCTGGAAACCCACCTCTTGTATCAGGATGCCCTGGATGTGAGACATGGAGTCAAAGGAGATCATTTTTCAACTTTAAGGTTTAATGACTACCCATTGGATTTTGGACTTGCACGAGGCCTGTAGCTCCTTCGTTTTGGCCACTTCCTCCCATTTGGAACATAAGCATGTACCCTCATTGTATCTAGGAAGTAACTAACTTGCTTTTAATTTTACAGGCCCACAGGCAGAAGGGACTTGCCTTGTCTCAGATGAAACTTTGGACTTGGACTTCTGAGTTAATGCTGGAATGAGCTAAGACTTTGGGGGACTGTTGAAAAAGCATGATTGTGTTTTGAAATGTGAAGATACGAGATTTGGGAGAGGCCAGGGTGGAATGATATGATTTGGCTATGTCCCCACTCAAATATCATCTTGAATTGTAGTTCTCATAATCCCCATATGTTGTGGGAGGGACCCAGTGGGAGGTAATTGAATCATGGGGGTGGTTACCTCCATGCTGTTCTCATGATAGTGAGTAAGTTCTCACAAGATCTGATGGTTTTATAAGGGGTTTTCTCCTTTTGCTTGGCACTTCTCCTTGCTGCCGCCATTCGAAGAACATGTTTACTTCTCCTTCCACCATGATTGTAAGGTTTTCTGTGGCCTCCCCAGCCCTGAAGAACTGTGAGTCAATTAAACCTCTTTCCTTTATAAATTACCCAATCTTGGGTATGTCTTTATTAGCAGTGTGAGAACAGACTAATACATATGATTTGCAAATATTTTTCCCATTCCATATGCTGCCTTTTTACTCTGTGGATTATACACTTTCATGCACAAAAGTTTTTAATTTTGATGTAGTCCAATTTATTTATATTTATTTTGTTGCCTGTGCTTTCTAACCAAGAAATTGGCGTCAAAACCAGTGTCATCAAGTTTTTCCCTTATGTTTCTTCTTATAAGAGTTTTATAGTTTTAGGTCTTTCATTTAGGTCTTTGATCCATTTTGAGTTAATTTTTGTATATAATGTAAGATAAACATTTAACTTCATTATTTTACATGTGGATACTCAGTTTGCCCAACACCATTTGTTGAGTCCCCAATAATCCTATCGCACTCTTCAATTTATCACACTGTCTACCTCTCAGAAAATCCAACCAGCATATCTCTGAACCAGAGGTAGCTACTACTAAGATTTTGTATTTATCTGTGTCATTCACACACACACACACACACAGTGCTGTATATGCTGCTTTTTAACATAAAAATTAATTGTATATGTGTTTCTGTTTCATTAGATATTTTCAACACTATCAAGTTTTAAAACTCTGCAGTGAGGCCAGGCATGGTGCCTCACACCTGTAGCCCCAGCAGTTTAGGAGGTTTAGCTGAGCAGATTTCAAGACCAGCCTTGGCAATGTGGCAAAATCCTGCCTCTAGAAAAAAAAAATTCAGAAATTAGCCAGGTGTGGTGGTACATGCCTGTGATCCCAGCCAGGCACGGTGGTGCATGCCTGTGGTCTAAGCTACTTGATGGCTTGAGCCTAGGAGGTGGAGGTTGCAGTGATCCGAGATCGTGCCACTGCACTCCAGCCTAAGCAGCAGAGGCAGGCCAAAATAAAACAAAACAAACAGACAAAAAACCTCTGTATTGATTCATAATGTGGAAGTATCGATATTTATTTAACCAATGCTTTTTTAATGGCCATGATGTAGATTCTTATGAAGGTGCTTTCTTAGGTGAATAGTTCAATTTGATGTCCTCCAGGGGGATGATCGCTGGAGGGTTCTATCTGGCTATCTTGCTCTGCCTCCTCCTAAATTGTCATATATTAAAATATTATTTTATTTTAAAACTTCTATTTCTTTTAGAAGATTGACTTACAAAAGAAATTCTATGCTTGAATTATAGGAAAAAATTTGTAACAAACTGATTATTCTTTCAATTGTGCTTGTTTTCATCTTCTTTTACCTGCTTATGTAAAATATGCAAAAATAAATATTTTAAGCTTCCGTGCCCCGCATAAAATAGAATTTGCTAGATGAGACCTAAGAACACACTTTATCCAAGCCTGGTTAGGGCTGAAGGGTTTTGCAATTCCTTGAGGCACAAGATTCCCCAGAATGGCAAAGCTATTTGTTGCTACTGTTACTGCATTTGATCTCAACAATGACCAATACTAAGAAGCCCATTCTCCATCAAGCTCCAAGATCTCTTTGTTCTGGAACTCCTAACCCCAGAAACCTACTGATTTCACTGGCTCACAAAACTCTGAAAGATTCCTGACTCCAGGTTAAGAACAACAAGACAGGCACCAAGTTTCCCCTTGGCCTCTTACTGGTTCTGTGATTTTAGTTACAGCACTGGAGCATCCTGAGGCTTGTTTTCTCTCATCTCTAAATTTGCAAGAATAATTCTATTCTCCTTAACATTGTTTTGAGTTTCAAATAAGATAACATGGGAAAATAACTTATGAACAGAAGGAATAATACAAATTTCAGTTGTTACTTTTAATAAGTAGTGAAATGGTGCAAATGTGCAAATAACCAGTGACTTCATTGTCCTGGGCTTCTGGGGAAAACAGGAGAGCAGTCAAACCTCAATCCTAACGTGTAACAAAAAACTCACCACAGCTATTCACATATTTGTTAAGTTTAGCTAAGTAAGGCTCCAAAATACTACTCATTGATTGACTGGCTGCAGGCTTCCACCCTGTCAGTAGCAACTTTTTAACTATCATTGAGTATTCACAGCAGACAGTGTCAGAGATTCTAGAGTTCTTACACATTCACTGGTGACCAACTGGTCTAAGTTATGCTTACCATAATGAGCATAGATTCCAGGCAGTGTTGGCATAATACCTTGGCAGAATAAGCAAATGCCACTGGTTGCAGGCCATTTGATACTACCTATGAGTGAAGTCACTGCCACTCAGATGTGAAGAAATTGCAGATTGCCGTGCTTATTGTTGGGAAAAGCTAAAGCCTACGTACAAATTCCAAAGGGCAGAACCAACGTCAGATCCTACGTCTTCCATCATCCTCTGCCCCTGAAGTATAAAGAAACAACGCTATCTGAAGCTTCCTAACCATCTTACCTTCATTGTCTTCACTTGCTTCTCCTCCTTCCTCCACTGCAATAAAATGCATCTGAAATGAATAAGCTGCCACTTATTTAAAGCCTCACTTTTGAACACAAAGGGAATATTCACCATGGTCCCTCTATGTGATTATAAATACCTGTGTCCCTGTTCTAGTTAAGAAAGGGAGACTCTGTTTTGTGATTCCTATACTGAAATACTCAAAATATTATATTGCTTAGTCTTTCAATCAAGTGTAACTAAAGTCAGTATAAAGGATCTATCCTGTTTCTAAAGGAAGGATCAAGGCTACAGAAACAGAAAGTCAACTTGACATGTTGATAACTCTGGATACAGTGCAGTATCAAATGAGCATCCTAACCCTGCTCAAAATCTTCTCCTGGTAGCATTGTCATGGGGACTGTTAATACTAATGTGCTGAAAGAAGAAATCGACTTCAGTGAAGAAAAACAAATTTGTTGGTGGGGAGTTAAGATCAGAGCTTCTATTCTCCAAGCTCCTGTGCTTTAGTAGGTAGAAAGAAAGGGATATAAACAGGGAATAAATGAAAAGGAAAGAAAACCTATTTTACATGTAAAGATGTAGCAGTATTTGTCCAGGTTGCAAGCCTAAATAAGCTGAAAAAGATATAGATAGCATCTCTTCTCCCTCACCTCACACACCAATTTGAAACAAGTCAGTAATCTATCTCTGAGGTCTCTCAACATAATTGTTATCCAAGAATAATCTTTCCATTATTTCCTTAGAGTCCATCCTCTCTCACATCACCTCCACAGTCCCCTCCCAATAATCGTCCCCTGACCCCTGTCCTGCTCCGGTGACCTTGCCATACCTTCATACACCTTGGCTGTGCCAATCCCTTACTTTCTATCTACTCCTTCATCTGCCAGATAGATCCAGCTTCCTTAACCCTGAGTACATTTCTTTTGATAAGTTGAACAATGACCCTGATATCATGAAATAAAGAAAACATATTTCTGTTTTTATCTTGTTTGCCCTCATCGTGGTATTTACCATTGTTGGACATGTCCTTGATTCAGAATCCTTCCTCCTTAGCTTCTAGGATATCAGTCTCTTCTACCTTTATTCCCACTTCTCCTTCTGTTCCCTTTCAGACTCCTTTTATAGGTTTTCTTCCTGTCAATGTTTAGGTTTCCAAGGCTCCATCTTAAGCCCTTGGCTCTACTCAGTCCACTAACCATCCCTAAGCCAGCTTATCTGTGTATGTGCAGATGGTTGTCCTATAACTCATGATCCCTTACTGGGCTTCAACCCGGTATATACAACTGCTGATGTCCTACAGGACCCTCACACTCAATGCATCTGAGCCCCTCCCAAGCCTGATCCGCCTATATCTCTGTGAATGGCCCTGCTTGCCACTCAGTGGCCATGGCCATACACCTCACAGCCACTCTAAACACTCTCCTCTCACTTGCCCTTCCTCATCCAGTAGTCACCATTCTATAAATTCTATCTCCTTTATTTGTATCAAAGTCATTTTTTCCTTAATTCTTCACTGCCATTATTTGTACTCATCATTTTCCTCCAAGTTTAGTGAAATAGCATACTAATTCATTTCTCCGCATCTACTGTGCTGCTCTCCCATTTCAGTCTCTATTCTAGCCACAAGTAGAATAGTGATTAAGAATTTTGAGATTTTAAACTAGGGGTCTGTGAATTATGAGCACACGCTGGCCATAGTTTTTATGGGAAAGTTCTCTAAACTTCAATTTCCTTAACTCTAGAATGAACCTAATAATATTTTTCTTAAAGGTTTGTTAGAAGAATTAAATGAGATGCTATATAAGTAACTCCTAAAACATTGCCATTTGTTTTTAAAATAAATAAATCTTCAATAAATAAAGAAACCCTTCTATTAATTATTTTACTTTGTTGATTATAATCCTAAAATTACTTTTTAGAGCACCCAAAATATGTTCAGATTCCTCATTGTAGCTTCCATGAACTTCATAAACTGGCTTCTGCCTACCTTTGGTTTCATCTACTTAACCACCCTCACATGCCTTCTCTTCACCAGACACATGAGACAATTGTGGTTTGCTGAACAACCTGTTGTATCCTCAGCTTATCCACATTGCATGCATGTCAGGCATCTGAAGAGGTGAAGACACAGATGAAGTTCTTGTACCTATGGAGTTTATGGCACTAGATTGTAGGGCAAGGGGATACAGTGAAGCCAAAAAACACTAATAGAACAATCCGAGAAAGCTTCAATGTAGCACTATGTGGATGGGGGTACACCAAAGGTATTATTCCCATTCACGTGGAAGAGCCTCTGAATGAGACTGCGGCGAAAGTGATCATTATCTAGGAGCTTTTGAGGTTTGAGCTGAGTTTTAAAGAATGAATAGGAATCTTCTAAAAAGGAGAAAGACATTCTAGATAGAGGTGACAACAATGCGGGTACTCTGAGGATACAACAGGGCATTTAGGAAACCACAGTTTTCCCACGTGTCTGGTGAAGAGATGGCACATGAGGGTGGTTAAGTAGATGAAACCAGAGGTAGCCAGATTATGAAGTTCATGGAAGCTGCAGTGAGGAGTCTAAACTTATTTTGGGTGCTCTGAAAAGTTATTTTAGGATTATAATCAACAAAGTAAAATAACTGTACTAGTCCATTCTCACGCTGCTATAAAGAACTGCCTGAGACTGGATAATTTATAAAGAAAAGAGTTTTAATTAACTCACAGTTCCACAGGGCTGAGGAGGCCTCAGGAAACTTACAATCATGGTGGAAGGGGAAGCAAATACCTTTTCGTCACATGGCAGCAGCAAGGAGAAGTGCCAAGCAAAAGGGGAAAAGTTCATTATACAACCATCAGATCTCATGAGAACTCACTATCACGAGAACAGCATGGAAGTAATCACCCCCATGAGTTAATTACCTCCCACCGGGTCCCTCCCACCACATGTGGGGATTATGGGAACTACAGTTCAAGATGAGATTTGGGTGGGAACACAGCCAACCCATATCAATAACTAATCAGATATGTGTTGTAGTAAAGGAACATTAATAGAGGCAAATTTCCTTTATTGACTGAGGATTTACTTTTTAAATAAATATTTAAACTTATTTTAAAACAGGCAATGTTTTAAGAGTTGTTTATATATCATCTCATTTTCTTGTTCGAATAAAGCTCTGAGAAAGGTATTTTTAGGTTCATTCTAGAGTTAAGGAAACTGAACTTTAAAGAACTTTCCCATAAAAAAAAATGGCCAGTATGTGGTCAGAATTCATAGACCTCTAGTTCAAAACCCTGAAATTCTTAATTTCAGTACAAGTATGACAAAGGAAAGGAAAAAAAGAAGGAATGAAGTAAGTGGGAAGGTAAGAATAAATGAAAGAAGAAAAAACAAAGCTATTACTTACTATGGTAAAGTTCCAGGATCTTTTTTCTTCAGCTTCTAAGAACTCACAGATTCCCATTTTCCTCCATCAAGAGCTGCTATAACCTCCCATGGAGAGAGCTCCTGCCATCATTTCCCTGCATGCAGTCTCCCAGGCAGCTCTGCTTCTGTGTTTCTATTCAATGGAACCCCTGCCTCCAGCTCTGTTTAATCCACCTTGATCTGCAGCTCGTCACCCTTACAAATAAGCCTTTATTAGTTCGAGAAAGATTTATTCCTTTGAGTTTTTATGTTGCCCTTACAATGAGGAGAACAAAAAGACAACATGTGAAAGGAAGTAGAAGGAGGAATTTGTGCTTGTATTATTCCTCCGTAGTAACTCAGGGATTGATTGAACAAATACATTTTGAGCACCTGCTCCTTGCTTGACAGAGCATTATGGTCAAGAAATACAATAATTGATAAACCAAGAAGCTGGGTTGGCAATAAACTTACAGATTAGTGGGTTCTTTCATTGAACTTTTGTGTGTGTGTGTGTGTGTGTGTGTGTGTGTGTGTGTGTGTACCTACTGCATGCCAGGCACTTTTCTAGGTGCTGGGAAGATAACAGGAGCCAAAAGAGAAAAAGTTCCTGCTCTCGAGGAGGTGAGACTTTAGTAAAGAAAGCTGGGTTGCTCTAAGTATAAAAGAATGGAAAGGAGCAAGTATGGCCACTGGGAGATTAATTATCTGCTTGAAACTGTTCAATCAAGAGGAGACTGGACATTTCTTGGAGTGGGGCAGTAATGGTGGTGAAAATTATTGAGTTCTGTAGAGAACCGGATCTGCTAACAGATTAGACATGAGATATTAAAAAGAACAATGCTGACTTTTTTTTTACTTTTTCTATATTTGTTTAAGGGATGAAGTATCACTTTGTTACACAGGTGTCTGGAACTCCTGGCCTCCGGTTATCCTCCCACCTCAGCTTCCTGAGTAGCTGGAATTACAGGCAACTAGCCGCCATGCCCCACAAAAATGGGCCAATTCTGACACCAGTGATTTTGCTGTGTATACCTAGAGAAAGAGAGTTCATTGTTTTTGTTTGAGTTGAGAAAGTCAGTAGGAAAAGTGGGCTTTTTTTTCAGTGAAATAAGAAGCAAGATCAAAATCTGAGAGTAAAGAATGGAGAGGAAACGCTAGAGGTTGAGGGAAGAAAATTAAATGTCTGGAAGAGCATTTCATTAGTTATTTTCTTTGTGGTCTGAAGGTGAGAGAAAGATGAGAGATAATTGTTTGATTTTAGATTTTATATGTTCAAGATTCCTGGAAATAATGACAGCAAACATTTATATAGTAATTCCCATGTGCCAGGACCCATTCTAAGTGACTCGTATACATTATTTTATTTAATCCACACAAAAATGTTTTGAGGTAGGGTCTATTGTTAACTCCATTTTTTTTGTTGTTGTTTGTTTGTTTGAGATGGAGTCTCACTCTGTCGCCCAGGCTGCAGTGCAGTGGCACGATCTCGGCTCACTGCAAGCTCCACCTCCCAGGTTCATGCCATTCTCCTGCCTCAGCCTCCTGAGTAGCTGGGACTATAGGTGCTCGCCACCACGCCCGGCTAATTTTTTGTATTTTTAGTGGAGACAGGGTTTCACCGTGTTAGCCGCGATGGTCTCAATCTCCTGACCTCATGATCTGCCTGCCTCGGCCTCCTAAAGTGCTAGGATTATAGGCGTGAGCCACCGCGCCTGGCCCTGTTAACTCCATTTTACAGATGAGAAATACGAAGCACATCGAAGGCAAGTAATCTGTAGTGGTCACATAAGTTGGCTGATGAAGACAGGACTTGAACCCAGGCATCATGATTGCAGGGTCTGTGCTCTTTCCTACCCCCCTGTTCTATACGTAAGTATGCAGATGAGTGAGTACAGACTTCAAGTATGCAGAAAAAGCCAAAGATATCACCACGGGGAACATCGGCATTTAAATGATATTTAAAGCCATACGACTAGATAAAATGGTGTAGAGAGTGAATATAGGCGGAGGAGAGATTCATGTGTTAAGTTCCCAGTGTTTAGAGACAGTAACATGGGGAAGATTCAGCAAAGGAGCTAAGAAGGATGGTGGTGGGGGGAGGACACAAAGAGAACCAAGAGAATGTGGTGTCTCAGAGTTCATGTGTGTAATTATCTCCCCCAAAACCTCAACCTTCCAGATAAGTCTAAGGGTGAGAACTTCACACAAGATGAATAAGAACCAATTTCTTCCAGGGCGATGTTGAACCTGGAAATGAAAGCCAATCTCTCTTGGAAGGCCTGGTTTGTAGAAATGTCAGTCTTTGTTTCAAGCTGTGGGAGAATGAGAAGCAAGACTTTAGGGAAAGAGGAATAAAATAGATGTGCAGAAATAACAGAGTGAGAAAGTCTTCAGGGTGTCGCTAGCCCTAATTGCAGGCATCCCTGAATCCTAGACCTTGGATTGCAAGAGACTCCTTAATATCTTCCCATGTCCACATTTGCTTCACATAGTTTGAATGTGGCTTCTATTATATACAGATACAAGATTCAAATCCAACCTCTATGATGACTGGTCTTGTGAATAAGCAGAAGAGGCACTAACAATATGACGTGAGGGATTCAGGGAAGAGCACTTTCTTGAGCACATATCTTCCCTGGTCTGCCAGCTGTAGTTTATGAAATTCCACAATGAGGATGAAATGGAATCACCATTTACAGAGTACTCTCCAGATGTCTAACCCTAAGCTAGGTACCTTCAAAATATTATCTAGTTTAGATAATCAACCCTTTGGACTAGAGAAAAAGCTTGTTCTTCTAGAGTCCATGGAAGCAATGTCTCTTCTATACAAGTAGGTTCAAAATATTATTGTATATGTCTTTGCTCCACTGTTATACTGGAGCAATATTAATTATAAATAGGCTGGGCATGGTGGTTTATGCCTGTAATCCCAGTGCTTTGGGAGGGCCAAAGCAGGAGGATCACTTGGGACCAGGAGTTCAAGATGAGCGTGGGCAGTGTAGCAAGACCACATCTCTACCAAAAAAAAATACAAATACAATATTTAGAAATGTCAAAATTATAATTGAATGAGAAGAAATCAGTGAGACAAGGAAATGTGAATTATCGAACTGGAGACTAAGACATTGGAAATAAGATTAGGGACAGAGGACAGAGGGCTAGGAGTAAAGTGAAAGCCGCAAAGAAGACAATAGCAGGCAGAAGTAAATCAGGTATGAAAAGAAAAGGCATGAAAGCTGTAGGCAGCTGTTGAAAAAAACATGACCAGACTAATAGAAACCGTCTGGAAAAGAGAAAGCCTTGCTCATGGAAATGGCTATTAAGGGAATTAATTATTGCTCAATATGTCAGACAGGCATTCTCAACTGGATTATAAGGTTTGAAGCGATTACACAGAAAGGAACAAATGTCCTTAGTTATCACAAGTTCAAAAAAGAGGATCTGCCTGGATTCAGATTAGAAGCAAGAGTAGAAGAAGAATGTGACATGAAAAATAAATGTCTGTGAAAGCCAATTCTCTATTCCACGGAAAGCTTTCTGTTTCTAGCCGGTATAAATAACAGGATGTTATACTTGTAATTTAGCTACCAAAACACAGAGGTATCTAATGCATATAATATGTGTGTGTGTGTGTGTGTGTGTGTGTGTGTATGTATATATATCTGATTTGGTAACTAAAGTACATACATTACATATATAATATGTTCTACCAAGCATATTATTAAGAAAGGATTATGGGAAGGATTTAAGGTCAAGGTGACAAGGCTGCCATTTGGTGCAAAGAAATTCTTAGCAGAGTTCATTGCAGTGGGAAGAATCAATGTACAACCTTTACAATCATACCACTTTTAGAAACAGGAAATCTACCCAATGCTTTGTTTTAGTCATTTTTCCTTTCCCAGCATTCAGAGTTCTATCTGCTTACTATCTGTGATATCTGCTAACAACCTATGAAATGTTCATTCAATTTTTTGAAACTCAAATCTCCCCTCCCATTTGTACTTTCCCATCTGAGTCTCATTTGAGAGTTGTCCCTCAAGCAGTTCTCTAATCAGCGTGTGTGTATGGAAAGACTATTTCTGAATGAAAGAGATTGCAATGCTTTTAAAAATGGCAGGTTCAAATGTGACTTGAACACTTTAAAATGTTGACCCTTATCACAGATACAAAAAGAATACTAAACCTGGAAGGAATCTGGGCATCATCTGGTACAAAATGTTCATTTTGTTCACAAATAAACTAACACCCAGATAGACTAGAGACTGGACCAAGGCCACACTGAACAGATCACACAGCTAGAAAGAGATCAAAGGTGTTCCACTCCCAGCCCCAACTTCCTTTTAAAATATACCTTCTTGGACTTTTTAAAAACTTACATAAATTCCTGACAGCATTTGAATCTAGACATGAATAGCTAAAATAAAGGGGACTACTAAAAAGGCAGTGAATTAAGTCAAGAATCTCAACCACACATACCATTTTTTCTCACAGAAACTATTAGCAATTCAATGAATGTTGGAAGGGGAGGGAAAATTGTAAATAGTAAAAGAATACTCTATAATTAAAGTTTTATGTTCTAGTTATCTATGTACCACATGGATGATTACCATAAAGTTATCAAAACATTCCATTCATTATACATTCACCAAAAATAACTCTGGAAAAAAAAAATAGTAGAATCCTGGAGGGATTGGTTACAGGCAGAGGGTAAGCAATTGAGGGTGTCCTGGTCCTTTTTCAGTGTAAGTACTGGCAGCAGAACACAAACATGTCTTCATCCAAAAACAAACAAAAAACCCATAAGGTTGGTTGGACAGGTAGGGCAGAATGGTGAATGTTCTATATTAAATTCAAAAACTGTTCTAAGCCGAAAAGGAGGTTTCTTACAGTATGAGAATGGAAGCACTGATTACATAGTGAAATGAAATAGAATTTTTTTTTCTTTTTTTCTGAAACAAGATCTCACTCTGTCACCTAGGCTAGAGTGCAGTGGCACCATCTTGGCTCACTGCAACTTCCGCCTCCTGCGTTCCAGTGATTCTCCTGCCTCAGCCTCCTGAATAGCTGGGACTACAGGCACCCACAACCACACCCAGCTAATTTTTGTTTTTGTTTTTGAGAAGGAGTCTTGTTCTTGTCCCCCAGGCTGGAATGCAGTGGCGCGATCTCAGCTCACAGCAACCCCTGCCTCCCGTGTTCGAGTGATTCTCCTGCCTCAGCCTCCTGAGTAGCTAGGATTACAGGTCTCCACCACCATGCCTGGCTAATTTTTGTACTTTTAGTAGAGACGGATTTTTGCCCTGTTGGCCAGGCTGGTCTCAAACTCCTGACCTCAAGTGATCTGCCTGCCTCGGCCTCCCAAAGTGCTGGGGTTACCAGCATGAGCAACCATGCCTGGCCAAAATAGGTTTCATTTAAGTCTCCCAAGTTTCAAGAAGGGGCTTGCCTTATCCAGATCTAGCACCTCCTTCCTGTAAATGATGCAGTACTAGGGGAGAGAAGACATCTACTGATTGCTGTGAGGTCCAGAAATTCAGGTGAAGTCTCTTTCATGGCAGGGAAGGGAAGGTGGAAAGACAAGCTACTCAGTGTAGGAAGAAGGGTAAGATATGAAGCCTGCAGGCCTGTGGGAGAAGGGAGAATCCAGCAGAAACCCAGCTGAGTCAGGTGCCAACAAATACTGAGGACTGGGCCATTCCAGGACACAAATCAGATAAGTAGGCTGGTGGTAATTAGCATCCCTGCCCAGGGAGAAGAGAAGCCAGTAAGGCTTGGATAAGCAGCTTGATTCTGTCTTAAAGAACAATTTGTTTGGTATTTCGTCCTTGGGATAGTTTGCTGAGAATGATGATTTCCAGCTTCATCCATGTCCCTACAAAGGACATGAACTCATCCTTTTTTATGGCTGCATAGTATTTCATGGTGTATATGTGCCACATTTTCTTAATCCAGTCTATCATTGTTGGACATTTGGGTTGGTTCCAAGTCTTTGCTATTGTGAATAGTGCCGCAATAAACATACGTGTGCATGTATACGTATGTAACAAACCTGCACATTGTGCACATGTACCCTAAAACTTAAAGTATAATAATAATAAAATTTAAAAAAAAAGAACCCTTTGATGAGATAACCTAGGGCCTTCACTTAACCTGGACCACCAGTGAATATGAGTCATTTGTTTCAACCCTAAGCCATTTTAATATAGAGACAGATGAAACTATAGAAAATGTGCTGCCTGCCCAGAGAAGCAGAAACAATAGGCTTGCTCGCTTTTCAGGGTATTAACCTTGAGGAGAGAAAACTGGCTCTGAGGACAGAGGAAGGAAGCAAGAGCTTCCCAGGCATTAAAAAGATTAAGGGAAATAGTACTGGACTGGAGCAGAGAGGAAATTATTTGCCTGTCTCAGAGAGGACATTTCTGTTGTTATTGCCCCTATAAACTATCTTCACCCTCAGCCCTAAACCGGGTAGGGCTGATAGGATTTGTGGAGGTAATATATCAAATTAGTCTTGCTAAGAAAACTCCAGGGGAAGGCCTGGGGCCAAGGATTGCCCTGAAATTTATCTAAGTGACAGGACACTCAAAGCAGCAAATGGAGTGCTTGCTTGCCCCTGTGGACATCACAGCCAAAACTATGCTCATTAGAGGAAGGTCTCTACCTTAGTTCCAGGGAAGAATAAAGGATCCCCAGGGTTAACCAATGACCACCTAAAATCCTTATAAACCAGGCTTGAACTTAGGTGAAAATGAAAGAAAAATGTCTTGTCATGAACACAATCAGAAGTTCAGAAATTTCCAGCAATGTTAGGAGAAAATATGAGAGCTGTAAGGTTGCACATCTGCCCTATTCGTCGTATTGCAAATGATCAAGATTACACAAATATTACAAAAGCAAGGAAGCTGTCTACTTAGTTGTAAGGGGAGAAGGCGTGGAAAGACATTCAGCCGCTGGGCAAATGCTGAGAATGTCTGAGGGTCCTTCAGGAGCCCTTCTCCAGCCTGTGCAGCCACCCATTTATCACCCTAAGGGCGCAGAGGCATGAATAACGCCGAGCAAAGCCACAGACACACCCACCCACTCTCTGTGTAACACAGTCAGCTTTACCACACCACAGCCAAACACATTCTACTTGCTTATACAACAGCTCTTCGGGGTTCATAGCATGCTCATCGTCTTCACATGAAACAAAAACAGCCCTTTGTGCTCCCCACTGCCCACCAATTATTTCAGTCTCTGGTTGTGTTCCCCAGGGAACAGACTCTAAAGCAGAGTGTGGCATGCAGACACTCTGCTGAGAAGAGCCCTTGGGTTCGACACCTAAGGGAGGGAGAAAAAGGGAGCAGGATGTAGCAGAAAAATGCTGAGTCATGATGCTGACTCAACGACAGCTTCAACCAACTCCAGGACTAGCTCTGAAGTCCTGCCCCTTCAGTGTTGTCCTGAGTTGGGCCAGGATGGCCAGGATTTTATATCTTCACTGAGCAGTCCCTGGATCTGGACCACTCCAGAAATGGGTGCACCCTTGGGCAAGGCAGCTCACTGTAGCTCAGGCAGTGCCTGAGAAGCTGATGGCTGAAGGCTGGTGCCAACAACACTCACAACAGCTGGGACAACAAGTCTTTCCTTAAAGGGGGGATATGGACCACACAGCACAGTGTCTGCCACATGTTCTACATGCATTTTCTAAATATTCATGAAACTTCAGAAAAACGTACGTGGAACTGAAGTTTGAACTTCCCAACCTTTTTCAATGCAGAAACCATAACAGGAAAATAAACATTTCTAAGTGTGAAAAATGCTTTAATACCGAGCACCCTGAAGAATTAAAGTAACAACAGCCTCTAGTATTGCAATGCTGGAACAAAGATAGAAAAGTTCCTCTGTTTTAAAACAGCCTCTCCCCTCTGTCTCCTTGTGAGAAAGGTTTATGAGTTTCAATCAGTCAGTGACTCCTTGCTGAGGGCCTGCTATGTGCTCAGCATTCCACTAGATCCAGCTAGGCAGGATGCCAGAGAAATACATAACGTGGTCTCTAACTGAGGATGGTATTGTCTAGATGGGAAGGAAAATAAAACACCCGAGAGCATAGGAGAGCATCTTTTTGCTCAGTTGCCTGCTCCCAGGAGGTTTAGGTATCGTGGTCTAGCAAAAAGAGCACAGGAAACTCAGTTCAGACCCTGATTTCTTTACTTAATTACTGTATGAAGTTGGTCACTTTATTGATGTGAGGTTGTTCTAACACCTATGTCTCTGAGGATCAGTTTCCTCATCTTTAAACTGGATCTACTATACCTAGCTTACAGATATGAAAATTAAACGAGGCAAGGGTTGTAAACATGCATTGTACATCTTAAGGAACAATGCACATGTTTGCTGCTTTCTTCATACCCAACTCTCAGGGTGTCGGAGAAGAGAGAGAAAAACTGATGAGAGTTGGAGAAGTCAGAGATTTTAGAATAGGGTTCTTTCGGCAAGGCCTTGAGGTCTTGAGCCTTTCAGCAAGGCCTGCAAGCTGGTAATGTTCTGCCTACCCAACATGCTCATAGTCCCTGTGGCCTGTCCTGCACAATGTTAAATTTGTGTTTACTTTGAATTCCTTCAGGAGGGGCACATCATCCCTACTGTCTGTCTGCACAGCCCAGTGAGCAGAGAGCAGCAGGAACAGAGCTTGGGGCGAAAGAGTTTATGTTCTTGAACCTGCTGCAGCCCAGGAGAAACACACAGCAGAGGAAATACAGGTCCTCTCAAGGAAGTCGGGAGGCGCTTCCTACAAGGATATGCATCTGTGTAGGAGGGTTTAAGAAAGCTGGAAACAGGCCTGGATTGGAGGCCGTCAAAAGGTGGGGTTTCTTTTTGTGACTGATTAGCTTACTAATTTTTATCTAGGAGGGAGGCAGGAAGGTGAAATTGAGGTTTGAGTTGTCGCGGGCAAAGGAGCAAACGGAAGGAGGGATCTTTAGCCTTTTTTCTGTTAGCAGTGTGGCCTTATCTCTGTCTTGTCCCAAGCCTGGTCACCATGTAGCCCTGTCTCAACAGGGTGTCTACTCTGTGAGCATGTTTATGATCCATTGGGAAGATCATGGATCATTTTCGATGTCTGATGTCTCACCAGATGCATACATCTGCAAACTTCCTGGCTGCATTAGCTGTCTGAGCTTGCTAGCCTGCCTTCATCGAGGTAGGATAATTTGTGAGTTAAGAGGTATAGGTTGAGAGAGGCCTAATTCTGACAGGGAAAGATGATACAGAGGGGAGTCTTAATGGACGAGTAAGAATGTAGCAAGCATTCACTACAGCAGAGATCGTCAAAGTATGGCCCCAGACAAGCATCATCTGCATCACCTGTGGACTTCTTAGAAATGCAGATTCTTGGTCTTCGTCCCTCACCTACTAAGTCAGAAACCCTGGGGATGATGCCCAGCCATCTGTGGTTTACAAGCCTTCCCAGTGTTGCTGATCAGGCTAGAGTGAGAACTCCAGCCATGAAGTAGGTGAGAAGGCTCACAAGTGCAGCTGTGAGCAGCTCAGTGCAGCTAATAAATACTAGTGTGATTAGGAAAGGCTTTAAGGGGGAAATGGGTGTTGAATTGGGCCTTTCAAGAGGTGGAAAAGTAGGTAGGTGTGAGGAGGAGGAGGAGGAGAGGCTGCCATTGATTCAAAAATAACATGAGCAGATGCTCCTGCCTCTGGCTTAATTCTTAGCTTGGGACTTGAAGTCCAAAGATTGCAGTGCACTGAGGTCAGAATGACAAAAATATGTGAGATAAGACCAAGGGTGCATTATTCTGGATTTTCAACTAAAACGAAGACTTAATGAGGAACTTTCCCAACATTATTCTGAAGTAGGGAAAAATGCTTCAAGCAGTCCATCCGGAAGTTAGAAGTTATCAGAGAATTATAGTAATTGAAAGAGATATTTTAGAGCCAAATTAAAGAGGATGTAAGAGTTACATTAATTGTCTAGAAGACAGCCTTTGTATTGAATATGAGAACACAACCTCAGCTATAAGCTTTTAGTGAAATTAAATCTCATCACCGCTAGCCAAACTTGTGACTTTCCCATATGAAGGAGTGGAGCCCACCTTCCGGAAAAAAATTGCTGCAACACTCACTTGCCAAGGTCTTACAAGAGGGGTACGTGACATGGAGACTAAAAGGAACAAAACCATGATCCTAGTGACGAAAAGACAATCTCCTTGATTTGGGACTTAATGAAATTACATGTTAACCAATTGAGTCATTTCAAATCCAAGATGAGAACGTTTCAACTAGTCTTTTCATTTATCCTGGGTTGGTTTTGTTTTGTTTTTCAGAATTGATTGAGTTGCTTTTGCCTTTCCTTGCCACAGGAATGCACCTGACCAATTATTCATCTTTTCTACTCCTTTGATGTGGATGAGTTTGTGTTCTGTAAACATCTTCCCAGATTGTTTTTTGGACCTTGGAATTCTGTTGAGAGTGCGCGACTGATTTGCATGCTTCTGTCTCCTCCCTGGCTCCATACCTCATGCAGATGTTGCCATTTATGCTTTAGCTTTTTCAGCTCCCTTTATGGCATGAAGTAGTTTCTTCACGTTCCTCTAATTGCACCCTGAGAAATTATCTATCCACATACTCACTGGCAAAAAGCAATAGCAGATGGCTTTAAAACGGAAATAGGAATTCTTCTGGAACCTTAAAGGGAAAGATGGTGTGCAGAGAGTGGATTAATGTGCATTTCACAGTTTTAGTTCCCATTAAGAAAACTCGACTCCATCAAATCAGATATCGACTTGACAAAACTATTCATTCTGTGATGGTTGACTTGCCCTTCTTCAACTGTGACATAAATGTCTGACTTCAGGGAAATAGAGCATTTTCTTTCCTCACTGATGGGAAAACTATTCAAATGCACTGCTATAATATTTATTTAATTAGATTGCTGAAATCTTTCTATGGAGAAGTAAATGCAACCCCTCCCTCTTTCCTCTTTAGACCTATAAAAGAAAGCTGACTTGTAGTAGTAAAATATTTTAATGTGATTTGAGCCTTCCAAAAATTGAAATTTGCAAAACACAAATTTAAGAGAAGCCTCCTATAAACTATACTGTTATTTTAATCAGCTCTTCTATTCACTTTTCTTTTTTTATTTGCCAGCTTTCCTTTTGATTGTGTCATAATAACTGTCTAGACTGTTCTCAACTGTGATGGATTTTAGGAGACTTTGTACAAATGATGCTGGAAAAAAATAAATTAGCAGTACTGTCCATTAAATTACTGTGCATTAAAGTTATGATCAGAAAAAGCATTGATTACTTACATACCAGCTAAGATTGCCTACTGTCCATTTTCTTCAAGGTTACAGCTTGTTAGAAAGCTTATATCTACCTTTCTATCAAAATGCAAGTATATAAACTAAAGAGCTTCTGCACAGCCAATGGAACTATCATCAGAGTCAACAGACAACCTACAGAATGGGAGAAAACTTTTGCAATCTATCCATCTGACAAAGGCCTAATATCCAGAGTCTACAAGGAACTTAAACAAATTTACAAAAAAAAAAAAAAACAACCGCATTAAAAAGTGGGCAAAGGACATGAACACAACACTTCTCAAAAGAAGACATTCATACAGCCAACAAACATATTTTAAAAAGCTCAACATTACTGATCATTAGAGAAGTGTAAATCAAAACCACAATGAGATACCATCTCATGCCAGTCAGAATGGCAATTATTAAAATGTCAAAAAAAACAACTGATGCTGCTGTTGTTGTGGAGAAAAAGAAATGCCTTTACATTGTTGATGGCAATATAAATGAGTTCAACCATTGTGGAAGACAGTATAGCAATTCCTCAAAGGCCTAGAGGCAAAAATACCATTTGACCCAGCAATCCCTTTCCCAGGTATATACCCAAAGGAATATAAGTCATTCTATTATAAAGATACATGCACTCATATGTTCACTGCAGCACTATTCACAATAGCAAAGACATGGAATCAACCCAAATGCCCTTCAATAATAGACTGGATAAAGAAAATATGGTACCCATACACCATGGAATACTATGCAGCCATAAAAAAGAATGAGATCATGTCCTTTGCAGAGACATGGATGGAGTTGGAAGCCATTACCCTCAGCTAACTAACACAGGAAAAGAAAACCAAACACTGCATATTCTCACTTATAAGTGAGAGCTGAACAATGAGAACACATGAACACATAGAGGGAAACAAAACACACTGCAACCTGTGAGGGGGAACAGGGGAAGGGAGAGCATCAGCAAGAATAGCTAATTGATGCTGGGCTTAATACCTAGGTGATGGGTTGATCTGTACAGCAAATCACCATGGCACACATTCGTCTATGTAACAAACCTGCACATCCTGCACATGTACCCTGGAACTTAAAGGTTGAAGAAAAAACACAATTTTAAAAAATAATGACCTCCAACAATAAGTATGTTTCTATGTTCCTATTTAACTTACTGTTTTAAACTAGATGCAAAAGCTTCGTGATAATCTTGATTTAGTGTTAAGTTACAGCTATGATTATAATTGTATCTGGGACCGGTCTTATGAGTTTCTGACTTCTGTGATTCCAGGAACTGCCAAGATTCAAAGTCACAGTTATTTAGGATTTACTTAAAGCAACAACAACAATAACAATAAAAACGTATTATATCGGAAGCAACTCTTCTGGGCTGATATTTAGTCAGTAGGTACTGGTATAGCCATAATGAAATACTTTCCAGCAGGTTAATCAGCTTATGCCCTGAGCCTCCCCAAACCCAGTGCCCTTCCACTCTACCTGGGCTGTCTCAGTACCTCCTCCAGTGACTCTATCTCTTAATGACTTGGCAATGAACGAATGGTTAATACGTGGCTCAGTAAGGAAGCTCTAACCATAGAATGGTCTGATTGGCTACTACTGATTGGTTAGTATATATGTCGTAAACATTTTAACATCCTCCTGATTAAATCTTATCAGTTACCATCTCAGCTAACATCTTAGTATCAGTGTATTGGTTCCTTCTTGCATTGCTGTAAAGAACTACCCCAGACCGGGTAATTTATGAACAAAAGAGGTTTAACTGGCTCACAGTTCTGCAGGTTATATAGAAAATATAGCTGGGAAGTCCTTAAGAAACTTTCAATCATGGTGGAAGGTGAAGAGGAAGGAGTCACATCTTACACGGCTGGAGCAGGAGGAAGCAGGGGCGGGGGGAGGTGCTACACACTTTTAAACAACCAGATCTCATGATAACTCACTCACTATCATGAGAGCAGCAAGGGAGAAGCCCACCCCCATGATCCAATCACCTCTCACCAGGCCCCTCCTCCAACACTGGGGATTACAATTCAGCATGAGATTTGGGCAGGGACACAAATCCAAACCATATCAATCAGTACTCTTGTGATAGTAAAGCCAGGTAGGACTGGGTCTCAAAACAACCTCTGGATGAGTGGAAAGGCATAAAAAGGAGGTAGAGTAAGCCATGAGGAGGGGGAAAAATATGATAGGTGGTAGGGGGCTTTTAATGGGAGGCTTCAAAAGACTGTCGTATTACAAGACTTCTACTTCACAATTTCCTTTCAGGTCAACCTTATCAATGCCAATTACCTAATTGCTGTATAGGATTTTCTCTGAGACAAGGTGATTTACTGTGTTCTGCAATATGATCAGACATATTCAGCCTCTGAAGTTAAAACCTGGTGATATTCATGGGTGAGGAGGATTCTGCCTACAAACTTATATATATCTAGTAGATGTTGTGCCCTGCCCAGATCTCCTTTAGTGCATCTGTGCACCCATCTCCAAGCTGTCGTAAGTGTGGGTTTTCAGTGGCTCATGGATACACTGTCTTCTGCATAATTGGCCTTGGCCAAGGAAAGCCCCTTTTCCTGGACATAGCTGAGGCCCAAGCTTCCACCATCATTGGAATAGCTGCAGCTAAGGACTGATTATGTGGCCAGCCTCCTTGCAGGATAATTTTTTGCACCGCTCACACTCCAGAGTTCCCTATGGCATCAGGCTGAGGCCACAGGTCAGCTGTAACCACACCTTTCCTTAGTTTCTTCCCCTGTGTCATCCTGCTTGCCTCATGTCCTTAGAGATGTACTTAAAAATCTATGTATCAGGCTGCACTTTTAGGGAAACTAATGCATTTTTTCAAAACAGAAATTGAAGACATTTTTCTTTCTAAATATACATGGCAAAAGATTGTATTAATATAGTTTGGATATATGTCCCCTCTAAATCTCATGCCGATTTGTAATCCCCATTGTTGGAGGTGGGGCCTAGTGGGAGGTGATGGGATCATGGAGGCAGATTTCTCATGAATGGCTTAGTACCATCCCCTTGTTGCTGTCCTTGCCATAGTGAATAAGTTCTCATGAGATCTGGTCATTTAAAAGTCTGTGGCACCTCCCTCCACCACACTCTTTCTTGCTCCTGCTTTTGCTATGTGCTGTGCAAGCTCCCATTTTGCCTTCCACCATGACTAAAAGCTCCCTGAGGCCTCCCCAGAAGCCAAGCAGATGCCGGCATCATGCCTCCTGTACAACCTGCAGAACACTACGACAATTAAATCTCCTTTCTTTATAAATTACCCAGACTCAGGTATTTTAAAGAAATTGCAAGCAAACCTCTACTCCACAATTCCCTTTTAGGTCAACCGTATCAATGCCAATTACCTAATTATAGGATTTTCTCTGAGACAAGATGATTTATTGTGTTCTGCAATGCGATCAGACATATTCAGCCTCTGAAGTTAAAACTTGGGATATCCATGTGTGGGATATTCATACGTGCTGTTCTAGCAATGCAAGAGCAGCCTAATACACATATGGACAATTTTTAGACCTCTTGTCAAACAAATTTGAGAGACATCACTACTGTCTAGCTTTGATTTTCTACAAATTATGCTAACTAGGAATCTAAAATAAATTGAGTGCTGTGGCTCCAGTGGCACAATTGGTTAGCACGCGGTACTTATAAAGTGAATTGAAGTTCTACATTTCTTTTCTGTCACAATACCTTCTGTGAGGGAGGGGGCATGGAATTTCATGGTTGAAATTTATGCTTTCCATCATGTTTTCCCTACCTCTGAAAGAGATATTATCCTGCACAAATAAAGATTGGAAGGAAACTGTCAATACTTGGAAGACCACCAATTAACCACCTCAGCTAATAAATAGAGAAGGCACCTGGATATTTGGGGTTTGCCCCACCCCCCACGCCAGATTCGCTTTCCAACCTTCGCTATCCTCCTTTGAAATCCAAGACTTCAACTTCTAGGGACTGCACCAACAAGCTTCCTTGCCCTCCAGCTTTCAGTTTGGCCAATGGAAGATACTTGCCAGGAAATTGAAAGTTTAGTGCAGAATGATGTAAGCACTTTTATTCCAACAGCAACCTTCCTGGCAAGTCATCACAAGCTGGCTCTGGCCTTCCACCCAAGGACACTCTTCTTATTGGATGGCCCTCTTAATGCAGCCACTCTATGTTCCAGTCACTAACTGCTTCCTCCCCCTGCCCCTCAGCACTCCAGCTTTTGCTGACTCCAAAGTACTGCACTATTCTTTGATGTAATACTGCACTTAACCCCACCCACATGATTGTAAACAATCCCTTTGTTGAACTCTCTTCTCTGATCCTTTTTGAGCATTTTGTTTTCTGCTTGGTCACTGGGGAAAACAATAAGACACCCTAAGTTGGCTAACATCAGAATTGAAAACATTTCTTACTTGAAAAAAACGTAATGTGGTAAAAAATATTTAAGTAATTCTTATGGTATCGGATTACTTAGTGATATGGTTTGGCTCTGTATCCCCACCCAAATCTCATCTCGAACTGTAATCCCCACGTATTGTGGGAAGGACTTAGTGGGAGGTGATTGGATCATGGGGACAGTTTCTCCATGCTGTTCTCATAATAGTGAAGGAGTTCGCAGGAGATCTGATGGTTTTAAAGTGTGGCACTTTCCCTTCTTTCTCTCTCCTGCCACCTTGTGAAGATGTGCCTTGCTTCCCTTCACCTTCCTCCGTAATTGCAAGTTTCCTGAAGCCTCCTCAGCCATGTGGAACTGGGAGTCAATTAAACTTCTTTTGTTTAAAAATTACCCAGTGTCAGGTAGTATCTGTATAGCAATGTGAGAATGGACGAATACACTTAGTAACTCCTATATGCATTGCCCATTGATTCTTCAGTTATATTGTCATTCAATCATTGCTTTATTTATTCCACAACCAGTTACTGATCACCTACTAAGACTGATGCTCTGCAAGCTACAGTAACCACATAAGGTACATGACTATTGTGTCATGTACTACATCATACATTTCTTCCTATGGACAGCTTCCAACTTACCTTTGAACAATAATTGTAGGCAAATGAAGATGCTGAAGAATGGAGGGAAAACATTCTGACCTCTGACAGGGACTGAAGTGAGAAAACCCATGAATTATAAGGAAATGAAAAGTGACTTAAAAGACTAGTTTTCTTACACTAAGCAACTGAAGTCCCACTCTGGAGAGGGCTCAGTGAAGAGGGTGATCAGTCCTTTGTACAGAAATGTCTATACCCTAGAAGATGCCTGGTAGCTAAGTAGATATTCTTGAATCTGTGCTAAAAATTGGAGTGAAAGAGTCCCAAAAGCTTTGAAAACAATTTTCCAGGCTGTCCTAGCTAAGGGGCATGTCATTCAACAGTGACTAGTCAATTTAGTGAAAGTCAGTCACACACAGTTTGATATTCTCAAGACTAAAAAAACCAACTGCGTGACTGAATTTTTTATTTTTCAAGGTAGTCGTTATTGAAGGAACCTGAATTTTTCATATGATTGTTTTTAGAATAACACTGATGTTGAAATTTTGCATTATTCTTTCTGCTGCAGACATCTTGAAACAGAAAAATAAACACTGCAGAGTAGAAAAGTCTTCAGGGCAAAAGTCTGGCTTAGGGTACCTCCTAAAAAATATCTATAAGTGGCCAGGTGCAGTGGCTCACGCCTGTAATCCCAGCAGTTTGGGAGACCAAGGCAGGTGGATCACGAGGTCAAGAGACTGAGACCATCCTGGCCAATATGGTGAAACCCCATCTCCAGGAAAAATACAAAAATTAGCTGGCTGTGATGGCACGCACTTCTAATCCCAACTATTCAGGAGGCTGAGGCAGGGGAATCGCTTGAACCCAGGAGGTGGAGTTTGCAGTGAGCCCAGATCGTGCCGTTGCAGTCCAGCCCGGGAGACAGAGTGAGACTCTGTCTCAAAAAAAAAAAAAAAAAAAAAAAAAAAAAAAAAATATATATATATATATATATATATATATATATACACACACACACGTATATATATATATACACATATGTATATATATATACATATATATACACATATATATACACATATATAAGCTTTATCTCACTATATTGCTATATTTCTGAATCATAACTAAATGCTTTTTCAAAAAAAATGTATTCTTTAAATGAAAGGAGTTGAAAAAATGTTGATATAATCAAGGAAAGCTATTGAGTTTAAGATAAGCAGAGAGCGTGGCCTTCATCCTTAATCCCCACCACCTGATCCAGTTCCTGGTGGTTTCATAAAGTTTGTTGAATGACTTTTTTAAAAAAGCAGAAGTTATTTGTAGATGGCAATAATCCCATCTAAGAGTCTGAAGAGACATTTGACAGAGCCATGGAGCAGTATAGCAAATACTTAGGAAATGGTAGGTCCACATAATGTAAATTTACTTGAAGTCATATTAGGTGGAGATCTGTAAGCTTATTTTGAAATATAAAGATTTGATTATATTTTTGTGAAATACAGTCTTATTTCTATCATATGCTCATCTTCATCATACCTGCCATTTGCATTTTGACATCATGATGGGGAACAGGAAGCGGTAATCGGCCTCAGGCACAAATTTACCTCCAGGTGAAGTGAGAGGGATGACCATTTGCTTGGCTCACTTGGTTACACTTAGGGAATAGGGATTTGGGAGAGTTTGGGAACCACAGAGCCATTCTTTCTGAGGACTCTTCCCTGGTGCTGCCAGATTTCAGGGTTTGAGGTTCACAACACAAGACGCTTGTGATCTTCTCTCTCCTTCCCATTCTGACATTCCAGTATGGGGCACTGTTTGTTGGCTGGTCTCTGTTAAATACAAGGATTCCTCCATAGGGTAAGAAATTTGAGGGTGAAGTAGATTCCCTGTCCCAGGCTTCTGAGTACCTTGGGAGCTGGACTGTATGCCATTTAGCATCATATTCCAAAGCCAAGGTCAGTGCTTGGTTGATGGAAGACACGTAAACACTGGTAAACACATGTAAACACTGGCTGTAAACATCTGTGGAGTGAATCAGTGCATTTTGAGATTTGGCAGAGTAACGTCCACTGCACCTTTCCAAGGGGAAAGGTTTCAAAACCATAAACAACTTCATTCGGCAAGTTAGGAAACAGATCTAATTTGTGCACAATTTGACATGAGGTAACTTTTTGGAAGGTATACATGATAAGCATAATGTATTCAACTTCCTAGAAAAATCAATGGCTTCCACTTATATTCAAACCAGGAAATTTGGTTCTTTATGTATAATCGTTAATGGTCAACTATGGCCGAGATCAATTTAGTCCATATACTTTGATATGGAAAGACTATTATGTCTTTATTTCTTTAAATCAACTTAGTTCAACTTTGTGACTCACTCCGTTGGAATTCCTACTCATGCTTGGCCCCATCCTCTAAATCCCACCACCATGCACGCACACACATAAGGTGCATACACCCACACATATAGACACGCGCTCTCAGATCAGGCACTGAGAAGGCAAAGAAAACAATAAAACAGCAGAAGGATCCATCTAAGATCCTTGAATTTTTTGCTCTACTACTGAATACATCTATTATGGTCTCTTTATGTCTAGCGACACAGCCTCTGTGTCTCACTTAGGGTTGGGGATTTGGGTAAGGCTGGGAACCACGAACTATTCCTTTCTAAGGCCTGATCACTCTCCCTGGAACTGCCAGACTGCGGGGCTTGAGGTCCTTCCTCCCTTTCCCATTCTGACTCAACTCTTTCCCTGCATTCAGAACCACTCCCCTTCTCACCAACTTTGGAACTCCATTTCTTCTAAAGGGCTGAGATTTTTATATAAAGCCAAAAAAAGCTTTGGATTTAAGATTGCTTATGTTTTCTGCCAGACTAACATCCATGTGGCAAGGAATTTCAAATCGTGAATTCTGCCTTGAAATAGAGCAAGGAAAAAACAGGTAGAAGAGATAAAATGTATTTCCTTAGATTGTCTGCCACAGTACAAAACCAAAGTGTTTTTGGTGAAATGCAAGAGGGGTATAAGCGGATATCTGTAATACCACAGTAGGCAAAAATACAGGCCCATAAAAGATGAATTTTAAAATTCTATTTTAGGAATTATTAATTATTATGATCTTGAAAGAATCACTTTAATTCTACATTTTTACTCATCCCACCTGAAATCCTAGTAGACTACATGGTGGTGGGATGACAGCCAGTGTGATTTGTCAGGGTGTATCTGTGTGTGTTTCCTTCTGAACTCTTACCTTACAGTATCATTTCTCTCTCAGGAGCTTGGCTTCTTTGAGAAATAAATTTAGAACTCAGGTGGGATGTCTGTGAAATAGAAGCATAAAAAGCCTAGAAAACAGTTTTTTCTGATATTGGAATCTACCTCTGATAGGCATGATTTACCATCAGATTACTTTGAGACTAACCCGACCTCTTCATACACATTTTTCATATGTGGCATACTTTGTTAAATATTTTGCTTTAAATACAAAGAAAATGTATTTATGAAAAATTATGAATTTTTTTCCAACTGACGTTGTTCTAAAGCAATTTTTAAAACTTTTATATAGAATTCTTTATTCTTTTACAAGTTGACTAAGTATTTTGCTTAAAAAAGAAAAAATATTTATACGTATATGGATAGATGCATTTTTCATGAGGAAAGAAAAATTAATATTCAAGATTCATAGGCATATCACTGAGCTACGCTACATGAGTTTCTGTGGAGTATATTCTCCTAAAATTTTGACCACCTACTGTTTCTTAAGAAATGAGGCCCATGTTATGTTGTCACTAAATAGTCAATTAGATGCCTGCTTTCAGGGACAATTACACATTTGGTATGTTTGCACATGTCTACCAAATATTTTCAAAATGCTTTGAAACCCAAACACATCCTAGAAGAATTGGCACTATTCTCAAACCCGTCAAGGGTCCTAAAGTTCCAAGTAACAATCTGGCTCACAGGCCATTACTGCTCCCACAGCTGGGCTCAACATCTGTTCTGAATATAATATGGTTTGGCTCTGTGTCCCCACCTAAATCTCACCTTGAATTGTAAATCCCATAATCCCCATGTGCCAAGGGCGGGACCAGGTGGAGGTAATTGGATCATGAGGGCAGTTTCCCCCATGCTGTTCTTGAGATAATGAGTGAGTTTCACGAGATCTGATGGTTTTATAAGTGTCTGGTATTTCCCTTGCTTGTACTACCTCCACTTTGCTGCCCTGTGCAGAAGATGTCTGTTTCTCGTTTTCCTTCTGCCATGATTGTAAGTTTCCTGAGACCTCCCCAGCCATGTGGAACTGTGAGTCAATCAAACCTCTTTCCTTTATAAATTACCCAGTCTCAGGTATTTCTTTATAGTAGTATGAAAATGGACTAACACAAAATATGTATTTACTGGTGAACAACAAGAATTCAGAGGCTGATCTGAAAGGATCAAATCAACTGGACCTATGTTAAATGTGGCCTGTATTTAAACCCTTTGCTGAATCTTTACTTTTTCCTTGAAGCTACTGTCTTCCATTAACGAGAAAAGATGTAGGAGGATTCTTATTTTATACTTTGTTTCATTTGGTTGACAGATGTAGGTTGATAATGAGTAAGGAGCCTTTAACAAGTGAGAAGGGTCTCAGATATGGCTCTTTCCTTGGCTCTAAAAACTTTATTAAATATTTCTATTATAAGACATGACTTATAAGAAATGTTGGTTACCTTCAGGGCTTGTATTTAGCTGGTGTGACTGTGTATTAAAATACTGAAATGCTTTGGTACCCTTAGAATTATCCCAAATCCCCTCCCATACCACTGCTGGGTCCTCCTGACCTCCCAATGATCTAGCAAAGAATCTAGCTCTACGTCTCTTCTGATTGGTTTGGTGTCCGTTTCATCTAGTCGTTAACTGTTTTTCACATTGTCTCAGTTCTCTTAATTATCTTGCTTTTCTGTGCTTGGAGATAAGCCAGATTGATGGTAGGGTTTACAGAATATTTTTTATAAGTAAGTCATTTTCCATTATGAAAAGAATCTTTTATTTCAAGCATTGTGTTCCTTTGGAGACACTACTAATGTAATCAACAAAACAGGAAGGAACTAGAAATTATAACACATCATATACCCAGTGCTTCTCCACCCCTAGCTTCTCATGACAATCCCTGCATTACCCATTACCCTCTCTGCTGTCTTGTGCCATGCGTGAGTCTTCTTGCCATCCCACCCCACCATACACCTGACACCCAAATTGGTTTTCCTCATTCAGCTTGCCTTACATGGGACATGCCACGTTTACACTTCCACAAATTCCTCCCATCCTTTTTATATACCCCATCCATCCATATGACTCCACTGCGTTCTTATCCTTAGGACCCTGCTTTTGGCATTCAAAGGAATCAATTAGCTCCACATTTCACTGCTGTACGGATCATTGATATTACCATGAGAAGGCAGGATTTGTATCTAGTAAGCTGTGTTTTAACTGTGACATTTTGGAGGCAGAGTTCTCAACTGTCCTTTGTTAGCCAATCCAAATGACACTCTCAATCATGAGTGCTACAGGCCTGGATAGTGATGTTGACTCAAGAAGCTGACTGAACCTGGCAGGGCCTGCAGTGCTCATGCCTACTTCCCATCTGTGTGAAAGTCCTTTCCAGGAGAATAAGCATTTTCTAAAATTGTACAGATATCTCCGAAATGAAGCAGAGCTGTTTATACCATTATCTAGTGAGTTTAAGAGAGTGTTCAGAGTGCCTGCCTGCAAGGAGCAAGCAAGGAAATAATAAATCAGTCTGCTTTTAATTTTTCAGGATGACTGGATTGGGTCCCAGGTCATCACATTGTTACGGTGTCTTAGATTTGCTTTGGCTCTAGAGTTACTACTAAGTAATAATCTCTAATCCAGTTGCACTTACCCTTCTCTCAAGTCACCTTGTGTTCAATAAGGATAAACATTACTCACTGGTATATTGTTTTAAGAGGCTTTCAAACATCATGAATATCAGACTCTACTTCTTATAGCACAATCCATTAGCCATACCTTACTGCCTGATATTTCAGACCACAAATATTTAAAATCTGCTCACTTTTTGCTCATTCTAATTCATCAAAGAATCTGATTAAAAATAGAATTTATTTCAGCTTTTGGGTTTTCTGCAAAACAGCCCTCATATTCTGCCTTGGTCTATATTTTAGGAGACTTTTGTCTTACACTGTTCCCTGTTCTGATATTTAAGAAAAAATATTGGAACATACAGGTTTGCTAAAAATGACCCAAACTACTTGAAGGAGAAACAGTAGCCAAGAGTGTGGGGGTGGCCATGGCAAAGATGTTGCCGGTTTTCAGAAATATCAAGACCATCTGCTATGTCAACAACATTTCTGCCACAGTCAAAACCAGCTGGTGAGAGGAAAGTCTCTCGGAGTGTCAGGTTCTAACATGAGTGAAGACGGCCCTCTCTAAAGGGGAAGTGTGTTTTAGAAGAGGCTTGACAGCTGGGGAGAGAGCCTGTGGGGAGTTGCAGGCCACAACAAGGTCCGGGTTTGCAAACAAAGCATAGATCAGACTGCTGATGAGGGTGTGATCATCAGAGGCAGCCATCAAGACTTAATTCTACTTGTCCTGGACATGTCTCAAGAATGCATCAGTCACACATAAGGCATTTATAGATGTGAGACACCACATTACTCACTGGAGCTTCATGTTCACACCTTGACTGGAGATCTTATGGGACATCATTAGATTCTGTTATCTCCTTTTCTTCCTGTAGCTGTCCTGGAAGAGCATGATGAGGTGGGGTGGGGTGGGAGGCTGTCTTCAGAATATTCTGGGCAGCGATGCAGTACGGGAAGAACTACTTAGTCAGAGGACACACCAGGGGAGGTGGAGAATGGAGAGTGCTCTCCCAGGAAAACATTTCCCTAGGCTATGTTTACTCAGAAAGCAAGTCATTCTTGCCACTATTCATTTCCTCCTGCAAAGCTCATGATTCTAGTTAATCAAATGGCTTCATAAAGAATGCCATTATTATTTCAAGACAGGCAGAATGTAATCTGATGTACAACAAAGACCTGCATTATATCAGGTGTATCATGAAGGTCAATTGTATTTTGTTTTCAACCCTATAGAATATTGGGGTCAGTACAATCTTGTCATTTATAAGTCTAATCTTTTATATTTAGATGTAACATTTGACCTCTTTCAAACCACTATAATAATTAGGAATATTATAAAAGTAATGTAAGTAAGTTGTGGAGTCTTTTTGTGTGTGTGTGTGCTTCCATAAACATTCCTTCTGGTTTGGAATCTATTGGCCACTACTCTTCTGTTGTATTGTACTATGTTAATGGTTTTTCAAGAAAATAAGCAAGTGATAATCTCCATTTTAGTACATCTTAGACAGTGTCCTAGAAACTCAAATGATTTTTTCTATGTAAAAACAGAACGGCCCACCTTCCCAATTTGACTTTATTTATATAGGTAATTCTCAGAATTACCATAGAGCCAGTTCCCAAGACGATTCTCTTGAATAACTCATAAGATTGCCTTCATTGCACTGTTGTCTAAATGTGAGCCTTGCAGAGATTCCTTTTCATGACAGTTCATAAATATTCTATTTCCTTTTTAGCTAGACTTGTCACTAACCAAACATTTATAGTCAACATTTGTGAGGTGGCTATCAAGACTTAATTCTGCCTCTCCATACTAGAGATATTTATGTACTTACAAAAACAGCTACTTGGATTCATTAATGACAGCTTTAAATCTTTCTCCTAAAACAGTGATTCTGCTATCTTCAAGTCTGGCAGGGAGCAGTGTGCTAACTATGTGACATGTGACTTTAGCCTGCAGGTACATTGCTACTGAGACATCATGGTCTGGTGGATACAGCATGACAATAATCTACTCTTTCATTCTGCCCTGAGGTCCCAGGTGACCTTGAGCGAGTCATTTGGCCTTGTCTTTGCATTTCAAGTTCCTTTCCACAACAATGGAAAAATCTTTGCATCTGTTCTTTGCAGGGATGCTTCTAATATTGCCTTCTTTCTTCCTGTTATACACATTCTTTTTATTATTGTTTTTCTGTTTAATATTCCCTATGATGTGACCATCCAGCATTCCTGGGTGACTGTGTAATTATGTCAGAGAGTCACAGGAAATTTTTTTTCAAGCAGGAAGTTGAGTTAGAAAGATTAGGCAACTGTAAATGCCTATGACTCCCTTTGTTTCTCATTTTTCATTGAAAGTGTGTCTACCATGGGCCGGGCACAGTGGCTCACACCTTTAATCCCAGCACTTTGGGAGGCCAAGGCAGGTGGATCACGAGGTCAGGAGATGGAGACCATCCTGGCTAACACAGTGAAACCCTGTCTCTACTGAAAATATAAAAAATTAGCCAGGCATGGTGGCGGGTGCCTGTAGTCCCAGCTACTTGGGAGGCTGAGGCAGGAAAATGGCATGAACCTGGGAGGCGGAGGTTGCAGTGAGCCGAGATGGTGCCACTGCACTCCAGTCTGAGTGACAGAGCGAGACTCCGTCTCAAATAAAAAAAAAAGAAAGAAAGTTTGTCTACCATGAACTCCATTTTCTAAAATTGCCTTCTTTCTTTCACATCTACTCCATGCCTCCTCCTTATTCCTTTTTCATATATTTCACATTTGTTTTTAATATTCCAAGCTTCCTAAACAAAAGAAAAGGCTACATATTACTAAATGCTGGTATTTTGGAGACGATGTATTCATTCAGCAAACATGTAATCAATAAAAATTCTAAAGGGCTGTCATGCAGAAACAGAACAAAGTTAGAAGAGAGGTTTAAAGAGACAAATTTGACTCAGTGTAAGTGTTTCAGGCCAGGCACAGTGGCTCATGCCTGTAATCCCAGCACTTCGGGAGGCCAAGTTGGGCACATCATCTGAAGTCAGGAGTTCGAGACCAACCTGGCCAACATGGTCAAACCTCGTCTCTACTAAAATACAAAAACTAGCCAGGTATGGTGGTGCACACCTGTAATCCCAGCTACTCAGGAGGCTGAGGCAGGAGAATCACTTGAACCTGGGAGGCAGAGGTTGCAGTGAGCTGAAATTGCACCATTGCACTATAGCCTGGGTGACAAGAGTGAAACTCTGTCCCAAAAAATAAAATAAAATAAGTGTTTCTTCTCACACAAACTCACCTGGATGTGAGTCCTGTAGGATGGAGAGCATTGCATAGCTAGCAGAAGGTGGTGATGTGCTGAAAAGAAGAGAAATTCTGGTCACCATAACTAGCTTCATGCAACTACCAGAGTTGAACAAGCTGGGCCAGCAGAATCATTGGCTTGTTCAGTAAGGTTGTCAGAACAAGTTCAACGGAAGCAAGAGTTGGTAACAGTGGGACCCATTCAGTTATTGGGAAGGAAGCTTGACAAGATAGAACCAAAGTGGCAGGCTGCAGTGTGAGGTCAGCTTTTAGGCCTTCAGAACTTTATCCCATCCTCTGCAGTGGCTACAGAACCACCATCACCATGGCAGGTAAATTCCTAGGCAAAAAGGGATGGGTCCCCAGTGAAACTCAACCTTCAAGCCAAGGACAATCTAAAGCCTGAAAACCAAAGTGTAAATCCACGAACCAGATCGAGAGCTCCCATTTCCATTTGGCATGCTCTCTCCAAATTGGTCCTTTTCCTTCACCTATTTTATGTAGACATACCCTTCCCCAAAAGGTCATCTACACTATTGTGCCTATTTCTGAATGGTGCTTTTTCAAACATACTCATAGACCAACCAGCATGCACTTCCCCATTTCAAGCCCATAAAAATCCCTAGACTTAGCCTCATGGCTAGCAACACACCTTTGGGTCCCCTCTCACTGTCAAGAGTGTTTCTGTTGCTCAATAAATTCTATTCTGCCTTACTCACTTTCTGATGTCTGTGTACCTCATTCTTCTCAGTTGTGGGACAAGAACTCAGAACTTGTCTAACCATGGGAGTAAAAGAGCTGTAACACTAGTTTTAGAAAGAAACTGGGATTTTGGGCAGTATAACCATGCAGGGCTGGGGACAGTGGTTCAGGCATGTAATCCCAACATTTTGGGAAGCCAAAGTGGGCAGATCACTTGAGCCCAGGGGTTTGAAACTAGCCCTGGGCAACATGGCAAAACCCCATCTCTACGAAAACTACAAAAAAATTAGCTGGGTATGGTGGTGCATGCCTGTAATCCCAGCTACTCAGGAAGCTGAGGTGGCAGAATCACCTGAACCCAAGAAGTCAAGGCTGCAGTGAACTGTGATCGCACCACTGCACTCCAGCCTGGATGACAGTGAAACCTTGTCAAAAAAAACAAAAACATGCACACTACTGAGAAGTAGTAGGGGAAAGGCAGCCCTGGCCCCCAGAAGCTGGTGTAGCACACACAGTTATGTCAAGTTATTCTCCTGTTAAACAATCTCACAGAATGCCAACGTCAAACGAGTTTACTCTGAGACCATGATAAAGTGAGGTAAAACAAGTCCACTTCATAATTTTATCCAAGGAAAGATAAAACCAAGGTCACTATGCTACCCACAAAATGCCAGATATTTTGTCTCTTAGCCAAAATGTGTGACTGCTACTTTATAATTAATCTACCATCTCTATAAATAAGATATATTAAGATACCCAATTATAGAATTGCCCCCACTTTCTGACAGCGTTCAATCGAGAGTGAACACCTGCTTTGTGGACCCTCTCTGACATCACTCAACCAAAGCCCAAATCCTGTAAGAAGGTCTTTCTAACACCCGCTCTCTTAGACACCCCATAGTTTCCTACAGTATATGTTCTCCTTCTGCAACAAATCATAAACTCAATTTGTTTGATTATAGGTGTGTTCCTGGTGGTATTTGCCTAGAGGGTATTGACAATACAAAGTTAGATTCAAAATAGAAGCTCAGTTCCAAGAAATGGGCATACATTTAGACAATGAGCACTTATGAAAGCTGCAAAGTTAAGAGTTGCTCAAACAGCCATGACTCGCCCGAGGGTTCTGAAATTAGTTCTCACCATGATTTAATTCCAAACCACACCAGAAAAAAAAGAGTTGATGTCACAATTCTGGCCGCAAATGAGATTTGGGGGGGTTACAAAATATACTGGGCCTGCAGTGCAGAGTTAGGAAAAGAAGCTGCAAAGAGGGAAGGAAGCTGCAATTAGTAAGCTAAGCTGTTTTTATAATGCTCTATACATTCTGGACACTTAGAGACCAGAATCCTTATGATCAGAATTGCCCAATCTGTCAATCACTGGGAGACACACTAAAGAAAACCAAATGATAATAATGCAATTACTAGGATCTAGGAAAACCTTAAGAAAATCTGTCTTTGAGTCCTTTTATACTATATCCCTTTATTTAGTTAATTTAATTTACATGCTCTTTCCCTGTCTCTTGCTCTCTGTCTCACACACACACATGTTATCAATATATCCTTTTTCTTCTATTTCCAAGCCACTTATACATACTTTCTTTTTTTTTAAAGTTTATATTTTATTTTATTTTATTTTTTATTATTATACTTTAAGTTTTAGGGTACATGTGCACAATGTGCAGGTTAATTACATATGTATACATGTGCCATGCTGGTGCGCTGCACCCACTAACTCGTCATCTAGCATTAGGTATATCTCCCAATGCTATCCCTCCCCCAACCCCACAACAGTCCCCAGAGTGTGATGTTCCCCTTCCTGTGTCCATTTATACATACTTTCAAGGCTAGATGTTCTAACTTGCTTTATTCTCTGCTTAAAGCAGTGGGTCTCGACTTTGGCTGCACATAAAAATGGATGGGAAGTGTTTAAAAAAAAAAAAAAAAAAAAAAGAACAACTCAGTGCCCAGGCCACACTCCAGTCCAATTAAACTGGAATCTCTGGAATAACATCCTGGTATTGGGGTTTTTTTCCTTATTATTCATTCCAATGGGCAGCCAAGATTGAGACCCACTGGCTTAGAGTTGCTCCTTCCCCAGACAAAGGTCTCATTATGTAACTGGTGAGTCCCTTTCCAAGTAACAGGCCATACCCTTCAGCTATGTTCCTCTAACACAACTATTCTTAACCAGCCTGCAGACCCCACCTGGAGGGTTATAATTTGAGAGTTCTTGGGTGAACTCAGTCAGCTGTTTTGATCCTAAAGAGTAACAGAAGCTTGAGAACCACTGCTCTTCCAGCAGGTACAAAGGGGTAATAATATTTAAAATAATTAAGAACAGGTTGGTACCAACCAATCAGAATTGTGCTGGGGTTGGAGTAGTGTACTAGATGTCAAATCTTAATTACTGGACCAAAATGAAGCACAGGGAATCCTAAGGAAGTGTATTAGTCCATTCTCATGCTGCTAATAAAGACATACCTGAGACTACGTAATTTACAAAGGAAAGAGGTTTACTTGACTCACAGTTCCAGAGAGCTGGGGAGGCCTCAGAAAACTTACAATCATGGCAGAAGGGGAAGCAAACACATCCTTCTTCACATGGTGACAGCAAGGAGAAGTGCCAAGGAAAGGAGGTAAAGCTCCTTATAACACCATCAGATCTCGTGAGAACTCACTGTCATGAGAACAGGATGAAGGAAGCCACCCCCATAATTTAATTATTTCTACCTGGTCCCTCCTACAACATGTGGGGATTATGGAAACTACAATTCAAAATGAGATTTGTGTGGGGACATACCCAAATCATATCATTCCACCCCTGGCCCCTCATAAATCTCATGTCCTCACATTTCAAAACACAACCATGCCTTCTCAACAGTCCCCTAAAGTCTTAACTCATTGAAGCATTAACCCAAAAGTCCAAGTCAAAAGTCTCATCTGAGACAAGGCAAGTCCCTTCCTCCTAAGAGCCTGTAAAATCAAAAACAAGTTAATTACTTCCTAGGTACAGGCATTGGGTAAATATACCTGTTCAAAATGGAGAAAATGGCCAAAACAAAGGGGCTACAGGCCCCTTGCAAGTCCAAAATCCAATAGGGCAGTCAATAAATCTTAAAGTTTCAAAATGATCTTGTTTGAATCCATGTCTCACATCCAAGTCATGCAGATGCAAGAGGTGGGCTCCCATGGCCTTGGGCAGTGCCACTCCTGTGGCTTTGCAAGGTACAACCCCCATCCTGGCTGCTTTCATGGGCTGGCTTTGAGTGTCTGCAGCTTTTCCACATGCATGGTGCAAGCGGTCTGTGGATCTGCCATTCTGAGGTCTGGAGGACAATGACGTCTTCTCATATCTCCACTAGGAAGTGGCCCAGTGGGGACTCTGTGTGGAGGTTCCTACCCCACATTTCCCTTCTGCAGTGCCCTGGCAGATTCTCCATGAGGGATTTGCCCCTGTAGCAGACTTCTGCCTGGACATCTGGGCATTTCTGTACATCCTCTGAAATCTAGGCAGAGGTTCCCAAACCTCAGTTCTTGACTTCTGTGCACCCACAGGCTCAATACCACATGTAAGTCATCAAGCCTTGGGGCTTGCATCCTCTGAAACCATGGCCTGAGCTGTACATTGGCACCTTTTAGCCAGGGCTGGAACTGAAGCAGCTGTGATGCCAGGCACCATGTCCCAAGGCTGCACAGAACTTGGGGGTCATGGGCCCAGCCCAGGAAACCATTTTTCCCTCCTAGGCCTCCAGCCTGTGATGCAGGGGCTTCCCCAAAGGTCTCTGACATGCCCTGGAGACATTTTCCTTATTGCCTTGGTGGTTAGCATTTGGCTTCTTGTAACTTATGCAAATTTCTGCAGTCAGCTTGAATTTATCCCCAGAAAATGGGTTTTTCTTTTCTACTGCATCATTAGGCTGCAAATTTTCCAAACTTTTATGTTCTATCACCTCTTGAATGCTTTACTGCTTATAAATATCTTCCACCAGATACCTTAAATTATCTCTCTCAAGTTCAAAGTTCCACAGATCTCTAGGTCAGGGGCAAAATGCCACCAGTCCCTTTGCTAAAGCATAATAAGAGTCGCCTTTGCTCTAGTTTCAAACTATTTCCTCATCTCCATCTGAGACAACTTCAGCCTGGACTTTATTGTTCATATCACTATCAGCATTTTGGTCGAAGCTATTCAACAAGTCTCTAGGAAGTTCTAAACTTTCCCAAATCTTCCTGTCTTCTGAGCCCTCTAAATCTCTAGAAAGTTCCAAACTTTCCCACATTTTCCTGTCTTCTTCCAAGCCCTCCAAATGGTTCCAACCCCTGCTTGATACCCAGTTTCAAACTCACTTCCACATTTTTGGGTATCTTTACAGCAGCACTCCACTCTCTGCAGTACCAATCTACTGTATTAGTCCATTCTCATGCTAATAAATACATACTGGAGACTGGGTAATTTATAAAGGAAAGAGGTTTAATTGACTCACAGTTTCACAGGACTGGGGAGACCTCAGGATACTTACAATCTGGCAGAAGGGGAAGCAAACACATTCTTCTTCACATGACAGCAGCAAGGAGAAGTGCCAAGCAAAAGGAAGAAAAGTCACTTATAAACCCGTCAGATTTTGTGAGAACTCACTTACTATCACAAGAATAAGACGGGGAAAACTGCCCCTATGATTTAATTATCTCCGCCTGGTCCCTCCCATGACACGTGGGGATTATGGGAACTACAATTCAAGATGAGATTGGGTGGGGACACAGTCAAACCATATCAGGAAGGGTTCAGAGAAGCCAGGGCAACAAAGAGTCATTTAGAGGATGTGGAACAGTGACTATCAACCAGTAAAGAGGTACTTTAATTTTAACATTTAGTACAGGCTTTCCTGTGAGTACCACCTGAATGTCAGCCTTGCACAAGCCTACTGCTAAGGTAGTACCTATCCTCCTTGTAGTGCAACTGTATATTTGCTATTTGAGGACCGGTTATGTGCTCAACGAATGCCTGATAAATGGATAAGTGAATGAATTTTACCTAATGCAGACACCCCTTTTATTTTTTCTTACAATTTGTCAAAAGGTTTTCTCTTTTATAACATAGTCAACTTCTTAGTGTCTTGATAATTGCAAAGACTGTAAAGAGTTTCATTGTTACATTTTTTTCAATATTGCATATACTGCAAGTCTACCATGTTGTTAGGTGTTATAAGGAATAACAGAAAGTATAAGATGAGATTTCTGAGTTCCCGGTATTTGGAAATACCTGTGCCTCCAAGTTAAACCTTGGTGCTATTTCATTTCATGGTGTTACCAAGACCTGTGAAATCAGCACCCAGGGAAAGCATCTACAACAGCGGCATCTCAGATCCCATGGTTGGCTACTGCAGAAGGATGTTTGGGGACATGAAGACTCCTTTTACCCTATTCCTTATAAATAACTTCCTATTCATAGGTACAAGAGATAACATTTCCTGTCAATATCAAGTCACATGTTGCTTGATGTATGTTATTTTAAAAGACTCCTCTTAGTCTAATTACCTAATATTATAGTGGAAGTCAAGGTCAAAACAGGCAACTGTCGTAACTCCAATATGTCAGTGGTTCACTTATTTTTTATGTCTCCCTCTTGAAGAAAGCTAAACAAACCACCAACAGGAATAAAGCAGAAAGAACTGCATTTCATTCCACAGACAGGACCCACAGTGAGTGATGAGCATCTGCTTCAGTATTTTACAATTCTTAAAGTGGTTTATTAATTATAAAAATTTTCCAATTTGAAAGAATCTAGGCAAATACATTTGATTAACATTTTTAAATGTATGACTAATATATTTTATTTGGTTTAAATATTTTATATTCATACAATGATTCAATATGATACTTGCATTGTAATCAGTCTTGAGAATTAATAATTATTACACTTATTATAGTGAAATATTCACCCAAAGGTGCTCTTATATGTATATAATGTCAGAAACAAAAGAAACATGGTTGCCCCTTGGCTAAGACCCTAACTTTCAGGACTACCTTCCTGGACTTTTTTCATATGATGCATCCACAGAATGAATGAATATCTTGACTTTGGGCACATGATACTATCTGTATCCTACTACTTTAACTCCAATTTGGCTATGGGATTTTCCCTCTCTTTATCTTGGAATGCTTCTTTGCTACAGTAGCACTAATAATTTTTATAGTTAGAGAATATTTAATATCAACTCATGAAGATAAACACTGACCTACTCCATCAATGACTGAAATAAATTGTTCAGTTTTCTATGAAACAGGAAAAGCCCATTTTCATGTTGGTGAGGGGAAACAGATTGAATGAGTGACCATAATTTAACTTAATAAGAGCATGTAGCTCTTATTATTCAGGGACTTAATTTGATTATTGATATTCTTATGATAAATGTCTGCATAACATTGAATTTTACTCCAGTTATTTAAATACCTAAACAAAGCTTAACATCCCATTAAGGTAAATCTTCTGAAAATAAGCTGTAAGTTTATATTCTTTTAATGTATTCTATCTTTGACATCTCTCTGCATTTGATTTTTATGAACACCTGTTTCTATAGGAGACGGCTGGATGAATTTGTGACTGGAATAACTCATAAGCAGGAAAACATGCTGGGAACTCTTTTGAAGAGATGAAGCCTGGATGAAGGGCCTAGATCGCACCAAAGTAAGTGAAGTTGAGAGATACTCACAGAAGGATAACTGGCTCCCTGAGGATGAAAAAAAACATCAAATCCAAAGTATGGAGAATAAACTCAAGTCCAGTCCTACACAGTTCCATTGTTAACAAAGTCTAAATTAATCAGGATGGACTGAGTCACTGGGAGTTGTCCACAATACCTGCTGTCAACTAGTCATGAAAGACAAGGTCATTATCCAAATTTTCAATTGGAGGCAAGGCAAAGAAGGCCAAAAGCAAATACAGGTATACCTTGTTTTGTTGCATTTTGCTTTATTGCATGTCATAGCCTCTGCATTTTTTACAAATTGAAGGTTTGTGGCAACCCTGCATTGAGCAAGTCTATCAGCACCATTTTTCTCACTGTGTGTCTCTGTGTCACATTTTGGAATTCTCACAATATTTCAAACTCTTTCATTATTATTCTCTCCTTTATGGTGATCTATGCTCAGTGATCTTTGAGTTATTATTGTAATTGTTTGGGGGGCACCACAAATGACACCCAGTAAAACAGTGAACTTAACTGGTAAATGTTGTGTGTGTTCTGACTCCTTCACCAACCAGTCATTCCTCAATCTCTCATCCTCTCCTCAGGCCTCCCTCTTCTCTGACACATAGCAATACTGAAATTAGGCCAGTTAATAACCCTACAATGGCCTCTATATGTTCAAGTGAAAGAAAGAGTCACATGTCTCTCACTTAAAATCAAAAGTTAGACATGATTAAGCTTAGTGAGAAAGTCATGTGGAAAACAGAGATAGGCTAAAAGCTTGGCCTCTTGCATCAAACAGCCAAGTTGTGAATGCAAAGGAAAAGCTCTTGAAGGAAATTAAAAGTGCTACTCTGGTGAACACATGAATGATTAAAAAAAAGTGAAGTAGCATATTATTGATATGTAGAAAGTCTGAGTGGTATGGATAGAAGCTCAAACCACCACAACAGTCCCATAAATCAAAGCCTAATCCAGTTGAAAGCTCTCAGCAGCAAGATTCGACCCTCTTTGAGCAAAAAAAAATTCCAACTCACTGAAGGCCCAGATAATTGTTAGCACTGTTTACCAATAAAGTATTTTTTAATTGAGGTATGCTTTTTTTTTTTTTTTTTTTTTGAGACAGAGTCTCACTCTGTCACCCAGGCTGGAGTGCAGTAGTACAATCTTGGCTTACTGCAACCTTTACTCCCAGGTTCAAGTGATTCTCCTGCTTCAGCCTTCCAAGTACCTGGGGTAAATTACAGGTGCACACCACCATGCTCAGCTAATTTTTTTTTGCATTTTTAGTAGAGATGGGGTTTCGCCATGTTGGCGAGGCTAGTCTCAAACTCCTGACCTTAGGTGATCCACCCACCTTGGCCTCCCAAAGTGCTGGGATTACAGGCATGAGCCACCATGCCCAGCTGAGTATGCATATTTTTTAGACATAATGCTATTGCACACTTAATAGACAATAGCATAGTGTAAACACAACTTTTATTTGCATTGGGAGACCAAAAAATTTCCACGACTTGCTTCATTGCAACACCCGCTTTATTGTGGTGGGCTGGAAATGAATTTGCAGTATCTCTGAGTTAGGCTTGTATGGAAAAACCAGGGGCATGAATTAGAATGAAGTGGCAATGGTAGGCTCCCCAACCCACCAAGGAGATATCAGAGTTAGCGCTGCAGCCCACATCCTACCTAAACCCCCGTTGGGTCACATAGGAAGGGCAATTACTGATAGGGTTACAAAAGGAGGCTCTTGTCAAGCACATCAGTGTCCATTTGCCTCTGGGTGCTGGAACATCAAGAATGGCAACCCGAAGAATATTTCCAGATCCCCTGGCCTACTGACTGGCAGACAACCAAAAGATACTTATGATAAGTTAGTTAGAAAGCAGAATGAATGCCACGGATGAAACAGAAATAATACAAAGTCTCAGGACTTACTGATTTTTGTGTATTATGAGTAAATCAGGTCAATCTTAGAGTATGCTTCACTCTAGCAAGATCAAGTGTTCAAATGCAAATTGGCTTTCAATGAAACTAAAATGGGCTCAAAATAGATCAGATTAAAAACCATTTTTTCACTAAAAAATTGGATGATAAAACCAAAGGCCATGCCAGTGCTGCTCACTGCTTTCCGATGAATGAACCATCAATTTATTCATCTGATAAATATTTGTTGAACAAATAACATGTGATAAGCACTGTTCTAGGCACTGATGAACCAGACACAAGAGCTATCCTAATGGGGCGAGGGTCATGGAACGTGAGCAAGAAAAATGCAAAATAATTCCAGAGAACGACTGTCACAGGGAGATAATAAAGTGGGTTCCTGTGATAGAGAATGACTGTGGAGGGGAAGTGGGGTACTTCTTTCAGCAAAGTGGTCAGGAAAGGTCTTTTGGAGAAGGGGTAGTGTTTGACTGAGACCTGAGTGGTGGAAAGAGGGTAGCAGGGGAACAGAGACCAAGCAGAGGAGCAAGCTGGATCTGCTGTTAGGGATCAAGCACTATATATGCTTGATGAACTGGTTGTAGGCCCAAGATATCTCAGTCTTTATGATTTAATTTGCCCTAAAGGCTTCATGTTCACCTAAGAGACAGAGATAATGACCTGGAGAAAAAGAGAACCACTGAGGAGGACTATACCGTGTCTGTTATCCAGCCTGGGTGCAGAGACCACTCCTGCAAGAAATGAATGGAGCTGCAACAGGCCAAAGATGGAGGAAGGCACTGTTTTCACAAGGGGCCCCTGAGACTAAGGTCCAGGGGACAAAGCACATTTCCAAGCAGAGGAGGGGTCTACCCCCATTTCTTTAAGAAGCCCAGTGTGATTCAGGCTCATTGTGCACAAAAGGAGGAAACAACACTATTTTTACACCTTGAAAGCTTCAGAAAGTGCAGATATCAGCATATTTATAGAGAACTGCACCATTGAGATGGTGCAAAGTGTAACTCTCAGGGGCCCTGGGAAGGAAGAGACTCCCTGAATGAGCCTGGGTGGAGGAGCAGAAGAAGACTTTTCACAAGCACATATAAGACATTCCATTTCCTAGGTGTATTTTGTGTCTACATGCAACATGGATGAGTCAGAAAAGTGTGAGATGTGTCACCATATTCCCAGGCATAAAATCCCCTAGAATGTCACCCTCTTCTCCTAATCTTCCCTTCACCTTTTTGTTCCCCCGAGGATATGGTTTTCTTTGCTTCCCTCTTTAGCGATGGCTATTTTCCCTCCTAGGTCTGGAGGTGGAGTAGGTGGCCTTGTTGCTCTTTATTGCCCCTTTCAGAGAATTCTCCCTCCCTCTTCCCTATACCCTCCCCAACCTTAAGGCTCATATCATTGCTGTTATAAACTGAATCATGTCCCCCACCCTCAAATTCATATGCTGAAGTCCTAACTCCCAGTACCATAGAATGTGATTTGGATATGGGATATTTAAAGAGGTGGTTAAGGTTAAATGAGATGATTAGAGTGGGCCTTACTCCAATATTACTCATGTCCTTATAAGAAGAGGAGATTAGGACACAAACATACACAGAGGAAAGATCCTGGGAAGAAAAGGGGAGAAGACAGCCATCTACAAGTCAAGGAGAAAGGTCCCAGAAGGAACCAACCCTGCCAACACCTAGATCTTGGACTTCTAGACTCCAGAACTGTGAGAAAATAAATGTCTGTTGTTTAAGCCACCTAGCCTGTGGTATTTGTTAAGGCAGCCCCAGCAGACTAATACAATCAGACAGCAATCCTTCCTTGTTGCTGTTGTCTGCAGCCCTCTTTGAAGATCTTATTTTTTGATTGAGTCCTGTTGCTGTCTCCTACATGACCTCTGTCATTAATCCTTGGTGATTGATTTCTATGTGTGTAAGCTTTCCAACACCTTGGCCTCTCAGTTCCTGGTTCATCATTCTGGCCCAGCCATCCACTCCCATGGTCATAGCACCAAGCAAACTCTCCAACTCATGTCCATGAGGTGTTGAGCTCTTTGGCCCCTCACAGATGCTGAGCAGGATGGGAGCACCTAAAGCCCCCAGCCAGATATGCTATATAAATATTTTCACTTTCTATATGCACCACAATAGAAAAAAAAATACTAGAAGGCACTGCCCTAGGTCTTGTGATTGCCAATAACAACACTCCACTCACAATCTCACTTCAACAATCACTTTTCTTCCAATCACCATCTCCCATCATTACCAACCCCCTTCTCTAGTTATTTACATCCAGAAATGTTTGACTCCATTGAGACCTACATGCCATTGAACCTTCCAAAATGAATGTTTGTTGAATAAATGAATGAATGGATGAATTGTCTTATCACATTCCCACCTCCCCCTTTAACTTTTCTTTCCCAAACTTACAGGATTAGGACAGGGCTATTTGTATACTGAGGAAAATGTGACTTTCCTGGTATGCAAAAACCAAAGAAATTAATCTTTAATTTAAAATCATAGTTTGTGGGACATAGCATGAGAACTAGGAAGCCCTTATAGCAGCCATTCATGCCACCTTTTCTCATGCTGCTCATCATGGATGTCAAGAAACACAGAGACTGTGTTTTGGGGGTTCTGTATTTTTCTTAGCTATTATTCATCACAGCTAGCAACAAAGACTAGTATTCATGCAGTTGTCTTCAACGACAATGTGAAGCAACGGTTGATATTCTGCAAAGGATTGTCCATATCTTATTTATGGATTAGACGTGATAACATATTTTGCCCCGTCCTCTAAAAATCCACTAAATGTAGACAGTGAAAAATTCAATAGTCCACAGAAAATGTTACAATCTGCTCAGATGTCCTAATGTTACTTATCTACTATCTTCAAAAATATATAACTCCCTCTCTTCTAAAGCTTTATATATGTATCTTCAAACTCTCCTGCCCAACTAATCCTACTGAGCCATGAAATTGTAGCTTTTGGCAAGACCATCAGACATCACGATGACTGTACCTTCCCTGCCAAGATCAATAGTCTCTATCTTTCACTTGCCTTTGTCTAGGTTTCTACCCATATGGCTACCTAAAACACTGTCTCTTTAGTTACCCTCATCTTACCTCCACCTATTGCAAAATTACAGAGACTTCTCTGTTCTTTTTCTCATTGTTCTATTTTTATAACTATTTTATTTTGAATTCTGTTGAGTGTAGACAATTAATATGTGCCTTGTGGAGGGCATGTGTTCCAAAAAAAATGTTAAGCATCATTGTATAACATTGTTCAGCCTCCTGGGATTTTTTTTTGAAAGAATTTAATGTGTATTCATGTCTCAGAGCTATATCTATATATAGCTAAAACTACATATGGCTTTACGGCTGTTACTCTTAATGACTAGCACTTTGTTCATACTTTACAACACTTATTATTGCATATTATGGTCAACCATTTAAGTGTCTGTTTCCTCTGCTAAACAATGAGTTCTTTAAGGGCAAGCACCAGGTCTTATTTGTATTTATATTCCCAGAATCTTGCCAAGGGCCAAGGGCCTAGCATAAGTTCAGTAACTTTTTGTTGAGTGAAAAAAAAAGTGTCATAAAGTTATCTAACTGTGTGTGCATGTTTATGCCGGGAAAAAAAAACTAGCCATTGAGTTCTACCTTCAATGAGGTAAATAAATCAGTAGGGTAAAATTCTATTTTAGGAATTTCTTAAAACAACAACTTGAAATGTTCCATTGCAGAAGTAGAGAAGCAGTCACACATAGATATCAGTCTCTCTTAAAGCTGCTTTGGAACCTCAGATTTGACGTAATTAGTAAAACTGACATCATCATCACCAAGAATATAACAAGAGATCTGAAGTTGACAAAAGAAGCATGTGTGATCTACCACCATCTGATCTTTGACAAGCCTGACACACACAGGCAATGGGGAAAAGATTCCCTATTTAATAAATGGTGTTGGGAAAACTGGCTAGCCATAGGCAGAAAACTGAAACTGGACCCCTTCCTTACACCTTATACAAAAATCAACTCAAGATGGATCAAAGACTTAAACCTAAGACCTAGGACCATAAAAATCCTAGAAGAAAACCTGGGCAATATCATTCAGGACACAGGCATGGGCAAAGACTTCATGACTAAAACCCCAAAAGCAATGGCAACAAAAGCCAAAATTGACAAATGGGATCTAATTAAACCAAAGAGCTTCCGCACAGCAAAAGAAACTATCATCAGAGTGAAGAGAAAACCTACAGAATGGGAGAAAATTTTTGCAATCTATCCATCTGACAAAGGGCTAATATATCCAGAATCTACAAAGAACTTAAACAAATTTACAAGAAAAAAGCAAAAACCCCATCAAAAAATGGGCAAAGGATACGAACAGACGCTTCTCAAAAGAAGACATTTATGCAGCCAACAGACACATGAAAAAATGCTCATCACCACTGGTCGTTAGAGAAATGCAAATCAAAACCATAATGAGATACCATCTCACGCCAGTTAGATTGGTGATCATTAAAAAGTCAGGAAACAACAGATGCTGGAGAGGCTGTGGAAAAATGGGAACACTTTTACACTGTTGGTGGGAATATAAATTAGTTCAACCATTGTGGAAGACAGTGTGGCAATTCTTCAAGGATCTAGAACTAGAAATACCATTTGCCCCAGCAATTCCATTACTGGGTATATACCCAAAGGATTATATATTATTCTACAATAAAGACACATGCACACATATGTTTATTGCAGCACTATTCACAATAGCAAAGACTTGGAACCAACCCGAATGTTCATCAATGATAGTCTGGATTAAGAAAATGTGGCACATATACACCATGGAATACTATGCAGCCATGAAAAAGGATGAGTTCACATCCTTTGCAGAGACATGGATGAAGCTGGAAACCATCATTCTCAGCAAACTGTCACAAGATCAGAAAACCAAACCCCACATGTTCTCACTTATAAGTGGGAGTTGAACAATGAGAACACATGGACACAGGAAGGGGAACATCACACACCAGGGCCTGTGGGGGCTGGGGAGCTAGGGGAGGGATAGCATTAGGAGAAATACCTAACGTAGATAACGGGTTGATGGGTGCAGCAAACCACCATGGCACGTGTATACCTATGTAACAAAACTGCACGTTCTGCACATGTACCCCAGAACTTAAAGTATAATTAAAAAAAAATACTGGCATATGCGGTGAATTGCATACTCAATTAATGCATAAATAATTAAAAATTAAAAAGAAGCATGCATGATTCAAATATTATCACTATTCTTGGGGTCAAAACTTTCTCTTCTAGTTTAATATAGAGTCCCCTAATTCCAAGTCTAGCTTTTATGGCAGTCACAAAAATTATACCCAAATATCCCAAGTCACTTTGGGAAGAAAAATAATTGATTCTGTTAGTCAAATAACATTCTATGTTAAAAGCCAACTGAATCTAGTCAATTTCTTAAAAACCAGTTATCAATTATGATAAATTGTTTAGATGTATTCAGTCATTATAATTTTATTTTGTGTAGGTTATCTGGGAAGAGTTTGATTCAGCCCCCCAAAATCATAACTTATTCTTTCCTGTGGAGTATTGTTTATTCACCAGCCACTGTCTGAGAGAACTGAGGACTCATAAGAAAATATGTAAACTTTATAGTGACTTATAGAAAAGATATTTACTAAAGACACAATCCTTTACATGTAAAAAACAATAATAATTGAAGTGAGGTTGGTTCTCTTCAATTTTTATAGTCTAAGCATTCCTGTTAACCTATACGGAGCATTTATTAGTTGTTAACAAACACTGAGACATCCCGATGCTAAAGTACAAAAATCTACTATGAAGCTGCTCCAAATATCATATTATGAGTAAAGAATGTTTAGGTTCTTTCCTTTGAGCAAGAACATGCATACTCTGTGATATGGTTTGGCTGTGTCCCCACCCAAATATCATCTTGAACTGTAGCTCCAATAATTCCCACATGTTGTGGGAGACAGCCAGTGAGAGATAACTGAATCATGGGTGTGGTGTCCCCCATACAGTTCTCATGAATAAGTCTCACAAGATCTGATGGTTTTATAAGGGGTTTCCCATTTCACTTGGCTCTCATTCTCTCTTGCCTGCCGTGGAAGAGGTGCCTTTCACCATGATTGTGAGGCTTTCTCAGTCACATGGAACTGTGGGTCCATTAAACCTCTTTTTCTTTATAAATTATCCAGTCATGGATAATTTATGAAGCATGATAAATTATTATCCAGTCATGGATAATTTATGAAGCATGGATAAATTATGAAGCAGCATGAAAACAGACTAATACACTCTTGTATGAGGTCTACATGAAAAAGCAAATCTTTACAGTGGCCCAAACCAGGGAAGAGATCAGCTGTAAGAATGGAATTTGGAAGAAGAAATTAAGTAAAATAGGCCAGACGCAGTGGCTCACGCCTCTAATCCCAGCACTTTGGGAGGCCGAGGCGGGTGGATCACGAGGTCAGGAGATCGAGACCATCCTGGCTAACACGGTGAAACCCCATCTCTACTAAAAATAAAAAAAATTAGCCAGGTGTGGTGGCGGGCACCTGTAGTCCCAGCTACTCGAGAGGCTGAGACAGGAGAATGGTGTGAACCCGGGAGGCAGAGCTTGCAGTGAGCAGAGACCGGGCCACTGTACTCCAGCCTGGGCGACAGAGCGAGACTCTGTCTTAAAAAAAAAAAAAAAAAAAAAAAGAAATTAAGTAAAATATATTGATATTTTAAAATTATGTCCTTTCATAATATATTGTTCAGACAGTTTTTTTCATTGTTTCTGAAATGCAATTTAAATGTAAATATATTAGAGTTTGAAATGAATGGAGCTTAATTTCATTAAAAATCACTTATTCAATTGACATATAGTGATTTAATCTTTTAATAGACATGTTTTTAAAATGTAACCTATGAAAAATATATAATATTTTATTTTTAAATAAGATAAACTATAGGAACTATCTGAAAGGATGATCCAGTTAAATATATTCTCCTGTAAAGCCCTGCTAGATTTCTTAGTATACCACATTCTAAGTCCATATACATACACTTAACACAAAAATAAGCATGACTAATAACAAAAAACTTACTTTATCCACTGGCAACCCAGTGTAAAATTATCTGAATAAATGATATGAATAATAATTTATTCATAGGCCAGAGAGACCCTACATAAAAGCAGATTTTTCAGGCAGAGGTCATGAGGCTTTGGAATACACATTGTAAAAGAGGAAATTCTATTCTTCTCCAGACTTAACAGTGTTGTAAGTCAGGTCACATGCTGGCTTTCCCTGTCCTCCAGGAAGCACTTGTATCTATATGATTTTGGGGTCAACATGTAAGACCTCTATCTTGAATATACTTCTTTTTTATAGCCTATGTATTAGCCAGCATTCTCCAGAAAAACAAAATCAATAAGATATATAGATTTATAAGGGATTTATGATGAGAACTGACTCACATAGTTAGGGAGGCTGAGAGGTCCCATGATCTGCTGTCCATAAGCTGGAGAACCAAGAAAGGCCAGTTCGAAGGCCTAAGTGCCAGGGGAGTTGATGTAACTCGCAGTCGAAGGCCTCTGTTTGGCTGGGACCTCAATAGATTGGATGATGTCTGCCCACATTGGTGAGGCCAGCTCTTCTTTATTCAGTCTACTAATTTAAATGCTTATATCTTTCAGAAGCACCCTCATAGGCACAATCAGAAATAATGTTTCACCAGCTATCAGGGTATCCCTTAACCCAGTCAAGTTGACACATAAAATTAACCATCACAGTCTACTTAGAGAAACTTCAGCTGCGGGGAGTGCCAACTCCAGACTTGTTTTTTCTTCCCCACATACCTTGCTAGAATGTATCATTGAAGCAGTGAAAAATTAGCAAGAAAGTTTTCTCTTTTGATGTTTTGGCTTCTTATATGATTATGGCTGGTTTCATTGCCTTTGAACTGGTATCCTTGCTTCTCTATTTCCTAATACAGGTGAATATGTTCAATGCATTCATTTTGTGAGAGACCGTCTCTCCCCCAGAACATTTTTCTCTCGTGGTAATTCCTGAAAGCTGGAGACTTCACAAGAGGTAGATTTTCTTAGTAGACTAATCATAGCCTGGAAAGGAATAGGCTAATGTTTTCACCATGCTTTGTCTGCCCCGCACACTAATTTCAGCAAGAAATTCACCTCCGAAATGGAGCTGGAAGTAGAGTGGGGGAAACATGTATGTTTTCCCTTCAATCTTTAATGTCCTCACTGACTTAACCCTCCAAATGGAAAGTATAGGAAAACATTAAAATCTATGCTTATGCATAGCAAATAAATAACCCTAATTTGAAGCAATGTTGGCATTCATACTCTGGAATTTTTAGTAACAATTAATAATAGTATATTTTGCATTTATATAGTACATTATTCCAATCTATTTCCTTTTTTGAGTTTCACAACAACCTACTAGGGAGACTAAGTCAAATATTTTTATTTCTATTTAGAAATCATAAGATTAGGCTGGGCACGATGGCTCACGCCTGTAATTCCAGCACTTTGGGAGGCCGAGGCCAGCGGATCATGAGGTCAGGAGTTTGAGACCAGCCTGGCCAACATGGTGAAACCCTGTCTCTATTAAAGATACAAAAAATTAGCCAGGTGTGGTGGTGTATGCCTGTAATCCCAGCTACTCGGGAGGCTGAGGCAGGAGAATCGCTTGAACCCGGGAGGCAGAGGTTGCAGTGAGCTGAGATCACACCATTGCACTCCAGCCAGGGCGATAGGGTGAAACTTTGTCTCAAAAAAATCACAAGCTTAAACAACTTCTCAAGTTCATAATAGAATAAAACTAGAAACTGGAGCCTTGGTCCTTGAAATGTTTATTGTACACCACCAAGATTCACTACTATTTGGACAAATAGTCAACAAATATCAACTTATTATCTCCAGAGAAAACAATAGGCAATGCTATACACACAAAGTATGTGTGAACACAAAGTATTTTGAAAATATGTTTGTATATTTATTCATATTTATTCTGTGAAACCTTTAACTAAGTCTTGGAGATTCATCTTTCCCACATGACAGAAAATCAACCATGAAGCCATACAGATGGCAAGCATACTCTTTTAGAGGATTATATAAGGCTTTAGGAAAATATCATACATAATTATAGACATCTTTTTAAATACATAACATATTCAAGAGAAAAATTCAGAGGAATTTATTACATTAAGTTCTAGTTGTAGTCTAACAGTAGAATTTAAAGCGGAAGGAGGTAAGGAAGAAAGGGGGGAGGGACAGGAAGGAGTATGGGAGGATATCCAACCCACTGGGCTTTTTCCAACACCCTAAACTTAAAGAGAGTGCACTTTAAATTCAACAAAGTCTGGAGTGAATGTAATTAAAGAGTATATCAGTTAAATGTATTCATTCAGCTACAAGTAACAGAAAACTCAATATATAGTTGCTTAAAGAATTTATTTTTGTAATGTAGAAAAATCAAGAAGGAGATGGTCTGGGCTGCTGTATTTTTTTAATAATATTATCAAAGAACCAGGGTCCTTCTATTTCCCAGCTCTGCCATCTTTAGTGTGGGACTATTGTCCTCGGAGTCACAAAGAGGCTCTTTGTCCTACCTAGCATTATTTGTCATTGCAAGCAGGAAGAAAGAGAGGAAAAAGAAGGCAAATCGCTGCTTTTTGCAGTAATTTTCCCTATAATTCATTAATCTACACTCTGCCACATGGCCACTTCTATCTACAAGGGAAGCTGATGACACAGGTACTTCTCTTAGAGGCTTCTATAGTACAGAAAGGCATGGAAGAGGGTACTCTTGAATGAATCTACTCATCATATCTCCCCTACATAATGTTGGACTGCAAGGTATGTCTTAATAGGGAGAGCTTTGAAACTAATCCTGAAAAATAAGTCTAGAATACAGTGAGAGAAAGAAAATCAAGACAGAAAGAAGCACACAGTGAAAATTCTGCAAGGTGCATTTTGTTTTTCTCTTTGCCAATGTGAAATGTAAGTTAAAGTGGACCTATGTAATATTCAAATTTGGGAAAACTAACAAACCCATCTGAGTGCATATTAGGTATTTGATAAATATTTGTTGAGTAACTGAATGGATGAATTGTAGTCCTGCTTCTTCTTTTGCAAAAGTAAATTGCGTCTTTAAGTTAAGGCTGTGTTATGTAAACAGGTGTTCAGGTTTGAAAATGAATTCACTTCAGCTCACTAGAGTGAAAGGTAAAAGCTTGAGAGTATACTTCCAATCCTGATCACTAGAATTAAATCTCAGACCTATTCTTATTCAGGTGATTAGTTTTAGCATTTGAAGGCTCAAGAGAAACACATTATTTGCTTGTTCTACTCTTTGATAAAACATGTCTAGAAAATACCTGACCACAGAACTTCCATCACTCTTTACTTTTTATCTTTTTTAAAAATAAATGAAACTGTAATTTCACAAAGTCTCAAGTAGAAAAGGAAGATTGAGCTTTTGCAGTGAACTGGACAAAATAGTTGTTTTGTGGGAGAGACCTCACCCAACCAATCTCACTTGAGCTGTACAAAATGAAGGTAGACAATATCATGTACTAGAAGATTGGCTCTTTTTCACAGGAAAGGAAAATTATAGGTTTTCACTCAAGTAATAACCTGAACATAATGGAAGCTTTTCTTTCTAAAAAAAATGAAGAGGAATTGTGAGTACATAATATAATTTAGTCTCAAGATGAAAAAAAGCAACAGTGACTACACAGCGTTTTTCATTTTAGGAAACTATTATCCTAGTAGACAGATTTTTTTTTTTTTTGAGATGGAGTCTCACTCTGTCACCCAGGCTGGAGTACAATGGCACAATCTTGGCTCACTGCAACCTCTGCTTCCCAGGCTCAGGTGATTCTCCTGCCTCAGCCTCCTGAGTAGCTGGGATTACAGGTGCCATGCCCAGCTAATCTTTGTATTTTTAGTAGAGATAGGTTTTTGCCATGTTGACCAGGCTGGTCTCGAACTCCTGACCTCAGGTGATTTGCCCACCTCAGCCTCCCAAAATGCTGAGATTACAGGTAGGAGACACTGCACCCAGCCTAGAAGATAGATTTTCAATCCTGAACAGAAATATGTAATGATTTGATTCAATGAAATCTGCACCTGTTGGATCTCCACTTTGGGGCTACAAATAGGGCCAGGGGAAACAGACATGAAACTGCATAGCCTCTGCCTTCCCATTATTCTTAATTTTGTGAAGAAGGCAGATGTAAACAGCAAGCACACAAATAAACTCCAGAACACTACAAGTGCTTTCACGGAGGCACCAAAAAGATAAATGTAAACAAATCTGCCTCGGGTAATGAGAGAAGATCTCAGAAAAGTTGTTGGACCCCAGCAGTCTGGCTTCCTGGCTTTCAAGCCTCTGTAGAGTCCCATCCCACAGTGAGTCAGGGCTTGCCTGGATGACTAGTAGAATACTGAGGAAATGACAGTGTGTGGAATCCAAGAGTAGGCCATAAAAGAGATTTCTACTTCTACTTGCACTCCCCTTGCTCTAAGAAAAGCCAGCCTCCATGTTGTAAGAATACTCAACAGCCCTAAGAAGCAGTCTACTCATTGAGAAACTGAGACCTCCTGACAACAGCCAACCAGCTTGCCAGCCATGTGAGAGAGCAATCCTCAAAGCAGAACTTCACCTTCTCAAAGCAGAACCCCAAAGCTAGCACCAAACCTTCAAATTAACTACAACTGCACAAGACACCCTCAGCCAGAACCACCAAGCCAAGCCAATTTTGAATTCCTGGACCATTGCATGAGATAAATATTTACCGTTGTTTTACATCACTAATTTTGGGGCTAACTTGTTATGCAGCAATAGATAACTAATGCAGGTCTTAATGGATCAACTGAAATGAGCTAGACAAAGGAGTACTAGAAGTCATTCTAAGAAGAAGAAACAGAAGACGCAAAGGCACAGAGATATGAAACGGTCTTTTAAGAAAGGAGAGACTCAAAATGCAGTGGCATGGGGTATATGGAGTGGGAGTAAAGAAGATGAGGGTAGGAAAGAAAAAGCATGAATGCCAAGATGAGGAGTTCAAGTCTTATCACTATAGGCAATTGAGAGGCAATTGAAGCTCCTAAGTAGTAGCAATAATCAGCCTCATTATTATAATCACCTATGCAAGGCTAACTATGTACCAGACATTGTTTCAAGCATTTTCTATAAATTCATTAAACCCTCACCCTCCTACCCCATGAAATAGGCACTTCTATTATCCCCATTTTACAGATGAGGAAGCCAAAGTACAGGTAAAGAGGCGTGGAGGTTGAGGACTGTTTGCAAGGGAATGATTAACGAGATGGATCAGGAAAACAATGGAATTGGAGACAGACCAGAGGTACTGATGATTACTCAGGGAAGTGTCATCAATCCGTGGGAGGTCACAGTGGGCTGAGTTAGAAGTACTTGAGCAGGTGAGTTAAAATGTAGAAAGCTGTGATCTTAGAAGGGAGTCCAGAGGAAAGATGTTATCATTGCTAAGAAGAGGGTAAATGATAATGGAGTTAGCTTCAGGGGCAGGTGATTGGTTAATCCAAGATTAATTCAAGACACAATAAAAAGAAAAAAAAAATCTCATATTGGTTGTGTATCCCTTATCTGAAATGCTTGGGATCAGAAGTCTTTTGGATTTCAGATTTTTCTCAGATTTTCAAATATTTGCATATACAGTCACGTGTCATATAACATTTTGTTTAGGAACAGAATGCGTTTATACAACAGTGGTCCCAGAACACTATATTATATTTTTACTGTACCTTTTCTATTTTTGTCATGTTTAGACACAAAAATGCTTAACATTGGGCTATAATAGTCCACGGTATTCAATACAGTAACAAGCTATACAGGTTTGTGGCCTAGGAGCAATAGGCTATACCAGGTAGCCTAGGTGTGTAGTAGGCTAAGATATCTAGGTTCATGTAAGTACACTCTGTGATGTTTGCACAGCTACAAAATCGCCCAACAATTGCACTCCAGCCTGGGCGACAGAGTGAGACGCTGTCTCAAAAAAAAAGAAGGAAAGTTTAAAGAGTACAAGGCTGGGGTCTCAGTATTGTCTACATGGAAAATTTAAGGCTGCCCATTGAGAGTGAAGGGATTTAGTATAAGAATACTAACTAGAGTACCAAAGATTGTAATGGCCATCACAGGAAGTGAGAAAGGAGCTGGCAATTACTAAAAACCATCACCAGGCCACCATAAGATCTCCTTGGGTTTGTATGTCAAAGGAATTCTTTTTAGAGAGTGATTTAACTGGCTAGAAAATAATCTATAAAAGCCTAAAAGGTAAACTCAAAAAAAAAATCACTTCTCAGAATGTATAACTGTCATTAAGTGACATGTGACTGTACATAATGAGATATCTTTGGATTGGGACCCAAGTATAAAGATGAAATTCATTTTACTTTTCATATACACCTTATGCACATAGCCTGAAGGTAATTATATACACTATTTTTAATAATTTTGTGCACAGAAGAAAGTTTTGTCTGCGACACAAACACATAGCCTGAAGGTAATTATATACACTATTTTTAATAATCTTGTGCACGGAAGAAAGTTTTGTCTGCAACCCATCACCTGAATTCAGGTATAAAATTTTCCACTGTGGCGTCATGTCAGGGCTAAAACAGTTTTGGATTGGGACCATTTCAGATCTCAGATTTCTGAATCAGGGATGCTAAATTCATAAGTGGGAAGAACGAAAGAAAGTTATCTAAAGGAGGAAAGAAGGGAAGTTTAAAGAGTACAAGGCTGGGATCTCAGTATTGTCTACATGGAAAAATTTAAGGCTGCCTGTTGAGAGTGAAGGGATTTAGTATGAGACAGAATACTAACTAGAGTACAAAAGATTGTAATGGCCATCACAGGAAGTGAGAAGGGAACCGGCAGGTACTAAAAACCATCACCAGGCCACCATAAGAACTCCTCGGGTTTGTATGTCAAAGGAATTCTTTTTAGAGAGTGATTTAACTAGCTGGAAAATAATCTCTAAAAGTCTAAAAGGTAAACTTAAAAAGGACATAGACCAGAACCATTGGTGTGATAAGTAATTGTAAGTGGTCTCATAAGAGGAAAAAGAATGTAGTTTTTGTTTGTTTGTTTGTTTGTTTTCTACTGGTTCAACATTTTGTTCCAAAAGAGTTTGCTTTATTCAAAAAGTACTATGTTCTTGGGCTGGGCGCAGCGGCCCTCACCTGTAATCCCAGCACTTTTGGAGGCCAAGGTGGGTCAGGAGTTTGAGACCAGCCTGGCCAAGATGGTAAAACCCCGTCTCTACTAAAAATACAAAAAAATTAGCCAGGCATGGTGGCGGGCGCTTGTAGTCCCAGCTACTTCGGAGGCTGAGGTATGAGAATCACTTGAACGCAGGAGGCGGAGGTTGCAAGGAGCCAGGATTGCACCACTGCACTCCAGCCTGGGCAACAGAGTGAGACTCCGTCTCAAAAAAAAAAAAAAAAGGACTGTATTCTTAAGACCAATCTGTGTATTAGGAGAGTCCCCTTCTCACATTGACCTTACAGTCAGCTTGGTAGGGTAAAATCAATTCAAAAAACAGTGGAATCAGATATTAAATACAGAATAACTCCAAGTAAGAGGGTTAAACTTTGAAGTATGCACAATTAAGATTCAATCTGGAAGTTTATCATTTAACCAAGTACTGAATGACACTGATAATAGCAAATATTAATATTGCTATTAATATTAAAACTTCAATATTAATATGGAAGGTTTGCTGTTGTTATAATCAGTAATAAATGTGTCTATTACCAACAGTCACTGTGTACAAAATTTGGTTTCTCATAAGAAGGCTCTTCCGTCAAGGATATTTTTAGGGTAGCTATAAAATCATCATATCACCTCACTTTTCTTTTCCGCAGAGATTCTCTGGGAAGACTCATCTATAAATAGAGGCTATGATTTTTGCCACCTTCCCCTGGGAGTTCTCAGTATCCTTGTTTGTATTTTGCAAAATGTTTTAAACACCTTGGGGGAAAGGTGCTGTGAAATTACTATTATTATCCAGCTCCTGTTTTCATCTGTATTTACTTCTCTATAAGCCCTTTTCCTAGTTTCTGTAAAAGCTAAACACAGAATGTTACCTTGGGATGTTAATGAACAACTAAAAATCACCCAGAATTGCTTCTGAAGTGAAAGTCAAGTGCAACAAAAAGAAAAGACCATCTAGAAAGAAAATCAGAATGAATATATTTATTATTTAGAGATAAGCATTTCTTTAACTGGCTCCCAAGATTTTTTTTTTAATTAACTAATGACCTAATTTAGCTCCTTGAGACTCAGATTTCATCGAAAACCACACCATCCTGGTCATACCATTTTGGGGAATAAGTATGAATAGAGCCAGCACCGGCCCCTTGAGGTAGCCTGGATGTCAATACCAGGTTTACTATCAGTTGAAGTTCTTCACTCCCTCCTCCGCTCGCCCACTCACTCTTTGTGTTCCTTATAATTGCACTTTTAATTTTGCATTGTGATTACGTTCTTTTCTGTTTTATTTACTCTTCCTTAAATCTACCCAGGGAACTAACTAACTACATCTAACTCATTTTGAATCACCACAGTGCCTAGCAAAGTTCACAGTAAAAGAGAAGTGAATGTTCTTGTCCTAAATTACTCATTTGATCAATTCTACCCAAAGATCAGTACAATTGCCTAACACTCGTCAGTTCTAAATTCCATTTAAAACCACCCTTCTAAAATATAAAAGGCAAGAGCCAAAATTAAGGTGAAAGGAATGCTAAATAGAAAACAGGCTGAGTGAGGAGTCCTTGAATATGGTAAAACAACCCTAAAACCCACCGATGGATCAAAAGCTCCTTCACGTCACTACCACCACGTTAGCATGTTCCAAATTATATCCAACTTGTTAATTACATATGTACTAGATTGAAAGTTTCGTGTTCCTTATTCATCTTTGTACCCCCAATTGACTTATTAACATAGAAAGTCCCAAGACTTAGTTTTGTAAGAATAATGAAGCTCTTATCACTAAAATGGATGAAGTGTATATGTTTTGATTTATTTCTAAAGAAATAATGTTTCTTCTCTGCTCCTCCTCTCTTGAGCACAATAAACACATTAAAGCTTCTGCTCATTCCTCATCTCCCCTATGAACCACTCTTTTTAAAAAGTAGCTCCCTTTTGGTCCTCTGTATCCTTCTCACCTATTTCTATTTTCTCCACTGAACCTAGCGTTATATGAATTCACCTTACTCATCTGTCTATGGCCCTTCATTTTCACACCAGAACATAAATTTCTTGTGAGCAAGACCACCATCCGTATGTTTCACCACTGTATCCAGCACACAGAACAATAATGTTTGAACCTGGCTATATACTGAAAACACAAGAGAGCTTCTAAAGTGACAGATGCCCAGACTCAAGTCAGAACAATTAAATCAGGATCCCTGGAACTAGGTACTCAAACCTCACTGTTTCATCCTCTTTTAAGACAAACAAGTAATTATAATTTCAGCCAAGTTTGAGAACCACTGACCTAGAACATAACCGATAAATTGGTAAATGAGTGGATGAATAAATCAAAGAACAATTGACTAGAACTCACCACACGTTGCTCAGTATCTGACTTTTGCATAAAAAATGCCCCTTTGCTTGGTGCAAAGCTACAGCTTTAACCCTAAATAACTGTCTTGGAAATTATGGATTTTAATTTAAGCATCTTTCTTTACCGCCACTGGAAAAGCTACTCATGGTGGGTCAGTAGCAGATTATTTGTTTATTAAGGACAGTGCATTATGGAGCCAGAGTGAGTAAAGAGAATCCTTGGAAAATCCGAAGATGGATAAACCTGTACATGACAAATGGACGGGTGTGAAAAGAGAATTGATTAGCACAAACCAACCCATACACAGCTTTTGAAAAATGGGAGATGTCAGCTATCCAGACAAAGCAGATATACAATACTCAAAATCATCATCACATGAAATCTTTTGAAAATATTCTTGAAAATATTTGTTTTACTCTGCCTTCTCTCAATCAATAAACTCCTTACTCAGTTATTAGAGGAGGAAATATTCACGCCGATTATATCTTGCTCTTCAGTGATTTTCTTGGGCTAGATGGATTTATTCCTGTATTTTATAAGTTATTCCATCACCCACTCATGCTCTGCTTCAACCAGTAATAGAGAAAACATTAAAAATCCTATCAAGTTCTGACACTGTAAAAGACAGCCATGACTTTCCCTTTGGGTAAGGCACATATTTCTTCAGTCTTTTCCATCAGCCATGGGACAGTGAAAACAATAAGTGGTTGAAAACATTCACTTAACTTATTGGAGGGGAACCTTTTCTTTTCTTTGCAAAACTCTATTCCCTCCAACCTGGCCACAAGTGACAGGTGCCAGGTAATATAGATTTTGACAAAAATTACTTTATCCAATTTCCAAGTCATGAAGGTGCTACAAGTAATTACTAGGAACAGTCATTAGTTAGTAGAGTGGATACAAACATGGAATTAACTTAGGGTTAAATTTTTTTATTTTATTTTTTACTTTAACTTTTATTTTAAGTTCAGGAGTACATGAGCGGATTTGTTACATAGGTAAATGTGTGCCATGGAGTTTTTATTGTACCTATTGTTTCATCCCCCAGGTATTAAGCCTAGTACCCATTAGTTATTTTTCCTGATCCTCTCACTCCTCCCACCCTCCACACTCCAAAAGGCTCCAGTGTGTGTTTTTTCCCTCTATGTGTCCATGTGTTCTCATCATTTAGCTCCCACTTACAAGTGAGAACATGTGGTATTTGGTTTTCTGTTCCTGTGTTAATTTGCTAAGGATAATGACCTCCAGCTCCATCCATGTTCCTGCAAAGGACATGATCTCATTCTTTTATATAGCTGCATAGTATTCCATGGTGCTGATGTACCACATTTTCTTTATCCAGACAATCATTGATGGGCATTTAAGTTGATTCCGTGACTTTGCTATTGTGAATAGCGCTGCAGCAAACATATGTGTGCATGCGTCTTTATAATAGAATGATTTAAATTCCTCTGGGTGTATACCCAATGATGGGATCGCTTGGTCAAATGGTATTTCTGTCTTGAAGTCTTCGAGGAATCACCACACTGTCTTCCACAACGGCTGAACTAATTTACACTCCCATCAACGGTATATAAGCTTTCCTTTTTCTCCACAACCTCACTAGCATCTGTTATTTTTTGACTTTTTAATAATAGCCATTCTGACTGGTGTTAGATGGTATCTCACTGTGGTTTTGATTTGCATTTCTTTTATTGGCTAAACTATGTCTTTCTAAAGTAAGAATGATTTATTTGACTCTAGGTAACATTCACATGCTTTGGAAGGTTGTTTTATCTTGTGTTTGCCAAAAGTAAAACCCATGGGGGAAGATACTCCCTTTTCCGTGCCTCAGAGCATCACCTGAGACATGTACTCTGGAGAGAAAATCTGTGGCCTTGACCACACCTTTTCTTCATATGGGTTATTATCAATCATGGTAGATCCACTTTCTACCATTGTTTATTTTTTTTAATTAATTAATTTATTTATTTATTTTTATTATTGTACTTTAAGTTTTAGGGTACATGTGCACAATGTGCAGGTTAGTTACATATGTATACATGTGCCATGCTGGTGCGCTGCACCCACTAACTCATCATCTAGCATTAGGTATATCTCCCAATGCTATCCCTCCCCCCTCCCCCCTCCCCCTACCCCACAACAGGCCCCAGAGTGTGATGTTCCCCTTCCTGGGTCCATGTGTTCTCTTTGTTCAATTCCCACCTACGAGTGAGAATATGCAGTGTTTGGTTTTTTGTTCTTGCGATAGTTTACTGAGAATGATGATTTCCAATTTCATCCATGTCCCTACAAAGGACGTGAACTCATCATTTTTTATGGCTGCATAGTATTCCATAGTGTATATGTGCCACAAAGCTGGAGGCATCACACTACCTGACTTCAAACTATACTACAAGTCTACAGTAACCAAAACAGCATGGTACTGGTACCAAAACAGAGATATAGATCAATGGAACAGAACAGAGCCCTCAGAAATAATGCCGCATATCTACAACTATCTGATCTTTGACAAACCTGAGAAAAACAAGCAATGGGGAAAGGATTCCCTATTTAATAAATGGTGCTGGGAAAACTGGCTAGCCATATGTAGAAAGCTGAAACTGGATCCCTTCCTTACACCTTATACAAAAATCAATTCAAGATGGATTAAAGACTTAAATGTTAGACCTAAAACCATAAAAACCATAGAAGAAAACCTAGGCTTTACCATTCAGGACACAGGCATGGGCAAGGACTTCATGTCTAAAACACCAAAAGCAATGGCAACAAAAGCCAAAATTGACAAATGGGATCTAATTAAACTAAAGAGCTTCTGCACAGCAAAAGAAACTACCATCAGAGTGAACAGGCAACCTACAAAATGGGAGAAAATTTTCGCAACCTGCTCATCTGACAAAGGGCTAATATCCAGAATCTACAATAAACTCAAACAAATTTACAAGAAAAAAACAAACAACCCCATCAAAAAGTGGGCAAAGGATATGAACAAACACTTCTCAAAAGAAGACATTTATGCAGCCAAAAAACACATGAAAAAATGCTCACCATCACTGGCCATCAGAGAAATGCAAATCTACCATTGTTTAAACCTGAAGAATTGCTATTTCCCACTGGATAGCTGCCAGGAGTGGTTAACCCCCTGCCTGTACAGAATACCCCTCATCTGCCTTTCCCCAACCGTGTGCCAACCACATAAGAGGTTTTAATTTCAAGGATTCGTTCCAAAACTGTTAAGGGGAGGGTGGGTATATGATATCATACCCATGTGCCAAAACATTAGTAAGTCTTCAAGTGTAGGCCCTAATAGGATACCTTTGAAGAGCGCTCTGTCCCCTGACTGTCCTCCCACTCACTCCTTGCAGTCCTCTCTCTTAAACCTCTTTACATCCTGTCCCTTTCCCTGAAAAATTTCACCATTCTCTGATAAATAGTGAAATCCAATCGCCTGGGTCCCTTGTTCATATCGTGCAGATTCTGCAGCCTTGGACTTGTGCAGAAGGTCCATGGCTATCACTGCCCACCGTCGGCTGGTTCTGCAGATGGGAAAGGAGAACTCTCGTTTCAGGTGGGGATGCAATGAGAGCGTGCAGTGTGGTGAAGCAAGAGAGGAGTGGGCATCAGGTCCTGTGGCTGGGATGTGGGGGCCTTCTACTCAGGCTATAGCTAATGATGTTTCTAAATTATGTGAGATCAAACATAATACATTAGCTTCCTAGTAGAGAATCCTTGGAATTAGGGCTGCCATAACAAATTTCTGATGTTTAAGCTATCATAAACTGGATGGTATAAAACAGAAATTTATTCTCTCACACTTCTAGAGGTTAGACTTCCAAAGTCAAGGTGTCAGAAGGGCTGATCCCTTCTGAAGAATCTATTCTCTTCCTCTCTCCTAGCCTTCAGTGGCCACTGGCAGTCCTTGTTGTTCCTTGGCTAGATGGCTGCATCACTTCAATCTCTGCCTCCATCATCACATGGCCGTCTTCCCTGTGTGTGTCTCTGTGTTCTGACCTCTCCTTATAAGGACACCAGTCATTGGAATTATGGCCAATCTGATATGACCTCATCTTAATTGTTACATCAACAAAGATGCTATTCCTAAATAAGTTCACATTCTGAGGTTATAGGTAGACATGAATTTTGGAGACTATACTGTACAACTATTCAACCCACTACATGTACTTTACCAAGGAAGGAGATTAATTCTTTCTGAATTTCCTCTCCCCATCCCCTGCACACAACTAGCAGACATGATCAGTTTTTATTCCTCTTATTACCATCAACTCCACTCTATTTTTTACAAAATAAGGCAAACAGAATTTCTAAGAAAGTAAATACACATTTCAAATTGCCATAATTTAATAGTCAATAAACTTTGATATACATACACTCCACTATCATGTCATTGACTGAAGAATAGACTTCAGTTTAGAACAATCTATCCAGAGCTCTATCCAAGGACATTTATTACTAAAGTAACAAGGTAACTTACTATGTCAGTATCTTGCATGGACTACAGGCAGGGTAAGGGTCTAAACTATGCCATTTAAATGCTATATTGTCATATGTAAATAAATTACCCTTTCCCATTCATTCATTCAGTGACTATTCTTCATGGTCTACTGTGTCCCAGAGAGTGTTCTAGGTAGCAGGGAGGCAACAGTGAATTATGTGGTCTTGTCCTGAGAGAATTTACAGACTATGTGATAAAAGATATTACACAAATAATCAAATACATAATTGAAAGCATGACCAATTCTATAAAGTAAAAAGAACAGCAAGGCCATAAATCAAGGCCATCCAGGCTCCTCTTGGGCCTGTTGATGGGCACCAGGGAGTTCATAGAAGACTTCCCTGAGTCCTGCTCCTAATAGGACTGGGGAGTTGTTGCAGGGTTTGAAGTAGATACGATGTAATCAGCTTTTAATTTTTGTAAACATCTGTTGTATATGCCAATAGAACATAGAGGGTAAATACACGATCTTACTTGGAGTCAGACAGCAATTCACTCACTGTCACCTTCAGTGTCCACATATTTAAAGCAGGAAAATAATGGTTCCTCCTCTGAGGATTGTATTAAGGATTAAGTGAGGTAATCTGTAACAAGTGTTCTTAAAACTACTACCCATTTTAAAACAAGAGAAAGAAAATGGGAACTTAGACCGGTCTGGGAAATTCCAAGTGTTTGATTTGATGATTAAAAAAAAAAAATACCACATTTTCTTTCCATGAACTGTGCCATTAAAAAGAAATAAATAATTAACTTTGGAAAAAATCTGTAAAACTAGAACCAATTTTTCAAACTAAAAGAGTAAATTTTCAAACTGATGATTAATATAGAATATTCCCATGTTAAAAGATGAATAACACTAAAGAATATATTTTATGTTTATATTCTATACTCATTGTGCATTTATAAGAATATCAATTCATCTAAAGTGCATTAATAATATGAGTATTCAACCACATAAGGGTATTCTAGATAAGAATATTTAAATTGGCATCATTTTTCTCACTTCTTAGGCTCTGCTCATATCCAAAGTCATGAAGGTGATAGCTCAGCTAAGTTAGGAATTAGTCTGCATTTTATGACTCCTACTTAAATAGTTTATCTTGTATTATTCAAACAACACCAGATTTTTTTAAATCCCCAGAATTCTCACTTATCCTAATCTCATCACCATTGTAAAAAACAAAACAAAACAAAACAAAACAAAAAAACATAAGCTTACTGCTCCACCAATTTTAGCTGCTGCAAAATTCATGACAAGTTATAGAAGTACTATTCCTTTGTTTCTTAAAAATATTTGACAATTGTTAAAATTGCTCTTCTAAGAACTTTGCTGTGTGTAAAATTCTGTTTTCTTATTTTTGTTTTGTATAATAAGCTTCAGTGTCAGTCTAGTCACACATATCTAAACATGAAGATCAAAAAGTAACTGGTCACTAATAACTGCCACCCTTTTCTAGCAAAGCAGCACACCCACAGCAGAGGCTACTTAGAGAAAAGAGTGCTGCCCAGGAAGTTCAGTTGGCTTCCAGGTTTCTGATTTTTGCAATTGATCATCGTGCAACTTCTGTAAACCCTTTACTAATGATGAGGCTCTTGTCCTATCATCTGCAAAATAAAGGAGGTTGACTAGATTAGAGATTACAAATTGGGCATCTATGGACTGACTTTCATTGCAAGTCAATTCCATTGTTTTTAATCAACCTGCAAAATGTTAAACAGTCAGGGCATTCATTTTCTAGGATCTCTTAGGTCTTACCCCTCCCTTTAATTGGTTTTAATTAATAGATGACATTTGAATAGTTTTAAAGAAAAAATTATCAAATAGGACAGAGTTCCCATATATCCCCTGCACACAGTTTCCCCTATGATTATCATCTTATAGTGGTGATATGGTTTGGCTCTGTGTCCCTATCCAAACCCCATCTTGAATTGTACTCCCATAAATCCCACAGGTTGTAGGAGTAACTAAGTGGGAGATAATTAAATTATGGGGGCAGTTACCCCCATACTGTTCTCATGGTAGTAAATAAGTCTCAGAAGATCCGATGGTTTTATCAGGGGTTTCGGCTTTTGCATCTTCCCCATTGTCTCTTTGCCTGCTGCCATCCATGTAAGATGTGACTTGCTCCTCCTTGCCTTCCACCATGATTGTGAGGCTTCCTTAGCCACGTGGAACTTTAATTCAATTAAACCTCTTTCTTTTGTAAATTGCCCAGTCTCTGGTAAGTCTTTATCAGCAGCATGAAAACAGACTAATACAAGTAGCTTTGTACATTGGTTACAAGTAATAACCTAGTATTGATACATTATTATTAACTAAAGTTTATAGTTTATTTGGATTTCCCCATTTGTTACCTAATATCCTTTTTCTGTTCCAGGATCTTATCCATGATACCCCATTACATTTAGTCATCAGGTCTCCTTCAGCTCCTCAGAGCTGTGCCAGTTTCCCAGACTTTTCCTTGTTTTTTAATGACCTTGACAGTTTTGAGTAGTATTGGCAAAGTATTTTGTAGGATGCTCATGTATTGGAATTTATCTGATGTTTTTCCCATAAGTAGACTAGAGTTGAGGGGTATGCAGAGGAAGTAACAGTTTCATCACATCATATCAAGGGTACATGCTATCCACACGATTTATGACTTTTGATGCTGACCTTGATCTTCTGGCTAATGTAGTCAGGATTTTCCACTGTAAAGTTACTTTCTCCCTCATCTTTCCACACCATACACATTAGAAAGAAATAACTCTGTGCAGCTCACACATAAGATGTGGGGAGTTATATTTGAAAATCTTCTGCATGGGAGAGTTGTCTCTTCTCCCCTATTTATTAATTTATAAAATCACTTATTTATATCAGTATAGACTCATGGATATTTATTTTATCCATGGGTTATAATCCAATACTTCTTTATTTTAGTGCTCAAATTATTGTAGTGCTATTTGCAGCTCTTTCTGTTGGCTCTTGTTCTCCTTTGACATACCCTATCAATATAGATTGGTTTGTTTGTTAAGGACTTTTTTACTTCCAGCACCTTAAGATGCTCCAGACTGATATTTATTTCATATGTTCTGCCCCAGTCCTAGAATCAGGCATTTCTCCAAGAGGCCTTGTTCCTTTTATTGGAAAATAGGACTGGAAATCAAGATCTGAGTACAGGCATGTTTACTGCTGCCAGAATATTGTTTATTTTAGGCCCTCTCAGTTGACAGAGTCTCTCTTTAACTTCACCATATCACATATTTGGTCACTAGTCTGGCCATTGAAGACATTTTGACTTTTCCTTGCCCAAGATCTAGATTACCTCTAAGATTCCTTCTAATTCTAATAGTGTTCTTAGGATTCATTCAATTAAAGAAAGCATGGCCAATTATGGACTGAAATTTAAATGCAAAAAAAGATGATGATGGAAAAATTTCAGGACAAGCCTTTTATGGGCTCTACCCAATCAGGCACACACCCACGTGGGTTCATTTCTGGTATCTATATCCTTTTTAATTTTCATTTTACCCTAGTCCAGAGCTTCCTGATCTCAACAGAACTCCCTAATGCAGGATTTCTCAACCTGGATACTACTATTGACATTTTTGGGACAGATCATTCTTTGTTATGAGGGGCCATCCTGTATAATGTAGGATGTGTATCTATAAGACTACCCACTAGATACCAATCGCATTCTCCCTTCTGATTCTAAAAACCCAAAATATCTCCAGACATTACCAAATGTGCTGTAGGAAGTCAATTATTATAATTTGAGCTTCTTTCTATCTCTGACATACCTACAAATGGCTACAATATATAATTGTTGGTTCACTGATCTTTTTTCAACCGTCTACATTAAAAAATCTCAATACATCAGAAGAGTTTTTGAAAAAAAATCAATAGTAATTGGAAGCAAGAATAAAGCAACTTAAAGTTCTCTTCTTTGCCAAGTTAACAATATTACTACTTTAATGCAGTAACAAGCTGTTACTGTTCTGGATCCCTATTCGTAGGTTTACAAGTAACACGTGGGAAACCATTTTTCCCCATAATTGATTTTTGAGTTCTGCAAGTTTTACCCTTTGATTATGACAAAACTTTTTGTATAACTATGGAAATAGGAAAGCACAAACTTAAAGAAAGATGAAAAAACTCACCTTTTTATATTGTCTGTTTATACCTTGTCCTACTGCGTTTTGGTGAAGTCACCCCTTTACACAGCCTCTGGACTTCCCAGTACCTTTTTTTTTTTAATTACCTATGGTATTGTATTACAGTAAGACAAATGAACTAAGGAGGTAAGATTAAATAAGGTCATAAGGACGAGGCCCTAATCGAATAGGATTGGTGTTCTTATAAGAAAAAGAGGAAGCAGAGTTCTCTCTCACCACAACGTGAGGACACAGTGAGAAGGCACTCATCTGCAAGCCAGGAAGAAGGCCTTCAGCAAGGAACTGAATCTGCAAGATCTTGATTGATATTGAACTTTTCAGCCTCCAGAAAGTTCTGCATGCTGGGGAGGCCTCAGGAAACTTACAGTCATGGCGGAAGTAGAAGGAGAAGCAAGAACCTTCTTCATAAGCAGCAGGTTATGCTGCTTGCCCTCCTTTAGGGAGATATTCTCCTTTAGGGAAATATTTCTCATCCAGACTATGGACCAGATGACTATGGACCAGATGAAATCTCATTGCTCTACTTTTAGCGACCCTACTTTTAGACACATGGGAATGGCCAGTCAGTCATGTTATTGTAAAGCAAAGAGAAGTCATTTCATTTTAGTTTAATTTTATTTATTTATTTATTTTGCTAATTGGGGAAGTATAAATCTAGGACTGCTGTTGACTTCCTGTTCATAGCTGGAAAGAATGTGGCTAAAACAAAGAGAAGCAGAGACGACTGCAATTGTGCCCAGTTCTAGTTCTGTCCCTATCTTCAGTGAGCCATCTCAACATCTGTAATGGATGATATTATTGTTCACAATTATCTCTTGTCCTCTCTGTAAGAGGACCTATATCCCTCCTATGGTCATGTCACTGGCAGCACCTCCCTGTGGAAGGAGATACTTCTCTCACCCTTTGACAGACAGCATGCGTGGCCATATGGTTTGCTTTAATTGATAGAATATGGGCAGAAGGAATATATGATACGCCCAAGTAGAGACCATAAGATCCATCAGCTTGTTCTATGATTATTTTTTTCCTCTTCCACAAGTCTGAGATAGGGGCTGCTCCTTCAAACTGTGCCCCAGAATGAGAAGATATGTGGAGGAGAGCTAAAGCCAAAATGTAACATGAACAATAAACAAAGCTTTGTTATTGTAAAACAAAAACTCTTTCTGAAAAATTCCTTTCTCTCTGTCTTTCTCTCACTCTCTCTCTCTCTCTCTCTGTGTGTCTGCCAGAAGAAGGTTCCACTAGGTTTCTAGCCTTATAACTGAAAGCATTCTAATTATCCTGTGACTAATAGATATTCTTTAGTCCATGACTAATAAATACAACTTGACAACACATTTACAAAGCATATTACCAAGGTCAACATGTGTAAACAAGTATACATTGAACTAGGCTATCCCAGAAGAGGTTGTTTTAATGGCTAATAACAAATTATATTCAATATTAAACATACGTTCAGAGATGCTAAACAAGTTTTCATAGTCACACTAGTTTGTTCCTTCTAATGCTCATATTTAAATTATTTGCTAGTGTTTTTCCTAAGCCTCCTATAGTCAAATACAATAATTATTATTTCAACTTCTTTAAATGTTTCCTTTAATGTATTTTTACTACAAATGTTTCTTTCTACAATTTAATAAAATTTAGTTCATTGCTCAGAGTTGTTAAATTTACTTTGGACATGCAGTATTATTTGTTTTGTTTTATGTTAAAATTGAAGCACAGTAACATTTTTCATATGTTTAGATACATAGTGAAATGATGAAAAGTCTGTATTTCCGTTAGCTAATATGTTGCAGTCTACTAGTGCATATCCATGTCTGATTTTCCTCACCTTCCTGTAAACACAAGAAGACCACTCTTCCCAACAACCTTGCAGTTAGAACTAAATGACTACCTCTGGTTCAGCGGTTTTCAACCAAAAGCAATTTTTCCATTCACTGCTGCCCTCACCCCAACCTCTAGAGATATCTTTGGTTATCACAGCCAGAGGGGACACCTCTGGTATCTGGTGTATAGACACCAGGGATGCTGGCATGCATCCTGCAGTGCAAGGAGAGTCCCCCAAAACAAATTATTCACCCCAGCCATAGTTGAGAAACCTGGTTCTAGGCAGTGAAAACTAAGTAGAAGAAATTCAGGTCAGCTCCAGGCTGAGACATTCAAGAACCTATCTTCTCTATAACAGGCAACTGTAGAAACCATGTGTTGAAATGGAAATACCACAAGAAGCAAGTGACCTCACCTCTCATCACAGAGAAAGAGGTCATCACACAGAGAGAGGAGCTACTCTGAAAAGCTCCCTGAGCCTTAACAGAATTTATATGATCATTACATAAATCTGCTTTTGTCTTTAACCTTCATTGTATGTCTTAAACCAGATTCCAGGGCTAATTTTTCATAGAAGCCTAACCTATTCTATCCTTACTAATATAGTTAGTTTTATAAATTTTCACTTATATGCAATAAATATAGTACTTTTTTTAAATGCCAGATGTATTACTCCATTTTCACACTGCTGATAAAGACATACCTAAGACTGGGCAATTTACAAAAGAAAGAGGATTATTGGACTTACAGTTCCACATGGCTGGGAAGGCTTCACAATCAAGGCGGAAGGCAAGGAGGAGCAAGTCACATCTTACATGGATGGCAGTTGGCAATAAAAGAGCTTGTGCAGGGCAACTCCACTTTTAAAACAAGCAGATCTCATAAGACCCATTCACTATCATGAGAACAGCATGAGAAAGATCTGTCCCCATAATTCAATCATCTCCCACCAGGTTCCTCCCACAAAAGGTGGGAATTATGGGAGCTACAAGATGAGATTTTGGTGGGGACACAGAGCCAAACCATATCACCAGGTAATATCATATACATAGCATCAAATAGCTTTTAAATATAACTTACTTCTTAGGCAAATTTCTTTTACTATTCCGGTTATTAATATATGCTGAAGATAGAGATGACATTATTCAAGCAAAAGCAGGATTTGAAGAATGTATTTTAAAGACCAGTTGGCAATACACTCAATAAATCCTCAGAATGTAGAACATAATTATATGTGTGTCAGAAGAGGGGATCACCCGGGTCTGAAAATGACACTGAGAAACTATAACTTCCAAGGGGGGTAGAATGTTTTTCCCCAAAAGTTATAAGAATGTGAAATAAGAGGTTTAAAAATGATTTTTTTTCCTCAACAGAGTGAAAAACAGAGTTGATCCCATGCTTCATTTCACAGCTGCCTAGCTACAGTGAGTGATATATGTTTCTAACACAATGGATGGTGGCTTAGGAAGAGGATCCAATAAAATCTATGTTGGAGCCAAGAATAAAATCCAAGGAAAATGCCTCTAGTTAATCGTTCTAATCAATTCCCCCTGTGCGCCAGAGAAGGGCTCACATTTAAACCCAGTATTATTATAGGTATTTAGATTAGTCAAGAGCAGTGCTATAAGGACGAGAATCCCAAAATTTTAATTTAAAGCCATGGGTTTCCTAATTTAAAAATATTTTCCACTTTTTTTTCTTCTCAAAGTCATAACAATAATTTGTAAAGCTTTCAAGTCATGCTTCAAAATTTTCAACGACCACCTTTTTACGAGACGAAAAGTTGTGTGAAAAGGTACCGAAACGCAAATAAGAGATGTGAGTTCAACTGTGATCACTTCAGTGTGCACAATATTGTCAAGTTCCAAAATGATGATACCTGCAGTAACTATGTATTTAACTTTATATTTTCCCAGTAGAGACGTTTAATTGCCAAGGAAGCAATTAAAACCAGAACTCACATTTCCCATATTTTTAAAATCTGAAGTTAATTCTATATGAGCATATCTCATGGCTAGAGACCAATTAGATGTAAGCAAAGGAAAAGAATTCCTTGCCAAATGATTTTGACCTTGCAATTTTGCTCATTTCCTTAATGTAGTCCTGTGGCAGTGAGACTGCATGATATCCTGGGAGATCCACTCAACTGGTAGTTCCAGGGTTCTAATTCTGTTCTAAAAAGCTCTAAAATACTGTGGACTTTTACGCAAATATTATTGAGTCTCAGACAGGTTACAACACAGAACACGATGGCCTCACTATCACCCAGAGAAGGGAGGAGAATTCCACATTAAAGAGTACTGGATACTCAACCCTTTTGTAGGAGTAGCCAAAAAATTAACGTATTTTTTTTTCGAAGTCAGATAGGGGAGTCAGCCTGGTTCACATAGGTCCAAGTACTCAAGAAGGTCCAGTCCAAAAGATGAGATGCTCTGGGAGGCCAAGGCAGGCTGATCAAGTTCAAGAACAGCCTGGGCAACATGATGAAACCCCAGCTCTACAAAAAAATACAAAAATTAGCCAGGTGTGGTGGCACACACCTGTAGTCCCAGCTACTCGGGAGGCTGAGGTGGAAGGATCCTTTGAACCTGGGATGTGAAGGTTGCAGAGAGCCATGATCATACCACTGCACTCCAGCTTGGGCAACAAAGTAAGACTCTGTCTCGAAAAAGAAAAAGAAGAAAAAGAGATGGGATGGGCCAAAGAGGAGGATACATGACAAGTCAGGTTCCTGATGATGCTCAGAGAGGGGTAACAGGTTGCCGGTCATATGGGAAGGATGATATGCACCATTAGGAAAATATCAGGGTCTTGGTCCCACAGATTGGAATTCAGGATTGGGTTTCTGGCACTACAGGACACTGGAGTGCCAAAGACAGAGTGGCACAAAGCCACATGGGGGTGGCACAAAACCAACCCCATGATCTGGGCTACTTCAACACAGGTATTCACAGGTTTCTCAAGTACAAAGATTGCCAGGACAGTACCTGTTATAATTACATTCTGCTTCCTAGAGAAACTATTTAAAAAACTCCCAATTTCCTCCCCATCCTAGTCAGAACTAGTATCAAGACCAGGAGTAAAGGATGTTTGTTGCTATTCACTTCAGAGCCAGTGAAAGACAATGACTGTAAAAACATAAGAAATGATTAAATTTATCTCCTAAATTTTTTTATCTTACATTTTTAAAAATGTTTCTATGCTTTCCTTGGAATCAAGACAATTACCAATGTAATTGTCAAATCCAAACACTATTCAATATATAAGCATTCCAGCACGGGGGATAAGTGGAGTCAGTATTATGAATTTCACATTGACAGTACATAAGACATTAGAAATTTCAGTGTTAAGAGAAAATACTCAGTTGTTTGAAATTGTTACATAGTTAGAAACTAAAATAAATATTGAAATGAGTTTGTTCAAAGTATAAAATCATTTATTAATGTATGAAATATGCTATATTACATGACCTTTATTTTCTGACTGCATTTAAATTGTATCCACCATCACCTTCACTAGACTGTGAAGGTGGAGAATGCATATTATACATCTTTATAACTCTTCCTGTTACCTGACTCTCAGCAGGTGCTCTTTCAATGAATGTTTTCAAAAGGGATATTTTAAAACCAAGTTTATGATGTTGCTGGAAGGCTTTAGGATCTTGACTTTGACAATAGGTTAAGTGTGCTAAAAATTATGCCTATTCTACCCACACGGTTGATCAATAAAGCAATAACATTATTAACAACAAGTACAAAGCCCCCTGGAACTTCCTGAATTCAGTTTTAATTTTGTCTACAGGGAAAAAATTTGCAAGGAATTCATGGTGAGGTAGCTCTGAAATACAATTATCAAACTGCAGGAAGGCTGAGTTTAACAACTCAAGTTCCATTGAGTTGTATTGTTATTATTGGCATCCAAATTTAAGTAGTTTATTTTTAAATGTGTTGTAATACATTGTTCCTAGTAAATGAAATTCTCTGGCATTGAAATAAAATTTGAAAACCAAAGAGTAAAAGAAGGAAAGAGATATTACTAAGCATCGGTTTATCAATTTTATAGCTAAAAATTAATGTGAAGTAGAAATAGTGAAAGATAACAGACAAACATATAATTTCAGGTAATTCATTTATAGCACCTCATTGTAAACGGAATAAGGATTTGGTTATATAAAAACTATCTTTAAAAAAGTATCAGTGGAAAGACATGATGTCCATGAACTGTGTTGAATGGCCAGGGTGAAAATACTGCAGCGCACAACAGCCCAGGATTGACGACAGCAGCCACTGTGATTGTCAACTTGTGTTTTGTAGGTGGACCACAGGAACTTCCATAAATGGGTATACTGTCTAACCATTTCCTTTGTATTACCATAACATCCAATGTGTACCCATGGTTTTAACAGTAGACTGTTTAGAACCTAAACACAAGGAAATTCTTGGAAATTGATTGAAAATCATACATTGGAATTGAGCAATAGTTGCTCCTTTAACCAAGCATGAGCTCTCTGGCATCTCAAATTCACAATCACTTCTTAACATGGAGAGGCCTGGTGTTATTTGCCATTGATCACTAAAGTTGAGTTGCTAAACTTAGCCTGCCCAATCTCCATGTCCTTGACCAAAGATTCTGCCTTGTCTTGCAAATATTTTCTCAAGTCTCTTGATATCTCTTGCAAAGCTTTGGGAAGAACAGGTGGAGGGGTGATGAAGGCAGGAGATACTCACAAGGCCATCCAGACCAACTGTCCTAACTCATGCTATCAGTGGGGCACTACTGCACTTAAGATGATCCTTTTCACTTTTCATATGCAAATATTCATAAGGTCAACGTTACTTTTAAATGTCTAGAGTGATTTCCACTAAGTGTGTATTTTTTAAACGCCAAATATATCAAGAACCAGTTATTGTATTGTTTTATGTTGCAACATCTTTTAAAGGCAAGAATTAAAGAAATTGGTATCATCATGTACCATCATTATTTATCAGAACTTCACAGGCTACACATCTAGTTGCCCAACAAAACTTGAAGATGAGGTCTTTGTGAAATAACGAACAATAACATGCTATTGAGAATGTACTACTTTGCTGAAGATCCTTAGCCAAACAGTAGGTTCATTTTTCTAAATGCCCACTTTTCTCCTTCAGTGGCTTTGATTAAAATTCTGAGAATAGATGCAACTATTTTGTAATATAGCAGACAAAATGTAAAGCAGACCATATTAATCTGTCAGCAAGCTTTAAATATTCTTTCTCTTGTCTTGTGCAAAACAATCTTCATCTACCATGCATTTTCATCCCTCTGGCTTCCTTCCGGTTATTGATCTTTGTGTTATTTCTGCAAGCACATGGAAAGATTTTATTACATGTATGAATTAAGCCTATGATACATAGAGTCTGCTTTATTCAGCTGAATGTGTCTTTAATACTCTTCAAAGTGAATCTGTAAACAAAAATTTTTTGAAAAGTCTCCATTAAGAGCTGTTGCCCATTATAACTTCTAAAGTTACCTCATAGCCTTACACAGTTTTACAACATGCACTAAATATAAATGAAGAGCAAATAAGATAAATATTATACACCAGGGGGGCTCATAAAACCACTGTGTATTTGTCCTGTCCTCCAGCCAAGCCCAAAAAAGTAGCACATAAAGTCCTATTTTTAATGTTTTATATTTTTTGTCAAAACCTTGGGACTGCTCCTAAGATAAGGCCATATGCTTTAATCAGTATTAGGCAATTTCTCTCTTTCTCCCCATTAAAACAACAAAAAAACACTAAAAAAAAGCTAGAAGGGGAAAAATCTGGGTTCTGGCTTTTTAGTATCAACCTTTTTAGTTAGGAAGATAAAGCTTTTTAATATTAAAAGCAAATTATTTATTCCTCAGGAATTTATTTTTCTATAATACACAATACTGAATGTTCACAATACATTATTTTAAATAGGAGATGAGTCTCTTGGCCCCAGGATATTTCTAACAACCAAGAAACAGTTTATTCTCTTAATTACTTACGATTGCTTTATTCTCTAATAACATATATGATGTGTTAAGGAAATAAATAAACAACAACTTAAAAGTAGAAAAAAATATGGAAGAGTCTCTATGGAGTTTACAAAATCCCACTGGATGAAGAATGGAAATTCTGAGCAGTTGGAGCAGGGTAGGGCAGCTGTCTAACATTAATTTTTGGTGTCCAACTTTAACAATAAAAGATATAAATCTTTTATTCTCTCATCAATTACTATTATTAACAATACCATCACTATAATAATATTACAGTTATTATATTACTATAAATTAATATTTAATTGATCAATCTGCAGAAATGTATAACTTATATACTCATCCAAAGGATTATGCATTCTGATATCCGACAATGTAATAATAGCTTTGTATTCAGAAAGTATATTTTAACAGAAAAAAGTCAAATGACAATTTTAATAGATTTTAAAACAGTGTACAAGTAAAATACACTGGTTTTGTACTTCAAAAATTGGAGGAAGATATCCAGTCATTAAACAGTCTACAAAAAACACATGCTAGTAGATTACATAAAAAAACTATGCACAATATAAAAAGAGCTGAAAACAGTCTTCATTGTAAAAATAATTTAAAACAAACTTTTCAATTTAAAATATTATCTATAGCACAAACACATTATGCAAATGGAAAACTAAATATACTGCATTCTTTAGTGTAGCCAAATAAATTCAGATTGAGACATCTTTTAGGTAGGGAAATGGCCATTCAATACGATGTTTTTCTCTGGCAGTACTGGTCCTAGCTGGGTATTTTATGCATAAAGAACAGCTATATTTCAAACCCTTTTTACTGTAATCAATACTAAAGCAGTATCAGAATACTTTATTAATTTAGGAGTAATGTTCAAAAATGGTCTGAAAAATAAATGCTTAATGTGCAATTTCATAAAGTATGAACTTCTTGAAAGGCTAGAAGCTTTTGCAGCTAAGAAAGTTGATCTCTAGTTTTAAGCATTTTGGTGACTAAAATGAAATGGAAAAACGAAAGAACCAGAGTCAAAATCCATGATGTATAAAAAGGTGAGCACAATTAAGCAAGATTTAAAGCTCTCTGGGAATAGACCAATGCACAGAAAAATTAAATTCTACCCATGAAAGACTGACTATTTATGTCCTTGATTCACTAAAGCAGAAAGGAATTTTCAATAATATAAAGGACAAAAAAAATTGTTTCATGGGCAAAAGGCTCAAACAGGAATTTGATAAAAGAGGTTATTAAAATAGCCCAAGCATAAGGGAAGATGCGCAACATAATTATTCAATAAGGAAGTGCAAATTAAAACACAAAATAAGATACCACTAAACACCCACCAGTGGCTAAAATTTAAATGGCAAACAATTGTAAGTGTCAGCAAGAATGTGGAGCAACTGGAACTCTCATACCATGTTGATGGAAGTGTGAATTGATACAATAATTTTGGAACAGTTCTTAATAGTACTATAAAAACTAAATATATGCCTACCCTATGGCCAAATAATTTCACTCTTACATATATACCCAAGAAAAATAAACACATATGTCCACTAAGATATAAGACCAGAATATTCTTAGCAATTTTCTTACAATTGCTTAAAACTAGAAACAACCCAACTGTTTGTTAAGAGAAGAGTAAATATTTTGTGGAATATTCACCTCCCTAATTAAACAGAAAAAGACCTATTGATTAATACAATTAACATGGATGATTTTTACAGACATAATAATGAGCATATACAGACAAATAACACATTACGGACAAATAATGACACAAAGAAATACAAACTGTATGATCCCATTTCTGCTAATAATAGAATGAGTTTTTGTTTTGTTTTGTTTTGTTTTTGAGACAGGTGACCCTGTCACAAATACTGTGTCACCTAGGCTGGAGTGCAGTGATGTGATCACAGCTCACTGTAGCCTCTACCTCCTGGGCTCAAGCAATCCTCCCACCTCAGTCTCCCAAGTAGCTGGGACTAGGGGCATGCATCATTACACCTGGCTAATTTTTGTATTAAAATCGAAGTATTTGTTTTCAGAGGCTATTGTGGATAGGTAGGTTTTGACAGGATATGGACTCTAGGGAACTTTCTTTTATGCTGGAAATGTTCTGTGTCCATCTGAGTGGTGGTTACTGTTACACAATTGTATGTGTGTGTAGAAACTTGAACATATTAATACATAAATATATATGCAAAAAGTATCACCTGAGATTTTGGTACTTTATATGATAGATGTTATATCTCAATAAAAAATTAACAATTAAAGATTTTATATCTTGATAGTAGAGACTGGTAGAGACTTATCTCCTTTTAGAGGAGAGCAGTGGAGATGAACATACTGGATAGCTTGTTTTCTTCCTCCCTACTCAGCATGAAGAGCCAACAAATCATTTCCTTTCTTTGGCATACTGGTCCTCCGCCTATTTGATATATGTATTAGTTTCCGAAGGCTGCTGCAACTTATTACCAAAAACTTAGTACCTGAAAGCAACAGAAATTTATTCTGTCACAATTTTAGAGACCAGAAGTCCAAAATCAAGGTGCTACTAGGGCAATACGCCCAGGGCTGCACTCCCTCTAGAAAAGAGCTCTTCCTTGCCTCTTGCAGTTTCAGGTGGCTCCAAGTGGTCTTTGGCTTGTGGCTGCATGACTCCAAGCTCTGCCTCTGTCATCACATAGCTTTCTCTTCTGGATCTCTGGGTCTCTACTTCTGCTATAAGGAACTCGTCATTGGACTGAGGAGCCACCCAGAAAATCCAGGATGTTCTCAGTTAGAGGCTCAATTATTTCTGTAAAGACCCTTTTTTCAAATAAGTTCACATTCATAGATCCTTGGTGTTATGATATGGACACATCTTTTGGGGGGGACCACCATTGAACCCACTAAAATGTTTGTAAATTAAAATGAATGCAACTCTCCATTTATTTATTACAATAAATTTGAGATAATGTAATATCTAATCTCTAGCTAGTTAAGAACAATAACAATATACATGTACTTTGTGTCTTACAGATGTAAAAGACCTTTTTACTTTTAAAAATCTGATTTGACTTTGATAATTAGATAATTTTTTTAAAGATTTGCCATGGCAACCACCCTATATTTATTCATCACCCATTCATTTATTTAACCAAAAGATAGGATAGAGCGTTGAAAGTTTTAATCTTAATTCATGACAGAGAACTGGTTTGGATCAATTTTAAAGAAAGAGAGTATGACATTCAACTTTTGACTCAGTAAAGAGTTGAAAATTCTTTCAACAGAAATACTTTATGGAATATGATAGCACAGTATAGAGGACAAAACTGTTCAACCAAAACTTCCTAAGAAAGACATTGAACCCTACATAGGATTGTTTGAATAAAAGTATAAAATTGTCCTTAACTAAAGTTAACAAGCTGTTTTCTATTTTCTCCTTTTATGGTTGCTAGCCTTTGCCCACTTCGAGTCATAATGATATATTATTAGTTCATGTAATTCAATACCTTTATTTTTCAAATATCAAACATTTATATTTACAATTTTAGAAATTTAAAATTTTTAGAAACATTATTTTTAAGTATTATTTTTCTCCCAAAGTTATATAAGATATATATGTGTACTTTATATGTATATTGTATGTGTTTCTTTTTTAAATTTTGGGGGGTATATAGTAGATGTGAATATTGATGAGGTACATGAGATATTTTGATACAGGCACACAATGCATAATAATCCCATCAGGGAAAATGGTGTATCCACCACCTCAAGCACTTACCCTTTCTTTGTGTTGCAAAGAATCCAATTATTCTTATACTCTTACGTATTTTTAAAAGTACAACAAATTATTATTGACTGTAGTCAAACAACCCTATTTAAAAATGGGCAAAAGACACAAACAGACACTTCTCAAAAGAAGTCATACACTCAGCCAACAAACATGTGAAAAAATGCTTGGCATCATTAATCATTAGACAAATACAATTCAAAACAACAATGAGATACTATCTCACACCACTCAGAATGGCTATTCCTAAAAAGTCAAAAAATAACAGATGCTGGCAAGGTTGAAATGAAAAGGGAATGCTTATACACTGGGGGTGGGAATGTAAATTAGTTTAGCCACTGTGAAAAGCATTTTGGAGATTTCTCAAATAACTTAAAACAGAACTACTATTCAACTCAGCAGTCCCATTACTGGGTACATACCCAGAGAAATATAAATTTTTCTATCATAAGGATAAATGCACATGTATGTTCATGGTAGCACTATTTGCAATAGCAAAGACATGGAATCAACCTAAATGCCCATCAACAGTGGATTGGATAAAGAAAATGTGGTACCTATACCTTAAGGAATACCACCTGGCCATAAAAAGGAATGAAATCATGTCTTTTGCAGCAACACTGACAGAGCCGAAAACCATTATCCTTAGTCAATTAACCCAGGAATGGAAAACTAAATATAGCATATTCTCACTTCTAAGTGGAAGCTAAACAATGAGTACACATGAACACAAAAGAAGGGAACAATAGACACCAGGGCCTACTTGAGCAGGGAGGGTGGGAGGAGGCTGAGGATTGAAAAATTGCCTATTGACTTCTATAGTTATTACCTGAGTGACAAAAAAATCTGGACGCCAAACCCCTACAACACAAAATATACCCCTGTACTAAATGTGCACCTGTACCCACTGAATCTAAAATGAAAGTTGGAAATAAATTTAAAAAAACAACAACAACATAGGAATGCAGAGATCTCTTTCCTTTCTTCTGGACATATACCTAACAGTGTGATTGCTAGATCTTGTGGTAGCTCTATTTTTAGTTTTTTAAGGAAACTCCAAGCTGTTCTTCATAGTGACTGTACTAATTTACATTCCCACAAACAGTGTACAAAGATCCCCTTTCTCCACATCCTCACCAGGATTTGTTATTGTGTTTTAGATAAAAAACATTTTAACTGGGCTGATATCTCATGAAATTTTGATTTGCATTTCTTTGATAATCAGTGATGTTGAGTACCTTTTCATATGCTTGTTTGCCATTTTGTATGTCCTCTTTTGAGAAATGTCTATTCTGATCTTTTGCCCATTTTTTGATTGATTTATTATATTTTTTCCTATAGAGTTGTTTGAGCTCCTTATATATACTGGTTATTAATCCCTTGTCAGATAAATAGCTTGCAAATATTTTCTCCCATTCTGTGCATTGTCTTTTCACTTTGATGAGTGTTTCCTTTGCTGTGCAGAAGATTTTTAACTTGATGTGATCCCATTTGTCCATTTTTGCTTTGGTTGCCTGGGCTTGTGTGGTATTACTCAAGAAATCCTTGCCAGATCCAAAGTCCTGGAGAGTTTCCTCAGTGTTTTCTCGCAGTAGTTTTATAATTAGAGGACTTAGATTTAACTCTTTAATCCATTTTGATTTAATTTTTCTGTATGGCAAGACATAGGAGTCTAGTTTTATTCTTCTGCATATGGATATTCAGTTTTCCCAGCACCATTTTTTAAAGAGACTGTCCTTTCCCCAGTGTAGGTTCTTGGCACCTTCGTTGAAAACAAATTCACTGTAAATGCGTAGATTTGTTCCTGGAATATCTGTTCTGTTCCATTGGTCTAAATGTCTGTTTTTATGCCAGTATCATGCCATTTTTGTTACGATACCTGTAGTAATTTGAAGTCAAGTAATGTGATTCCTCTAGTTTTGTTCTTTTTGTTCAGGATAACTGTGGCTATTCTGGGTCTTTTGTGGTTCCATATAAACTTTAGATTATTTTTTCTATTTCTGTGAAGAGTGTCATATGTATTTTGTAGGGATTGCATTGAATATATAGATTGCTTTGGGTAGTATGTACCTTTTAGCAATATTGATTCTTCCAATCCATGAACATGGAATATCTTTCCAATATTTTGTGCCTCTTCAACTTCTTTCATCAGCGTTTTATATTTTCATTGCAGAGATCTTTCACTTTTTTGGTTAACTTAGTTCCTAAGTATTTAATTTTATTTGCAGCTATTTTAAATAGGATTACTGTCTCAATTTCTTTTCAAATCGTTCGCTGTTGGCATATGGAAATCCTACTGATGTTTGTATGTTGATTTTGTATCCTGCAACTTTACTGAATGTGTCTATCAGTTCTAATAGTTATTTGGTGGTGTCTTTAGATTTTTCCAAATATAAGAAAATATCATCTGCAAACAAGGATAATTTGACTTCTTCTTTTCCAATTTGGATGCCCTTTATTTCTTTCTCTTTTTTGATTGCTCTAGCTAGGACTTCCAGAACTATGTTGAATAACAGTGATGAAAGTGGGCATTCTTGTCATGTTCCAGATCTTAGAGGAAAGACTTTCAGATTTTCCCCATTCAGTATGATACTAGCTGTGGGTCTGTCATATATGACTACTATTGAGTGGAGGTATGTTCTTTCTATACCCAGTTCTTTTAGGATTTTTTCATGAAAGGATGCTGAATTTTATCTAATGCTTTATCAGCATCAGTTGAAATGATCATATGGTTTTTGTCTTTCATTCTGTTGATATGGTATATTACATTGATTAATTTATGTATGTAGAAACACCCCTGCATTCCTGGAATATATACCAATTGGTCATGATGAATGGTCTTTTTAATGTGTTGTTGAATTTTGTTTGCTAGTGTTTGATTTTTGTATCATTGTTCATTAGGGATACTGGCCTGTAGTTTTCTTTTTTTGATGTGTCTTTGTTTGGTTTTGGTATCAGGGAATACCAGCCTCATAGAATGAGTTTGGAAGTAATACCTCCACCTCTATTTTTTGGAATAGTTTGAGTAGCATGGGTATTAGTTCTTTAAATGTTGGATAAAATTCAATAATAAAGCCACTGGATTCTGGTCTTTGCTGACAAATTTTTTCATTATAGATTCAATCTCATTACATATTGGTCTGCTCAGGTTTTGAATATCTTCACAGATCAATTGTAATAAGTTGTAATATCTGGGAATTCATCTATTTCTTCTAGGTTTTCCAATTTATTGGCATATGCTTGCTCATAGTAACCTCTAATAATCCTTTGAATTTCTGTGATGTTGGTTGTAATGTCTCTTTCATCATCTCTGATTTTATTTATTTTGGTCTTCTCTTTTTTTTTCTTTGTCTGGTTAAAGGTTTTTCAATTTTATCTTTTCAAAAAACCATTTTCTGTTTTGTTGATCTTTTGTATTTTTTTCTTCATTTCAGTTTCATTTATTTCTACTCTGATCTTTATTTTTTTCTTCTATTAACTTTGGTTTTGATTTGCTTTCGCTTTTCTAGTTCTTTAAGATGCATTGTTAGATTGCTTATTTAAAGTGTTTCTACTTTTTTAATATAGGCACTTATAGCTATAAACCTTCCACATCATACTGCTTTCACTGTATCCCATAGATTGTGATATTTTGTGTTTTCTTTATCATTTGTTTCAATACATTTTTAAATTTCTGTCTTAATCTTTTCATTGATCCACTCGTCATTCAGGAGCTTATTGTTTAATTTCCATGTGTTTGTATAGTTTCCAAAAATTCCTCTTGTTGTTGATTTCCAGTTTTATTCCATTGTGGTCAGAGAAGACACTTCATATAATTTCAATTTTTGAAGTTTTAAGACTTGTTTTGTGATCCAGCATACGGTGTATTCTTGAGAATGATCGATATGCTGAGAAGAATGTGTACTCTGCATTTGTTGGAAGAAAATATTCTGTAAATATCGATTAGGTCCATTTGGTCTATAATTCAGATTAGGTGCAATGTTTCTTTGTTGACTTTTTTGTTTGAAAGATTTGTCCAGTGCTGAATATTGAGTGTTGAAATCTCCAGCTATTGTTGTATTGGGATCTAGCTCTTCCTTTAGCACTAATGAAATTTGCTTTATATATCTGAGTGCTCTAGTGTTGAGTGTAGATATATTTCAAATTGTTATATCCTCTTGCTGAACTGACCCCTTTATCATATATAATGACTTTCTTCATCTCTTTTTATAGTTTTTGTCTTAAAATCTATTTTGTCTAATATAAGCATAGCTATTCCTCCTTATTTTTTGGTTTACATTTGCACAGAAAATCTTTAAGTTTATCTGCATCTTTATAGGTGAAGTATTCCTCTTGTAAGCAACAGATTGTTAAGTCTTATTTTTTCATCCATTCAGCCACTCTAACTCTTTTGACTGGAGGGGTTAGTTGATTTTCATTCAATGTTATTATTGATAAGTAAGGACTTATGCCTGCCATTTTGTTCTTTGTTTTCTGGTTGTTTAGTGGTCTTCTCTTCCTTCTTTCTTCCTTCCTATCTTCATACTAGTGAAGGTGATTTTCTCTGGTGGTATGTTTTAATTTCTTGCTTTTATATTTTGTGATTTGCTATATATTTTTCATCTGAGGGTATCATGAGACTTGCAAATAATGTCTTATAGCCCTTTATTTTAATAACACTGACTGTATAAACAAACTAACAAACAAGCAAAGAGAAAACTCATAAAAACTCTACACTTTAACTTTGTCCCTCCACTTTTTAATTTTTTGTTGTTTTTATTTATATCTTATTGTACTGTCTATGTCTTGAAGAGTTGTTGTAGTTATTATTTTTTATTGGTTCATCTTTTGGTCTTTCTACTTAAGATATGATTAGTTTATGTACTCATATGCACACTCATATTTTTCCACTTAAGATGTGAGTAGTCTATGCACAATATGTTATACTATTCTGTGTTTTTCTATGTACTTACCAGTGAGTTTTGTACCTTCAGATGATTTATTATGGCTCATTAATCTCCCTTTCAGATTAAAAAACTCCTTTAGCATTTTTTGTAAGACAGTTCTGGTGGTGATAAAGTCTCTCATATTTTGTTTGTCTGGGAAAGTCTTTATTTCTGCTTCATGTTTGAAGGATCTTTTCACTGGATATATTATTCCAGCGTACAAGTTTTCTTTCCTTCATCACTTTAAATATGTCATTCGACTGTCTCCTGGCCTGCAAGGTTTCCCCTGAAAAGTCTGCTATCAGATGTATTGGTACTTCATTGTATGTTATTTGTTTCTTTTCTTTCTTTTCTTTCTTTTTTTTTTTTTGAGATGGAGTCTCACTCTGTTGCCCAGACTGGAGTGCAGTGGCATGCTCTTGGCTCACTGCAACCTCTGCCTCCTGGGTTCAAGCAATTTTCCTGCCTCAGCCTCCCAAGTAGCTGGGATTACAGGCAATGTGCCACCACGCCCAGCTAATTTTTGTATTTTTAGTAGAGATAGGGTTTCACCATGTTGGCCACGCTGGTCTCAAACTTCTGACCTCAAGTGATCCACCCACCTTGGCCTCCCAAAATGCTAGGATTACAGGTGTGAGCCACCATGCCCAGCCTGTTTCTTTTCTCTTGCCGCTTTTAGGATCCTTTCTTTATCCTTGACTTTCAAGGGTATGATCATTAAATATCTTGAGGTAGTCTTATTTGGGTTCAATCTACTTCGAGTTGTATAACCTTCCCGTACTTGAATATTTATATCATTCTCTAGGTTTGGGACATTCTCTGATATTAACCCTTTGAGTAAACTTTCTACTCTATCTCTCTTTACCTTTTATTTAAGAGAAATAACTCTTAGATTTGCCCTTTTGAAGATATTGTCTAGCTATTGTAGAAATGCTTCATCTTTTTTATTCTTTTTTTTTTTTGTCTCCTCTGACTGTGTATTTTCAAGTAGCCTGTCTTTAAGCTCACTAATTCTTTCTTCTGCTTAATCAATTCTGCTGATAAATGTTCTCAGTTATTTGTGGGAGTTAAAAATGAATACAATTCAACTCATGAAGATAGAGTGTAGAATCATGGTTAACAGAGACTGGGAAGGATAGTGGGGAGTGGCGGGAAGTGAGCATGCTTAAGGCATACAAAAATATAATCAGATAGAATGAATAAGATATAGTATTTGATACTAAGATTTACAATTTTGATAGCACAACAGGGTGACTACACCCATAGTAATGTATTGTATATTTAAAAATAACTAAAGAAGTCCGAATGTGGTGGCTCACACCTGTAATCCCAGCACTTTGGGAGGCCGAGGCAGGTGGATCACGAGAAGATCAGGAGATCGAGACCATCCTGGCTAACACGGTGAAACCCCGTCTCTACTAAAAAAAAAAAAAAAAAAAAAAACCACAAAAATTAGCCGGTCATTGTTGCAGGTGCCTGCACTCCCAGTTACTTGGGAGGCTGAGGCAGGAGAATGGCATGAACCCAGGAGGCAGAACTTGCAGCGAGTGGAGATCGCACCATTGCACTCCAGCCTGGGCGACAGAGCAAGACTCCATCTTAAATAAATAAATAAATAAATAAATAAATAAATAAATAAATAAAATTGTTTGTGACACAAAGGATAAATGCCGGAAATGATGGATGCCCCTTTACCCTGTGATTATTACACACTGAGTGCCCCGTCAAAATATCTCATGTGTCCCATAAATATATGCACCTACTAAATGCTCACAAAAATTAAAAATTTAACAAAAAAAAAAAAAATCTGCTGAGAGACTCTGATGGATTCTTCAGCATGTCAATTGCAAATTGCTTTTTTTTGTTTTGTTTTGTTTTTGAGACAAAGTCTCACTCTGTCCCCCAGGTTGGAGTTCATTGGTGTGATCTTGGTTCACTGCAACCTCTGCCTCCCAGGTTCAAGCAATTCTCATGCCTCAGCCTCCCAAGTAGCTGGGATTACAGACATGCACCACCACACGCAGCTAATTTTTGTATTTTTGGTAGTGGTGGGGTTTAACCATGTTGGCCAAGCTAGTCTCGATCTCCTGACCACAAGTGATCCACCCACCTCAGCCTCCGAAAGTGCTGGGATTACAGGTGTGAGCCACTGTGTCCGGCCTTCAATTGCGAATTTCTACTTGATTCTTTTTAATTATTTTAATCTCTTTGCTAAATGTATCTGATAGGATTCTGAATTCCTTCTCTGTGTTATTTTGAATTTTGTTGCGTTTTCTTAAAACAACTATTTTTGAATTCTGTCTGAAAGGTCATATATCTCTGCCATTATTGGTCATTGCTGCCTTATTTGGTTGATTTTGGTGAGGTCATATTTTCCTGGATGGTCTTAATGCTTGTGAATGTTCATTGATGTCTGGGCATTGGAGACTTTGGTATTTATTGTAATCTTCACAGTCTGCGCTTGTTTGTACCCATCCTTCTTGGGAAGGCTTTCTGGATATTCCAAGAGACTTAGGTGTTATAATCTAAGGTTTTGGTCACTGCAGCCATATTTGCATTAGGGGGCATCCTTACTCAAGTAACACGGTGGCTCTTGCAGAGATACCACCTTATCTTCAACAAGATCCAGAAGAATTCTGATTACCAAGTAAAGACTCTTGTTGTCTTCTCTTACTTTCTCTCAATCAAATAGTCTCTCTCACTCTGTCCTGAGCTTCCCAGAGCTAGGGGAGAGTTGACACAAGCCCCTGTGGCCACCACAACTGGAACAGCACTGTGTCAGACCTGAAGCCAGCCTGGTACTGGGTCTTGCACAAGGCTTACAGTACCTACTGCCTGACTACCACCTATATTCACTCAAGACCTTAGGGCTTTACAATCAGCAGTTGCCAAAACTAGCCAGGCTGTGTCCTTCCCTTCAGGGGAGCAAGGTCCCACTGGCCCTGAGAGGGTCCAGAGATGCCATCCAGGATCCAAAGCCTCGAGTCAGAAATCTTAGAAATCTACCTGGTGCCCTCTTCTACTGTGGCTAAGCTGGCACTCAAGCCGCAAGACCAAGTCCTTCCCTCTCTTCTTTCCCCCTTCCACAAGCAGAGGAGTCTCTCAATGGCCACCACTACCCCAGGCCAGCAGTCAGTACTGCCTGGCTATCACCAATAGTCACTCAAGGCCCAAAGGCTCTTCAATCAGCTTGTGCTGCCAGGCCTGGGACTCTCTCCTCAGGGCTGTGAGCTTCCCTCTGATCCAGGTGAAGTCCAGAAATGCCATCTAAGAACCAAGGCCTGAAATTGGAGACCCCAAGAGCCTCCTTGGTGCTCTACCCCACTGTGGCTGAGCTGGTACTTAAGCTGCAAAACAAAGTCCCCTTTACTCTTCCTTCTCCTTTTCTCAAGCAGGAGTCTCTCCCCATAGCCACCACAGCTGGGAATGTGCTGCGTCACACCTGAAGCCAATACATCTCTGAGTTTCACCCAAGGCGCATGCAAGTACTGCCTGCCTACCACTGCTGACTACTCAGGGCCCAAGAACTCTTTAGTCAGCAGATGATGAATCCTGCCAGGACTAGATCCTTCCCTCTGGCTCGGGGTGTGTCTAGAAGTGTCATCCAGGAGCTAGAGCCTATAATAGAAGCCTCAAGACTCTGCCTGGTACCCTATCCTACTGTGGCTGAGCTGGTATATACGTTGCAAGTCAAAGTCCTCTTTACTCTTTTCCTCTTTTCAAGTGGAAGGAAGGAGTCTCTCCTAGAGGTGTGAGCTGTGCTGTCTAGGGTTGGGGTAAGGGTGGTACAAGGAGTCCCTAGGCTGACCCGGCATTTCACATGCTTTCCCAAGTCCACTGGCTCCGAGTCCAGCACAGCACTATGACTTGCCCAGGAATTGCAGTCCTTGTGGTCTAGGCTGACTTTCAAGTTTATTTAGAACCCCAGAGCACTTTAGCCCACAGTGGCAAGGCTTGCCAGAAGCCAGAACTCAGGTTCTGACCATTGGGAAGGGTGATTACCCTCTGGCTAGGGTTGGTCTAAATGCTCCCTCCATCAGCACTGACTGAGTTCTGCCCAGGGTTGCTTTCCACTGTGATAGGTCAGCACTGAGTTCCAATTAAATGTCCCAGAATCACTACACTCTCTCTCCCTTCAAGTGCACAGATGCTCTCTCAGCGCCACTTCAAGTGCACAGATGCCTCTCTGCCAGAGGATGGAGAAGACATGGCATCAGCAAGTCAAGACTATCTTTGCCATCCTCTTCAGTGCCTCTTCCAGTGATATGAAGTTAAAACCAGGTGCTGTGATTGCTCACTTGACTCTTGGTTCTCATGAAGAAGCTTTTTTGTGTGGATGGTTATTCAATTTGGTGTTCTTACAGGGAAGACTATCAGTGGAGGCTTCTATTCAGCCATCATGCTCTGCCTCCTTTTAAAAAAATTTCTTACCATAATTAAATAGCTGAAGTTATATAGTGAATACTGAGCAATTATTTTTACAAAAAAATTTTGCTACAAAAATTATAAGTAACTTATGAGTATTGTGTTTTTAAAGTGTAATTTCATTTATGAAAATTTGATTTCCATACAACTATTTATCTATGCATAGAGTGAAACTCATCTGTGTTATTTAAAATGCAGTCATTATTGCATTATAAGAAACAACTTTAGCTTTCACCAACAGTGTAAGCAATTATCTCAAGCCAAATATCTTTATTCTTCTGTCCTCTCAAATTTAAAAAGGCAATTTTCATTTACTCAATATCTGCATTGAAATGGAGAATTGCCTTTTATTGTGCAAAAGACAAGATTCTATAAAAACTGCTAAGAAGTATTTCCCTGCATTAACATATTATGAGGTGTAGATTTTTAAAAGCTTTTCTATTATCAATACTGTAATTGAACAGATGTCTGCTACATCCTCCATTTCTGCACTAAGAGCCAGATTTTCCTAAGAGCTGACTATTGAAAGCATTTTAAATTATAATATAAAATACTCATTGAGTATTTTGGAAATGAAAATTTTAGTCCTCCTGAAAATTTTGTAGGTGTTTTAGAAGACAGTCTTTAAAATGCAAAGCATAGGCAGTAGGACAAAATGTAGCAAGCCAGACACAAGAACACAAAAGAACAGCAGAAGCTGAGGGCTAGACTTTTTACAGGAGTCAGTAGCTGTGTCATATCATGGAGGCGTTTTCCTCAAGACATGCTGATTCCAAATGGTCTGGCAAGGTGGGGCTGGATGTCAGAAATTAGCCTAGCTAGGTTAGGACTAACCACTTGGCTATAGACACAAGCTAGAGGAAAACAGCTAGCAGTATAGCAAGGTGGTGAAGGTTGTGCTTAAATTTTAGGCACATCCAAATTCAAACACTATGTGAACTATTTACTAGTTATGTGACTTAAATAATCTACTTAGACATTGCTATGGTCTGAATATTTCCTTCCTCCAAAAATTCACATGTTGAACACTAATCCTCAGCACCATAGTACTAAGAGGTGGGACTTTTAGGAGGTGATTGGATCATGAGGGCAAACCCTTCATGAATTGGATTAGTGCCCTTAGAGAAGAACCCTGAGAAAACTTGTTTGCCCCTTCTGCCACGTGAGGACACAGCAAGAAGGTGCCATCTATGATGCAGAGCAAAATTCCTCACCAGACACTGAATCTGCTGATGACTTGATCTTGAATTTCCTAGACTACAGAACTGTGAGCAATATATTTCTTTTATTTATAAATTACCCCACTTATGGTATTTTGTTACAGCAGCCTGAACAGACTAAGACAGACATCCTAAGACTTATTTTTCTTATCTGAAAAACAGGGATTAAAAATAATATCTACCGGCCAGGCATGGTGGCTCACGCCTGTAATCCTAGCACTTTGGGAGGCCAAGGCTGGTGGATCACCTGAGGTCAGGGTTTCAAGACCAGCCTGGCCAACATGGTGAAACCCCATCTCTACTGAAAATAAAAATTTAGCCAGGTGTGGCGGCACGGGCCTATACTCCCAGCTACTCAGGAGGCTGAAGCAAGAGAATTGCTTGAACCCGGGAGGCAGAGGTTGCAGTGAGCCGAGATTGCACCACTGCACTCCAGCCTGGTGACAGAGTGAGACTCTGTCTCAAAAATATAATATAAAATAATAATAATATCTACCTTGTAGAGTTATGATTGGCATGTAGTTAACAGTCATTATTATTTAATTGCATAGGGAGGTGGTGAAGCTAGTCTCAACTTTAATTGTTGTTAATATTTAATTGCCATCTAAGTGGTGACTCCAGTAGCAACTTCTTGAAGGTGGTGCTGCTCATTAACACATAAGTGACAATGCTAGTCACTCTTTTTGGTGTAAGATCTCAGGCAACATTTGGTAGTAGGGGAGGTATTGGTCTTTAATTAGAATTTGTGTCAGAATCTCATTTGTAAAGTTGTTTGTTTGTTTACTTGGTTGAATAAAAGTACATCTTTTCTTTGTCTTTTTTTCTGAAGCACCTCTATAATGATTCTGATGTTCAACCCTAGATGAAAGCATCTACCCAAGGAGAGAGAGGTTTTTTAACAGCTAAGCAAACTACCTAGTCACCACCCAGATAGACTACAATATATGGAAGCTGGAACATGCGTTCAGAAACCGATGAGAAGGAACAGATGTCAAGATTTAGAAAATTCAAAAGGGCTTGGAGAAGATCCCATCTCTGTGGATATGTGGGTCTTGGAGTCTCAACCCAGACTGACTAACTTAGGCCACTCCCTCCTGCTAAAGAGGTCATGAACCTTATTTTATCACTGTATTTAGAATTGGCTCCTGAGGGCAAACAGACTCTGATGAAGACAGGTTGTTATGGGCTGAATTGTGAGACCCCCAAAATTCATATGTTGAAGTCTTAATCCCTAGTACCTGAGAATGTAACCATATTGGAGACAGGGTCTTTAAAGAAGTATGTAAGCCAAAATGAGGCCATTAGGTGGGACCTAATCCAATACAACTCATATTCTTACAAGAAGGGGAAATTTGAACACAGAAATATACAGAAGAAAGACGATATGAGGACACACAGGGAAAAGGGCATTTACAAGTCAACGAGAGAAGCCAGGGACAGATCCTTCCTCTATGGCCCTCAACCTACAGACACTTTGATCTCAGATTTCCAGCCTCCAGAACTGTGAGAAAATAAATTTCTGTTGTGCTCCTCAATGTGGAAATTCAAGGAGGAAATGTGGAACAGAACAACAGCCTCGGGTTATCCAAGGTGCTAACTGTCCAGGCTTTCTGTGAGAAATCTTTGGGTCACTACCCAGCATTGAATATTATTTGGGTACTGTTGATCAGAAAACTTTAGATCAAAATTAAGACTAAGAAAAAATATTATCTAAATTGCTTCTTGAAACTTCTCACTCTTGAATAAGAGACACCATAGCTTAAAACAAATTAGCTTTAAACAATGACAAGGTGCTTTTGACTGTTCTTTTTTGTTCCTTGAGAAAAAAAAAAAATGAGTCCAGGACATAGGCATGGGCAAGGACTTCATGACTAAAACACCAAAAGCAATGGCAGCAAAAGCCAAAATTGATAAATCGGATCTAATTAAACTAAAGAGCTTCTGCACAGCAAAAGAAACTACCATCAGAGTGAACAGGAGACCTACAGAATGGGAGAAAATTTTTGCAATCTACCCATCTGACAAAGGGCTACTATCCAGAATCTACAAAGAACTTAAACAAATTTACAAGAAAAAGTCAAACAACCCCTTCAAAATGTGGACAAAGGATATGAACAGACACTTTTCAAAAGAAGACATTTGTGCAGCCAACAGACACATGAAAAAATGCTCATCATCACTGGTCATCAGAGAAATGAAAATCAAAACCACAATGAGATAGCATCTCACACCAGCTAGAATGGCGATCATTAAAAAGTCAGGAAACAGCAGGTGCTAGAGAGGATGTGGAGAAATAGGAACACTTTTACACTGTTGGTGGGACTGTAAACTAGTTCAACCATTGTGGAAGACAGTGTGACAATTCCTCAAGGATCTAGAACTAGAAATACCATTTGACACAGTGATCCCATTACTGGGTGTATACCCAGAGGATTATAAATCATGCTACTATAAAGACACATGCACACATATGATTATTGTGGCACTATTCACAGTAGCAAAGACTTGGAACCAACCCAAATGTCCATCAATGATAGACTGGATTAAGAAAATGTGGCACATATACACCATGGAATATTATGCAGCCATAAAAAAGGATGAGTTCATGTCCTTTGTGGGGACATGGATGAAGCTGGAAACCATCATTCTCAGCAAACTATCCCAAGGACAGAAAACCAAACACCACATGTTCTCACTCATAGGTGGAAATTAAACAATGAGAACACTTGGACACAGGGTGGGGAACATCACACACCAGGGCCTGTCATGGGGTGGGGGGATGGGGGAGGGATAGCATTAGGAGAAATACCTAATGTAAATGACAAGTTAATGGGTGCAGCGAACCAACATGGCACATATATACATATGTAACAAAACTGCACGTTGTGCACATGTACCCTAGAATTTAAAGTATATAAAGAAAAAAAAGAAAAAAGAATCAGTGGATTTTCTAATGTTTTCTTATTGTAACCTTTTCATCTGTTTTCACATAATCTTAACCACACCCACACAAACACATGCAAACACTACCTCACTGCCTGCACACAAACACATTCTCTTAAGTCTGCCCATATAATCAATACAAACAACGGAACAGTACCTTATTGAATAGATTGTGAGTTACAGATTTTCCTTCCTTTACTTTTTAAGACAGAGTCTTCCTCTGTCACCCAGGCTGGAGTGCAGTGGTACAATCATAGCTCACTGCAGCCTCAAATTCCTGGGCCTCAAGCTATCTTCTCACTCAGCCTCCTGAGTGGCTGGGACTACAGGCACACACCAACATGCTCAGCTAATTTTTTAATTTTTTAAAGAGATGGGCATCTTGTTATACTGCCCAGGCTGATCTTGAACTCCTGGGCTCAAGCAATCCTCCCGCCTCAACCTCCCAAGTCGCTGGGATTACAGGCGTGAGCCACTGCGCCAGCTGCAGATTTTCTTCAGAATCAACATTCCTTGGAAAGTTTACCGTGCCAGTACATCAATTACCATGAATCCCAGAGAGTTATTTCTTCATAAATGTATTAGAATCACCTGCACTTCTGATTCTGATCATACAACCCCCACCACTACTAAAGAGTGAATATTATTTATAATTAACCAAGTGTAGATTGAAAGTATTTTTAAACGGAGCCTCTAGCAGACATGCAAGTGTCTATTTTTAGCAGGAAAAAAACTGTGTTGTTACTTTTATAACCATTGAGTTTTTTAAATAGGTGAATTGGGTAATTAATACATATGGTTCCTAAGTGTAATATTTCAATGACGGTGCATCTTCATTCATATAATAAACAGGCACTGTGCTGGACTCTAGGAGTGTCACTATCAACAGGACTAGTGTGTTCCCCGCTGCAAGAAGCTTACGTTCGGGTGAAGGAGAAAGCAAAATAAATAAATAATTAATTAATTAAATAGCTACAAATCGTGGTAACTTTGTGAAAGAAATTAACAAGAGAGTAAGATAGAGAATGATAGAGGAGGGTACCTCTTTTAGATGGGTGATGTGGAAAGACCTCTCTGGTGATGTAGTATTTCTTTCTTCCTTGACAATTGAACCATAACTGTGGTGAATTTTGTTTCATGATCAAAATCAGAACATTTTAGCCATAGGGCACAATGCAAAAATGACAAACATCTTCAACCAAATACAGTCATGTATTTGTCCCAAGTTACATGCCTCATGTCTCTGAAATCATGATGATGCCTCACACTCTAAAAATTTTATGCAAAAATAAGAAAATAAAGGAGCTACATCACCAGAGAGGTCTTTCCACATCACCCATCTAAAAGAGGTACCTTCCCCTATCATTCTCTGTCTTACTCTCTTGTTAATTTATTTCACAAAGTTACCACCATTTGTAGCTATCTAATTAATTATTTATTTATTTATTTTGCTTTCTCCTTCACCTGAATGTAAGCTTTTTGCAACGGGGAACACACCAGTCCTGAGCATTTTGGTGCACAGTCTTAGAGTTGTACAACATTCCAAACTCACTGTATTCAGCTTACAGAAATAGACAAGTCATTGAGTTTCGTTTCTGTCAGGACAGCATGCAACACTTAATCCCAGCAAGAATGCTGCTAGTACATTCAAGTCTATAAGAGCAATATACATTTCAGCATTCATTTATCAGCTCTAGCCACAGTGAATAGAAAAAGGAAAGGGGGTACTTAACCAAGTTTGAGAATAACCCAAGTATTCATCAAGTCAGCTGCTTTGGTAAATTTCAATAGATTACTAAGTACTTTAGCCAATGTGATAGCCAAGTGTGTATACTATGCAGTTTTTCCTAAGTTTTTGATTATTTCAATCTGCTCTTGCCTGGAAGCTTTTCTTTATGAACCAAGCTACAGGTATTTGTTGTAGAAAGATCATAAAACACAAATACAGAAGAAAAAGAAATAAGAAAAGTTACCCTGTGATAGATCAAAGGTAATAATGGTCCCAGTTTGTCAGTCTTCCTTGTCTCTATACCACGTGCGTATAGCTCAATGGTGCTCTCTCATTCCGCACTCAGCCATAGGACTTGCTTTCGGAGAAGCAAAATTGGGCAGAGGGAATAGGTGAGCTCTGTTGCAGGTCCAGTGAGTCTTGGCCAACTGGTTGGGAGCTCTGGAGCTAGAATGACCTGAGTTGCCCCAAGGAGACAACTGACAAGTGTGGCACAAGCAGAGACCTGAGACATTTGCATGGTGGAGCTTGCTTGCTCTTACCCTCTGCTACTGCCATAAGAACTTGACCAAGCTGCCCCTCTCGTCCCAGGAGAAAGATGAGAGATTCAAGGATCAGAACTGAGTTGCCCCAGTCATCTCCGCCAAGGCCACCTTAGATGCCACCTAGATTTGTGAGAGGGCCCACCCAAGGACAGCAGAGTCACCTACTGAACCTACAGCTGACAGTAAACACATGAGAAGAGTCAAACCCAGGCCTGATCAGCTGAATCCCGTCGACTCATAAGCTAAATAGATGCTTATTGTTATCAACCACTGAGGTTTGTTGTTTATTAAGGAGAATTATTGTGATAATCAACTTCTGATATACACACCACTCTAAAACAGAACAATTTAACACTGCTCTCATTTTGCTAAGGCATTTTGTTCAACTTACGGCCTTTTGATAGCTATCTGTATCAGCAGAGAGCAGGATATATGAATTTGGTTTCCTGGTTCCCTACCACACGGGGCTGGAATAGGTATTAGGAGAGAAAAATCCAACTGTAGTTCTAACAGTGGAAGTTCACTGTAGTACATTTGAGCGATTTTCTTTTTTTGAGACAGGGTCTCACTCTGTCACCCAGGCTGAGTGCAGTGGAGCAATCACAGCTCATTGCAGCCTCAACTTCTGGGCTCAAGAGATCCTGCTACCTCAGCCTCCCAAGTAGCTGAGACTGCAGGCAAATGCCACCATGCCTGACTAATTTTTTTTTTTTTTTGTAGTGTCAGGGTCTTGCTCTGTTGCCCAGGTTGGTCTCACACTTCTGGATGCCAGCAATCATCCTGCTTTGACCTCCCAAAATGCTGGGATTACTGGCCTGAGCCACTGCACCTGCACAAATTAGAGCTATTTTTTACTTGCCATCCAGTCAATCAGTAAAGAAAAGACTCCAGGAAAAAGGTAAAGTAGACAACCCCATCTGTATTGGAGTTCTCCAGAACGACAGAACCAATAGAATATTTGTATATATAAAAGGGAGTTTACTAGGAAGAATTGGCTTATATGACGACATGGCAAAGTCCCATGATAGGCTGTCCATGAGCTGGGGAAAGAAAAAAGCTAGTAGTGGCTCAGTCCAAGTCTGAAGGCCTCAAAACCAGGGAAGCTGACAGTGCAGCCTTCAGTCCCAGCCAAAAGCTGAAAAACCAGGAGTCTGATGTTTAAGGGCAGGTGTGGGAGCAAGTGTCTGGTATGGGAAGAAAAATAGAAGACTCAGCAAGGGAGCTTGTTCCCCCTTCTTCCACCTGCTTTGTTCTAGCTGCACTGACAGCCAATTGGACGGTGCCCACTCACATTAAGGGTGGATCTTCCTCTCCCAGTTCGCCAACTCAGATGTCAATCTCTCTGGCAACACCCTCACAGACACACCCAGAAACAATACTTTACCAGCCATCTAGGCATCTCTCAATCCAGTCAAGTGGACAACCTAATATTAACCATCACACTATCAAGTCCAGAAAGTAAAATAGATGGGACACAGCAAGTGAAACTGAAATGAAATTGGGTTGTGTGAGGCATTCCAAATGGAAGGAACAGTGTGTCACTTAGGTCTCTTTCCTTATAAGCAACTCTGGCCGACTTAGGTAAACAAAAGACTTTGTTGGAAAGATTCTGTTTAGTTCACAGAATCAAAAAGAAAGCTAACTTGGCAGGCTTAAGCAAAGTTAAGGAGAAAGAGTCCCTCTAGAGAGCTCAGGGCAGTAACATGTCTCTGTTGGATGTTTCCCGTAGAGAGAGTTCATTTTAACCATCTTAAGTCTCTGTATTTCTCTGTTAAGAGTATAAGGCTTAGCAAAGATTATCCAAGGTTCTGGAGATTAGGGCATGGACATTTTCAGAAGACCGCTATTCTACCCGCCACACCATCTTAGAGTGGGAAGTCCAAGTTTTACCTAATTTTGTGAAGCTTACTCCATGTTCCTGCATGTCAATGAATTCACCAATCTTGCCCCTCTCCATTAATAAGGCTGAAATTAAAGACTACAACATGAAGTTCTTAGGCAATTGGTTTTTAAAAACTCCTTGAAAGAGCTGTCTTTATTTCTTGCTTCTGGCTTTTCTTTCTTTATTTAATCCTGAATCCACTCCAGTTAGACGCTCACCCCCAGCACTCTACCACTCACTAATCTTATCAAGGTAACTGTGACCTCCACATTTCTAAATTCAATATTCAATCCTTAGTCTTTATCTTACTTGACATAGCAGCAACCTCTGACACAATTGTTTCCTTTTTCTTTTTCAAAGTACTTTCTTTATTTCATATATCTCCAATTTTTTCTCTAAACCTCTCTGTCCTCTCCATCTCAGTCTTATTTGATTATTTTTTCTTATCTCCCCTCCATTCTAATTTCAGAATGTCCAAGATATCCACGTGTTATAGACTGAATTGTGTTCCCCCTAAAAATGTGTATGTTGACACCCTATCCCCCAGTATGTTAGAATATGACCGTATTGGGAATAGAGCCTCTAAAGGGGTAATATGAAGGTTAAATGAGGGAATAAGGGAGAGGCCCTAATCCAATATGACTGGTGTCCTTATAGGATGATGAAGACACCAGGGATATGCACACACAGAGGAAAGAGCATGTGAAAACACACTGAGAAAGCAGCCATCTGCAAGCCAAGGAGAGAGGCCTCCAAATAAATCACCCCTGCTGGCACCTTGACTTGGACTTTCAGCCATCAGAACTGCAAGAAAATTAATTTCTGTTGTTTCAGCCATCCAGTCTGTGGTATTTTGTTATGACAGCTCTAGAAAATTAATATATCAACCTTGAGTTTCTTCTTTTCTCTATTATACATACTCCCTTGCAAATCTCATCCAGTTCCAAGGTTTCAAAATATCATCTACATACTAGTGACTCTCTAATTTACATATCTAGCCCTGACCTTGTTTCTTAAATCCAGATTCATATATGCAATCACCTATTTTCCTTGACATTCCTCCTGGAAAGTAATAAATAGGGAATATGTTTAATATGTGGAAAATTGAGCTCCCATACACCCCTCCAATCTTCTCTTCTTGCTTGCTTCCTCAACTTAGTAAATGGCAAACATAATTATTTTAGTCTCTCAGCCCAAACACATTGGAATTGTCTATGCCTCCTTACCTCTCTCACTCTCTCCACCCCATCCATCAGCAAATTCTGTCAACTCCAGCTTCAGAATATATAGAACTCAATGCTTCTCACCACCTCCACTGCTAAGACTCAGGTTCAAATCACCATAATCTCTCTCCTGGATTATTGCGATAATTCATAACTGGCTTCTCCTTCCACCCTTGTTCTCCTGAAGACTATTATAGCAGCCAGAATAATCCTTTTGACCTTGAGATTATTCTGTTCAATATTCTTCAGTAATTCTCCATCAAACTTAAAATATATAGTTAGATAGAAGGAATAATTTACAGTATTTGATAGCACAATAGGGAAATTATAGCTAACAATAATTTATTGTATATTTCAAAATAGCTAGAAGAAAAGAATGGTAATGTTCCCAATAAAAGATAAATGTTTGAAGTGATGGACATCCAATTACCCTAATTTGATCATTACACAGGTATCAAAACATCACATGTACCCCAAAAATATGTACAACTTTTTTTTTTTTAGACGGAGTCTCGCTCTGTTGCTAGACTGAAGTGCAGTGGCACAATCTCGGCTCCCTGCAACCTCCGCCACCTAGGTTCAAGCGATTCTCCTGCCTCAGCCGCCCGAGTAGCTGGTACTACAGGCGTGTGCCACCATGCCCAGCTAATTTTTGTATTTTTAGTAGAGACGGGGTTTCACCATGTTGGCCAGGATGGTCTCGATCTCTTGACCTGGGGATCCGCCTGCCTTGGCCTCCCAAAGTGCAGAATTACAGACGTAAGCCACTGCTCCAGGCCTGTACAACTATTATATATCAATTTTAAGACTCCAATAGATAAAGTCATTGCTTCCCTGTCACTTTTGATTTGCATAAAGTATAAATAAATAAATAAATTTTAAAACTTAAGGTAAATACCAAAGACCTTAAGGTTCCTATGTGATCTGTCTATCACCTTGCTTCCTCTCTGGCAATAGCACCTCATTCTCCTTCACCTCCCTTCATCCACACTGGTCTTCTCAATATTCCTAAGTGTTCCAGAAGTACTCCTACCTTAGGGCTCAGGCATTTGCCATTTCCTCAGATGGAATATTTTTCCGACATATCTTGATGTGGCTCACCTTCTTCAGATATTTACGCAAAAGAGACCTTCTCAATAAAGCCTCTCCTGGCCATCCTATCTAAAATTGCAATGCACCTCTTTCCCCAGACATTTCCTACCTTTCTTCCTTTCTTCCCCTTAGCACTTCTGAAGTCTAACATCTTGCTTACTTATTGTGCTCATTTTCTGCCTGCTCCACTAGAATATAGCTCCAAGATGGCCAGAATCTGAGTCTGTCTTCGCATCCTCCACAAAGCAGTGCCTGGCATAGGATTGACCCTCAATATGCAATGGCTGAGTTAATTAACTGAGTGTTCTCCAAGGGAAGGGGAAAGAACTCTGCATTGTTGGAGAAAAAGGGAAAGGGACGATATCGTAGTTAGGGTTTCCCTCGGAGAAGAGCCTAGAACAAAGACTTGGTTGCAGTTAGTTTATTTCCAAACTGCTCCTAGGAAACAGAAATAAGGGAGGAGAGTCAGACACAAAGAGAGAAAAGACATTATATGGTGCTTTACTGAGGTTTCTGCTGTAAGCAACAAGAGTGGGACTCTGCCAGAAGCTCTGAGAAGCATACATGGAATGCCTCCCAGAATTGTCTACCAGAAATATAGGAAATTGGAATATTTTTTCACTACCTCCCATCTCCCATTGGTTGAAGGATGTCCTCTAGGCATTAATCCCTCCCCATCCCTGCACCTTTAGACAGCAAAATTCAAGCCAGCTGCGAGATCTCTGTTGAAAAAGACCCTGGGGAAGAATGTAAGAGACAGCTGCAAGAGCTTCCAGCAACATCCTGGCAGGAAGAGAAGAATATGAGCTTTCACGAACTGTCTACCACACTGTGGTTAAAATCAGAAGAGAGCTGAATAAAGGCAACGTGGGCACCAGGAGCATCTGTCTAAGATTAGGATATCAAAGCATAGGGTATGTTCTTTGCAACTGATTATCATTTCTGAAGATTTTTCATTGTCACCATAATGGCTTAAAAACAATAATTCCTAATAGGTACTTAGCATTTTATGCACATTTGTGTTTCCCAATTTTTTTATGAGGCAAGTATTGTGATTATTTTTTAAGACTTAAAAAGGGGAAGGAAAAAGAATATTTCTTATGGAGGTAATAATGTAGCAATCGAAGATAAAAAGATAAAAACAATTTTAAAAACCATGACAGCTTTGCCCAGAAAACTGGCCAAGTTGTTCATAGCATCATATTACCCGGTATCCATGAGAATACAATGAAATGATGCTATGAAGAGAGAAACTATGAAGAGAGAAACACTGTGAAGAGAGAAACTGATAGACTCCTTCCAGAGGTACATTTAAAATATGCATCAAATGTATTTTTTAAATAGCCATTCATGCCCTTTGACCCATTAATTATTTCAAAGGGAAATAGAAATTTTATATTCAAAAATATTCATTATAATATTATAGTAAATAACAAACAATGGGAAACAACTAGAATGCCCAACAGCATGGGGTGGTAAAATAAAATATGGGGCCTCCATACGTTCTTATTCTCTGGATGCTTTAAATTCATGTTTATGAGAAATACCCAATGACAATTGTTAGGTGACAAAGCATCATTTAAAACTACTTATTCAGAATATTACAAATTTGTTTTAGGTATAAATAGATACACCTTTTAAGTATGTTAGTGTGTATATTTATATACGCACTAATATACCTGAATAGAAAAAAGACAAGAAGAAAGTAGACCAATATATTAATAGTGGATCATTCTGGGTAGTGATAGAAGGATTCAAGGCACTTTTTATTTTGTTTTTATACAATTCAGTATGCTTTAACATTTTAAACATAAATTCAGAAATGATTTGAATAAATATATATAAGAAATCAATACCAGCTTTTCCAAAATTTGTAAACTAAGGTGGAAATCAAGATAAAATCATAATTTTAAAAATCCTAAAAGTAAGTCATAAATGTATATATAAATTATTACATCCCAATGTCAATGATTCACAAGTTCCCTATTTTTTGTCGTTGTTGTTGTTTTGTTTGTTTGTGTGTTTTTTGAGACGGAGTCTGACTCTGTTGCCCAGGCTGGAGTGCAGTGGCGCGATCTCGGCTCACTGCAAGCTCCGCCCCCCGGGTTCACGCCATTCTCTTGCCTCAGCCTCCCAAGTAGCTGGGACTACAGGCGCCCACCACCACGTCTGGCTAATTTTTTGTATTTTTAGTAGAAACGGGGTTTCACCATGTTAGCCAGGATGGTCTCGATCTCCTGACCTCGTGATCCACCCGCCTCAGCCTCCCAAAGTGCTGGGATTACAGGCGTGAGCCACCGCACCCGGCCCATAAGTTCCCTATTTAAAGAAAGAGGATTGCTAAATGTTCCAAAGATAAATAAGATACCGATTAATCAGTATTCCTTTTACTTGGACTCCTTACATGTTTAATTTGGCATTTTACCTGTCTGTGGAAAGACTAAAGAGAAACCTCTCTCTGCTAAAACTGGAATTTTAAATAAATCAGTAATAAGGAGGTAATCTACTGAGTCCTTCTGGGGGAAAAATATAGATTATATTGAATATAAAAATTCTTAAGGGCAAATAAAAAACAAGGCAGCAAACCTTTATATTTAGTACAGATTCTTGCCTCTAGCTAAAATATAGAACTATCCAAGCTACTTTGCTTTGGTGAGCTCATGAGGTAGTCCGTCTGCAAAATTTCTCTAAGGTCAGGCAAGGTCACTGAGTCAGTCTGGGTTATAGGATCAGAGGGAGCCATACACAAAGCTTGAAGCCAGTATCTTTTCTCCTCTGCACGGTATGTACCGCACGCATGCACAAACCTATCCTTTGGAGTTCCTGCTTCCATTCTATACCTACAAAGCCACCTTGTCCTATATCTAAACATACTCCCACTCTTACCCTAGCCCTCAGGGTTGACCCATCATGGATCATGCTGCTTTCCTGGTAGAAGCTTGGGCTATTTTTCCATTCCCCCCCTTCTTTGTCTCTACTCTCCAACCAACCTGAAGAATTACTTTTCCCTTAAAAAAAAAATTGTAATGGCTGATGGGGCATGAAAACTGGTTATGAGGTTTTCTTCTTCTGGGCAGCAGACTCAGGGCTCTTCTGGAGGTCATGAGTAAGACAGAAGAAGGGCTGTAATAGTAAGAATTGCAGATGCTGTTGTCTGACCACTGATGGAAACACTCTGGGGCAGGCTAGGCTTTCAAGTCACACCAAGCCAACAGCTACCATCATTCCAACTGGCAATGCTGAGCCCTCAAAGAAGGAGTAAATGTTGGCAACTCTGAAGGCTGCTAAGCAGGATTTTGTTGGAGTTGCTGGGAGCAGTTAAAGGGGAAGATCACTAAAACTTATACCTCCTGTCTAACTGAAACTATTGCACAGCATGGTGGCCATTGTTAATAATAATATACTGTATATTTCAAAATTGTTGAGTAGCTTTTAAATGTTTTCACCAAACACACAAAATACTAAGTAGGTGGTGATGGATATGTTAATCAGCTTGATTTAATTATTCAACGATGTGTGTATATATATCTGAAAGCATCACATTGTACCCCATAAATATATACAATTATTATTCATCAACTAAAACTTCTTTAATTTTTTAAAAGGAAGAAGAAAAGAGATGGGAAAGAAACCTAGAATCTGAGTTGACGGAAATGCTCAAGGGACTCCACAGAAGCAGAATGTGAAATATTCAGCTCAACAGTTCATCTGCTATAAAGCTGAGCAGTAACCTCCCTTTCTATTACCCTATGTCTTCGGTAATATTGACAACTTACACAAATGCCTTGTGTCCTTGATAGTTCTCACTGGGAGCAACTAGGTGAGGAAAAAGATAAGAATTCTCAAAATGGCTAAATATGTCATTTCCTGCATTTTGTTGGCAAAATTAAAGACTCCAAGCCAGAAAAGATTAGAAAAAATGCAAGCCACACTTTTATCTGTGTTTCCTGCCTGTGCTGCTCCCCCTCCCAATCTTTTACCCCCAGTGGGAAGAGGTTCTAGCTAATATCACCTGATTCTTAAAAATCAAGCTGCCTCAAAGGACACATGAGCTACAAAAGTGAAGTTGAAATATAGGTGCCATCCTATCCACAATAGCAAAGACTTGGAACCAACCCAAATGTCCATCAATGATAGACTGGATTAAGAAAATGTGGCATGAAGGCTGGGCGTGGTGGCTCATGCCTGTAATCCCAGCACTTTGGGAGGCCAAGGCAGGTGGATCATGAGGTCAGGAGATTGAGACCATCCTGGCTAACATGGTGAAACCCCTTCTGTACTAAAAATACAAAAAATTAGCTGGGCATGGTGGCGGGCGCCTGTAGTCCCAGCTACTCAGGAGGCTGAGGCAGGCAAATGGCGTGAATCCGGGAGGCAGAGCTTGCAGTGAGCCAAGATCATGCCACTGCACAGCAGCCTGGGCGACCAAGCGAGACTCCTTCTCAAAAAAAAAAAAAAGAGAGAAAGAAAATGTGGCACATATACACCACAGAATACTATGCAGCCACAAAAAAGGATGGAAACCATCATTCTAAGCAAACTATCACAAGGACAGAAAACCAAACACCTCATGTTCCCACTCATAGGTGGGAATTGAACAATGAGAACACTTGGACACAGGGTGGGGAACATCACACACTGGGGCCTGTTGTGGTGTTGGGGGAGGGGAAAGGGATAGCATTAAGAGAAAAACCTAATGTAAATGACAAGTTAATGGGTGCAGCACACCAACATGGTACATGTATACATATGTAACAAACCTGCACATTGTGCACATGTACCCTAGAACTTAAAGTATAATAAAAAATAAAAATAAAATAGAAATATAGGTGCCATCAATGCCACTCCATAGTCTCAAGATATGGCCAAGATAGATACTGAACAAAAGCTATCAGATCATGAATTTCTTCGCTCCTTGTCATTACACTTAGGTTTTGCATAACAGCATTTGCTGAACAAATGAAAGCTCCTTTTCTCTTCAAGAGTTTTGCCCTTCCTCTGGAATTCTTTTTTCATGGCTTTTTGGATGTCGAGCACATTCACGTCCTTAAATCTTAACCTCAACTGTATCGTTTCATTTACTCTTCCTATTACTTTCTCTATAAGGCCCTGCCCTGGTTACTCTCTTAGGTATCAACTTGCTGATTTTCTTCATAGCAATGATCACAATCTGTAATGATCTTATTTGCCTCTTTACTATTTCATCAATGTCTGTCTTATACACTATCTTACAGCAGGAGCCTTGCCCAAGCTGTCTACAACTTCCTCCTCACTAGAACGTAGAAGGAACTCAAATGTTTGTTGAAAAGATGATGCCCAAATCTGGATTGCCAGCGGAGTTCTGTATGGGAGACTTCTGTCCAGGTTACAAACTAAGAAATATCAGATCCCCAGCTAGTCTTTTTTCAGTGTGAATGTTTTTCTTACTTCCTAGGTTTGTACTTACTTGTTAGGCCTGTGAGGTATGACATTGATACAACAGCATGAATCTCATGGCTATCAGTGCAGGTGTCTGTACATCATGCATCGCAGCAAGCCCATCGGCAGAGGTCCAAGTTCATATTAGAGCCCTCCACCAGCCAAGCAGTACACAGCTGCAAAAGAATGCTGAAGATTTTCCTTTACATACATATCATTCTTTGTGGCCATTAGCTTTATTTTGAAAGAGAATTTAGTTGTTTAATCAAAACCGTTTATAGGTCTTAAATAAAAATTGGTTTAATCTTATTTCAAACTTCCATAAAAACAGTGATGTTTTAGGAATGAACTGATATTCACGTTAGGATTATTTACCATTTAAGTGCTTGAATGAATTTGTTCTAAACCTCTGCGTGTGCATAAAAGCCTTGGAGCATCTATAGAAGGGTGTGAATTTCTTTTTTGAAACTACAATTTATCTTGTTCTAAATGCCTTGATATTTCCTAATCATAGCAAATCTTCTTTAATTATGTAATTAAATTCTGGATAACATCATCATGGAAAAACTGGATTTCTTCAAATTCTCTGTAGGACAAAGTTATGGCTTTAGAACACATATTTATTTCCCTTAAAAGCATAAAATGTCTTGATAAGGAGAAATTTTTTGCATGAAATTATCTTGCTGCTTCAATTTTGTATATAGTGGTTGAATAATCTGTTTCAATTTTTTCTCAAAACCTAGTATGGAAAAAATATTTTCTTACGCCCAATTTTCTTTTGTTTTATTTGTATGTGTGCGTATGGGCAAATGTCACAGAATCAGTCAGAGAAGCAAATTTGTAGAGTTGGTTTTTTTTTTAATAAATCACTATTTGGAAGTAACATATTGGGAGGAGATGGGAGGTGAAAACCCATGAAGTCCAATGTAAAATAAGATTTGATATAAGCTGGCTGGGCACGGTGGCTCACACCTGTAATCCCAGCACTTTGGGAGGCCGAGGCGGGTGGATCACCTGAGGTCGGGAGATCCAGACAAGCCTGACCAACATGGAGAAACCCCATCTGTACTAAAAATACAAAATTAGCCGGATGTGGTGGTGCATGCCTGTAATCCCAGCTACTCAGGAGGCTGAGGCAGGAGAATCGCTTGAACCCGGGAGGCAGAGGTTGCGGTGAGCAGAGATCATGCCATTGCACTCCAGCCTGAGCGACAAGAGCAAAACTCTGTCTCAAAATAATAAAAGATTTGATATAAACTATATTCCATATCAGATATTTTTGAACAATAAATTTTTGTCTATCAAATTCAGCATTTTGATCAAAACTAACTCATATCTATTCACCAATGAGAGACAGACCATTAGTGATAAAGTCTCTCATCCACCCCGCTTTCTACATCTCATCCTTTTCAAAAAAGCGAAAACTCACCAGCGTGGCCTCCAGGGTCGTCTTCACAGCGCATCGCCTAGGCCCCTCCTACTGTTCTATCCGACACTCTATTTTCTAGGCACACTGGATTCTTCTCTACTTCTAGGTCATTGGCACAAGCATTCAGACTTTTGTGCTTTTCTCCACAATGTTTCCTCTTTTTCCTTCCCAGCTATTCAGTCGGGATTAAATTAATTGCTCTGCCTTCCCATACAACCTGACATATCTATAGTTGTCAAATTAATTGTTCATCTATCTGTCTCTCCATCTCCCCGTCTTCATCTCCTCCCAGATGGCAATCATCTCTTATCCACTATTCTCAACGGAAAGCATCATTCTAACATATTCTGGGCTATGCAAGCATGCAAAGGTTGTCTAAACTATGTGTTAATTATTTCAATCTGCCTGTATGTGCTTCTCCTGTGGTCTGAAATTTTCCAACTCTTAAAAGAAAAAATTTACATCTAATAAAAATACTGTCAGCTAATTTTTGAATAATTTAAATAATGGTCAAAGGAAATGATAAAATTTACACTCCTATGTATTTTTTTCAATCCTTATTGACTAACTGCCTTGCCATAGTATTTGTGTGCAATGTTGGATTTAATATCCACATCTTCCATCTTCTCTTCAAAACAGAGGTGGGAAAGTGTGCACTATTCTGAGAACAAGAGGAAAATATTGAGATTGCTTCCTCCTTCATAATTCTTGCTGATTTGAATAATTCATATTGTGTGATTAAGTCTATGAACCAGAAGTACACTGGAAAATCATGTGAAGAAGGGTATGTTTGCTGAAAGTTCTGATGACACCAGAAAGAGGAAAAATTTACATGAAAAAAATGATGTGACTATTATTAGCAATCAAGGCTTTTATCAAAACAAGATCAGAGATCAGATTAGCTATCTCTGTCAGAGATTACCTCTCCACCTTTTTTTGTTTTTTGAGATGGAGTCTCTCACTGTTGCCTGGGTTAGAGGGCAATGGTGCAATCTCGGCTCACTGCAACCTCTGCCTCCCAGGTTCAAGCGATTCTCCTGCCTCAGCCTCCCAAGTAGCTGGGATTACAGGCGCCCGCCACCATGCCCAGCTATTTTATTTGTATTTTTAGTACAGACAGGATTTCACCATGTTGGCATGGCTGGTCTCGAACTCCTGGCCTCGTGATTCACCCACCTTGGCCTCCCAAAATGCTGGGATTACAGGCATGAGCCACCATGCCTGGCCACCTCGCCACCTTTGTTCAAAATGAAATTTTTATCTCACTTGTACAAAAAACCTAGCTCTTTTTGCTAAAGTCAGATAAATTAATGTATATAGGAGTAGCTTTTTTCTTTTAAAAAATGTTTAATTATTATGGGAATATAATTATGTATATTTATAAGGTACATGAGATATTTCGATATAGGCATACAGTGTGTAATGATCACATCAGGGTAATTGCGGTATCCATCACCTCGAGCATTTATCATTTCTTTGTGTTAGGGCTGTTTCAATTTCACTGTTTTATTTTTAAATATACAATAAATTATTGCTAACTATAGTCACCCCATTGTGTTACCGAATACTGGATCTTATTCATTCTATTTAACTGTAATTTGTACCCATTAATCATCCCCACTTTATACCCCCTCTCCGCTACCCTTCCTAGCTTCTGGTAACCATCATTCTACTTCCTTCTCCATGAGTTCAATTTTTTAATTTATTTTCTTATTTTTTTTATTTTTTTTTAGCTTCCACATATAAGTGAGAACATGTGATATTTGTCTTTCAGAAGAGTTTTTAGAGAAAAACTTTGGTGATGAGTTCCAGGTCCTAGCTGGTGAAAGGGTCCCTATTTTAGCCATCAGGAGCCTCTGATCACACAGCTTCCAAGCTGGAAGGCACCTTAAGAGTCATGGGACCCCATCCCCTTATTTTCTGGATTGTGAAAATGAAGCTCAGAGAGGTTCAAGATAAATTTGTCCAAGTGTTAAGAATTAGGCAGCCAAGAAAGAAGTGGAACCTGGTTTTTTGACTCAGCCTGGGACTCTTCAGAGAGATAATTCCATTAATTGTTCTAATACACTATATTACTTTTCCCCAAATATTCTTTCTTCCAACTCCTTTTAGTGCCTCGCGCCTGCAGTTCATGATCGTTTCTTCCTTTTGCCTCAACAGCCTGAGTGAATACTACGTGGAACAGAGCTGATAGATATGCAGTGCCAACGAGAAATACTCTTTTCCGTTGTGAGCCACTAAAGTTATGGAATTGCTTGTTGCCGCAGGCTAACTTAGCCTATCCCAACTATTGCATTTTTCTTCTGCATTATAGGCAGGCTGTCTTGCAAGTAAAGGAATGTATTATCCATTGGTCTACCTGGAAACTACACTTCTGTTGTAGCTATTAATTTGGACTGTTGCTACAAATTCATTTCCTTTTTATTTTTTATTTTTCCATAGGTTATTTTGGTATAGGTGGTGTTTGGTTACATGAGTAAATTCTTCGGTGGTGATTTGTGAGATTTTGGTGCACTCATCACCTGAGCAGTATACACTGCACCCTATTTGTAGTTTTTTATATCTCGCCCCACTCCCATCCTTCCTCCCAAGTCCTCAAGGTCCGTTGTATCATTCTTATGCTTTTGTGTCCTCATAGCTAAGCTCCCACATAGTAGTGAAAACATACAATGTTTGATTTTCCATTCCTGAGTTACTTCACTTAGCATAATAGTCTCCAATCTCATCCAGGTCACTGCAAATGCTGTTAATTCACTCCTTTCTATGGCTGAGTAGTATTCCATCTCATATATATATATATATATATATACACACACACACACACACACACACATATATAAACTGTGATATATAAATGTATATATATACGTACATACATATATGTATATATGTATATATGTATGTGTATATATGTATGCACATATGTATGTGTATATATGTATGCGCATATGTGTGTATATATGTATGCACATATGTGTGTGTATGTATGCACATATGTGTGTATATGTATGCACATATGTGTGTATATGTATGCACGTATGTGTGTATATGTATGCACATATGTGTATATATGTATGCATGTGTGTGTGCACATGTGTGTATGTGTGTGCACACGTGTGTGTATATGTGTGCACATATATGTGTGTATATGTGTGCGCATATATATACATGTATATATGTATGCGCATATATATACATGTATATATGTATGCGCATATATATACATGTATATATGTATGCGCATATATATACATGTATATATGTATGCACATATATATATATATACATGTATATATATATGGTTTTTTGACTCAGTCTGGGACTCTTCAAAGAGATAATTCCATTAATTGTTCCAACAGAATAGTTTCTTTATCCACTCATTGATTGATGGGCATTTTGGTTGGTTCCACGATTTTGCAATTGTGAATTTTGCTGCTATAAACCTGTGTGTACAAGTATCTTTTCTGTATAATGACTTCTTTCCTCTGGGTAGATACCCAGTAGTGGGATTGCTGGATCAAATGGTAGTTCTACCTTTAGTTCTTTAAGGAATCTCCACACTGTTTTCCATAGTAGTTGTACTAGTTTACATTACTACCAGCAGTGTACAAGTGTTCCTTGATCACCACATCCATGCCAACATCTACCATTTTTTTATTTTTTGATTATGGCTATTCTTGCAGGAGTAAGGTGGTATCGCATTGTGATATTGATTTGCATTTCCCTGATAATTAGTGATGTTGAGCATTTTTCACATGTTTGTTGGCCATTTGCATATCTTCTTTTGAGAATGACCTATTCATGTCCTTAGCCCACTTTTTGATGGGATTGTTTGAGTTTGTTGTAGATTCTGGATATTACTCCTTTGTCAGATGCATAGATTGTGAAGATTTTCTACCACTCTGTGGGTTGTCTGTCTACTCTGCTGACTGTTCCTTTTGCCATGCAAAAGCTCTTTAGTTTAATTAAGTCCCAGCTATTTATCTTTGTTTTTATTGCATTTGCTTTACGGTTCTTGGTCATGAAATCCTTGCCTAAGCCAATGTCTAGAAGGGCTTTTCCAATGTTGTCGTCTAGAATTTTTATAGTTTCAGGCTTTAGATTTAACTCCTTAATCCATCTTGAATTGATTTTTTTGTATAAGATGAGAGATGAGGATCCAGTTTCATTCTCTTACATGTTGCTTGCCAATTATCCCAGCAGCATTTGTTGAAAAGGCTGTCCTTCCCCCAACTTTATGTCTTTGTTTGCTTTGTTGAAGATAAGTTGGCTGCAAGTATTTGGGCTTATTTCTGGGTTCTCTGCTGTGTTCCATTGGTCTACATGCCCATTTTCATACAAGTACCATGCTGTTTTGGTGACTATGGCCTTATAATGTAGTTTGAAATCAGGTAATGTGATGCCTCCAGATTTGTTCTTTTTGCTTATTCTTGCTTTGGTTGTGTGGGCTCTTTTTTGGTTTTATATGAATTATAGAATTGTTTTTTCTAACTATATGAAGAATGATGGTGGTATTTTGATGGGAATTGTGTTTAATTTGTAGATTGCTTTTGGCAGTATGGTCATTTTCACAATCTGGATTCTACCTATCTATGAGAGTGGGATGTGTTTCCATTTGTTTCTGTCATCTATGATATCTTTCAGCAGTGTTTTCTAGTTTGCCTTGTAGAGGTCATTCACCTCCTTAGGTATATTCCTAAGTGTGTGTTTGTTTGTTTGTTTGTTTGTTGCAGCTATTATAAAAGGGGTTGAGTTCTTGATTTGATTCTCCGCTTGGTCACTGTTGGCTTATAGAAGAGCTACTGATTTGTGTACATTAATTTTGTATCCAGAAACTTTGCTGAATTCTTTTATCAGTTCTAGGGGCTTTCTGGAGGAGTCTTTAGGGTTTTTGAGGTAAATGATCATATCATCAGCAAAAAGTGACAGTTTGACTTCCTTTTTACCAATTTGAATGCCCTTTTTTTTTTCTCTCTCTCGTCTGATTGCTCTGGCTAGGACTTCCAGTACTATATTGAAGAGGAGTGATGAGAGTGGCATCCTTGTCTTGTTCCAGTTCTCAGAGGGAATGCTTTCAACTTTTCCCCATTTATTATTATGTTGGCTGTGGGTTTGTCATAGATGGATTTTATTATATTGAAGTATGTCCCTTGTATGCCGATTTTTCTGAGAGCTTTAATCATAAACCGATGCTGGATTTTGTTGAATGCTTTTTCTGCATCTATTGAGATGATAAAGTGATTTTTGTTTTTAATTCTGTTTGCGTGGTGTATCACATTTATTGACTTATTAAACCATCACTGCATCCCTGGTATGAAACCCACTTGATCACAGTGAATTATCTTTTTGATTATGTTGTTGAATTCTGTTAGCTAGTATTTTGTTAAGGATTTTAGCGTCTATGTTCATCAAGGATATATGTCTATAGATTTCTTTTTTGGTTATGTCCCTTCCTGGTTTGGGTATTAGGGTGATGCTGGCTTCACAGAATGAATTAGGGAGGGTTTCCTCTTTCTCTATCTTGTGGAATAGTGTCAATAGGATTGGTACCAATTCTTCTTTGAATGTCAGGTAGAATTCTGCTGTGAATCTGTCTGGTCCTGGACTTTTTTTTGTTGGTAATTTTTAAGTTACCATTTCAATCTCACTGCTTGTTATTGATCTGTTCAGGGTATCTAATTCTTCCTGATTTAAGCTAGGAGCATTGTGTCATTTCAGAAATGTATCCATCTCCTCTAGGTTTTCTAGTTTATGCGTGTAAAGGTGTTTATATTAGCCTTGAATAATCTTTTGTATTTCTGTGGTGTCAGCTGTAATATCTCCTGTTTCATTTCTTATTGAGGTTATTTGGATTTTCTCTTTTCTTTTCTTGGCTAATCTTGCTAATGGTCTATCAATTTTATTAACCTTTTCGAAGGACCATCTTTTTTATTCATTTATCTTTTGTATTGTTTTTCTTTGTTTCAATTTCATTTAGTTCTGCTCTGATCTTGGTTATTTCCTTTCTTCTACTGGTTTGGAGTTTGGTTTGTTCTTGTTTCTCTAGTTTCTTGAGATGTGACCTTACATTTTCACTTTGTGCTCTTTCAGTCTTTTTGATGTAGGCATTTGGGGCTTTCCTCTTATCACCACCTTTGCTGTAACCCAGAGGTTTTGATAGGTTTTGTCACTATTGTCATTCAATTCAAAAAATATTTTAAATTTCCATCTTGATTTTTTGACCCAATAATCATTCAGGAGTAGGTTATTTAATTTCCATGTATTTCCAGGGTTTTGAAGGTTCCTTTTGAAGTTGATTTCCAGTTTTATTCCACTGTGGTCTCAGAGAGTGCTTCATATAATTTCAATTTTCTTAAATGTATTGAGGCTCTTTTAGTGACCTATCATATGTTTTATCTTGGAGAAAGGTCCATGGGCTGTTGAATAGAATGTGTATTCTGCTGTTGTTGGATGGAATATTCTGTATATATCTGTTAAATCTATTTTTTCCAAGGTATAGTTTAAATCCATTGTTTATTTGTTGACTTTCTGTCATGATGACCTGTCTAGTGCTGTCAGTGGAGTATTGAAGTCCCCCACTATTACTGTGTTGCTCAGGTCTATTAGTAATTTCTTAGGTCTATTAGTAATTGTTTTATAATTTTGGGAGCTCCAATGTTAGGTACATATATGTTTAGGATTGTGATAGTTTCCTGTTGGACAAGGCCTTTTACCATTATATAATGTCCTTCTTTGTTTTTTTAACTGCTGTTTCTTTAAAGTTTGTTTTGTCTGATATAGGAATAACTACCCTGGCTTGCTTTTGGTATCCTTTTGCATGATGCCTCTTCCACCCCTTTACTTTCAGTTTATGTAAGTCATTATGTGTTAGATGAGTCTCTTGAAGGCAACAAATAGTTGGTTGGTGAATTCTTAGCATTCTGCATTCTGTATCTTTAAAGTGAAGCATTTAGGCCATTTACATTCAATGTTAGTATTGATATGTGAGGTACCACTCCATTCATCATGCTATCTGTTGCCCGTGTACCTTGGTTTTCTGCGTTTTGTTTTTGTTTTTTAAATTGCATTTTTGTTTTATAGGTCCTGTGAGATGTATGCATTAAAGAGGTTCTGTTTTGATGTGTTTCCAGGATTTGTTTCAAGATTTAGAGCTCCTTTTAGCAGTTCATGTAGTAGTAGCTTGGTAGTGGCAAATTCTCTCAGCATTTGTTTGTTTGAAAAAGACTGTATCTTTCCTTCATACATGATGCTCAGTTTCACTGGATACAAAATTCTTGGCTGATAATTATTTTGTTTGAAGAGGCTGAAGATTGGGTCCCAATGTCCTGTAGCTTGTAGGGTTTCTGCTGAGAAATTTGCTGTTAATCTGATAGGTTTTCCTTTATGGGTTACCTGGTGCTTTTGTCTCACATCTCTTAAGATTCTCTCTTTCATCTTAACTTTAGATAACCTGACGACAATGTGCCTACATGATGATCTTTTTGCAATGAATTTCCCAGGTGTTCTCTGTGCTTCTTGTATTTGGATGTCTAGGTCTCTAGCAAAGCTGGAGAAGTTTTCCTTGATTATTCCAACAAATATGTTTTCCAGACTTTTAGATTTCTCTTCTTCCTCAGGAATGTTGATTATTCTTAGGTTTGGTTGTTTAACATAATCACAGGCTTATTGGAGGCTTTGTTCATATTTTCTTATTCTTTTTTCTTTGTCTTTGTTGGATTGGGTTAAAGACCTTGTCTTTGATCTCTGAATTTCTTCATTCTACTTGTTCAATTCTATTGCTGAGACTTCGCAGAGCATTTTGCATTTCTATAAGTGTGTCTAATATTTCCTGAAGTTTTGATTATTTTTTATTTATATTATTTCATTGAATATTTCTCCCTTCACTTTTTGTATTATTTTTTGGATTTCCTTGCACTGCACTTTGCCTTTCTCTGGTGCCTCTCTGATTAGCTTACTAACTAACATCATGAATTCTTTTTCAGGTAAATCAGGGATTTCCTCTTGGTTTGGATCCATTGCTGGTGAACTAGTGTGATTGTTGGGGGTGTTGAAGAGCCTTGTTTTGTCATATTACCAGAGTTGGTTTTCTGTTGCCTTCTCATTTGGATAGGCTCTGTCACAGAGAAGGTCTAGGGCTGAAGCCTGTTGTTCAGATTCTTTTGTCCCATAGGGCATTCCCTTGATGTAGTACTCACTTTGGGTGGATCTTGCTGTGGCTGCTGTGGGGGATGGGGGTGATATTCAATGGAGGTCAATGGAGTTATGGACCTAGGGGAATTATGGCTGCCTCTGCTAAGTCATGCAGGTTGTCAGGGAAGTAGGGGAAACCATCAGTCACAGGCCTCACCCAGCTGCCATGCAATCTGAAGGGCTGCTCTCTTTCCCACCGTGCCCCCACTAACAGCACTGAGTCTATTTCTAGGCAGTGGGTAAGCAGGGCTGAGAACTTGCCTCAGGCTACCTGCCTCCCAGCTATGAAAGAAAGGAGGGTTTTAGTTGTTCTTCCTCCTGTGGAGTCTGCATGCCAGATTCACACCCTCACACGAGTTCTGGCCAGGAGGCTTCTCAATCAGTTCAAACCGTTACAAAGTGCAGCTGGAGATTTCCTTCTCCCTGTGGCATTTTCCCTGCACCTCTGGCCACCTTCCTGAAGAATCCCGGTAATGCCAGGCAAGAATGGCCTTGGGGACCCACCGAGCCTACAGGGCTTTCCCATGGCTTCCTGTACCCCTGCATCTTGCCTGGCTCTCTAAATTGACTCAGCTCCAGGTAAGATCAGGATCTTCTCCTGTAAAGTAGACCTTCAATTTCCCCAGTGGGGGGTGTGTGTTTAGGGACAGAAGATCTCCCTTTCCCACTTCCACAGTTGGTGCAATCACAGTATCTAGGGTGTCTCCTGGGTCCTGCAGAAGCAATCCACTTTCTTCAGAGGGTCTGTGGGTCCTCTCCGGTTTCATGATTTATTCCTGCAGTCATTCTGGAGCTAAAATTCACAGTGCTAGCCACCACATGCTTCTCTGTCCATCTGAGTCGGAGCTGCAATCTAATCCTGCCTCCTGTCTGCCATGATGGAAGGTCAGGAGTGATTTTTCATTGGCACACCTTCACCTTTGATCTCATTGGATTATAACTGACACTGATGAAAACCTAGGGCTCAGGATTTAGCAATGGTGTAGCAAGTGAGGCTCTTTGATGCCATGTAAACAAACTGCCTTTGTGGCCAGTGTAATTATAATGGAAAGTTTGTCTAACTGGGACTACCATTGCTATGTATTTTCCAGGATCATCATATTTATCAAACACATAAAATATTAGAACTATTTAGTGTACATACGAATGTGTACTAAGATTTCTTTTTCTAAATGCCTATTAAAAGAATATGTTGCATGATTCTGCCCAATCTGTGAAAACTCTCCTACCATGAAATTATGTACATTTTTATATTAAAGCCAATCTTTAAAAGTCCAACATATACTAAAATGAAATAATTGAAAAGAGAGATAGCTGATGAACAAGGAGGAAATAAAAACTGAAGTTTAGATAGTGGAAAAAATGTCTCAGAAATTTTCATAGATGATTATTATTAAAGACAAAAATAAATATCAAAGCATTGTAAATACTGCAAAGGAATCACCTGTCATTTTCTGTTTTGTCAACATCTAGAAAGGGACAGGGATTAGGTAAGTGATGAATGAAAGAAGTCTAATATCTGTAGGCACATTTTCTCACAAAAGATTTATCCATCCTAAGTTCAATTTCTTATTAAGACATTTCATATCATGTATTAGAATAGTAGAATTTTCAAATTATTTGAAGAATGTAGTGCCTAATATATTCCTATTTTTTTACTGGAGAATAAGAAAAGTATATTTCTATAATGGGAATGTCCTTTTACATATTTTATACCAGCAAAGCTGGTTCCGATTCTCAGACATTGCAACCTTCAACAATTTGATTTGCTGAACCTTTCCTTTCAGACCAGTATTTACAGAAAGCAACATCTGAAAAAGAATGGGAAATAAATAAAGTAGAAAAGAATAAAGTAGCCATTTAACTGCTGGTGAATAGTGTTCTTAAATTAAGCCTTCAAAAAAATGGAGAATGGCATGAGAAAAGATCCGCTTTAGAGAGCAATTATCATCACATGCATAATGTTACCAATTTGGGTTCTGCTCATTAAAGTTTTAAGACTGTAATCTTGTGGCCATTCTTAGATGTGGCATTCAAGACATGGTTGTCCCATGCTATTTGTACACATATCAATATGTAAAGAGATCAAAGGGAAGCCTGAAAGTAAACATCAAAGCATTAGAATACACTAATGCCTGATAGAATCGTTTTCTCATTATGGAAGCAACACAAAATCCTTAACCAAATTAGAAACTTATTGTGATAAAAAATTATACAGAAATATACATACATAACACACACACTGACACTCACACAAAGACACACATACAACATATTGCCCTTCTTTTTAAAAATAACTTTAAAGATTCTTAAGTTGAGAATACCAAAATACTACTGCCCTCTCCTCTAAGGATCAGATAATATGGTGCTTCACGGTGTGAGTTCTGAAGCCATACTACTCAATTTTCATTCTGCCTCTTTTACTCAAGATGTATGATCTTGGGAAATTACTTAACTTCTCCATTTTTCAGTTTTCTCATATTAAGAAGGAATTAATTTTATATAGTTGTTTAGAAGTAGCAATTAAAATATGAAAATAAACAACACATACATGCTAATTGATATTGTTGTAATAAAAGCCATACTTTAATTCCTGTTCTAAAGTATTATTAGAATTTAAAAGGTAGACAACATTTTTATTAACTATGTCAAAAAGTCACAATTCAGTTATTTTCTTTTTCCAGAAACTAGTTATAAGAAGTATCACAAATGAAAGTTTTTCTGTGAATACGTTTTGATGCACAGAAAACTCATTTTCTATGTTAAGTGTATGCTAATTCACTCACTTATTCAGTTATTTGGAGGGGGGAAATCCCTGTAAATCAAATTCTATCTTCATAAATGCATTCAATATTAATAAGCCTCTGCTCTATACACATCAAATTATTTTAACAAATAGCTTATTTCTAAAGTAGTGATATTATAATAGATTTGTTTAGAGTAAAATAGTATTTTTCTTTAACTTACCAATATCTATATGTTGGGTAATATACTTCTAAGACATAAGAAAAGTTATAAGGATGGGTCTGCATTACATGGTTAATCAAAGATCCAGTTTTTTTAAAAGCAATCATTTTAGAACCTATGTGATGTTGTCTGAATCCCGTCTGAAGTAGGAAAAAAATGGTTCTAAGTAGACTGCAAAAACTTAAGCATGCATATTATAATTTCTACAGCAATCATAAAATAAACTATGTAAAAAATAGTAAAAATACATTGGATGAACTAAACTGAATTTTTAAATGTTCAGATAAGACACAATAAAGCAGGGAAAGCGAAGCAAGAATACAAAGACTAGAAATAGAATAAAACAAATAATAAATGGTAAACCTAAACCCAAATACATCAATAAATTACACTAAATATAAGTGATCCAAGTATGTCACTTAAAATATGGAAGTTGTCAGAACAGATTTTTTAATGGTCTAATAACATGCTGTCTCCAAGAAACTCATTTTAATGAACTATGTCATTTAAAAGTGAAACAACAGAGAAAGATAAATCATGAAACTACTAATCAAAATAAAGCTGGAGTAGTAGACTTAACATTAGAAAAAATAGACTCAGAGATTTAAAAAATCAGGGATAGAAAGGCAAATTACATAATGATAAAAGAGTTCATTCACCCCAAAGACAATACAATCCTAAACATGTATGCAACTAAGAACAGAGCTTCAAAATACAAGAAGCAGAAACTGACAGAACTGAAAGAATAAATAGGTAAGTCCACAATTATAATTGGAGTCTTCAAAACCCCTCTATCGTCAAGCAATAGACATAGTAGACAGAAAGTCATCAAGGATATAAAAGAACTGACCAACACCATCTAACAACTGTAATTAAGTGACATTTATAAAACATTCTACCAAACAACAGCAGAATAGATTTTCTTTCTATGCACATGGAACAGATAAAAAAAATAGACTATATCCAGGGTTATAAAATACACCTTAACAAATTCAAAGAACTTAAATCATACGAAGAATGTTCTCTGAAATAATGGAATTAAATTAGAAATAACAGAAATATAGTAGGAAAAATTATACACCTTTAGAAATTAAAAGACAAACTTCCAAGTAAACCATGGGTGAAAAAAAATCTCAAGGAAAATTATAAAATAATTTGAAGTGAACAACAATGAAAATATAGCATATCAAAATTTGCAAGTGTAGCTGATATTCTTGAATTCCCACATGTTGTGGGAGGGACCCGGTGGGAGGTAATTGGATCATGGGGCAGGTCTTTCCTGTGTTGTTCTCATGATAGTGAATAAGTCTCACTAGATCTGATGATTACATAAGGGGGAGTTTCCCTGCATAAGCTGTCTTCTTTTGTCTGCTGCCGTGTGAGACATGCCTTTCACCTTCCACCATGATTGTGAGGCCTCTCCAGGCACATGGAACTGTAAGTCCATTAAACCTCTTTCTTTTGTAAATTGCTCAGTCTCGAGTATGTCTTTATCAGCAGTGTGAAAGCAGACTAATACAGTAAATTGGTGCCAGTAGAGAGGGATGCTACTGAAAAGATCCCAAAAAATGTGGAGGCAACTTTGGAACTGGGTAACAGGCAGAGGTTGCAACAGTTTGGAGGGCTCAGAAGACAGCAAAATGTGGGAAAGTTTGGAACTCCCTAGAGAACTTGTACTTTATGGAATTATTAACAACATGTATACTATAGTAACTGAAATTTGAACAGTATTGTTGAGAGACTGATACATTTAATTAAACAGTGGTAGCTGAAAGTCATGTATATTGGAGCTGTTCAAAGTCTTTGTGTGAACAGTGTTCAAAGTCAGCTGTTCTTGGTCTGTGGGTGTGAGCATTTATTGCCATAAATTTCCCTCCGAACACTGCATTAGCTACTGTATTTGTCTGTTTTCACACTGCTGATAAAGACATACGTGAGACTGGGAAATTTACAAAAGAAAGAGGTTTAATGGACTTACAGTTCCATGTGGCTGGGGAGGCCTCACAATTATGGCAGAAGGTGAAAGTCATGTCTCACATGGTGGCAGAGAAGAGAAGAGAGCTTGTGCAGAGAAACTCCCCCTTAAATAGTTATCGGATCTCATGAGACTTATTCACTATCAGGAGAACAGCACAGGAAAGACCTCCCCCCATGATTCAATTACCTCTCACTGGGTCCCTCTCACAATGCGTGGGAATTTAAGATGAGATTGGGTGGGGACAGAGCCAAATCATATCATTCTGTTCAAATTTCAGTTACTATGGTATACATGTGAATAATTTCATAAAGTACAAGTTTTGCTTCCAGCATTTTAGTCCACAAATCACTACATAATAACAGATATGCATCATGATACATGACTAATCAATAACTTATTTTAATATCTATCAGTGATTATCACTGTACATTATGCAATTCATGCACAGATAGCAGAGCATGTAGTCATGTTGTCTCCTGGTCCCCTTAGTGATAAACCCATGTGACTTTTTTTAATGGATAATGAAAAGAGAAAATTGTCCAACAAAAATGAAAGCACAGAAAGAAGTTAAATCTGAATGCAACACAGATGGAGTTATAGAGGAAATAGCTGACGATAGAATGTTGATACTGCTTTATATGGTTTCACTCTGTGTCCCCACCCCAATCTCATATCAAATTGTAATCCCCATGTGTTGGAGGAGGGACCTGGTGGGAGGTGATTGAATCATGGAGGCAGACTTCCCCCTTGCTGTTCTTGTGATAGTGAATGAGTTCTCACGAGATCTGGTTGTTTGAAAGTGTGTAGCACTTCCCCCTTTGCTCTCTTTCTCCTGCTGCCATGTGAAGAACGTGATTCCTTCCCCTTCACCTTCTGCCATGACTGTAAGTTTCCTGAAGCCCTCAATCATGCTTCCTGTTAAGCCAGCAGAACTGTGAGTCAATTAAACCTCTTTTCTTCATAAATTACCCAGTCTCAGGTAGTTCTTTATAGCAGTGTGAGAACAGATTAATACACTGTTGCTTTCAAGGAACTCCAGATATGCAGCCAGAAGAACTGATAGAAGGTAAACCTATTGACATAAATAAGGAATGTAGTAGTGACAAAAAGGATGAAGATGACTTAGAAGAAGTGATACAAAACTTCACATTAAAGGAACAATTGAAAGTAACCCGCAACACCAAGAACACTACTATAGACATCCTACTATAAAGCTATATTATGAAATAGGCTGACTAACTATAAAGCTGTCTTATGCTATTGGTGGAGGGATAAAAACATAAAACAGGCTGGGCATGGTGGCTCACACCTGTAATCCCAGCATTTTGAGAGGCCGAGGCGGCGTATTACCTGAGGTCAGGAGTTCAACACCAGCCTAGCCAACATGGTGAGACCCCATCTTTACTAAAATTACAAAAAAAAAATAGCCAGGTATGGTGGCAGGTGCCTGTAATCCCAGCTACTCAAGAGGCTGCGGCAAGAGAATTGCTTAAACCCAGGAGGCAGAGGTTGCAGTGAGCAGAGATCGTGTCATTGCACTCCAGCCTGGGTGACAGAGTGGGACTCCATCAAAAAAAAAAAAAAAACAAAAAACAAAAAAACCATAAAGCAATAAAACAGAATGGAATCCAGAAGTAGACTCCCACATATATGGACAATTCGTTTTTTTTCTAAAAATTCTCTGTGCTCTGTTTGTTCATCTATCTCTACACCCACAAGCCCCTGGCACCACTGATATTTTTATTGTCTCCATAGTTTTTCCTTTTCTAGAATGTCATATAGTTGGACCCTCTGCAACAAGTAACACTTTAATATGGGCTTCTTTAACTTTCTAATATGCATTTAAGTTTCCTCCATATCTTTTCATGGCTTGATAGCTCATTTCTTTTCAACGCGGAATAAATTTCCATTTCCTGAATATACCACGGTTTATTTATCTACTCACTATTAAAAAACACTTGGGGCTGGGGCATGGTGGCTCACGCTTGTAATCTCAGCACTTTGTGAGGCTGAGGCAGGTGGATCACCTGAGGTCAAGAGTTTGAGACCAGGCTGGCCAACATGGTGAAACCCCATCTCCACTAAAAATACAAAAATTAGCAGGCATGGTGGCGTGCTCCTGTAATCCAAGCTACTTGGGAGGCTGAGGCAGAACTGCTTGAACCTGGGAGATGGAAATTGCAGTGAGCTGAGATCGCACCACTGTACTCTATCCTGGGTGACAGAGCGAGACTCTGTCAAAAAAAAAATTATTTGCTACCAAGTTTTGGTAATTATGAAGAAACTTGCTAAAAACATCTGTGTACATGCTTTTGTGTGGATATAAGTTTTCAATTCATTTCTATAAATACCAAGAGCACAACTGCTAGGCTGTATGATAAAAGTACATTTAGGTTTGTGAAAAACTACTAAACTATCTTGAAAAGTGGCTGTACCACTTTGCATTCTGACCAGAAATGAATGAATGAGCATCCCTGTTACACCACATCCTCACCAGCATTTGCGTTCAGTGTTTTGAATCTCAGCTGTTCTAATAGGTGTCTATAGTGACAGGGAACAGATGTAGAGCCGTATCTCATGGTTTTAATTTGCAATTCCCAAATGATACATGATACAAAACATCTTTTCCTCTGTTCATTTTCCATCAATATATTCTTTATTGACTTTATTTTTTCTTATCATTGAATTTTAAGTTATTTGTATATTATGGGAAACAGTCCTTTATCAGGTATATTTTTGCAAATATTTTCTCCTAATTTGTGGTTTGTCTTTTCATTCCCTTGAGCCAACTGATTTCTTTTACAAAAGTGGAAAGGCAATCAAATCGTGAAAAGATCATCATTTCCACAAACGATTGGACAAATTGTACATACATACATAAAAAATGAACCTCAGCTTAAACCTTATACCTCACAGAAAATCGAACTTAAAAAAATCATGGACCTAAATCAAAGTGTAAAACTATAGAACATTTCAAAAAATTGGAGAAAATCTTTATCACCTCAATTAGCCAAAGTGTCCTTTGGCATTATATCAAAAGCATTAGTCCAACAAGAAACAAACTCATAAACCATATTTCATCAAAATTAAACACTTTCACTCTGTGAAAAACGCCACTAAGAGGCTAAAAAGATAAGCTACAGACTAAGAGAAAATATTGAAAATCATATCCAACAAGTACTTGTATCCAGAACATATAAAGAACCTTGTAAACTCACCAGTATGAAAATAATCCAATTTTAAAACTCAAAGACTTGAACAGAAACTTCACCAAAGAAGGTATACAGATGATTCAAAAGAACATGAAAAGATATTTAACATTGATCATTAGTTGTTAGGGATATGCAAATTAAAATCACTAGCAGATATCACCACACATCTATTAGAATGGCTAAAAATAAACAATTTTATTTGACAAGGAGACAGACCATCTGTAACTCTTGTATATTGCTGGCAGGAATGCAAAATGGTAAAGTCACTCTTGAAAACAACTTAACATTTTTTTATAAAATTACACATACTTACCATATGATTAAGCAATTGCATTCCTGGGAATTTAAACCAGAGAAATCAAAACTTGTGTTCACAATAAAATCTGCACATGAATCTTATAGCAGTTCTAGTGATAATCACCAAAAACTGGGAAAAAATGCAAATGCACTTCAATAAATCAATGAATAAACAAACTGTGATACATCCATAGAATGGAATACTACTCAGCAATAAAAAAGAATGAACTACTTTTATATGCAACAACTTGAATGAATGTCAAAAACATGCCTAGTGAAAAAAGTCAAGTCTCAAAAGTGTACACACTTTATAATTCTGTTTAGATGACATTCTTTAAAACACAAAACTAGAGTGACAGAAAATAGGTCAGTATTTGCCAAGGGTTGAGAGGATGGAGGAGAGGTGAAGGGGTGACTACAAAGGAAGAGCAAAAGGGAAATTTCTAGGGTAGTAAAACTTCTCATCCAGATTATAATATGGGAATTCAAATCTGTTTATGTGTTAAAATTGTTTCAACTGTACACCAAAAATAGTTAATTTTACTATTAGTTTAAAAATTAAATTTTTTAAAAATCAAATTATTTTAAAATGCAGTATATCCTAGGTGAACTCATTCTTTTTAAAAAAATTTCAACTTTTATTTTAGATTCAGGGAGTACATGTGCAGGTTTTTACATGGGTATGTTGTGTGATGCTGAAGTTTTGGGTACAAATGCTCCCATCACCCAGGTAGTGACCATAGTATCCAACAGGTAATTTTTCAGCCCTTGCCCCACTCCTCTCTCCCTCCTTTAGTAATCTCCGGTGCCTATTATTCCTGAGTACACACTATGTCCATGTGTACTCAGTGCTTAGCTCCCACTTATAAGTGAGAACACATGGTATTTAGTTTTCTGTTCTTGCATTAGTTTGCTTAGGAGAATGGATTCCAACTGCATCTATGCTGCTGCAAAGGACATGATTTTGTTTTTGTGTATGTGTGATTGCTTAGTATTCCATAGTGTATATGTACCATATTTTCTTTATCCAGACCACCACTGATGGGTATCTAGGTTGATTCTATGCCTTTGTTATTGTGAGTAGTGCTGCAATGAATATACAAGTACATGTGTCATTTTGGTAGAATGATTTATAAGTCTCCAAAAGCAATATCAAGAAAAAATGGAACCTAATTAAAGAGCTCTGCACAGCAAAAGAAACTATCAACAGAGTAAACAGACAAATTACAGAATAAGAGAAAATATTTGCAAACTATACATTAACAGAGGTCTAATATCAAGAGTCTATAAGGAATGTAAGCCAATTAACAAGCAAAGAACAAACAACCCCATTTAAAAATGGGAAACAGACATGAACAGACACTTCTCAGAAGTGGACATACACATGGTGAATAAGTATACAAAAAAATACTCAACATCACTAATCATTAGAGAAATGCAAATCAAAACCATGAGATACTATCTCACACCAGTCAAAATGACAATTATTAGAAACTCAAAAAATAAGATGTTAAGAAGGTTACTGAGAAAGTATAATGCTTATACACTTCTGGTGTGAATGTAAATTAGTTCAGCCACTGTGAAAAGCAGTTTGGAAAATTCTCAAAGAACCTAAAACAACTAACATTTGACCCAGCAATCCCATTGGTGGGTATGTATACTGAAAGGAATATAAAATACAGTGATATTTTTAAAACTCAGTGAGATAGACTGGGTGTGGTAACTCAGGCCTGTAATTCCAGCACTTTGGGAGGCCAAGGCTGGCAGATCACTTGAGGTCAGGAGTTCGAGAACAGCCTGGTCAACATGGTAAAACCCCATCTCTACTAAAAATACACAAATTAGCTGGGTGTGATGGTAGGCACTGGTAGTCCCAGCTACTCAGGAGGCTGAGGCAGGAGAATCACTTGAACCTGGGAGGCATAGGTTGCAGTGAGCCAAGATCATGCCACTACACTCCAGCTTGGGCAACAGAATGAGACTCTGTCTGGAAAAATAAAAATAAAAAAAAAAATTTACTGAGACAGAAGAGAACACAGATAAACAATGCAAAGAAATCAGAAAAACAATTCAGCACATGAATTTAAAAATTGCCAAATAATGGATGTCATTAAAAATAACAGAAATCCTGGAATTGAAGAATTCACTAAGTAAAATAAAAAATACGCTTGAACACTTCAACAATAGATCAGATCAGGCAGAAGAAAAAAAAATCTCAGAACTTGAAGCAGGCCTATTGAAATAACTCAGTTAGATAAAAATAAAGAAAAAAGAATTAAAAAGAATGAGTGAACCCTACTTAATATTAGGGAACCATAAAGTGATGAACTATTCAGTTTTGGTATCCTAGAAGGCAAAGAGAAAACCACATGTACGCTGAAAATATGTACAATTATTATGTATCAAAAAAAGAAATTAAAAAATAAAAATAAATTACAGATGTGCTTAGTAATATGTCCAAAAAAAGCTACAACTATTTACAATGTATTAATCTAAATATTTGAATAATACTCTGATCCTCTAAATAGATATATGTATCTTTGCATGAAGGCATGTGTGTACTAACATATATACATATGTATGGCATGTATATATATACACACATATATACATATATATAGCATATATATGCTAACCTACTAAAATGAATGTCCCAGCTATAAGAATGAATGAATTATTAGTGTTTATTTCAAAACTTCTCTCAAAACAAAAATCATTCTACTAAAAAATAAACATTGGGCCAGGCGCGGTGGCTCATGCCTGTAATCCCAGCACTTTGGGAGGCAGAGGTGAGCAAATTACCTGAGGTCAGGAGTTCACAACCAGCCTGGCCAACATGGTGAAACCCTTTCTCTATTAAAAATACAAAAATTAGCCCAGCGTGGTGGCACAGTCCTGTAATCCCAGCTACTCAGGAGGCTGAGGCAGGAGAATCGCTTGAGCCTGGAAGGTGGAGGTTGCAGTGATCCAAGATCGTGCCACTGCACTCCAGCCTGGCCGACAGAGGAGAAACTCTGTCTCAAAAATAATATAATATAATATAATATAATATAATATAATATAAATAAAATAAAATAAACATTGCTCAGTATTACACCAATGTCAGTTTTCTTGCTTTGATATTGAACTGTGATTATATATTATTCACCATTGAGGGTAATGAAGGGAAGGATTCGAGGCACTCTAGGTGCTATTTTTGCAGTTTCTTATAGATCTATAATTATTTCAAAATAAAGAGTTAAATAAATTATACTACATCCAAATATTTGAAGGTTTATTCAAAGCTAAGGTATGGAGAGCTTTCTTTACCTTCACACCTCGCTGTACCTCAAACTCAACTTAGAAGCAGCTAGAAGAGAAAAGAATCTCATATTAGTGATTTTGTGTAGGGAAGTGAAGATGAAGGACCAATAATAGGTCCTGGCCATGGTGCTGTTGAGTCGTTGAAACTCTTAGGATGATTTCATTTGTACATACTAAAGGGCCCAACACAAACTGACTAATAAATATAGTAAATATTTATAACATAATGTAATAAGTTATATAAATATAATAAACATTTATAACATAGTATAAGTTTATTATATTTATATATGATATATAGAGATAAAATAAATGAACTGAATAATAATAAATGGAATGCATCAGCTAATGAAGTTCAAAAGACCTTTAGGCTTCTGGCATGGTTTGATCAGGGCTCCCGTCTATTTCTCTGTAATTCACTGATCTCTCCGCACACCCTGATGTGTCAGCTTTATCCTGAGACTAGATAGCAAAGTATCTACAGCAATTCCAGGCCTCACATCAACACACCACACCACACAAAAGGAGAGACAACTTTGAATAAATATCATGGTCTTCACTCTGATTAGAACAGTTCATGTCATGTGACACTCCTGAACCAATTACTGGAACCAAGGAGATGGGATTGCATTTTGGGCTGAGCCAATTAGAGTCCGCTTCTGAAGCTGGAGATCATGTCAATTATCCAGGTCAGCAGCTGCTCTATCACAGGGCAGTAATGGAATTAATGCTGGAGAAGCAACAATGATGTCTACAGTTGACAAAATTACATTTAAATAACAGAAATGGTGCCTGCATGATAATGATTTGGATAGTACAACCAGAAAGGTTTGTTCCTTCATTCAAATAACAGACCAATTTAATCACATGCAGGATAAAAGACATTTTTACATAATTAGTCCATCACTCATTTTTTTCAGTGGTTGGAGAATTCAGTCATTAGTTCAATACCTTAACAAGATGCCTTGGTAGTGTGTCCAAATATTGGTTAAATATTATGTGAGTATTTACTCAGGCTCTATTTACATAGGTCTAATGTTTTTCAAGGATTTCACTGCCAATTTTTAAAAAATCAACTAATTAAAGAAATCAAATAATTTAATCTTTATAAGATGATTAATCAATAACTAATCACTAATGCAATCACATTTTGTCTAAACAATATGAATTCAACCAGTTTAAAGGAGTTGGGGGGATGGGGAAGTAAGTAAGTATTTTCTTTGTTCTGCAAGTTGACAGATAACTGATTTATTACTCCCTTCTCTTCAACTCCAAAATTTACTTGTAGCTTTATCAAATCAACTGGGTATTTTGGCATTGTAAACCCACAATATATATTCGAGCCGTTTGCCAGTAAATTAAATACAATATTATGGAAGCATTTTTCATATGCAAATATGCACTATGAAGCTCACTGAACCACACTGAAAACCAACAGCAGTTTCCTTTAAAATTTGAAAAATCAACTCTTAAAATTTATCTTCTTTAACCATCTGGTCATAATTCTAAGTGACTTCGTTTAAAAAAAAAGTGTCACTTTTCACTGGCTCAAAAGAGGATACATTTTTAAAAAATATTTTGCATTAATCTTGTATTCAAAGGAACCAGGAGAAGGGCACTGATATTAGTATATTTACTATATAAAAACTTATCAGCTGTGTAAACATAATATTTTTTATATTTTAGAAATTTTTCTACATATCTTTTTCATTGTTACTCTCTCTAGCCACATAATTCTTTTTCAAAAATGGTTTGATATATACCAAAAAGTCTTTTCATGTCTTTATTCTTTTGATTTACCATGACTGATTCGTGGTCATTCCCCGCTTTTATTTTAATTATACTGTATCATCCTCCATCTGAACCTCTTTAGCTTATTAAGTGCAAAGGACCATGCATATCCACTGAGTCGTTTTTTATTTTTTAAACACAGTGTAAACATCATTTCCTCCATGATTTCCAGATCAGTCTATTTTTAAATAATTTAATACTCTTTTTCACAATTTTCCCCCCAAAAATTTGCTTTTCTTTTTCTGTCAAGATTTACTCCTTGGGAAGAGCTTTGAGACTTCCTAGAATAGAGAGAAGATCGCAAGTCATTTTATTTATAGAAAAAGAAAATATGTTAACTGAGCAACTGCAGAGGAACTATCCAAATGCAAAATTTTAGAAATTTCAAAACCACATATGTATCTTTTTTCCCTGATTTAAATGTAGTTCTATTCCATATTATAGTTTTTAAAAATGCAAGCCGACACACAAAATCAACATAAAGTTCTGAAGCAGAAAAGATAGAGACAAGCCTTCAAGTGGAGTAATTTTCACCACAAAAGTTCTTTAATCTAGCTATCTCCTCTTTCTCCAAATATCCAGAGAGAACTACAATACAAGGTGACTTGGAACAAAAATATATTGATTCCCAGGGGTCTCTGACAAAAATGTTAACACCTTTTCTTGCTTAGTCAACTTAATCTTTAACGGTGTATGGGGTGGGGGCACCAAAAACACTATTTCACAAGAATGGCTTTGCATTACATTTTTAAAGAGACATATGCCCAATAATTTAGTAATTATATCGCTAAATGAGTTTTCATTCTTTTTATTCTATTGAAGTAACTAGCTAACTACCCCCCCAAAAAAAAGATGATTTCAGAGAAAGTAAAGTTAATGGTTCTGCTGTCACCCCAAGAGAAACACCTTTGCAGCCGGTCATCATGTGACAAGTACTCCAGCTCATCTGCATTCTGTACACATCTTGTCAGACTGTGATTACATGATAGGGGTCTATCTCTGCAGCATTGCAGTAATGTCACACTGACTTACTTTCTTTCACAGCCAAAACTCTGCTCTGGTTTCTACTCATAACCTCTTGTTGTCTTGGGTTTTTTTTTGTTTTTTTTTTTGTCGGCGGGGGGTGGTTTCTGTCTGCAGAAAGGAGAAAATTACAGTGCCAACCTCATAGGACAGTTCTGATGATTAATTGAGACAATACATCAAAGATGTGAGACACAGGTTCTTCACAAAAGTAAACTCCCAATCTCACCCTCTTTCAGCAAAGATCTAGACTAAGGTTTTTTTTGTTTGTTTTACATCTTTTCCTGATCCATATGGACAGAGCTAAGGAAAATCTTCAAATGTCAACTCCAAGATTATTCAAAAATACTTACTTTTGTTTCAATCAACATTATTCATTTTATTTTTTTCCTTACAGCAAAAGGTGCACCTCCAGCAAATTGACAAATGGTACAGTAATTTAATACAGAAAAAGCTGGCTCATTCTTATTTAAAAAAAAAAAACAGAGCAGTATAATAGCAAACACCTGCAAATCACTTCCTCTGTCATGCACATATATTTATCATTTAATCTTTAAAATGCAATGAGGGAGGTACTATTATTATAACAATATTATTATACCCATTTTTAGAGATGAGAAAACTGAGAAACACAGAGCTTGATTTTCCCAAGGACACTAAGAAAAAAAAATGACAGAACTGTGCTCTGAATTGAGCAGTCTATGCTTTTAACCACTATATACTATCTCCTTATGGATGAGAATCTATAATCAGATCATTCTGATGGTGTTAAAGCCAAAATGTGAACCAGTTCTTTCTTAGGAGACATCTGTGATGGCTCTCTTGAGATGGCAAGTCAAAATTTTTCCATACAGAGATAAAACAGACAACACAGCCTTTTAGCTTTAACCCCAGGCTACCAATTTGGCCTTCAGCAGCAGGACAAAGGGCCTTAAAAACAAACATCCTTGATGCTTTAAACTGTCTTTATGATTATTAACAAATTCATCCCGAATGCATACATCTCTATCTTGGAGATGCATTCATCTCACAATAAGTATGACAACTGTTGTGAATCTGCAGAAGTTGAAGCATCTTACACAAGAACTTCTGGAAATGGCACAAATCTAACATTTCACTGCCATGGAATTAACCAGTATCACCTGATGATATTACGAGTATGAGAGATCTTGGGCTTGATGCTGATGGGTTTTGAATGAAACTGTATTCCTTCAAAATAAGGCTTTCATCATAATCTACGTTAGAGAACCTAGGTTTATATTAATTGTGCTGTATTCCTCAGCAGTTCAAATAAGCTTTTGCAGTAGATGCTGAGGAATGCCCTCTTCAGAACTGAGACAATTATTCCCCTACCTGCTGCAAACACTGATTGCTGAGAATTCTCAGCAGAGCCTCATTCCAAGAACTGCCGGTGTCTAAAGAGAGTCATTTTACCCAAAGTTCTGACCCTTCTTCTGCGTCAGCCCACGTCCAGTGATGGTCAACATCAATGTATAAGGTACTGACCCCTTAACCTCTATTTGGTTCATTCTAGGGCTACCCCAACTCCACTGTGACCCATGGAATAAGCTGAGGCCTTTGTTGCATCTATATCAAAGTTCAACTTCTCCCTCTGCCCAATTCTACTTTCTTTATTCTTCCAGAGTATTGATCCCAAGAGCACTCCTCCAAAAAACCTGCATACAAATCTCTATTTCAGAGTCTGTTTCCTGGGGAACCTAATCTGCAACAGTTTCTAACAAAAAGAGTCTGCAGATCTTCCCACCTTCTGCAGCCAACACTGGCACAGTCCTCCCTTTACATGATGATCAATACCTGTATTTCTGTGATATATGGGCACAGTGTCTCTTGCAAGGATATTTTTTCAGGTCAACGTAATTATGAAAATTACTTCAGTCAAGGGCTGCCCTTGAAGGAATTTATTATAATGTCGATGTGCAAGATAATCCCATAACGTCATTTAAGAAATCTCTAAAAGTTCAATGCTGAGACCGATAGTACAGTCTGCAAAATAAGCACCAATGAGTTTACCAGACTCAATCTGTGAAATTCAAATCTAACAGTAGCCAATAGTTCTATTGAAAATCATAATTTCAGGCTGGGCATGGTGGCTTATGCCTGGAATCCCAGCACTTTGGGAGGCTGAGGCGATCTGATCACTTGAGTCCAGGAGTTCAATACCAGCCTGGACAACATGGTGAAACCCCATCTCTACAAAAAAAAAAAAAAATTAAAAATTAGCTTGGCATGGTGACGCATGCCTGTAGTGCCAGCTACTCAGGAGGCTGAGGCAGGAGTATCGTTTGAGCCCAGGAGATTAAGGCTGCGATGAGCCGTGATTGCAGCACTGCCCTCTAGCCGGGGCAACAGAGCCAGACCCTGTCTCAGAAAAAACAAAAAAAAAGAAAAAGAAAAAAAATTATGATTTCAATGATTACAAGATTTCATAGGCTACTTATCTCAGGTGAAACAGAAAGAACATTTTTCTGCTAATGTTGTTTCTCCCTAATTTTTCAAGTGTATGTGCTACGTGCTTCTTTTCAGCATTCTTCATTTTGTTTGCTAAAGATTCATACACTGAGAAGTTTTCATTCCAATAAATGGAGACAAATGACATCAAAGGAAGGTGTGCTCCACAGCAAGAAGCTTTGTCTGATTACCAACCAATACCACACAGTGTCTTGTCCAGTTTTTTATATTGATCATATCCAGTTTTTTCTCAACCAGGAAAAAAAATATGTTCTATTGGATAGCAGCTTAAAAACAGGCCAAGGAAAATAGCATCTCTCTAGCAACACAGCCTATTTTGCAAAACTGCTCTGGACTTACAGCATCAATGCAGCTATAGATAGATAGATAGATAGATAGATAGATAGATAGATAGATAGATAGATACATACATACATACATACATACATACATACATGCATGCATGCATACATGCATGCATACATACATACATACATACATACATACATACATACATACATAGACCTATATATTTGGGGGCCTAAACAATTTTCCAAAGAACCAAAAATTTGAAGCTGACATTAAAATTAATAAATTATTATTGTATTCACCAGCCATGTTTCCTAGAACCTGTAACTTTTAACTCACTGATCATTTTGTATTGATTTAACATCATCCTTCCATGTATCTCTATATTTCTTTACAGTTTTATCTTTCGTTCAAAAAAAGAGAAGTGATTCAAGCCTAAATTTATATTGATTGATTCTTGTTTTACTTACAGTAGATTGTAATTTCCAAAGGTGGCCACAACAATATCTCCCAACATGCTTGTTTTTCTTACAATGCAATCTTGATATCCCTCCCATGAACTTGCAGTATCTATGTCCTCTTCCTTTAAATGTAGTTGGACCCTTGTGACTTCTTTGTCCAACAGACCATGGCAGAAGTGAATCAATGTGACTTCCAAGGTTAGTTATAAAAATGCCAAGTTTGGGGCTTTGTTCATAAAATCTGGTTGCCATGCTGTAAGCAAGCCCAAGCAACCTGAGCAAATGCATCCCTTCATTGGGCAAAACTCCCCCCAACCACTTACATTCCTTCAAGCTGTGATAACTAAAAATATCTCTGGGCATTTCCAGATGTCCCCTGGCAAGCAAAATTTCCACTAGTTGAGAACCACTAGTAATAGAGACAATACAGAAAGGTTGCCAGGCAGCCATCAATTCTTTGTCTAAAGGGCACAGCACAATTTATGCTGACACCAAGAGTGTCAGTGGCCACACAATGTGACTGGCATCCTTTCCAACTTTCCCTCATAGCTAAGTCCAGGTGGGTCTGGCTGTACTCTGCAATAAAACCTTTAAAGTAGTGCTGTCGTGAGTTACATACCTTAGAAAAGTTTTAGAAAACAACTCTTTTATATTTAATTTTTGTCTTGTAGTCCCTCTTCATAGGGCCCAGGATGAGGACCTATGGCCACCCAGGGAAAAGTAATAGACACATGCTACACTCAGGACCCCTGCTACCATCTCAAAAGACTCCTTCAGGACTCAAGACGCACCCAAATGTGTAGGAACCCAATGATGAGCGTAGCTTAGACTCAGCCTGAAGACTTCACCATAATCATGTGTGAAATAAGTAATGCTCATAGCAGGACAGAACAATAAGTAATTATGCTGAGCTTCTGTTCACATTTCTATTCCCAAATCTTGCTGGAAAACGTTAGCTAAAAACCATTAGTTGGCCGGGCGTGGTGGCTCACGCCTGTAATCTCAGCACTTTGGGAGACCAAGGCGGGTGGATCACGAGGTCAGGAGATCGAGACCATCCTGGTTAACACGGTGAAACCTCGTCTCTACTAAAAATACAAAAAATTTGCCAGGCACGGTGGTGGGCGCCTGTAGTCCCAGCTATTCTGGAGGCTGAGGCAGGAGAATGGCGTGAACCCGGGAGGCGGAGCTTGCAGTGAGCTGAGATCACGCCACTGCACTCTGGCCTGGGCGAAAGAGCGAGACTCCGTCTCAAAAAAAAAAAAAAAAAACCATTAGTTAATATTTGCTTTATTCACTCATGGAAATATGTGCAAGTTCAGTCTTATAAAATGAACATCTCTCCACTTTCCTTAAAGTAGCCCAGACTTTTCCAGTGGTCTTATTCCAAATAAGGGATTCCCTCAAAGAGATCCAATCCAAATGGGATTCCCTCAAAGATACTTCTGCATTTCAATGCATTAAAATTGATGTTGTCTCCCCAAGTCCCAGGCAGTAGAGATGCAATAACTAACATGGCTTTCTCCTTTCCTGCTGATGTGTTTATAGAGGAGGCAGCTTGCTTACAAATTACTGAAATAGAAAAGCCAGATAATGACATGTTTAAACAGCTTCTGAAATATTGCTTATGCTCAATCCTTCTCATGTTTCAGGGCTGTCTATATTCTCTGGCTCTGAGAGTTCTGGTTAAATGGGATTGTGCAACTGTGGCCTAGCCCCTATATATCTCTCTATAAAAAGTAGGCACCCCTGGCCGGGCACAAGGGCTCACGCCTGTGATCCCAGCACTTTGGGAGGCCGAGGTGGGTGGATCACGAGGTCAGAAGATGGAGACCATCCTGGCTAATACGGTGAAATCCCGTCTCTACTAAAAAAAAAAAAAAAAAAAAAAAATACAAAAAAATTAGCCGGGCATGGTGGCGGGCGCCTGTAGTCCCAGCTACTCCGGAGGCTGAGGCAGGAGAATGGTGTGAACTTGGGAGGCGGAGCTTCCAGTGAGCTGAGATCATGCCACTGCACTCCAGCCTGGGCGACAGAAGGAGACTCTGTCTCAAAAATAAAAAATAAAAAAGTAGGCACCCCTGTGCAGAGAGAATGTGGACATTCCCAGGAGACATGTGGTGGCCACTGTCAGCAATTTTAAAGCTTCTGACTGCAAATATTCTCACCTAGGACGAAAATGTTAGAATGCGGAGAATTTTTCTTCTTTCTCAGTCTCGCTAAATGCTCTGGAGATGAATTTAAGAGTGTCTGTTAAGACTGATTGACTCAACCCTCATGCTGTAGTTGCTGTGTGAAATGTTTGAGAATTATTTATGTTGTTTATAAATTCAGATAATTATCTACCTTTTATAGAGTAATCAAACATTGAAAATTGTGGGTGGAGGGGTGGGAGGGTACTATAATATTGAGAGTGAGATTTGAGGGCTTTTCTCACTATAGCAAAATAGGTATATGCAATGTTCTTAGTATTGTATTCATGAATAGGAAGGTTCCAGTGTCACCAATAGTCTAGGACATGAATATTCAGGTTATTTATGATGAAACAGAACTCATCACTCACATAGATGCCAATGACAGTGATCTACCTGTGCTGGGTGATAGAGAACCTGTCAGTGAAGCATTTGGAATGCAGATCACATGTTTCAGAGGGTGGCATAGCTGAGCAGAGCAAAGCCCCAGGCAGGAAGAGCATCTTGTTCCTTCCAAAAAAGAACAAGTGAATGGGGAACCACAGGTCACAAGTCAACAGTATTTACCAATGGCCTGTATCACAAACAGTATCAGGCTCCTCGGCTTTGAGCAGCAAGAGGAGGTTCTTTCATTTTAAGCAATTATTTCTGTCAACCAATTAACATCCTAATCTAATGGGAAAACTATTTCAGGCAATAATGTTCTTTGATTGATAACAACAAAAAGAAATAGAACATTAAAAATAAAACTTCATGATGGACCATGACCTTTGCATAATTTTGAAGGAAGGAAAAACTAATAAAATATCACCAAAACTGCACAGCCAGTCAGCAGAACAAGTCCAAGTTAGTTCAACTCAAACTTTCAGTTGGGGTAAAGCTTAACAGCTTCTCTGTCCTATCTTTTAGACTTTTCATTTGCTTGACAGTGGATGTTAGTGTTTGCTTCAAGACTCTCTAGGGCAAGAATAGCTGATATTTTCCACCCAGACCTTTTCCTAAGAACCAAAAGCAGGTAAGCCTCATTAGGAATATAAGGGAGACAAAATGTAATACGGAAGTGATGGTATTTGAAGTCACTAATGCATGCTTGGGGAACATTTGGGGTAGACTTTTTTTTTTTTTTTTTTTTTTTTTGAGAAGGAGTCTTGCTGTCGCCCAGGCTGGAGCGCAGTGGCACCATCTCGGCTCACTGCAAGATCCACCTCCCGGGTTCACGCCATTCTCCTGCCTCAGCCTCCCGCGTAGCTGGGACTACAGGTGCCCGCCACCTCGCCCGGCTAATTTTTTGTATTTTTAGTAGAGACGGGGTTTCACTGTGTTAGCCAGGATGGTCTCGATCTCCTGACCTCGTGATCCACCCGCCTCGGCCTCCCAAAGTGCTGGGATCACAGGCGTGAGCCACCACGCCCGGCCCATTTGGGGTAGACTTCTGAGCTCCTCCACTTCTGTTTTTATTGTCAGTTAACTGCAGAAAAGTAAATGTGGTGGAAAAAATAAAGTAAAAATGGCAAAGAAAGAAAATTAAATAAGCATATTCTGAAATACTCTCAAGAACAACAGGAGCTATGCCAAATAATGAGCATAAACACAATATTTAACTAAATGCAGCTAAAACTGTCAAAACTTTCCATTTTTATTTGTGTCCAATTTTACCATTGCTGTGACCACTGTTGAAATGTCTTTGTTGCTACACTGGAAATATCTAGGCTACGAACTGAAAATTGACAAGCAAAAGAAGAAAATGTGTTTAAAAGACATTCTTGTTCATCTTTTGCATTCTCAGTGGGGCTGAGAGTTGGACTGCAATGTGGCTGTAGTGCTGTTGTACTCTGTCCAGATTCTCTTTTGAGGGTGGATGCACCCAGTTCCCAATTGCTGAGGGTTCACAGCTGCATCCCACACTGGGAATTGGCTCTGCCACAGAGAACTCCTGCCCAAGGTTACACTTCCTTCTGCAGAGAATGGTCCCACAGCTAATGGCTAGCTGCTGTAGGGATATAAATGTCTATCCGCCTTGCTTCCATTTGAGAGAACTTAAAGGACCATCTCAGCTCTAGAGGGCTCCTTGGGATCAGCTGAAGCCGCACTTGCAATTGAATTGGATGGAGGTCAGCTTCTTGGTCTTCCCAATCTTGCCACCCTGACTTTCTTACCAGTGTATCTCCCAAGAACACTTTTCCAATAAACTTTCTTTTTTTTTTTTTTTTGAGACGGAGTCTCGGTCTGTCACCCAGACTGGAGTGAGTGCAGTGGCACAATCTCGGCTCACTGCAAGCTCAGCCTCCCGGGTTCACACCATTCTCCTGCCTCAGCCTCCCGAGTAGCTAGGACTACAGGCGCCCGCCACCACATCCGGCTAATTTTTTGTATTTTTAGTAGAGACGGGGTTTTACCATGTTAGCCAGGATGGTCTCCATCTCCTGACCTTGTGATCCACCCGCCTCGGCCTCCCAAAGTGCTGGGATTACAGGCGTGAGCCACCGTGCCTGGCCTCCAATAAACTTTCTACTTCTACCTGTAGCTCCTCATCTCAGAATCTCTTTCCAAAGAACCCAATCTAAGTGAGTTGATACCGGGAGCTATCCCAGGAAGAAGACTCTAAATTTGGATTTTGGAGCTGCATCACCTGCCAGCTGGCTGACAAAGAGGCCCCACCACTAGTGGCAGGTAGAGTATAGATAGCACCAGGCATGCTTCAGTGGTGCAATTATTAAGCCTTTCACTGGTTGTACACTGGGATGTGATGCCAGTGGAAGGAGGAGCACTAACTGGTACAGTATGTCTGGCTTTTGAGATATTTGAGGGGAAAGGCAAATATAAGGATGGAATTGGGTGGCTGTTGAGTGCCATTGATTCATTAAAAGAGATAATGACTGGCTAAGAGTGATTAAGGACCAATTCGAGGGAAAAGTGAAAGCACCAAAGGTGCTACAGACTCTGGTTGATGGAGACTAGCTGGTACTTGGAGATTATGACCCCAAAAATGAATCCTGAGAGAGTGCTAGACAAAGGGGAGAGGAGGGAATTGTAAAGTTGGATGAGGGAGAGTTTATTAGCACAGAAGCTCTCTCTCAGAATACAGATTTGACACTCTGGCAAAGACCCTGGGAAACAATGCTCATACACTGCTAGGATGGCCCTTGGAAGCTTAGGCAAAGCAACAGGTCACACACTAAGTGAAGTAGAAATGCCAGAGCCAACATAACAGAGGGCAGAGGATAGAATAAGGACGTGGTCGGTAGAAGACAGAGTTCCTAGAGGCAAAATAAGTGGGCAGCAAATGAGACTAGTGCTTAACTGTTATAATCAGGGTGATCAGAAAGGTAAAGCAGCCACCCCAGTATGAACTGGGTATCCCCTGCCCAGTTTCCAAATATAAGCCTCGTCTCACATCCAGAACCCACTGAGTAAAGGAGAGGGAAGTTCCTTTGAAGAAAAACTTTGAAACATCACAGTAAATATATTCTGATGGTATGGTCAGAGACTAGAAATTATGAGAAGCCTGTGAGGTAGAGTTAGATTTGAAATATGAAGGCAAGACCATCAGCAAAAGTTGTCTGTAGTTTTGAAGGGATCCAGCCATGGTGTCATGTATGGCCCAAAGAGGGCCTAGAAAAGATATCTCACCTCTCTCCTCACCCTCCAATCTCCCCTGGTACCACTTTTTAGCAAATATTGGAAGCCAATTAACTGGCAAGGGAACTCTAGTGATGTGGTCTACAAGGATGAATCATTGCAGAGAAGGTGAAACATGGACGAAGGAGTGAGGAGAAATGGAGAAAACATTAAACACTGTAAAAGAGGTATTATTTCTTCTATTTAAACAGATGAGAAAACAGAGGCTATCCCCGTAACACAAGCAAAATTGCAGAGACCGAATTCCAACCTAGGACAAATTATTCCAGAGTCATTGCTTTTAATCACTACTGTATTTGCCTCTAGGCATCCTGACTTCTGGAAAATTTGAATCTTCATAAATTGCATAAATTATATTTTATGTTCCCAGAAGCACCTACAAGTTAGATTCTCAGTAAATATTAGGTGATAAAGTGGCAATACCCTAACGACAGACCTGGGAATTCAATCATAGAAAGTTGCTTGATGGCCAATTCATTTCAAAGGGGAGTATGCATCATGTGTGGGGGCTGCCAGCCCTAACAAAAGACAGTCCTTGCCATTCCGGCCTTATTGAAATGCTTGGCATGAAATGACAGTGGAGAGTATCCTACCCCCTACCAATTCTTTGTGCTTCCGGGCTGTGTACTCCTTGGCAGGGGTACATGAAAACTCCCCAGGGGATACATATCATGGTGATTTTAAGCAGATTCTTTTCCAGATTCTCAACTTCCATAGGCATTGTTTCTAAAATAAATTTGCCTAATAACGTATCTACAGGCTGCTAGTTCTCCTTTTCCCACCTCCCATCTCATAATGACCCTTCTCCCACTTTCCAAAAGAAAAGCATATCTCTCATTCAATCTGAAACTGACACAGTGACTTGTCCCATTGTTTACAAACCTCAGAGCCACTAAACAAAGGGACAATTGGAGACTACATTGCTCTTAAGGACCAGTACTTTAAGGACACATTAAGAAACATTAAAGGGCTGGCCAACTCATGGCAAGGATCCCTGCTTTAGCTAGCTGGCTTACTAGTTTTCGAAGTATCTAATTAGTTATTCATCCTAGAATTGGAGTTCCAAAATGAGATGATTGTCAGCAGGGTGCATGTTGATGTATTTATTTAAATTACAAAATAAAGTCAGACTTTTTCTGACAGAAAACAAGTCTTATTTGGCTGAATGATCTGACAATAAGAACTGGCTTTGTTAATTAGGTGATGTGGTGACATGTATCATAAGCGGAATGAGCTAAATTCACAGTTTTGAAAAACATGTATTTAAAACCCTTATGCAATAGACAATATGCTGGAAACTACATCTTTTGTAACTAATTAAATTTATGGCATGTCATCTTTAAAATGTGGGGGTACACACCCTTTTAAAAAATTCTTTTAGCAAGTACATGAGCAAAACAGTTGGAGGATGCTATTCTAGACCCTGTAGTAGAACAAATTTTAGCTCTGGAAGGGATGTGTTATTTGGTACAATTTCTTTATAGATAAGCAAACAAACAGAGAGAAATTAAATGACCTGCAACCAATGTGTGAGAGACCTAGGATCAGAACGCGAGGAGCCTGGTCCCTGAGGAATGTTCCCATTTGATGCGCTCCTCTCCTGGATTTCTGCCCTCTTTTCCACTCCCTCAACCTCACTCAAAAGCTCCTAATGCCAAAAGTAGATACTGGCTAAATAAATGAACAGCTCTCTTCAGAATAGAAGTGCAAAAGTAGGCAGAAGCTGCTCGGTTGCTTATCCTTCATGGACTCTAGCTGTGACACCAATGCAAAGAAGTGGGATGAAATCTGAGGAGTCTGAAGGATTAACATTAGTCACAAGGATATCCTGATTGGCCACAGGTTACCTCACGTCCTGGTCCAGCCATTGAACTGGAAGATAAATTTCACCCAAGCCTCATACAGTGATCACATCTGTCTCCTGAAATGTATGTTCCTTGAGCTTAGCCAGCTCCCTTTACTGCCAGACTTCAGCCTGACATCTGGTGGCTTCCCAACGTGCTTCCCTTTCCTACTTAATTAGCACAATGCTCTGGGGGATTCCACAGGCCCCTCACAGATGTCCAGTACCCCATGTCTCCGAAAACCATTAGATCACGATTTTGCTTACAGGCAATGAAATTATATCCCCTACGGATCCAGTTATAACTTCCCATGACATTTTTATGCTTTAGTTTCCTAGGAGGGTTTGTTTGTTTTTTGTTCTTGGGTTTTTTTGTTTTTTTTTTTGCGGGGGGTAGGGTGGAAGGTTGTTTGTTTGTTTGGGGTTTTTTTGTGGATTTTTTTTTTTTTTTTTTTTTACTATTCTGGAGAGCTTCTATTACTCTCTTCAGTTTAATTGGAAATGTTTACCTGCTTTGGGCTCAGAGGAATGAGGGATACATAAATTATCTCTGAGAGTAGGTGAGGGAAGTTGTTCGAGTTTGTTAGATTGCACTGACTTTCATGTGGAATGACTAATAGTGCTAACTGGATGAAAATCGAAAACCATATGTTAATAGCAAAAGAATCACCCATGTTAAATAGGCGTACGATTATACTGGAACATTTAATAAGCAAAGTACAAGGGCTGAGCTGACTCACAATAAAAATCATTGAAAGACATTAAGTGACCATCGATTCTGAATGGATGGCATTAATTTATGAGCAATCAATACTCTTTTAATTGGAATTTTGCTGTCTCTGGGTACCTACACAGCACAGTATATGAAGGCAAATGATAAATTCTCTTTGTTTTAGAGCTGAAAGCAGAGAATTGGAAAACAGTTCTTAGATTGGTGCCTTTATTCCACTCACTACTATCATTTAACTTTGAAATAAAATTAAAAGAGCAGCTCTACTTATCACGGAGACCACAAATCTAAAGAGGCATTCTCTCCCTCTGGATATTTAAATTCTTCCTTCGCAGAGGTCCACCCCCCACATCCTTATTATCCATTATTTAAAGAAAGCAAGGCCAGATACTTTAGAAATGGAATTTTACCCTCTTGGGAGATTAGATACTAGAAAAATCTATAGACCAGGCTCAGAGCTCCAGATTTCATTACAATGCCAACTCTTTTTTTTTTTCTTTTGAGATTGAGTCTCTCTCTGTCTCCAGGCTAGGCTAGAGTGCAGTGGTGCAATCTTGGCTCACTGCAACCCCCGCCTCCCAGGTTGAAGTGATTCTCCTGCCTCAGCCTCCCAAGTAGCTGGGACTACAGGCACATGCCACCATGCCCAGGTAATTTTTGTACTTTTAGTAGAGACGGGGTTTCAACATGTTGGCCAGGATGGTCTTGATGTCTTGACCTCATGATCCGCCTGCCTCTGCCTCCCAAAGTGCTGGTATCACAGGAGAGAGACACTGCGCCCGGCCCCAGTGCCAACTCTTACCACCCATGTGACTTCTCTGTGCTTCAACTGCAATATTAATAGAATGAGGATAATAAGATTTACTTCCTTAACATTGTGGTGAGGTTCAATGGGCAGAAACACCATACCTGTGTGACACAAGTTAGTATAACATTTGCCAATGAACACTTCTGGATGAATACTTCATATTCTAGCCTTAACTACTCACCTATTATTCCAAACTGAAACATCCCCCAAGATTTTAAGAGACAAGACAGCTCCCACAAACAGTACACCATGATCACATCTGTATTACGTTTCCTTGCTCTCCCTGCACCTCCAAAATTCACATCCTTCCCCATGTCATTTCCAGAAAAAGCCCACTGCCCTCTGAACTAGTCTGATCATGGCTTGTGGAACATCAGTCCCCCAGACCCCCTCCAATTCCAGACAAACCGGAGGATGGGGGGATGGTGCCCTGAAAACAAGGGCAGTGAGGGCAGATGCTGGAGGGGCCCGTTGTTGTGATTGGCCTGATTCTACAGCAAATCAGTCCTAAGCAGACAATTTCAACATAATCTCTCACCTCTCTGGACCAACAGTCAATGGAGAAATGGGAGAAGAAGAGCCCCTTAAAAGGATAAGTTGCAGCAAAACTGTGAAAGCCTTGAAATTGAGAAGAGAAACTGCCAGAAGAACAAACTGGAGTGTGTTATGCCCAAACGCATCATCTGTTCTGACAGGCAAATTTCACAAGGAGCCAAACCCTGACAATTCTCCTCCCCTGTGTTTTAGAAACCGCTTCCCTGGAAACCCCTTACTAAGCTGCGGCAGTCACACTACATTGCAGGTGCGCTCTTTGCTGTCATCTTCCTCTCAGTGAGGCTAATTTATTCAGATGAATGGTGCAGGTGGAGAGTAAGAGTATGGGCAAGGAGATGGGAGCTACTGCAGAGACCTGGTGCCCCCCGGGATGAGTCTCCAGGTTTGGGGTAAGATAAAGCATCTTCCCCTGATGCTCAGCTCTTATTATTGATAAATTTTTCCATCTCTGTAATGCAGTGAGGGTTAATGAGTTAGATTATTTACTTGGGGGCATTTGCTTTTTTTCGTTGATAGGAAGTGGGAGAGCAAAACAATGCCAATTCACTATAGGGAGTTGACATATTTTATAAACATCACAGAAGAGCTAGCAACATAATGGCCATATCTCACACAGTGACAGTTTTGTGTATTTAAATGGTGGTAGTGGAAGGCAGTAGAGAGGAAGGTTAAAAATAAACAAAAACTATATTACAAGGTTTCCAATATGCCCGGATAAGATGTGAAGTGCACACACACATGTGTGCACATACACATTTAGCAAATATTAAAGCACCATGGAGAAGGGACCATATCCTTAAAATCTACCAGTTTAGCAGATGAAGAATAGACCTCTGTGATTTTTAATAAATATTTTCTTAATACGGCCATCTGTGGTCAAAAGGGGTTAAGGCAACAGAAAGACTGTCTTTAAGCATGGTTGAAATACTACGGGCATGTGCTAATTCCATTTTCTATACATTTGCAGCAATAATCGATCATATATTTTTTCACTGAGCTCCGAGTTTCTATTTTAAGCTCTAAAACACCTCCAGTGTCTTGACCCAGAGGTGATTTGGAAGTCAAACCAGAATATCCCACAGAAATGTGTCAGTCCTTGAACCTCTAAAAATCTTGCTCCATATCTCACTTGTGAACTCATTTTTTTAAAGAACAAATGCTAGATTGGTATGTTTTCCAATATATTCAAATAAGTTATGTCCTTTGCTCCAAATTCCATTCCTCTCCCCAGTACGACTCAGACAATAAACATTTATTTGCCAATTTTCTGCTGTGTGCAAGATATTGAAAAAAATAAATAAATAATTTTAAACCTGTAACTTGCCCTCATAGAAATTTCCACTCAATAAGGAGGTTTAGACAGTGAATGAATCATAATTCAACATAATACTGAAAGAAATAATATTTTCTTGGTAAGAAAATAACACTCAAAACAAAAATGAATAAAGTACCCTAATGATTCAGAGGGAAAAGAGATTATTTTTCTGGGCTTAACAGGGAAAATTTTGTGAAAGAAATGACATCTATACTGAATTTTGAGAAAAGGTAAAATTTGAAAAATTAAATCATGGAGGAGCAAAAAGTACTCCAGAAAAGGCAAAAACTTGACTAAAGCAGAGAACAATAGAGAATTGTGTCAAATATGATTAAAACAAGTGTTCTCTCTGGCTAGAATATAGATATGATCAAAGAGATAAAGAGGAATAAAAATGGAAGACTATGGAGGGCCCTAAATGCCAAGATTCAATTTTTAAAAACTGACAAATAATCATCATCTATATTTATAGAATATGCTCTTTTGTTTTGATGTATACATTCAAGTTTCAACCAAGCTAAGTAACATATTCATCAACTCACTAATTTTTTGTGGTGAGAATGTTAAAGATCTATTATTTTAACAAACTTGAAATATACAGTACATTTTTTTTTAGTGTGGTCACCATAAAGTGCAATAGAACACTAAAATTTATTTCTCCAGTCTAACTGAAACCGTGGACACTTTGATCGACATCTTTCCTTTCCCCATCCCTCCAGGTTCTGGTAACCACCTTTCTACTCTCTAGTTCTGTAAGGTCGACTTTTTTAGCTTCCACATATGAAAGAAATCAGGCAGCATTTGTCTTTCTGTGCCTGGATAATTTCATTCACTGTCCTCTGGCTGTATCCATGTTGCTGCAAATGGCAAAATTTCCTTCTTATTTAAGGCTAAATAGTATTCTATTGTGTATATTTACCACATTTTTAAACCATTCATTTGTTCTATACCTTGGCTTTTGTGAGTTTTGCATGCCTTGACTATAGTGAATTATGCTGCAATGAACAGGGGAGTGCAAATATTTCTTTGACATATCAGTTTCAGTTCTGGGGATGTATACTTAGAAGTGAGATTGCTGGATCATATGGCAATCCTATTTTTCGTTTTTTGAGGAACTCCCATACTCTTTTCCAAAATAGCTATACTAATTTACATACCAATAAACAGTTCCCTTTTCTCCACCTCCTCATCAAAACTTTATCATTCCTATTTTTTAATAATAGCCATTCTAACAGCTGTGAGGTCATATCTCATTGTGGTTTTAATTTGCATTTCCCTGATAATTAGATATTATGAACTTTTTTTCATATATCTGTTGGCCATTTATATCTCTTTTGAGGAATGTCTATTCAGATCTTTTGCTCAGTTTTTAATCAGTTTGATTTTTTACTATTGAGTGGTTTGAGTTCCTCATATATTTTGGATATCAGGCCCTCATCAGATGTCTAAGTTTTTGCAAATATTTTCTGCCAATTCATGGGTGTGTCTTTACTCTGTTAATTGTTTCCTTTGCTGTGCTTTTTAATTTAATGCAATCCCAATTGTCTATTTTTGCTTTTGTTGCCTGTGGTTTTTGGAGTTCTGTCCAAGAAATCATTGCCCAGATCAACAACATGGAGCTTTTCCCATTTTCTCCAAGCAACTTCACAGTTTCAGGCCTTAACATTTAAATCTTTTACTCATTTTGAGTTTATTTTGTATATGGTGTAAGAAAATGATCCAATTTCCTTCTTCTGCATGTGGATATCCCGTTTCTACCAATGTTTATTTGAAATCTTTTTCCTTTTTTGATGTAGGCATGTATTGTCATAAAATTCCCTCACAGGACTGCTTTTGCTGCATTCCATAAATTTTGATATGTTGTGTTACCATTTTCATTTGTCTTAAGATATTTTTTAATTTCTCTTTTAATTTCCCCTTTGACCCATCAGTTATTCAGAAACAGGCTGTTTAATTCTCATATATTTGGGAATTTTTCAAGGTTCCTCTTGTTATGGATTTCTAGTTTTATGCCATTGTGGTCAGAAAAAATACTCAATATTATTTCAATCATTTTAAATGTGTTAAGACTTGTTTTCAGCCTATCATATGATATATCCTGGAGAATGTTCCAGATGCACTTGAGAAGAATTTATATTCTCTTGCTGTTGAATGGAATGTTCTATAAATGTCTGTTAGGTTTATTTGATCTGAAGCGTAGTTCAGGGCAGGTGCAGTGCCTCACATTTGTAATCCCAGCACTTTGGAAGGCCAAGCCAGGTGAATTGCTGAAGCCCAAGAGTTTGAGGCCAGACTGGAAAACATGGCAAAACCCTGTCTCCACAAAAAAATACAAAAATTAGCTGGGAATGGTGGTGCATGCCTGTAGTTCCAGCCACTCAAGAAGCTGAGGTGGGGGTATCACTTGAGCCAGGGGAGGTAGAGGTTGCAGTAAGCCATGGTCTTGCCACTACATTCCAGCTTGGGCAAAAGAGTGAGACCCTGTCTCAAAATAAATAAATAAATAAAGCATACTTCAAGTCCAATATTTTCTGTCTAGATGATCTGTCCAATGTTAAAAGTGTAGTATTTAGTTATCCTACTATTATTATATTACAGTCTATCTCATTCCTTGGATCTATTAATATCTGCTTTACCAATTTAGGTGTTCCAACTTTGGATGGATGCATATCTACAACTGTCATATCTTCTTGATGAATTGACCACTTTATCGTCATATAATGACCTTCTTCACCTCTTTTTATAGTTTTTGACTTAAGGTCTATTTTGTGTGATATAAGTATAGCTATCCCTGCTCTATTTTGATTTCTATTTCCATGGAATAACTTTTTCCATCCCTTCATTTTTGGTCTATGTATGTTCTTAGAGATGAAATGAGTCTCTTGTTGGCAGCATATCACTGAGTCTTTTTTTTGGTTAATCCATTTAGCCACTTGATGTATTTTGATTGAATAACTTAGTTCATTTACATTTAAAGTAATTATTGATAGATAAAGACTTACTATTGCCATTTTGTTAATTGTTTTCTGGTTAATTTGTAGATTACTTGTTCCTCTCTTCCTCTCTTATGGTTGTCTTTTGTGGCTTGATGATTTCCTATCACAGTATGCTTTGAATCCTTTCTTTTTATCTTTGGTGTATCCACTAAGGAGTTGTTTTTTTTTTTTTTTTGGCCACTATGAGGATTATATAAAACATCATATGCTAAGAACATCCCTTGTTAAGCTGATAATGATTTAACTTTGATCACTTGCACAAACTCTATACTTTTATTCCTCTCCATTTGTTTTTTTGACATGTTTTGTAATTTTTAGTTTGTGTCCCTTAACAAGTTAGTGTAACTACAGTTGTTTTTATAGTTTTGTCTTTTAATTTTCATGCTAGAAACAAAATTTATTTTCACACCACTGTTCCAATCTAAGAGTGTTCTGAGTTTAACTACATACTTACTTTTACCAGTAAGTTTTATGTTTTAATATACTTTGATGTTGCTACTTAACAATTTTTCCTTAAGCTTGAGGGACTATTGTTAGCATTCTTGTAAGGTAGGTCTAATGGTGATAAATTCCCTCACCTTTTGTTTGTCTCAGAAAGTTTTTATCTCTTCTTCACCTTTAAGGGACAGGATTGCTGGGTATAGTATTCTTGGTTGGCAGGGTTCTTTTTTTTATTTCAGTTTTGAATATATCATCCCTTTCCCTTCTACCCTTCAGGATTTCTGTGGAAAATCCATTGACAGTCTTCTAGAGGTCCCATGTATGTAACAAGTCACTCCTCCCTTACTGCTTTCAATATTCTCTTTGTCTTTAACTTTTGACAATTTGATTGTAATGTGTCTTGGTGTGTGTCCCTTTGAATTTATCCTATAACAGACCATTGAGCTTCATGGATATGGATTTCTATTTTCTTTTCCAGACTTAGGAAATTTTCTGCCATTATTTCCTTGAATGTTTTCTGTCCCTTTCTGTTTCTTTTCTCCTTCTGGTACACTGATAATGTATATATTATTCCACTTAATGGTGTCCCACAAATCCCCTACACTGTCTTCACCCTTTTTCATTCTTTTTTCTTTTGACTTCTTAGATTGGATGACTTCTAATGACTTGTCATCAAGTTTGCTAATTCTTTCTTCTGCTTTATATAGATTGGTATTGAAACCCTCTATTAAATTTTTGAGCCCCATTATTGTATTCTTCAGCTCAATTATTTTTGTTTGCTGCTATTTTTATATTTTCTATCTTTTTTTAAAGTTCTCAGTTTGTTCTTGCATTGCTCTCCTTGTCTCAGTAAGTATCTTTATGACTGTCCTTTTGAATTCCCTGTCATGTAAATCACATATCTCCACTTCATTGGGGTTGGCTTCCAGAGATGTATCTTATATTTAGAACACATTTCCACGTTTCTTCATTTTTCCTTGGCTCTCATGTTTGTTTCCATGCATTAGATAAAAGAACCATCTCTCTCAATTTTGTTAGACTGGTCCCATGTAAAAGATGTTTCTCCCCCATCAGCCCAGCCAGAGATTCCTGGTGCTTCCAAACTCCTTGTACTCATCTAACCTGATGTCTTTGTTCTTAGTGTCCCCAAAGAAATTAGAGAGTGTCAAGTCATGCTATTGCCTTGAGAGAAGTGGGATAGAAGTCAGTTCCTTAGAATGCAGCTGAAGAGGTTGAGGTGTAAGATATGTTCCAGTTCCTTCTTTCTTTGCAGAGAAGTTGACAGCCAGAGTTTATCTCACACTTGTTCTGCTGTACACAAGGTGAGTGACTGAGAGAGATACTTGTATTCTTGATCAGACTTCTCACTTTGGACCTGTGGAAATATTTGCTGAAAATTTGCATGTTTAAAAGTCATCTTTATGTTCTCTGTAACTTAGGAAACTCAGGAATGTAGAGCTCCATTAACTCCAAGATCTAGGTAATTTAGAAGCCAGTACCTTGTTGGAAACTGTAAAAGATGGAGTCCTTGGTGCTTGCAGAAACTACTTCCAGGACCTGCAGATCTGTATTTACTGATGGAGCAAGCCAGAGAAGATATTTCAGAGAACGCCCACTTTCCTGTTCATGCAAGCAAAAGTCTCTCACTCTTCTAGTAGGGACAGGCTTCTGGTCTGGAGTTATTGCTGAAACAAGCCAGAGCAGAAGGGTCAGGGACTTCTCACTTTCCTTTTCAGTCATGGAGAGGTCCCTCTATCTCCTTCCAATGAGATATTTCAGGAGTTTATCTCCTGAGCAAACTGAGAAAAAGAGCATGAGGAGTGCCATCCCTTTCATTCTTGCTGGTGGAGGCATCAAACTTCTTTCCATGGAGATATTGTAGGGCTGAAATCGTCACTGGAACAAGCCAAGGAAGAAAGTGCAAGTGATGCCCACTCTCCTATTCAAGCAAGCAGAAGTTTCACACCCTCCTTGTAGGGGGAGCCTTGTGTGATCTTATCGTGAAAGCAAGCCAGGGTAGAGGAATAGAGAGTGCCCCCTTTTCCTTTCAGACATGGAGAGGTACACCCTTCTCTTTCTAATGAGAGATTGCAGGAATTTATATCAGGAGACAGCAAGGGGAGAAGGCACAGGGAGTGCCTTCTTTCTGATTTAGACTCAAAGAAGTTTAATCCTTATAGGCTCCTTATTAGACTCCCAGATACCAGCTTGTTAGAAGCCAGAGCCACAGGGAGTTCCTTGAAAAGTCTTAGGCTGAACCCTCTTTAGGGGGAAGTTAGAAGTTGGGCTGATCCCTGGGGGCTAGAGTAGCTGGGAGTCCTCACATGGTTCAAAAGCCCCTTTGTCCATTGTGCTTGAGAGAAATCCTCCAATGCACTGTCCCTACTGTTCTTCAAGCATGGTAACTTAAGATCAAAGCCCTCCCACAGGAACTGTAAAAGTTGGGCACTATACATGTGGTACAAGACTCCCAACCTTCTGGAAGAAGCTGGGAGTTGGAGTTTCCTTCCTAATTATAAGGCGTTGTGCTCATGGTAGGATTAGTGCAAGTGTGTCTCTGCTTTTCCTACCTGTTTGGATGTGGGTATTTTCTCAGTCTTCCAGTGTGTGGGAGACTTTCAACTGGATTCTAGCTTCCTCTTGGAGAGAACTAATTCATGTGTAGGTGTTTACTTGTATGTCTGTGAGAGATGGAATAGTCAGGAGTCTCCTGTTCTGCCATGTTGCTGACATCCCCAGGAGAAGGATTTTGAGTGGAGACTAAAGTATTTTGAGTAACAATATTTAAGCACAAATTCTCTGGAGTGATTAATCTAGCAATCATGGGTCAGACAGATTTGCGTAGGGAGAAAGTGTAGGTATAAGCTATAGAAATTTTTTAAGTAAGAGGTCATAAAGGGCTAAAATAAGGCAATGAGAATGAAAATGGAAAGACAGAGTAGGAAGAGCTGTGAGCCAGGAAAACAGAATGAACAAGAGTTGGAATAAATTGGAGCAAAAGAGACATTAATTGGGACTCATGAATTTTAGAGCCTGTGTGACTAGAAATACCACAGTCTTTGAAAGAAGACAGAGAAGAGCTACTGAGACATGATTTCATGAGGAAGACACTGTCATAAATAAATAATGCCAATGAAGGTTGCTTGTGGGAGAAATGTTACAACACCACTGAATGCATGAACAGTGATGGTTTACACGTACACACACACACACACACACAACCATGATTGAGTGGAAGTAGATATTAACAGAAAGAGTCATAACTTGCTTTCAACAAGAAACTGTGCAGCTTATCTGCTGGGGGATAGTCAAAAAATGTTAGGGGGATCACAGAAAAAAAGATTGACACTCTCCACTTACTGGTGGGAATGTAAATTGATACAAACTTCTGGAAGCGATTTTAGTAAAGTCCACTAAAAGGTTTGTAAAATAAAGCCAAGTTATTTCACTTTTAGAATCACAGTCCAAGTACATAAATATGAAAAACCTTCTTATAGGTGTTCATCATTAGACATTATTAAAATGAGTTGGCCAGGTATGGTGGCTCATGACTGTAATCCCAGGGCTTTGGGAGGCTGAGGCAGGAGGATCACTTGAGGCCAGCCTGGGCAATATAGTGAGACCCTGTCTCCACAAAAAATGAAAAAAAAATTAGCCAGACATGGTGTACCCCTGTAGTCCCAGCTACTCAGGAGGCTGAAGCAGGAGGATCCCTCAAGCCCAGGAGGTTAAAACTGCAGTGAGCTATGATTGTGCCAGTACACTTCAGCCTGGGCGACAGAGTGAGGCCCTGTCTCAAAAATTAAATTAAATTAAATTAAAAAGTGAGTCAGGTAAATATGCTGTATCCGATTGGGGTCATGATTACTTAAATGTAAGCATTATCAAAACATCAAATTAGACACTTAGGCTCTATACATTTCACTGTAGATTTTATTTCAAAAAATTTAATAATAAATGTATAAAAATCGAATTTCCTTCTTAAAAGAACTAAATACCAAATTAACCCAAATGGCCAAAGACAAGTAAGTATCACCCTTGGAGGATCCATTTTACTCTATCTTATGATATTATTAAAGTAAGGATTTAATCATGAGTGTTCCTAATGATACAGGAAATGTGTTAAAATGTTAACTGGAAAAAATAAATACAAAATGCTGCACAGAATATAATCACAAGAATGTTAAATATGCATCAGGAGAGGACTGATAGTCCTTTAATATATCTAATATATATATATAATATGATATCACTGCTAACATATCTAAATATTAGCAGTGATTGTCATGACTGAATTATGAATGATCATTTTCTTCCTCTTGTTTTTCTGTATTTTTTACCTGTTATATAACAAGCTTTATTATGGAAAAAAACCTTTATTTTGTTAAATAGTGAGTAATGTGTCATCCTCCATCCACCCCTCTCCACTCAGTTCTTGAGCAAATTAACAGGTCCAGATGGCATTATCCCTAATTAAGGATAACAATCAACCAAAAGGATCTAACATAAAGTCTGTGCATAAATACAATAGATACAAAGGAAATAAATTAGCAAATTCATAACAGCATTGAAAACAAGCTTTGCCAGTAGTCCAGGACAATGAGGAGTTTCTAGAAGTGACACAGCAATAGCAAATAGATTGACAACATAGTCCAAAATAGCCGAAGAACCCTCTCAGTAGACAAGTAAAACATTCCAAAATAGTGTGTTTTCCCAACAGAACTCCAGAATAAATCTACATCCAAAGGCAGTGGAGGCAGGAAAAAGGGGAATGAGAAAATGTTTTAGGTATTTTAACTAAACAGTGGCACCAATAAAACGGCAACTCCCCTTTCCTCCATCTCCTACATTTATCCCTAGATTTGGGCTATGAATACCCCTCTTAAAAACTCTGACGTTTAAGACTACCAGAGTGGCTGCTGAACTAAAGAAAGGGAGAGTGTCTGTCAGCCAACAAGCACCAAGAGCCTCATATCTAGAAATCAAGCCACCTTCACACCTTACTAGTCACACTTCTGTTTTCAGCTCCTGCAAAGTTACCAGAGGTAATTAGTTTGTATCAACTGCTAGACAAACTGGCAGTCCCTCATCTGGACTGAGACTCAGTCCCTCAACTGGACTGACAAAATATACTTCAAAAGCAATAAACTGTTTAATCTAAGTCCTCAGCAACAAATAAGAGCAAGCAAGAAACACTAAGCTTTTAAGAAATTAACACCACAATGGAGATCTTCCAAATTCAATAAATAATCATTACAGGAAACTGAAAAAAAAAAAAAACCTTTAAATGTTAGGAGAAAAAAATTGGTGTAAATATAGGAAAGAAAAAGACAAACTATTATTGTTATCAGACGCTATGAGTAGCCACCTAGAACACCTAAGAGGCACTACTAGTAAGCATTTAGAACAAACACAGGATTTAGTTGGGATACAAGATCAACACAGAAAAATTAAGAGTAGCTTTTTAAACCTGTCATAACCAATTAGAATGTATTTAAAAGATCCCATGATAATAACAAAGTATAACCTGTTCATAATTAAATTCAATAAGAAACATATAATATAAAGAATGCTGTAAATTTTTACAGAAGAAAATAAAAGAAGCTCTAAATTAACAGAAGGCCAAATTATGTTTCTGGATGTGAAGACTCAATAGTAAAAGATATCAGTGATACAGGAGGGAGATAGGGAAATGCTGGATAGAGAAGGGCAGGGTCCCTGGTGAGGGCTTCACTCTCAGGCCTGTGCCCAGGGACCTAAGTAAGGACAGGCACTCCTGTTTCTGCACCCAAATGTTGCATTTTCCAAGACCACTCTGGCCCATCACATCCTCCATCCTGTGCCCATAAAATCTCTGAGACCCTAGCGGGCGCACACACAAGTGTCTGGATGTTGAGAGGAACACACTGGCAGAAGAACACACCAGCAGATGCCAGCAGGCCATCAACAGCAGAATGACGCAGACAATATGGGAAATTCAGTCGGAGGGAAGTCCAGCCATTGGGCACCCCAATTCCAGGGGAAGACAACCTTCCCACTCCATCCCCCTTTTGCCCTCCCCATCCACCTCACTGAGAGCTACCTCCACTCAATAAAACCTTGCACCCATCCTCCAAGCCCACATGTGATCCGATTTTTCCAGTACTCTAGGGCAAGAACCCCGGGATACAGAAAGCCCTCTGTCCTTGCAATAAGGCAGAGGCTGTAATTGAGCTGATTAATACAAGCCACCTGTGGATGGCAAAACTGAAAGAGTGCACTGTAACACATGCCCACTGGGGCTTTGAGAGCTGTAAACACTCAACCCTAGACGCCCCCCGACCTGACTGTCTGCATGTTCCCTCTAGGGCTTTGGGCAGTGGGGCACTGAAGAAACCAGTCATGCCCCTGTCACACGCCCTGTGAGGAGAATAAGGGAACTTTCCCGTTTCATCAGTTCTCTTCGAATTTATGTATAAATTTGATACCATTTCCAATCAAAACTCTAAACAGATGGCTTGAAACGAAATAGCCAGCACAATTTTGAAGAGAGGAATAATGAGGAAGAACTTGCCTGACCATTCTAAATACCAACAACAGTGTGGCACTGGTCCCAGAGTAGATACATAAATCAATATGGAAAGATAAAGCAGGTGATATTTCAAATTAGAGGAAAAAGAACCAACAATTCAATAAGCAGTGTCAAAATAAGAGGCTAATTATTTACAGACAGATTAAAAACTAAGCTCAATAAAACATTAAAAGCATTAATAACTACATACATATCAGAAAAAAATATATAGGCAAACTTCATCTTAACCTTAGAGAACATTCTTATAAGCAAAGATATAAAAGCCATAAAGTTAAAATATTTGGCTATATAAAGGTTCAAATAGTTTGAATAATAGAAAGATTATAAATAAATTCAAAAATGAGAGACTGAGAAAATATTTCCAACATCTTCAACAGAGAAGCAATTAATAACCAATATAAAGGACCTCTAGAAACCAAAAAGAACTGAAAAAAGCTACTAAAAATAGACAGAAATTTACAAAAGAAATGGGTCAAAGAGTATTTTTAAAATATGCTGAAATTCCACTGCAGTTGGTAGTATGCAAATTTTATAAGTAATGAGTCACAATTCTTAACTTATCTAATGGGCAAAAATAAAAAAATCAGAATAATATTCTTTTGATAAAGATGTGGGAAAATAGACTCATTAATGAGACAGTAAATTGGAACAGGCTTTTTGAAGTATTATTTCTCAGTACTTATCAAAATTTTATCTGTCCATATTCTTATACCCACAAAATCCACTTCTAGGATTATATGCTACAGAAACTCTCATAATATCCACATAGAGGACTGTTCACTGCTGCATTTTAGGGTAAATGTGTGACCAAGAACAGCAGATAGTTAAATAAATAATAGGTATATAATACTACACAATATATAGTATACAATATATAGTACAATATATAGTATACAATAATAGTATATAATACTATACAAATGATTTTTGTAGTAGAAAAATATTTACTGGCATAGAAAGATTGAAAAGATATATTAGTAAAGACAGAAAATTCTTATGTATAAGCATACGCAGGAAAAGGTCAAGATGTAGACACAGCACAGCTAATTGTTAAATAGTAGTTACTTCTTAGGAAGGAGGTGAAGGACTGGGAGGAAGTTTAAGATCAGCTTTCACTTTTAGTATGTATATTTTTTATTGCTTGATTTTTTTTTTAATGGGACTATATGGAGACCAGCAGAAATGATAGAGGCAGAAAAAGTTTTCACGGTGGTAAAAACTGTTTGCTTAACTAACATCAAATAAATAATTTGGCCATTCAAAACTATACTTGATAGCAGTGTGCACAGTTTCCTACAGCTTTCTGTGCATGGATGAGCTTATTCCAGTAAGGTAGGGTAGAGGGTCTTGCTACTCAGATCAGCCTTGTTCTTCTCTTTACACTCAGGCTCTTTTTCCTACCAACTCAGAGTGTCACATCCCAGCCCCAATCTCTGCCTTACACAATGAAGTAACCACCCTGTGTCTCCCCATCATCTAGATCCAATCTTCCTGCTACTGATGTCAGATTTCTAATTCTCCCACCTCCAGATTTTCTTTCCATATTACATAAAGACTTTCCAAGGAGCAGACCTGGCTATAGTACTATGGCATGTATAATTTACCACCTGTACAATTGTTATAAATATAGAAGAAAAACACTTAAAAAGAATATGTATCAGAAGAATTACCACAGGAAATGAAAAAAAAAGTAAACAAATAATAGTCTACACGCTCAAGAAACTAAAGAGGGAAAAAAACGATCTGAAAAGGAGACTTTCTGAGAAGGGATATGAAATTAAAGAGGAAATAAAGATAGTGAAACCAAGCTACCAGAGTTCACAAAAGAAACAAAAGTTAATAATACAAATACCATAGACATAAACGCAATATAGAGACACAAAAACAATGTAATACAATTTATAAAAGAATCGGGAGCATAGAAGAAAGGCTGATAAAAATCTGAAAACTGCCAGGCGCGATGGCTCACGCCTGTAATCCCAGCACTTTGGGAGGTCGAGGCGGGCAGATCATGAGGTCAGGAGATCCAGACCATCCTGGCTAACACGGTGAAACCCCGTCTCTACTAACAATACAAAAACAAAATTAGCCAGGCGTGGTGGCGGGCGCCTGTAGTCCCAGCTGCTCGGGAGGCTGAGGCAGGAGAATGGCGTGAACCCGGGAGGCGGAGCTTGCAGTGAGCTGAGATCGCGCCACTGCACTCCAGCCTGAGCGACAGAGCGAGACTCCGTCTCAGAAAAGAAGAAAAAAAAAATCTGAAAACTTAAATGCAAAAAACAAAGAAGCAAAAGTAATTTAAAAGATAGATATGTAAGAGAGACCAAATAAAGTTGGCATAAACTTGACTAACCCTGGGAGTCAAGCAAATCAATCAGAAAATAATATTTAAAAATTAAATAGAAGAAAATGTTTCTGAAATAAAGGAACATCTGGGTCTGAGGATGAAAAGGATTCATCATGTTCCAGGAAAAAGTAATTCATTCCAGTAATCAACTTGATATATTCTGGTGATGCTGTTTACCTTTAAGAATAAAAATAAAAGCTGAATGAGCATTCACTCAGAAAAAGCAATTCATTTGCATGGGAGGAAAATCAGAGTGACCTCAGATTTCTTCATACCAACATTTAGTATCCAAAATTGTGAGTCAAAAGATTATAGACAGACCTTCTTAAGGGATATAAAACCTCTTGATAACAAATTCTCACCAAACAAGTGCTGTCATCAAAAGAACTTGAGAAAGGAAGAATTCATGGCATAAAAGTATTGTTTGCACTGAATTGATTAAAACATAGAAGTAAGGCTTGACAATTGTGCAAATTTATAGACATTGAAATGTATAAATAAGAGTATAGCTAAGAAAAAATGGACACTGGCAGAAAAAAAAAAAGATATCAGAAAGGAGGATGTATGTGCCAATTTCCTAACCATTCATATCAGAGTTAAAAGATATTATTTATTCCTAATGTTCCAAGTTTCCTTCTGGTATCATTTTTTCTTCTGTCTGAAAAACCTACTTTAGCAATTCTTTCAGAGCAGGTCTACTGGCAATGAATTATTTTCTAGTTTTTTTTCATCTGTGGTCTCTATTTTACCTTCATTTCTGAAGGATATTTTCAGTGTATATAGAGTTCTAGGTTGACACTTTTTTCTCTCAGCACATTAAAAATATTGCTTCACTTTCTTCTGACAGTCATGGTTTCTATGAGAGATGTGTAGTCATTAGAATCATAGTTCAGTTATAAGTAATGAGTTGTGCTTCTCTAGCTGCCTGCAAGCTTTTTTTTCTTTGTCTTTAATTTTTAACAGTTTGCTTTTGATATGCCTAAACATGTTTCTTTAGGATTATCTTGTCTGGGTTTCCCTGCGTTCCATGAATCTATAGGAGCTACATAGAAATTCTGCCCAATTTGAGGACTTATAAACATTTTTCTTCAAATATTTTTTCTATACAACAATATTTCTCCTCCCTCTGTGACTCTGATGACAGAAGTATTAGACATTGTGGTAGAGTTCCATAGATCCCTAAGTCTCTGTTTGTTTTCTTTTTCATCTTTTTTCTCTCAGTTGTATAATTTCTATTTTTCTTAGAATTCACCCTTTCCACTGCCATCTCCATTCTGCTATTGAAACCATCTGGAGAGGTTTTTATTTTGATTGTTATGTTTTTCAGTTTAAAATTTCTATTTGGATGTTCTTTAAGTCTTCTATTTATTTGCTAAAATTATCTTTCATTCAACTCATTTCAAATGTATTCACCCTTTCTTCTTTTAAAGACCTTGTCAGAAAATTTTAACCTGTGTGTCATCTCCGCGTTGGCTTCTGTTGACTATCTTTTCCCATAAGAGTTGAGATTCTTCTTATTCTTAAGATGCCAAGTTACTTTAGATCATATCACAGACATTTGAATAATATAAGACTCTGGGTCTTATTTAAATCCCATGGAGAATGCTGATATTTTTGTTTTGTTTCAGCAGCTGACCCAGTTAGATTCAGGCCACAAATTCCAACTGACTTTTCCTGGGTTGTAGTTTCAATATCGGTTTGGGTTTGTTTTCTTCCCTCAAAGCATTTGTAGTGCTATTCTGATCTGTCTCCTGTTTATGTCACCCGGTGGCCAATATGGAAATTAAGTGATGATCTATTCCTTAGCTCAGACCTCAAAGTCGTTGATATGTTGTTTAGAATCAGATCTGTAAGTGGGTATCTAAGGAGCAAGCCTGAGAGTTCATAAGCTACTTTCAGGGAGTCATTTCCCTGAGGTCCTTTCTCACCACATCTTGCTGATACTCTTCAGTTTCCTGGGGCTACCCTTTCAGTCCTCTGGACAAAGAGCTGGGGCTTCAATTATCCTGCTCTACCATGCTCTTCCAACAATTGTCCTACATATGAGGCCACTTGGTGGGAGGATAAAAAGAGGGAAAAAAAATCAATGAGTGTTCATATCACTCTGTTGAGATCAGTCTTCTCCAAATGAAGAGGAAGGGACCCCCCCAGCTCAGACTTTTAGCCCCTTGCAGGTCCAGTAGGCCACTGCTGTCATTGCCACAGCATTGCCTGGGGACTATGGTACAAGGAAACATAGAGAAAAAGAAAATAAAAATGATGGATTGCCCTCACTGTCTCTGGAGATTAAGTGATGCCTCCCACCCCCAGCCCTGCTTCATACTGCTTAAGTCAAAACTATAGGGCCTCTTCTGGAGCTCTGTCTGTAATTTGTTCCTTATCCATGCCATGTCTATGTACAGGTTTTGAGTTTCAGACTACCTTGAATCCATGCCAAGGGATAGTGGTACAAAAAAAAAAAAAAAGATAAACTAACTGGCATTTCATAAAACTTTAAATTCTGGTCTTCTTCCCAATCTTCTTGCTACTGTTTACTTTCCAGTGTCCTTATATCACTGTTATACGCATTATACCCAGGTTTTAAAGCTATATTTAATGAGTTAGCTGTATTCAGTGTGTACTAAGAGATGGAGGAGTGTGCACTCAGAGATGGAGGAGTGTGCTTACTCCATCCTACCTAAAATTAAAACTCCAGAATATATTATTTAAAGTTGATATATATAGAAATAGAGTTTAAAGTGTATGTTTATTTAAAGTCTTAAATGTAATGAGTGGAAAAACTAAAATACGACTGAAATGTTTTTAACTTATCCAAAGGTAATGAAATTATAAGAAAGAAAACTAAAGACTAATATCCCTTATAAACATAGATATAAAAATGTTAACAATACTTCAGTCAGTTGAAATATATTAAAAGAATAATACATCATAATCCAGTGTGGTTTATCCTAGTAATGTGAAGTTAGTTTAACCTTAGAAAAACAATGAGTCATCATATCAATTGTCTAAAATGGAACTTACCATATGATCATCTCAATGGATGCAGAAAAAAGTTTTCACAAAATTCAACACCCATTTGTAATAATAAAAAAAAAAATTTGCAGCAAACTAGGAATAAAATAAAAGCTCTTCAATCCAATAAAAGGCATCTATAGGGGCCGGGTGCAGTGGCTCATGCCTGTAATCCCAGCACTTTGGGAGGCCGAGATGGGCAGATCACAAGGTCAGGTGTTCGAGACCAGCCTGGCCAAGACGGCAAAACCCCGTCTCTAATAAAAAATACAAAAATTAGCCTGGCATAGTGGCGGGCGCCTGTGGTCCCAGCTACTCGGGAGGCTGAGGCAGGGGAATCGCTTGAACTGGGGAGGCAGATGTTGCAGTGAGTGGAGATCATGCCACTACACTCCAGCCTGGGTGACAGAGCGAGACTCCATTTCAAAAAAAAAAGTATGAGAAAACTAAAAACAGTATCCTGCTTAAGGGCAAAACACTGAATGCTTTTACTCTAAGGTCAGGAACAAGGCAAGGATGGTCTCTCTCATCACTCCTATTCAACATTGTATGAACGTTCTTATCAATACAATATAAGGCAGGAAAAATTTTAAAAAAACTAAAAAGGTATAAGACTGGAAAGAAAAAAAACTCTTCAAATCCACAAGGCCTCCAAAAAATTTTAAAAATAAATAAATAAATAAATAAATAAAACTATCTTTATTCACAGACATTATTGTCTATGTAGAAAATTCTAAGAAATCTTCAAAACATCTACTAGAACTAACTGCAAGGTCACAAGATTCAAAGTCAACATATCAGTAGCATTTTCATATATAAGCAGTGAACAGTTGGAAATTTTAAACAAATATCATAAAAATATAGTAAAAATATGAAAAACAGAGGAATAAATTTAACAAAATATTTGTAAAACATGTAGACAGAAAATTACTAAACATTACTGAAAGAAATTAAAGACATCTGGATAATGAAAATATATATTGTGGTCATAAATCAAAAGATTCAAAATTATTAAAATATCAATTCTCCCCAAACTGATCTATAGATTCAACAGAATTCCAAAATCCCAGCAGTGTTTTCCACAGAAATTACAAGAAAATTCTAAAACTTACATAGAAATGAAAACCAACTAGCATAGCCAAAATAAAAGAAAAAGTAAAGTTGAAAGTCTTTTGAAAAAGAAAAATAAAGTCAGAAGTCTTACACTCAGGCTTACTATAAAACTTACACCTAGACTTATTATAATGCTCAAGTAATCAAGACATCTGGTATTGACGTGTGAATCAATGGAACAGAATAGTGAATCTAGAAATAGACCTACACTTATATGGCTCATTGATTCCCAACAAAGGTGCCAGTGTATTTCACTCTGGAAAGGATACCATTTTCAACAAATAGTGCTGGGAAATTGGATATTTATATACCAAAAGAAGAGAGAGAACTTTAATCCTCATCTTCACACTATATCCAAAATTTAACTCAGAAAGGAACACAGACCTAACTGTAAGGGTTAAAACTAAAATTTCTGGAATAAAACACAGGAGAAATTTTTGTTACCTTGGGTTACACTCAATTTCTTTAAAAAGCATAAACTATAAAAGCAACAAATTTACGAACTGGATTTCAAAATATTTAAAAGCTTGCTTTTCAAAAAGTATCATTTAAAAAATAAAAAGGCAAGTCACAGAGACTGGGAGAAAACATTTGCAAAACATATAGCTGATAAAGGATCTGCTTCAAGAATATATAAAGAATTTTTACAACTCAGTAAGACAAACCAATAAAAATTAGACAAAAAAATTCAAGCAAACACTTCATCAAATAATATCTATAAATGATAAGTAAGTACATGCAAAGATGCTCAGCAACATCGGTCATTAAGGTAATGAAAATTAAAAACACACTGAGATACTACAAAACACTCACTAGAATTTTTTTTAAAAGACAATACCCATCTTGGTTTTGTGTTGCTATAATAAAAATACCTGAAACGGTGATGTATGAATAACAGAAATTTATTTTCTCACAGTTCTGGGAACTGGGAAGTTCAAGACTAAGGTGCTGGCAGGTTCCTTGTCTAGTAAGAGTCTGGTCTTTGCTTTCAAGGTGGTACCTTGAATGTTGTATCCTCCAGAGAGAAGGAACACTGTGTCCTCACATGGTAGAAGAATGAAGGAGAATGAACCCACTTCTGTAAGCCCTGTTTATAAGAGACCTAATCCATTCTTGAAAGAAGAGTCCTCATGACTCAGTCACCTCTCAAAGACCATACCTCCCAATACTATTGCACTGGGCATTCAGTTTCCAACACGTGACTTTTGGGGACACATTCAGCAGATAGCAATACAAAATGCTGGTGAAAATGTGAAGCAACTGGAATACTCATATAATGCTGATGGCAATACAAAATGGTAGAGTCATACAAAGTGTTTGTCAGTTTCTTATTAAGTTAAATATACTTTTTTTTTTTTTTTTTTTTGAGATGGAGTCTTGCTCTGTCACCAGGCTGGAGTGCAGTGGCACAATGGAGCTCACAGCAACCTCCGCCTCCCAGGTTCAAGCTATTCTCCTGCCTCAGCCTCCTGAGTAGCTGGGACTACAGGCGCACGCCACCATGCCCAGCTAATTTTTGTGTTTTTAGTAGAGATGGGGTTTTACCATGTTGGCCAGGATGGTATCGATCTCTTGACCTCGTGATCCACCCGCCTCGGCCTCCCAAAGTGCTGGAATTACAGGCGTGAGCCACCACACCCGGCCCAAGTTAAATATACTCTTACCATACAACTCAGCAGGCTCACTCCTAAGTATTTACCCAAGAGAAATAATAACACACACCCAGACAAGACATGTACTTGAATGTACATGAATAGCCTCTTTATTCATTAATAGCCAAAAAGTTGTAAACAACCCAAATGTTCATCAACTAGTGAATATAAACAAATTATTGTATAGCCATATCATGATATATTATGTGAAAAAAGTGAGACACAAAAGACTGCACACCGTATGAGTCTATTTATATAAAATTCTAGATAGGGTAAAACTACAATGACCAAAAGTTATTTAGTGGTACCAGGAACAAGAGATAGGGAGAAGCAATTGACAGGAAAGGAGTAGGAGAGAATTTTCTGGCAGGATTGATATGTTTTATATGATGATTGTGGTAATTATACAGCTGTACTACATGATTAAAACAGAATTACAAATGTAAAATTGGTCAATTTTGTTGTATGACATTTACTTCATTAAAGATGATATGGTTTTGTTTTTTTTTTGAGACGGAGTCTCACTCTGTCACCCAGGCTGGGGTGCAGTGGCGCAATCTCGGCTCACTGCAAGCTTCACGCCGTTCTCCTGCCTCAGCCTCCAGAGTAGCTGGGACTACAGGTGCCCACCACCATGCCCAGCTAATTTTTTTGTATTTTAATAGAGACAGGGTTTCACCGTGTTAGCCAGGATGGTCTCGGTCTCTTGACCTTGTGATCCACCCGCCTAGGCCTCCCAAAGTGCCGGGATTACAGGCATGAGCCACCACCCAGCCCAAGATGATGTTTTTAAGAACAGAAAAATTTTAGAAAGGTCATATTCCACCATAATATTCACTCCATAACAGAAGTCTAATTTCAAAAACAGGCTGCTTTATATTATTCATAGATAATTATTACAACCTTGTGTATTAGTCTCTTCTCCCATTGCTATAAAGAAATGCCAGAGACTGGGTAATTTATGAAGAAAAGAGGTTGAATTAGCTTACAGTTCTGCAGGTTTTAAAGGAAGCATAGCTGGAGAGACCTCAGAGAGCTTTTACTCATGGCAAAAGGCAAAGCTGAAGCAGTTATGCTCATACGGCTGAAGCAGGAGGAAGAGAGAGAGAGGGGAGGCATTATACACTTTTAAACAACCAGATCTCATGAGCACTCACTCATGATCAAGCAGCATCAAGGAGGAAATCAGCCCCCATGATCCAATATCACCTCCCACCAGGCCCACCTCCAGCACTGGGGATTACAAGCAATGAACAGTTGGAAATTACAATTAAACATGAGATTTGGGTGGGGACAGAGATCCAAACCACATCGCCTTGGAAAACTCCTAAGAATCCTCTAAAAACTATACTAATAAAAATAATATGAGAATTCAGTAAGGTGATTATGAAATCAATACACAAAAAAAATTGAGCTTTATTATATGCAAATAATTAGTAGAAAGGTTACTTATAATAAGAAACATCACATTCCAAAAGTTTATAAAATACATATGTAATAACTATATAAAGAACCTTTAAATCACTCCCGAAGGAAAAAAAAATGAAAAAATAAGTAACTGTAAAGGTATACTCTGTTCTTGGTTAGGAAAACTCTGGGTTAAAACTCTTTTTTTATTGAGCTATAAGTTAATTATAATCTCAATCAATGATATTCCATTGGAAATGGAAGTTAATATGTATACTTCAGTTGTTAAGTCACAATAAATTCCATTCACATCAAAGATGTATATGCTAAAAATAAAGCCATAAAGTTTAGGAAAAAATATGTTTTTTTAATTATCCTAGGGTTGGGAAGATCTATCTAAGCATACATAAAATTCAAAATTCAGACACATAAAAACTTATCAATTTGACTACATAAAAATCTTAACTCTCTGTGATGCAAAAATGTATTGTAACTAAATTTAAATGATAGATGACAAAGTAGGTAAAAACGAATTTGCAACACAAATGATGAAAGGCTAATTTCCTTAGAATTAAAACAGCTGTTACAATTTAATTCTTTTTTAAAAAGACAACCAACCAATAGAAAATATGACAAATATAGAAAGTAATAAATAAGAGGAAAACGTGCAAAGTGGCCCATAAAAATAAGAAGATGCTCAACTTCACTTATAATTAAAGAAATTCATGTTAAATAGAAATGAGGGGCCATTTTTCAGATAGACAAGAAGCCAAATATTTGTTAATGTTTGGCATGTCCACGTACACGTAATACAATAAGAAACAGAACACAGAGCTTTATAACTATGGGACAACAAGAGTTGCCTTATATGAAAGTAAGTAATACACTGAATCCCAGTGGGTCCCCTGCTCCACCCCAGTGGGGTGAGATGCAGGGAGTACAAAGCCCTGGGTACCTTCAACCTAAAGCAGAGGACTCCAGGTTCACCTCCAAGAGGCATAAGGAAAGCACTGGGAAACTGCATTCTCACTTTCATCAAGCTGTACTGCAGTAATTCTCCAACTTGGGCCACCATCAAAATCAGCTCAAGATCTTGTTAAACCCAGATTCCTGGGCCCTGCCACCAGAGTTTCTGATTCAGATTTAAGATGGGACTTGAGAACTTGCATTTCTAGTAAGTTTCAGGTGGTGCTACTGCTGCTGCTCCAGGTGTTGAGACCCACTGGTCTAGCGAGTACCCTTTCCCTTTCTTGCTAGCTGTTTTAGTAGTAAATTGAAGTCAAAGCAACATTGATCAGTCTCATTTTTTTTTTTTTTTTTTGAGACCGAGTCTCACTCTGTTGCCCAGGCTGGAGTGCAGCGGCATGATCTCAGCTCACTACAACCTCTGCCTCCAGGGTTCAAGCGATTTTCCTGCCTCAGCCTCCTGAGTAGCTGGGACTACAGGTGCACATCACCACACCCAGCTAATTTTTGTATTTTTAGTAGAGATGGGATTTCACCATGTTGGCCAGGCTGCTCTCGAACTCCTGGCCTCAGGTGATCTGCCCACCTTGGGCTCCCAAAGTGCTGGGATTACAAGCATGGGCCACCGCGCCCAGCCCAGAGTCTCATTCTTCTCTGTCAATATTCAAAAATAGACCAGCCCTCTGTCATCTGTCTTCTGGCTTAGCTGACCAATGGTAGTAAAGACATGAATAAAAAAGATTTTCCGGGCACAGTGCAGTGGCTCACGCCTATAATCCCAGCACTTTGGAAGGCCGAGGCAGGTGGATCACTTGAGGTCAGGAGTTCAAGACCAGCCTCGCCAACATGGTGAAACCCCATCTCTACTAAAAATACAAAAATTAGCTGGGTAGTAGTGGTGCACCTGTAATCCCAGCTACTCCGGAGGCTGAGGCAGAAGAATCGCTTGAGCCTAGGAGGCGGAGGTTGCAGTAAGCCGACATGGCACTACTGCACTCCAGTCTGGGTGACAGAGTGAAACTCTGTCTCAAAAAAAAAAAAAAAAAAAAAAAAAAAAGGCTTTCCCACAGTGCTAGTGGGAGAGTAAATATATGCAGTCCTTTTTAATTTGGCAATATTTTTGAAAATTCATATGCCCAGAAATTCCATTTCTAAGAATTTCTCCTGCAATATACATACTCTCCCCAAATGCAAAAATGTTATATGTACAATAATGTTTATTGTAGCATTATGATAATTATTGCTTCTATGAAAATAGAAGCAACTTAAGGCCAGTCAATTGGGAATCATTTAAAAAAATAAATTAGGATATCTCTCAGGACAATACTTTGTAGCCATTAGGGTAAATACAATAGATTTATCACACTGAAGCAGAAATATGATGACGATGTATAATAAAGCACAAAAGGTAGATTACAGAATAGTACCTGGAAAGTGATCCTTTTTTGTCAAATTAAAAAGATATATCTTATATATATAAGGTTTGACATGCAATATGTATAATGTGATTGCTATGGTCTGAATGTTTATGTCCTCCCAAATTCATACGTTGAAACCTAACTCCCAAAATCATGATATTAAGAGGTGGAGCTTTGGGAGGTGTTTAAGTGATGAGGGCAAAGCACGTGGGATTAACACCCTGATAAAATAGACCTCAGAGAGCCTTTTTGCCCTTCCTGCCACCATGTGTGGACACAGCAAGAAAACAGATATCTATGAAGGAAGCAGGCCCTCAGCAGACACCAAATCTGCCAGCACCTTGATCTTGGACTCCCCAGCCTCCAGAACTGTGAGAAATCCATTTCTATTGTTTAAGCTACAATCTGTGGCATTTTGTTATAGCAGCCTGACTGAAATAAAGCAGCGATATAAATAAAGACATGATTGATACATATGTACATAACATACACATGCGTGTGTGTATACAGAGAAAAGATTTCTGAAAGGCTCCCAACAGAGCTAGCCTAGGAAAAGGGGGCTGGAGTTTCAAAAGCAGTGAAACTGCATGGCTAGGGGAAGAACAGCTATGACATCAGATGACATCTACTTTGCAATTTTGCTGTTTGAATTATTTTACAACAAGCCCATATACCCTATTTATTTTTTTAAAAAAATTAAAAAGCAAAGCAACCAACTTAATTCCACCAGGGCTTCAACATTGATTAGAGATGCTTGGCAGGATCTCTAACTGGGAACATTTTTTTGCCTATGGTGTATAACTGAAATTAATAAAACTATGCCTCATAGAAAAGATAAAAATTAAATATAAAATAGATAATACTCATTGTAAATGGAGAGGGACCCAGTTGGCCCTTTCTCCTGTCATGCCCTGTTCTTTGCCCCCACATTAATTCTCCAATGTCTTAAAGAAAATTTAGCATCATCATATAATCTAAAATGTAAGTGTTTATTTTACATGTCTGTGATTTCACTTACAGACTGACTCAGGAGTTCCTTCAACAATTCCTTCAATAACTATAAACTGAGTTGCTGTGACTGATGATGCCTAGTTCGTGTTGTCTCCATCTCTATAAATTCTGGGGAAAGCCTGTACCAGCAACAACATTATATAATACCAGTAGAGATGACAGTATACATGCCAGTGTATGACAATAACACTGGAGACCTAGAACCTCCCTCATGGCAAGGGTGTACCCGAAATTAGCATTACTTAAGAGAAAATAAGAAATTACCAACTTGTAAAGGAAAATTAATAAATTCTGTTGTGGGATTCATATTCAGGACTTTCTGGCAGCTAGGTCAAGCTGGCATTTTGATTTGCAAACCTACTGCTGTAAAGTATAAAGCCAGATCTCAGGGGGAGAGAGAGCAAGGCTAGAGATACATTCCAATCTTAAACTTCTCCTTACAGTGATGAACATTTAAGCCATGAGATAAATACTTACATGCTTTGGATTTTTTTAAGTAAAAAATTTCATAAAGCCACAGTGGAGCAATATCTTACATTATTCCTCAACCTGAATGAATAAAATAAGATTAGGAATTCCAAGCGATGACACATTTTCTCAATCCTCCAAAAGTATATGGTGGAGATATTATTGCAGTTTTTCAGTTGCTCCATAAAGAGGTGCTAATATTGTCCTCCGTAAAGGTTCTGTCATTCGAAGGAAATTGTAAAACTGGACCAATATCAAAACGTATTCAAAATTTAATGTATCAAGCAATGTAAACTATGAAGCTTCTTTAAACCTGGAGCCAGTTATTATTTTTCCTTAGGAAGGCAAAAAGGTCATGGTCAAGTGCCAACGAACATAACAACATTTTGGTTAGGTTCCTAATTGATTTCAGTCACTGGCTAATAATCTTTCTCCACTGCACCCACTCTAAGTGTTTTCCTTAGTCATCTGCAGACAAGCTGAAAATCTTCTCACTTTTCTAATTTTTCTACATCTACCCAACTAGTTAATCTAATGATAGCCCCATCATTTGGGATATATAATTGGTTATCATTACACCCTCACAGTTGTGTACAGGAACAAGGATGGAACTGGGAAAGCCACAGAAAAGCAGGTGAGCTACAAATGAAAAACGGAGATTCAACCAAGGCAAAAAGACTTTCTAACTAATAATCCCAGTTAAAATCTTGTGTCCCTGGCTTTCTCTATGGGACTCAAAGTACTTTACAGGATTATCAAATGAATCACCCAAACATCCTTGCACGAGAGTAAGGAGAAAGTACTATAATAGACACTTAACGGATTGGAAAAACTGTACCGCAGAAAGGTTAAGTGATTTACCAAATACTGCAAAGCAAGTCAGGGTTAGAAAAGAAACTAGACTTCAATGACCCTGATCTGGCCACCATTCCTAGCTGAATAAGGACCTTTGTTTGTCTGTTTTAACTTTCTCCATGTAATAGGTATTACCAAAGGATTTAACATTCTCCCTATTGACTGCTATTTGTTGTTTCTCTTTTGTTCCTTCTTATGTTCAATCCAGAATAATGGAAATGATGCTAGTAATATTTGAATAGCATTATATCTCACAAAGTGCTTTTATGCTCATGATCTAAGTAAGAAAACACTATTTCTGCATTCCGTATTACCTAATCCCTGACTCCAGCTAACCTGATTTTTTTTTTTTTTTTTTTTTTGAGACAGAGTCTCGCTCTGTCCCCAGGCTGGAATGCACTGGCGTGATCTCAGCTCACTGCCTCCTCCACCTCCCGGGTTCAAGCAATTCTCCTGCCTCAGCCTCCTGAGTAGCTGGGACTACAGGCACCCGCCACCACGCCTGGCTAATTTTTGTATTTTTAGTAGAGATGGGGTTTCACCATGTTGGCCAGGATGGCCTTCATCTCTTGACCTCATGATCCACCCACCTTGGCCTGCCAAAGTGCTGGGATTACAGGTGTAAAGGATTTCTTTATAGCCATTATTTTCTTTAAAGACACCAGGACAACTATGCCATCATTTGTTCTTTTATTTAGCAAACATATATTGGGCACCACTGTCTGCAAGATAGTGCTAACTGCTAAAGATATGAACATAATTAAGATATAGTTCTTAACTGAAGGAGCTAAGGTCTAAACATGGAAATAATTTACAAATATAGTATCACAGGTGCCTCAGTTGAGGTACCAATAAAATGATATTTCTCTTGGAATATCAATGAGGGGAAAATGCGTTCTTCTTGGGAGAGTCAGAAAAAGTAACTGTGCTGAATGGCGTCCACATGTCGTTTTCCCCACCATGGTATCTCTCCACCTAGTCTGTACCCTAAGAAGCTAACTGTTGTAGATAGATGGTATCACCCATGCTCTTTTGCTTGCCCTCTAACTTTTGGTTGTTTTTGGCAGTGGGTGGCCCCAGCAGGAGATCAGAGGACATGCAAAAATAGGATGGGGTATTTGTTTCCCATTAAGCTTCCATCCTTATTCCAGAGCGTTTCACCATCTTTTGCATTACGTTAACCTCTTGTGAATATTTTCTCCATTAAGATTCTTAAGAACAATGACCTAATGGATTTAGAGTGATGAGTTATTAAGAAAGGAAGATCCAGTAAGCAGGGAGCCTCATTAGTGTTGGGATTAAATTCATGAGCTAGAACATGAGCAGCGGTAGCTCAGGATGGAAAGGAGATACTGAATTGAGAGGGATTTTTGGAAGTTGAATTGCCAGGCCAAATAACTAACTGGATATTGAGGAGGGTGAGAGAATGAGTGAAGCTGAAGTTCACTGCCAGACTACTTGAAAAAGATATAGTCCCTTAAAAAAATTAAAGATAATTTGGCATAAATGTTGCCAACTGTTCATTAAGTCTCTTGCCCTTGCATTTGGCAGCAAATCAATAGTCAACTTCAAGGGAGCTTGTACAGCAAATTTGGATGGCAGAATACACACCTGAGCACATGTATTCTTTTCAGGTGCACTTACTGCACATGTATGCAGCCGCCAGAGCCCCCGTGGGCTGTGCAGCACCATCCAGGAGAGCAAGGAAAATCACGGTGCCTCTGGAGTCCAATCTTTTCCCACATACATTGAAGTCAATACCTTTTGACAGTTGGCACAATAAAACTACCCCTCAGTCTAAATACACTGGAAGGATCTCTATGTCAGGGATAATAAAAGCATTCCACATTCTAACATTTACCTGAACGGTGATAAACCTGGTGCTATTGTTGCTTTCTCTCAAGGGCTCGGCTGCCCACCTGTGCCTCAAATTTCTCTTACCTTTAAAAAGTACAAAGTGCAAACAGAGGCTTTTAAAATTTTATTGCCAGAGTACTTTCACATGGTTGGAATTCTTAGAGAAATGCTTGTAAAATATACTTAGAAGTGGGTACAGAGCTACATGAAGGTGAAATCTCAGTGATAACAAAAAATACATCCTTATTTCTGATTTATTAATAATCAGATATTATAATCATGTTGTAAATGCATTCCAATTCTATCAAAGATGAAAATGAACCTTAAGAAATACAGATATTCAAATAAAAAGAGGCTGAAATGACCCTGTCATTTCTTCCATTTGTTATATTTGCTGTGTTTTAAAAAAAATTAAGTAAAATTACACTAAGTCTGAGGAAGAAGCAACTTTTCTGGAGGTATGCTGGCAAAACACAATATGTAAAATGTGCATGGGGAAAAAATGAAGAATATGCAAAAATATGTGATTTGGGATATTGATGGCATTATTCATAATAGTTTAAAACCACACACATTCGTGTTCAACAATAGAGAATCTGGAAGGGAATTGACATATATGTGAAGTGTTTAGGCAGGTAGTGCTGCAGGAAAAATTGCAGAGGGAATTGAAACTTCTGCCTTAAGTGTGGTCACGTTTTTCCATAACCCACAATGATCAGGGAGACCAGGTCTCTGTGCTGAAGAAACATGACCCTATGGACAACTGAACTGTGCAGCTCATCTTGCTCAGTTCTCCCAGACAACAAATACTTAGGCTAATGAATGGCCATCAAGAGATGCTTCAAGGTGCTCATGACCTGGCAACAGCCTATCCATGGTTGGTCCCTTAAATTTTATGACTCTTCTGCACCTGCTACCCCTCAGAGAATTTCTGTAACAACACTCTTCAAACTGTGAGCCCTGAAGCCTTCTTACCATCATTGTTCTCTGGAATCCAGTCCCATGATGGACTTTGATCCTGCTTATGTAAGGCAGTCATGGTCGAATCCCCCTTAAAGAGAACACATCTGAATCTTCTTTTCATATTTTGAATCACTGCCAGGTTATTAAGGAAAAAATAATTTGAAGAAAACAAAACAAAAACAATAGATTTGGCATGATACATCTCCTTGGGTAACAAGGAGATGGTTCTTTTGTTCAATCTCATGTAGCCAAACTTTGATCCAGCAGGCACAACTAGGTTACCAATACAGTCTACTTCCTTCTAATAGTGAATTTTTCCCTGCAGTTTTTCGTGTTCTTTCTCATCAGGAGCAAAGGTTTCCTTAACATTGAATTTTCTCTCTTTTTTTTTTTTTTGAGATAGAGTGTTGCTCTGTGGCTCAGGTTAAAGTGCAGCGGCACCATCTTGGCTCACTGCAACCTCCATCTCCCGGGTTCAAGCAATGCTCCTGCCTCAGCCTCCCAAGTAGCTGGGATTACAAGCATGTGCCACCAAATTTTGAAAAGAAAGATTCGTGTCTTCCAGAAGGCACTAAGGCTTCTTATGCAAATTATCCCCACCATTACCACCTGATTCTACATACGAAGAGAAAGAGCTGACTTTATAAGCAACACAGACATTTAAAAGTGGCTCGGATTGAAAATGTGTGTTTACATCTGCTCTCTCTCAAAATACTGCTAAAATGGTGACTTTTAAATAATCACCTGCAAAAACAAGGAGATGAGACAAGACAACAGCAATCAAGCTTGATTGCCAGAAAGTAGATGGCAAAGCTGCAACTGAGAGAAAATACAGATCGTATCCACAGGTCGGGAATCAAAGGGCATCTGTTTTCTTAACAGAAGCACTGGACATCAGAAGACAATGAAGCAATGCCTTCAAACCCTCAAGGAAACCTGGGATGCGGAGGTTGCAGTGAGCCGAGATCACTCCACTGCACTCCAGCCTGGGCAACAGTATGAGACTTTGTCTCAAAAAAAAACAAAAACAAAAACAAACCCTCAAGGAAAATAATTTCCACCTGGGAATTCTATACTGAACCATACTATTATTAGAACATAAGGGTAAGATATCATCCTCAGCAAACTAACACAGGAACAGAAAGCCAAACACTACATGTTCTCACTCATAGGTGGGAGTTGAACAATGAGAACACATGGGCACAGGGAGGGGAACATCACACACAGGGGCCTGTCAGGGGGTAGGGACAGGGGAGGGAGAGCATTAGGACAAATACTTAATGCATATGGGGCTTAAAGCCTGGATGATGAGTTGATGGGTGCAGCAAACCACCGTGGCACATGTATACCCATGTAACAAACCTGCACGTTCAGCACATGTATCCCAGAACTTAAAGTAAAAAAAAAAAAAAAAAAAAGAATATGAGGGTAAGATAAAGATTTTTTTTCAGACATGCAAAATTTCAAAAACTCTTATCTCTTATACAGCATTACTTAGGAAGCTGCTAGAGTAGGTGCTCCCCCAAAAAGAGAGAGTTGCCAAAAAAAAACCAAAAGACAGAAACCTGGGAGTCCAATAAGGAGCAACTATATAATTTGCGGGACCCAGTGCAAAATGAAAACACAGGGCCCCTTGTTCAGAACTTATTAAGAATTTCTTTTTTTTTTTTTTTTTTTTTGAGACAAAGTCTTGCTCTGTCGCCCAGGCCTAGAGTGCAGTGGCACGATCTCAGCTCACCGCAACCTCCGCCTCCTGGATTCAAGAGATTCTAGTGCCTCAGTCTCTGGAGTAGCTGGGATTACAGGTGCGTTGCCACCACACCTGGCTAATTTTTGTTTTGTTAGTAGAGATGGGGTTTCACCATGTTGGCCAGGATGGTTTCAAACTCTTGGCCTCAAGTGATCTGCCAGCCTTGGCCTCCCAAAGTGCTGGGATTACAGGTGTGAGCCACCGTGCCCAGCTATTAAGAATTTCAAAATGGCAACAGCAGAGTGCTAAGCCAAATGCAGAGCCCTGGTAAGTGCGATTGCAACGGTCACAGACCCCCATGAGACCAACTCTTCATCCAATCTAGGAGAGGGGAAAGGGAATTCCCAGGAAGATGGCAAAAGAAGTCCCCATGACGATCTCTGTGCAGCAAGTCTAGAGACTCATCAACCTACAATGCAGCCAGAAAATAGCATGCTCCAAGAAGGATGTCTTCAAGGAAAGAATGAAATGTAGAGATTACCCAATGTGTTTTAAGGTATTGGGAGGCCATTTCCACTTCTTGGGGAAACTAAGTGGAAGAATTAATGATGAACATAGCTGAAGGAACTTTCCAAGCGAATTGGTTACTGGTTAGTGTCAATATTTTATGTCAAACTTGCTGCAAGAGCAAAGGCTTCTGATAAAGCCAGTCAAGATTTCTCTGGTAGAGACATTTAAAGAGAAAGAAAGCTGGCTAGGTGACTTTGTTAGACTAGGTATAATAAAGTCTGGCTAAAGTTTATGAAGCTCATCATAAGGCTGACGACAGTTAGCTGGGCAGATAAATCCAACCTCTAAAGTGGGCTCTTCATCTTGTTAAATTCTACCAGAAAATTGCTCAAGCAATTTACTAGGAATTGTAGGTCATTTTCAAAAATATTCTACCCTAAACCAGGTATTGGCACTGGTAAAATTCGAGTAAATTTTTTTCTCAGTATCTAAATAAACATACTTACAAACAAACTAAAAAATAACACAATTATAAACTCCAGGAAAAACAAAATGTTCTACAAGAAAAATTAAATGACACATAGCTTAACTGTAAATAAAATGAGAAGATTATTGAAACAATGTCTTCAACAGTCTACTCTGAACAAAAATGATGATGAACAGTATTTGGAGCATAAGGAAGGAACATGGGTTGGAAGAGTGGGGAGGGGGCATGTAAGAGAATGAAATCTTCATCTTCCATGGTAAGAATAGATAACTACTAAAAATGAAAAATCCAGAATAGCAATATAGGCATGTCCTTTAAAAATAAGGAGATACATATGAAAAAAAGTGCAAATGGTTGAATGTCCTTAGCTTTGGTGAACAGGATTAGAAGTGAAGAGAGAGGGTGCATGAGGCAGCTGCTTTCTGTTATGTCTTTCCAAAATCTATAACCCTTCATTCATGTTTACTCTTGATTTAAAAAAAAAAAATTCTATTAGTAAAAGGGGAGTAAAAGCCACACAAAAACACAAAGATCTGTGAATACTTCTTTTTCCCAAGTGTAAGAGTTTCTAGCTAGCCTTAAATTTACAAAAGACAAAATGTACAGTCTGTTCAACTGATATTCCCAAGAAAAAAGAACATCTCCTTTAATTGTTTTATTTTTTGTCTTATCAGCCACTTAAATATATGCATATATATGTAAATATATATGCCTATATAGAAAAGACAGCAAAACTCTAACCATTCATCTGTAGATAATGGGATATCAAGTGATGTTTCTTCTTTGTACTTTTTTCTATAGTCTAGTGTACATTGACTATATATTCATTTTTCAGTGAGAAAAAATTATGAGATTTTTTTTCATTTAAACAAAGAACTAAGGTCATGTGAAATATGTGGTGACATTTTCTTTTCTGTTGTTTGTGTATTTATGTATGTATATGTGTGTATGTTGGGCGTGGTGGGGGTATGTGTGTGTTGAATTTGTGGATCATACTGAAAGCTACAAGACTGGGCAGGTACGAGTAAGGAGAGGACATCAAGAAAGCAGCCACACTACCTCTAAGGCAACATAGGACCCTACTCCTGTGACTGACTCTGATTTCCGCTTCTTGTTTTCTGAGATGGAGTTTCACTCTTGTTGCCCAAGCTGGAGTGCAATGGCACGATCTTGGCTCACTGCAACCTCCGCCTTCAAGGTTCAAGAGATTCTCCTGCCTCAGCCTCCCTAGTAGCTGGGATTACAGGTACCTACCACCACACCCAGCTAATCTTTTGTATTTTTAGTAGAGATGGGGTTTCACTATGTTGGCCAGGCTGGTCTTGAATTCCTGACCTCAGGCCATCCACCTGCCTCGGCCTCCCAAAGTGCTGGGATTACAGGTGTGAGCCACCGCACCTGGCCTGATTTCCCTTTCTTTAGCATTCCCTTTTAGCATGTAAAAGGCTTATAAAGCCTTTTACAATCTGACCACTGCCTGCATGCACACATGCATGCATTTACTCAACAAACATTTATTGAGTGCTGCCAATATTCCAGGCACAGTGCTCACAGTATTCCAGGCACAGAGCTCTGGAGATGTGAAGATAGATAAGCAAGAAACAGATCTCCAGGCAGTTTTTACACAGTATTGGGAGCATAGATGTGAATCAAAGCCAGTCTTGGTAGAACAATGGGATTTGTCTAGCAATTCAAGGTGCAGAGGGTCTTTTTAGCCAGATGTGGAACAGCCTGGGTATATTAGTTTGTTTTCACACTGCTATAAAAATTTATGAAGAAAAGAGGTTTGACTCATAGTTCTGCAGGTTTAATGGGAAGCATGACTGGGAGGCCTCAGGAAACTTAAAATCATGATGGAAGGCGAAGGGGAAGCAAGCACCTTCTTCATGTGGTGGCAGTGTTACTGGAAAGGGGTCCAGATCCAGACCCCAAGAGAGGGCTCTTGGATTTGGGCAAGAAAATATTCAAGGTGAATCCATAGAGTAAAGTGAGAGCAAGTTCACTAAGAATGTCAAGTAATAAAAGAATGGTTACTCCAGGGCTGCTGGTTGCCCATTTTTATGATTATTTCTTGATTATATGCTAAACAAGGGGTGAATTATTCATGAGTTTTCTGGGAAAGGGATGGGCAATTCCTAGAACTGAGTACTCCTCCCCTTTTTAGACCATATAAGGTAGCTTCCTGACATTGCCATGGCATTTGTAAACTCTCATGGTGCTGGTGGGAACGTCTCTTGGCTTGCTAATGCATTATAATTAGCATATAATGAGTAGTGAGAATGACCAGAGGTCACTCATGTGGCCTTCTTTGTTATGGTGGGTTTTGGCCAGCTTCTTTACTGCAATCTGTTTTATCAGCAAGGACTTTATGACTTGTATCTTGTGCCAACCGCCCATCTCATCCTGTGACTTAGAAAGCTTAACCAGCTGTCTGAGAATGCAGCCCAGTAGGTCTCAGCCTTACTTTACCCAGCCCCTACTCAAAATGGAGTTGTTCTGGTTCAATCACCTCTGACAGCAAGAGAGAGAGAGCAAGGGGAGGAGTGCCACATACTTTCAAACAACCAGATCTCATGAGAACTCACGCACTCTCACAAGAACAGCAAGGGGGAAGTCCACCCCCACGATTCAATCACCTCCCACGAGGCCCCATCCCCTGACACATGGGAATTGCAACTGGAGATGAGATTTAGGTGGGGACACGGAGCCAACCACATCAATGAGCACAGGCATGACAGAGCATGAACAATTCTGAACAAGACTGGATGAACTAAACCTTCTGGGCTGATGATAAGCACCAAAATGGGAAATGTTTAGATTTCTCTCATCATCTCCCACAAATTTCCATTCAAAGATAGATGTGCTAGAAATAAATGCTAGAAAATGGTTCCTGCTTGGAATCCTATTAGGACCCGTAAAACAAGCACATTTTGTTTTTTGCATATTGATTCCAGTGTATCAATTCTAATTTATTTGTTTTAATTAAACTCGTGTAATTATTGCAAGGAAATTCAATGAAAACAAGCTCCTGTGTTTTTCTTACACCAGTTCTCCATGTTACTATAGTTTATTGGGATTCTCTTGTGGTTTGAAAGTAGAAATTCAGGGTCAAAATGGTGTGGTCCTCAATAGTAAGGGGAGATAGTGGTAGGCACAGTTCAGAGCAAAATTATTCTTCCTTTGAAAGTAACTTTATTATTGTTGTTTTGATATAGGCTGAATTACTTTAGTTCTAACAGCAGAGAAAATCTCAAAGGAAAAACAAAATGCTATCCCAAATTCCAGCACCTAGAGGTAAACACTGTTCACTTTTACCAGTCATCCGCTGTACATCTCCTTATGTACACAAATACAAAGAGAAGAAGGCGAACGTTTTCACGAAAGTGGTAAAAGACAAAAGGTAAAATGGCATGCTACTCTGTGACACACTATTTATTCAACAGAACAGGCTGAGCATCCTTAAACTGAAAATCTGAAATCCAAAATGCTCCAAAATTCAAAACGTTTTGAGCAACTACATGATGTCACAAGCGGGCAATTCCACATCTGACCTGACGTAACAGGTCACAAGTGGGGACTGAAAGCCTGTCGTTGTTCATTGCTGCTATTGTTTAACAGCTGATACAGATATTCTGGTGATGCTACTGTTCTGCTTAGCTATGCTGAACACAGTATTTTTTCACTGTATTGATGGTATGTCATTGTCTTTACTATTAGAGACTCATGTATAAATAAGAGTAAGAAAATAATTGTTCATTGGTGGCATATAAATTCAGTCAGGCATGATGGTGATGCCAAACAACCACAGGTTGTCCACGTGGGTGGCTGAGATAGTGACACCTTTGCTTTTTGATGGCTAAATGTGCATAAACTTTGTTTCATTCACAAAGTTATTTAAAATATTGTATAGGCCAGGCGCCATGGCTCACGCCTGTAATCCCAGCACTTTGGGAGGCCAAGGTGGGTGGATCACTTGAGGTCAGGAGTTCAAGACCAGCATGGCCAACATGGTGAAACTCCATGTCTACTAAAAATACAAAAATTAGCTGGGCCTGGTGGCGTGCACCTGTAATCCCAGCTACTCAGGAATCTGAGGCAGGAGAGTTTTGAACCTGGGAAGCGGAGGTTGCAGTGAGCTTAATGCAGCACTGAACTCCAGCCTGGGTGACAGAGCGAGACTCCGTTTCAAAAAAAAAAAAGAAAGAAAAAGTTGTATAAGATTAACTTCAGGCTATGGATATAAGGTATATATGATACATAAATAAATGTCATGCTTGAACTTGGGTACCATCCCTAAGAAGTCTCATTATGTATATGCAAATATTCCAAAATCTTAAAAAATTCCAAATCCAAAACACTTCTGATCCCATGCATTTTGGATAAGGAATCCTTGACTTGTATATTATAGGTATTTTACGTGTGAAGTACTTATTTCCATACCATCATTTTAATGGCTGCATAGTACATCATTTTGTGTATATCAGAAAATTACTATTTTTTAAAACTTCTACAGAGTATGTTTCCGATTCTTTATTGTAAAAGAAGGCTGCAATAACTTGAGCACACATCATTTCATAGTTCTGTAATTATCTTCTTAAGGTAAATTCCCACAAATGGGTTTGTTGGCTCAAAATGAATGAAATTGCCAAACTGTCCTCCAAAGTGAGTGGCTTTTTAAAGTTAATTTGCACTTCCACTAACAGTTTAAGAATATACAAATGGCCAATAAACACATGAAAAGATATTCAACATCATTAGCCATCAGGGAAATGCAAATCAGACCACAATGAGATACTACTTAACACTCACTAGGATGGCTTTAATCAAAAAGACAGATTTTATATTTAACTCTTTAATTATTCTGAGTCAATTTTTGTAAACAGTGTGAAATACAGATCCAATTTCATTCTTCTGCCTGTGGTTAACCAGTTTTCCCAATAATATTTATTGAAGAAACTGCCCTTTCCCAATGTTATGTTTTGACACTGTTGTTGAAAATCAATTGTGAGTATGTGGGTTTACTTCTGGGTTTTCTATCCTATTTCACTGGTGTCTGTTTTTATGCCAGTACTATCTATTGATTAAAATCACTTTAAAATATTTTGAAATCAGGAAGTGTGATGCCTCCAGCTTTGCTCTTTTTGCTCAAGATTGCTTTGGCTATTTGGAGTCTTCTGTGGTTCCATACAAATTTAAAGATTGTTTTTTCTATTTCTGCAGAAAATGAAAGAATTTTAATGGGATTGCATTGAAGCCGTAGATCTTGCAGAATGGGAGAAAATATTTGCAAGCCATATCTCTGATAAGGAGTTAATACCTAAAATATATAGGGAACTCAAACACCTCAATGAAAGGAAAACAACCTGATTTAAAAATGGACAAAGGACTTGAACAGACACTTCTAAAAAAAAAAAAAAAAGACATACAAATGACCAATAGATACATGAAAAAATGCTAAGCATCACTGATCATTAAGGAAATGCTAGTTAAAATCACAATGAAATATCACCTTGCATCTGTTAGAATGGCTTCTATCAAAAAGATGAAAGATGAGTGTTGGCAAGGATACAAAGTGAAGGGAACCCTTATACACTGTTGGTGGTAATATAAATTAGTACAGCCACTATAAAAAATAATATGAAGGTTCTTCAAAAAACTAAAAATAGAACTACAATATGATCCATCAATCCCACTTCTGGGTATATATCCAGAGGAAATTGAAATCAATATGGTGAAGGTATATCTGCACTCCCATGTTCATTGCAGCATTATTTACAGTAGCCAAAAGGTAGGAACAACCCAAGTGTTCATCAACAGATGAATAAACAAAATATGGTATATTTATTCATAAGAAATGAAGTTCTGATACATGCTACAACATGGTCGAAACTTGAACATTACGCTAAGTGAAATAAAACAGATACAAAAGGATAAATATTGTATGATTCCACTTATATGAAATATCTAAGACAGGCAAATACATAGAGAGAGAAAGGACATTAGAGGTTATCAACCCCTGGGAAGAAGGAGGAATGGAAAGTTATTGCTTAATGGTTGTAGTTTCTGTTTGGGGTGATGAAAACGTTTTGGAAATAGCCGCGAAGGTTGCATGACATTATGAGCATAATTAATGCCACTGAACTGCATATTTTAAAGTGGTTAAAGTAGCAAATTTTATGTTAGATATATCTTATATGAATTTAAAAAATAAAAAAACAAATTCCAAATTTTTTAAAAAGGCATAAAGTGAATGTGCTAGAATATGGATAAACTTTGGAAACAATTTGCTAAGCAAAACTAGCTAATCACAAAAGACAACATATTGTAGGATTCTGTGTACATGAAATGTCCAGAACAGGAAAATCTATAGACAGAAAGTAGATAGTGGTTACCTAAGGGGAAGGAAAGGATTAAGGGATAAAAAGGGAATGACCACAGCCGGGCGCGGTGGCTCAGGCCTGTAATCCCAGCACTTTGGGAGGCCAAGGCGGGTGGATCACGAGGTCAGGAGATCAAGACCAACCTGGCTAACACGGTGAAACCCCGTCTCTACTAAAAATAAAAAAAAAAACAAAATTAGCCGGGCGTGGTGGCGGGCGCCTGTAGTCCCAGCTACTCGGGAGGCTGAGGCAGGAGAAGGGCGTGAACCCGGGAGGCGGAGCTTGCAGTGAGCGTAGATGGTGCCACTCCAGCCTGGACGACAGAGCGAGACTCTGCCTCAAAAAAAAAAAAAAAAAAAAAGGGAATGACCACTAATGAGTATGAGTTTTTATGGGGGTAATAAATATGTTTTAAAATTAATGATGATGGTTGCACAACTCTGTGAACATACTAAAAACCATTGAAGTATATACACTTTAAATAGGCGAATCATATGGTATGTAAATTATCTCGAAGCTGTTATTTTTTTAAATTGTGGATCTCTGAGGATAAAGTTGGACCAATTTTTCATATATTGATTAGCCATTTGTGTTTATTCTGTTGTAAATGGCTTGTTCTTGTTCCTTGCTCTGATTGTCTGTTTTTGTTTTTAATGCTATAAAAATTCATTCAGAGTCCACACTGACAAGTATTTTGTAAGTACATTATGTTCTTGAAGTTGGTGCAAAATACGGCAGATGGCATGCCTCAAGCCGAAAGGGAAGGCCAGTTATGAAGGCGCTGACAGTCTAACAGGTTGAATTCATTTTATTCATAACAGGATAAACACAGCATGGAAGGGCAGTGCAAAGACAACACTCCTTGAGCCTGCCATACCGCATCAGGTGATTTACAAATATGGTCTCATGTTATCCATTGTGCCCACTTACAAAGGAGAGAGGTCAAATTTCCCAAGGTTACACAGCCTGCTGTTGCAATTGGGATTTGAACCTCTACCTACAAAGTGCTAATCCATCTTCAGTCCCCTCTGAAGAGTATTGGTCATATATTCATGGAGCTGTGAGGATGTCTTTGCACTTTCTGGGGTTCCGGACACCTATGACTGAAATAATGCTGAGCAAACACAGGCAGTAAGAAGTTGGAGCTGTCAGAAAATACACTTCTTTCATTGCTCTCAAGGAGGCCATGAAGAGAAATTTACCAACACAAACATAAATTCTTCAAGGTCCCATGAATGTTCCTGTATGGAATTATGAGCCTCTCTGGGTCATAAGGAATGCACTTGGACATCCCTGCTTAGCCAAAGCCCTGGTTCAGGATATAGCAGTAGTAGCTCAGCTGCCACACAGACCAGGAAAGGTCAAAGTCACGTTAACAAATGGCATGCAACCATCAGAAGAGATCATAAATATCACACTTGGGAAATTAATGTGTAGTTCCATAGGGTTAGATTATACATGTGTGTAATTATGGAGAGTGCCATACAAGGATAAAATTTTTTATTTGAAAGAGACCTTATAGTTTATCCATTCAAATCTTTCACTTTACAGATATGGAAATTGAGATCCTGGGATATTAATTAACTATTTACTTAGAAAAGTCTTAGTGAAGGGGAAATATAGCAAGATCCCAAACTTCTAGATTGTGTTGTTCTTCCTGCCTACCCTAAAAATCTCCATAGTCAGCTTTCAATGGCAAAGCCTTAGCCTGTAAATTTAATATTTTCTAGCTTTCTGTGCTGTTCTGGGAATTGTTCAACTCTAACTCCCTTTAGCTATGAAAACTGGAAGAGAATATAATTCTTGGCACTGCTCATGTTTTCAAGTCACATGTCCTCAGGTTGCTAAAAATTTCTAGTCTGTGAAACACAAAATAATATCTCAGGATACTATTTTTGATTGACACAGAAAGTAAGGAAGCAGATTTCTGTCCATTGGCAAAATCTTATGCAGATAGTGAGAAATTGGCTAGTGATAAGCTATGTTATCACATAGCAATGGGAAAAATTCTACTTTTCCTATTGATTTAGATAAGAATACTTCTCTGTAGCCTCTACTTTCTAATATCCCAAAACTTGATATTTAGCTTTATTTTCAAATGAATTGTAAATGTAATTTATCATAAGTGTGATTCAGCAACTAACAGAGAAAAGAACAGCAAACAGAGTGCAGCAAACACTTGCTTTTTTAATCACCTTCCACTTTATCTATGTTTTTCTTCACTTGGAATTTAATTGTTTAAATATATTTTAATCTTTAAAAATAGTGCCATGGCTCACACCTGTAACCTCAGCACTTTGGGAGATAAGGGCAGGTGAATCACTTGAGGCCAGGAGTTTGAGACCAACCTGGGCAACATAGTGAGATCCTATCTCTCAAAAAGTAAACAAATAAAAAGTAAACAAAATTAAAATAAAACCACATATTTGATAATACAATGCAATTGTAATCAATCCAGTCATTTTCTAAGGGAAGGGACTACCTTTAGACTTTAGAGGTTTTATGTCAGTTTTTCCAAGCTGATTTTGTTTTGCTCTTCAAGTTCATGCCATCGTTTGCTGATATAGTGAAATGTGATTTACAGCACAATAACCAGCCAACTGGAGAACATATTATCTGGAAGCTGGGAATGCTAGCAGTAGAGAATGTCAGGATTCACTAAAAATAGAAGGTTTCATACTTTCAGTTTAGTCATCTTTGTTTGGTATAAAAATCTCTTACTTCAGCTCATCATGAAGTTTTTTGTTTTTTAAACAAAGTAGAGGGAACAATTCGATATGGATGGTTTTCTTTTTAACTGGGTTCTTTAGCCCGTCAAATTTCAGTATATAGTTAATAACCACTTCAAATTGCCACTCCAGAAGAAACTACTCTTACCTAATTGCCTGCCAAGGCTCATAAAGCTCTTCTGCATCATTGGCAATTCATTGGTCTATTGATATCAAAACTCACATTGATATTTTCTGGCTCTCATATTTCACTTGCTCTGATGTTCATTTCCTTTGCTTTTTAACACCTAGTAGTTCCAAAATTAAGAGACATGCCTTGGCTATATAATTTTTAGTAGGCTCTACACAACTCTTCCTACGCAACAAGATTTTTTTCTTTCTTTATACCACACACATGTATGCTGCACATACACACATATGCACACGTGTCTGCACACACAAAGGCAGGCACAAGAACACACACTTTTACTGGCTCCTCCAAGAGGAATATTCTTATTAGATGGATACATTTCATTTTCATATTGATCTACTGTGTCTTTTAAAGCTACTCCAAAACCTCTTTATATGACATACTGGTGATCAAATTGCTTTATCTCAGAATGCCAGAATTTTTGCAAGATCACAGCTAATGAGTTAGTTTCCAGCATGGTGTTACAAAACTCACTTCCCAGAACCAAATCATATCCGTCAGTTCTTTTCACAGTAGCACTCCACTTCTCTGCTGGTAGAGAGTGTCATGCAGTGGCCAGCACCGTGCTATGAGAAACAGTCTCACATCAGGACAGCACCATCATTTTCCCCAGTTGACTCTACTTGGTGTGAAGAAAGGACGTTCACACCTGCCAATTTGGCCAAATTTCATCCTTTCATGCCTCACTCCAATTAGTTTAACATTCTCTCGAGGAAAGCGAGAGTGTGAAAAGCTGTCTTCTGGCAGTGACCTGATTGTCCTCCACTACCCTAGAGGAAGACAGCATTCATCCTCACTAGTGAGATGGAGAGAAGTTTGAGACATGACGGGAGATTATTCCTGTAGGGAGAAAAGCATCCTTGGATGCGTCAATTCACTGATAGCTCAGCAAACATGTCTACCCATCTCCAGGTGGGTCGAGCTCCTCATTCTTCTTCATGCCTCTTCCTGAGACATTCAATGACCCAAGCAAAGGGTGGAAACGTCATCGTTGAAGATTGTGTAACTCTAGGCTGAGCAGTTTAGCTGCCACAAAGAAATTCATCATTGTACAGAAATCAGTGAACTTCAGCTACAAACAGCCACGTCGAGCACAGCTCATAATTCTGATTGAAACATGTACCATTTTATCATTTTCCATTAAGTGGCTAATACTTCACACCAATTACCTTTGCCTTAAAAGTCCAATCTTTTAAAAGCCTGTACTGCTTACAGGTATAAGCTATTGAATATAAAATCTTGTTTGTACCTATCTCACAGATCTTAAAGGAACACAAGAGAGCCAACTGTATGATTAAATAATAATCAAGGAACTGTTGGCAAAATAATTTTCTCCATGAAAGATTCCTCACGAACCTTCTCAGCCCAACCAGTTGCTCCCTGGGTTTCTCAGCGAGGACTGCTACTGCCTCTGCTATATTTTCTCTGACAGTCATGTGAACTTTTAATTATTTCTAGTTGTTGCTTCTTGAAGAGTCATATTCTTGAAAATTTCAAAAGAAATGTTATTGCCATCAAGTGAGCACCCAGCATTAATGTTAAGCGATGTGCCTTGGGGGAGAAGAACCTGGGATCTAAATGCAGTGAGCTTTTCCCAGGGGTATATGAGTAGCGAGGGAGAGGATGGACAGGAGTGTGGTTGGGTGGGCATGGGCAGGGGTGAAAACAAAAATGAGCATAAATACAATCTGGGATGAAGGGCCAATCTTTCCCCCAGTTTGACGGTAAAAAGAAATGAAAATGAAACCTAAAATGTCCAAGATATGCGCAATATAAGTGTACTGACTCCCACACTTGGATGTAGCAATGTCATATTGCTATCAAAGACTATCAAATTGCTATCTCAAGGCTTACTCGCAATTACTTGTCTAGGACATAGAAAGCAATTCGCAGGCCAAGTACCTCGTCTCTCCAGTGAAACCTGCAGTCATTTCGTGGTGGCCTGCTGGTATGATAGGTCTGGTTGAATTTTAGGATCTGGATTTTCAGTCTTCACCAGCTGTGACCCCCCAGGGAGCACCCTCTTTGCTCTGGGCTGCTGCATTTCAGCCATGCAGCTGTTCTCATCCTCAGGAAAGTCCAGAACTCTGATTCACAGATGAGAAAAGCCTTTCTCAATCTTTGTTTGAGGATCCTGCCCAATTTTTGCCAAGCTTTCTTTTACTCATCTAGAGATTTCCATGGTCATAGAGCCCAGGGACCTGTTCCCCGCTCCTGGGTAGGACAGCTTCATAAAAACATGCTTTCTCTAACTGCAAACAACTGGCTTAACTTCTTGGGAAGCTCAATTTCCTTATCTATGCTTTTGGACATGCTGAAACACCCATTTTATGTGGAATAAAATGATGAATGATGAGCTCTATGGTCTAAATTCCTTGCTCTCCCCTTAAGCTTGTAATGTATTCCGGAGTTGTTCCAGGGCCCACTTCAATCCCTCCCCATCATGGTAGGTTTTCAGTCTGGAAAATACAAGTTATTCTCAGTACTTTTGCAGAGCTTGGGTGATTTACATACCCCACACATATCAATGCTGTCCTTGACCAGTCCAAATCTCTAATTTTGCTTCTAACTGCAGGATGCTAACTCTTGCCACCCGCAATCTTAGTACAAATATTTGACATCAATCTTTTACTTTTTTTAAGCACAAAATTTTGTTTTTTTTCTCCCCTCCCCACAGATCCCATCTCAAATCATTCTGTTAACCACCATTCCAACAGGTCGAGGAGAGCTTAAACACCTTCTTCCTCTGCCTTGTTTCTATTTTTTTATTTTTTTGCATCAGTATTAATGTTTTTGCATACTCTCCATCTTTATCCAAAAATGTAAACTTCCTTTGTCAATCTATGGATATGCCCATATATGAAAGAGATGGGTGGGTCAAAAAGGGATATCAAATGAAGTGATAGGGGTCACAATGGGGAAATGGAAGTGGTACATAACATTGCCAAAATAATGTGCCACTAGAAATGGTGTAAAGGCTGTCTTTTTTTTTAAGAAAAGTTATTACCATGTATTTTGTGAGGCAGGTTTACAACACTACAAGTCTTGACTAAGAAGGAAAGAGGAAAAAAGAAAAAACACCAATACCCATATTTAAAAAAAAAAAAATGATCATAGTCTTAGGAGTTCATTTAAACCATAGGAACTTTTCACTTATCTCATGTTAGGTGTACCAGTCAGTGATTAAGTAGAACTACAAGTTATATAGGCTGTATTGTTTATTGCTGGTTTATGACCTTAATAAAGTGTAATTATGTATTACCAGCAGGGTGTTTTTAACTGTGACTATTGTATAAAAACAAATCTTGATATCCAGAAGCACATGAAGTTTGCGACTTTCCACCCTGCCCATTTTTGTAAAACTGCAGTCATCTTGGACCTTTTAAACACAAATTTTAAACTCAACCAAGCTGTGATAAGCGGAATGGTTACTGTTTATACTGTGGTATGTTTTTGATTACAGCAGATAATGCTTTCTTTTCCAGTCATCTTTGAGAATAAAGGAAAAAAAAAATCTTCAGATGCAATGGTTTTGTGTAGCATCTTGTCTATCATGTTTTGTAAATGCTGGAGAAGCGTCGACCAATTTGACTTAGAGATGGAATGTAACTTTGCTTACAAAAATTGCTATTAAACTCCTACTTAAGGTGTTCTAATTTTCTGTGAGCACACTAAAAACAAAAATATATGTGAATAAAATATACAGATTTGTTGCGTTTCTTTATGTTCTAATAATACTGAGACTTCTAGGTCTTAGGTTAATTTTTAGGAAGATCTTGTATGCCATCAAGAGTAAATTTTCTTGTGGTTCTTAATCTGAAGTTTTCAAGCTCTGAAATTCATAATCTGCCATGGCAGATTATGTAGAGGAAGATCTTAGAACATTCCATGTCAAATCTGTTACCATTTATTGGCATTTAGTTTTCATTTAAGAATTGAACATAATTATTTGTATTGTAGTTATATGGCATGTCAGATTAAATCATTTACAACAAAAGGGTTGTGAACCTAAGACTACTTAAATGTCTTATGAGAAAATTTCATAAAGCCATTCTCCTGTCATTCAGGTCCAGAAACAAATTTTAAACTGAGTGAGAGTCTATAGAATCCATACTGCAGATGGATTGTGAAATGTGGCCAAATGTGTTTCAAAAATTGATGGTGTATTACCTGCTATTATAATTGCTTAGTGCTTGGCTAATTTCCAAATTATTGCCTAATATGTTACACCTTAAGAAAACCGTTTTATGTAACAAAGTAACGGTGTTGAATGGATGATGTCAATGCATGGGCCTTTAGCATAGTTTTAAGCAGTTTTTTCTTGAAAGCGTGTTAGCATCTTGTTACTCAAAGGATAAGATAGACAATAACACTTCACTGCATATTAATAATCTTAACTAGTTTACCTCCTCTGCTCTTTACCACCCGATAACTGGATATCTTTTTCTTCACTGGACCCTAAACTGAATTGAATTTGAAGATATGTATCAAAAACCATTATTTCATGTAACGCACATCTGTGTTGCTGTTTTTGAGCAGTGTGCAGTTTAGGGTTCATGATAAATCACTGAACCACATGTGTAAAAACTGAATGCCAAATCTTAAACACATTAGAAAAATAACAAATTAGCTTTTGACGCATGCTTTTAATTGGAATAATGGATCAAAAATAGAGGTTCACGACCTTACCAAACACCCTTGCTACTAATAAAATCAAATAACACTTAGAAGGGTATGTATTTTTAGTTAGGGTTTCTTGATCTTGGGGATGTTTGAAAGTTAAAAATTGCATTTGGTAATCAAAGGATTGATTTATGGGTCTTTCCTATCTTAACCAACTTTTTCTTAGTTACCTAGATGGCCAAGTCCAGTGCCTGATATGTAGTAAGACTCAGTAAAAAAAAGTGGATTTTAAAAAATAACTCCCAAAGTGAATAGTCAAAAATCCTGCGTAGCAAACTGTTATATATTGCTAAGTTTGTTCTTTTAACAGCTGGAATTTATTAAGATGCATTATTTTGATTTTATTCACTGCATAAAACACTTTGGGTGGTGTCAGGCCTCTGAGCCTAAGCTAAGCCATCATATCCCCTGTGACTTGCACATACACATCCAGATAGCTGGTTCCTGCCTTAACTGATGACATTCCACCACAAAAGAAATGAAAATGGCTTGTTCCTGCCTTAACTGATGACATTGTCTTGTGAAATTCCTTCTCCTGGCTCATCCTGGCTCAAAAGCTCCCCTGCTGAGCACCTTGTGACCCCCCCACTCCTGCCCACCAGAGAACAACCCCCCTTTTTCCTTTACCTACCCAACTCCTATAAAACGGCCCCACTCCTATCTCCCTTCGCTGACTCTCTTTTCGGACTCAGCCCGCCTGCACCCAGGTGAAATAAACAGCTTTATTGCTCACACAAAGCCTGTTTGGTGGTCTCTTCACATGGACACGAGTGAAATTTGGTGTTGGTGCCGTGACTCGGAGTGGGGGACCTCCCTTGGGAGATCAATCCCCTGTCCTCCTGCTCTTTGCTCCGTGAAAAAGATCCACCTATGACCTCGGGTCCTCAGACCCACCAGCCCAAGGAACATCTCACCAATTTCAAATCCGGTAAGCAGCCTCTTTTTACTCTCTTCTCCAACCTCCCTCACTATCTCTCAACCTCTTTCTCCTTTCAATCTTGGCACCACACTTCAATCTCTCCCTTCTCTTAATTTCAATTCCTTTCACTTTCTGGTAGAGACAAAGGAGACACATTTTATCCACGGACCCAAAACTCCGGTGCCGGTCATGGACTCGGGAAGGCAGCCTTCCCTTGGTGTTTAATCATTGCAAGGATGCCTCTCTGATTATTCACCCACATTCCATTGGTGTCTGATCTCCGCAGGGACACCTGCCTTGGTCATTCACCCACGTTCCCTTGGTGGCAAGTCAATTGCGGGGATGCCTGCTTTGGCTGCTCCCCATCCCCTACTCCACGTCTCTACCCTTCTCTTTAAACTTGCCTCCTTCACTATAGGCAACATTCCACCCTCCATTCCTCCTTCTTCTCCCTTAGTCTGTGTTCTTAAGAACTTAAAACCTCTTCAACTCTCGCCTGACCTAAAATCTAAGCGTCTTATTTTCTTCTGCAATGCTGCTTGACCCCAATACAAATTCGACGGTAGTTCCAAATAGCCAGAAAATGGCACTTTCAATTTTTCCATCCTACAAGATCTAAATAATTCTTGTCATAAAATAGGCAAACGGTCTGAGGTGCCTGACGTCCAGCCATTCTTTTACACATCAATCCCTCCTTAGTCTCTGTTCCCAATGCAACTAGTCCCAAATCTTCCTTCTTTCCCTCCTGCCTGTCCCCTCAGTCCCAACCCCAGGTGTCACTGAGTCTTTCTAATAGTCCTTTTCTACAGACTCATCTGACTTCTCCCCTCCTCGCCAGGCTAAGTCCCAATTCTTCCTCAGCCTCTGCTCCTCCACCCTATAATCCTTTTATCACCTCCCCTCCTCACACCTGGTCTGGCTTCCAGTTTCATTCTGTGACTAGCCTTCCCCCACCTGCCCAGCAATTTCCTCTTAAAAAGGTGGCTAGAGCTAAAGGCATAGTCAAGGTTAATGCTCCTTTTTCTTTATCCCAAATCAGATAGCGTTTAGGCTCTTTTTCATCAAATATAAAAACCCAGCCCAGTTCATGGCTCGTTTGGCAGCAACCCTGAGATGCTTTACAGCCCTAGACCCTGAAAGGTCAAAAGGCCGTCTTATTCTCAATATACATTTTATTACCCAATCTCCTCCCGACATTAAATAAAACTCCAAAAATTAAATTCCGGCCCTCAAACTCCACAACAGGACTTAATTAACCTCGCCTTCAAGGTGTACAATAATAGAGTAGAGGCAGCCAAGTAGCAACATATTTCTGAGTTGCAATTCCTTGCCTCCACTATGAGACAAACCCCAGCCACATCTCCAGCACACAAGAACTTCTAAACGCCTAAACCTCAGTGGCCAGGCATTCCTCCAGGCCTGCCTCCCCCAGGAGCTTGCTACAAGCTCTGGAAATCTGGCCACTGGGCCAAGGAATGCCCACAGCCCAAGATTCCTCCTAAGCTGTGTCCCATCTGTGCAGGACCCCACTGAAAATCGGACTGTTCAACTCACCTGGCAGCCACTTCCAGAGCCCCTGGAACTCTGGCCCAAGGCTCTCTGACTCCTTCCCAGATCTTCTCAGCTTAGCAGCTGAAGACTGATACTGCCGGATTGCCTCAGAAGCCTACAAGACCATCACAGACGCTCTAGGTAACTCTCACAGTGGAAGGTAAGTCCATCCCCTTCTTAATCAATACGGAGGCTACCCACTCCACATTACCTTCTTTTCAAAGGCCTGTTTCCCTTGCCTCCATAACTGTTGTATTGACAGCCAGGTTTCTAAACCTCTTAAAACTCCCCAGCTCTGGTGCCAACTTAGACAATACTCTTTTAAGCAATCCTTTTAGTTATCCCCACCTGCCCAGTTCCCTTATTAGGCCGAGATATTTTAACTAAATTATCTGCTTCCCTGACTATTCCTGGGCTACAGACACACCTCATTGCCACCTTTTCCCCCAGTTCAAAGCCTCCTTCACATCCTCCCCTTATATCTCCCCACCTTAACCCACAAGTATAAGATACCTCTACTCCCTCCTTAGCGACCTATAATCCACCCCTTACCATCTCATTAAAACCTAATCACCCTTACCCCGCTCAGTACCAATATCCCATCCCACAGCACGCTTTAAAAGGATTAAAGCCTGTTATCACTCACCTGTTACAGCATGGCCTTTTAAAGCCTATAAACTCTCCTTACAATTCCTCCATTTTACCTGTCCTAGAACCAGACAAGCCTTACAGGTTAGTTCAGGATCTGCACCTTATCAACCAAATTATTTTGCCTATCCACCCTATGGTGCCAAACCCATATACTCTCCTATCCTCAATACCTCCCTCCACAACCCATTATTCTGTTCTAGATCTCAAACATGCTTTCTTTACTATTCCTTTGCACCCTTCATCCCAGCCTCTCTTCGCTTTCACTTGGACTGACCCTGACACCCATCAGGCTCAGCAAATTACCTGGGCTGTACTGCTGCAAGCTTCACAGACAGCCCCCATTACTTCAGTCAAGCCCAAATTTCTTCCTCAGCTGTTACCTATCTCAGCGTAATTCTCATAAAAACACACGTGCTCTCCCTGCTGATCCTGTTCAGCTGATATCTCAAACCCCAACAGCTATAAAACGACAACTCCTTTCCTTCCTGGGCATGGTTAGACACTTTCGACTTTAGATACCTGGTTTTGCTATCCTAACAAAACCATTATATAAACTCACAAAAAGAAACCTAGCTGACCCCATAGATCCTAAATCCTTTCCCCATTCCTCTTTCCGTTCCTTGAAGACAGCTTTAGAGACTGCCCCCACCCTAGCTCTCCCTGACAAATCCCAACCCTTTTCATTACCCACAGCCAAAGTGCAGGCCTGTGCAGTTAGAATTCTTACACAAGAACCAGGACTACACCCTGTAGCCTTTTTATCCAAACAACTTGACCTTACTGTTTTGCCTAGCCCTCAAGTCTGCGTGCAGTGGCCACCACTGCCCTAATACTTTTAGAGGCCCTTAAAATCACAAACTATGCTCAACTCACTCTCAACAGTTCTCATAACTTCCTCACACCTGACGCATATACTTTCTGCTCCCCAGCTATTTTCTTCCTCACACCTGACGCATATACTTTCTGCTCCCCAGCTCCTTCAGCTGTACTCACTCTTTGTTGAGTCTCCCACAATTACCATTGTTCCTGGTCCGGACTTCAATCCGGCCTCCCACATTATTCCTGATACCACACCTGACCCCTATGACTGTATCTCTCTGATGCACCTGACATTCCACCCCATTTCCCCATATTTCCTTCTTTCCTATTCCTCACCCTGATCACACTTAGTTTATTGATGGCAGTTCCACCAGGCCTAATCACCACACCAGCAAAGGCAGGCTATGCTATAGTATAAGCCACTAGCCCGCCTCTTAGAACCTCTCATTTCCTTTCCATCGTAGAAATCTATCCTCAAGGAAATAACTTCTCAGTGTTCCATCTGCTATTCTACTACCCCTCAGGGATTATTCAGGCCCCCTCCCTTCCCTACACATCAAGCTCAAGGATTTGCCCCCACCCAGGACTGGGAAAGTAGCTTTACTCAACATGCCCTGAGTCAGGAAACTAAAATACCTCTTAGTCTAGGTAGACACTTTCACTGGATAGGTAGAGGCCTTTCCCACAGGGTCTGAAAAGGTCACCGCAGTCATTTCTTCCCCTCTGTCACACATAATTCCTCGCTTTGGCCTTCCCACCTCTATACAGTCCAATAGCAGACCGGCTTTTCAGGCTCTTGGTATTCAGTGAAACCTTTATACCCCTTACGGTCCTCAGTCTTCAGAAAAGGTAGAACAGACTAATAGTCTTTTAAAAACACACCTCACCAAGCTCAGCCACCAACTTAAAAAGAACTGGACAGTACTTTTACCACTTTCCCTTCTCAGAATTCAGGCCTGTCCTCGGAATCCTACAAGGTACAGCACATTTAAGCTCCTGTATGGACGCTCCTTTTTATTAGGCCCCAGTCTTATTCCAGACACCAGACCAACTTAAGACTGTGCCCCAAAAAAACTTGTCATCCCTACTATCTTCTGTCTAGTCATACTCCTGTTCACTGTTCTCAACTACTCATACGTGCCCTGCTCTTGTTTACACTGCCAGTTTACACTGTTTCTCCAAGCTATCACAGCTGATATCTCCTGGTGCTATCCCCAAACTGCCACTCTTAACTCTTAAATAAATAATCTTTGCTGGCAGAACTATGCTAAATCTCCTTAAGCACTCTCTAATTACATGTCCTAGGTCCTCCCCATTCTTAGAACTTTAATACCTGGTTTTCTCCTTCTCTTATTCCATTTAGTTTTTCAATTCATATAAAACCGTATCCAGGCCATCACCAATAATTCTACATGACAAATGTTTCTTCCAATAACCCCACAATATCACCCCTTACCACAAAATCTTCCTTCAGCTTAATCTCTCCCACTCCAGGTTCCCACGCCTCCCCTAATCCTGAGAAACATCACCCATTCTCTCTCTCCATACCACCCCCTGCCAAAAATGTTTCGCCGCCCCAACACTTCGACACTATTTTGTTTTATTCTTCTTATTAATATAAGAAGACAGGAACGTCAGGCCTCTGAGCCCAAGCTAAGCCATCATATCCCCTGTGACCTGCACATACACATCCAGATGGCCGGTTCCTGCCTTAACTGATGACATTCCACCACAAAAGAAGTGAAAATGGCCTGTTCCTGCCTTAACTGATGACATTGTCTTGTGAAATTCCTTCTCCTGGCTCATCCTGGCTCAAAAAGCTCCCCCACTGAGCACCTTGTGACCCCCACTCCTGCCCACCAGAGAACAACCCCCCTTTTTCCTTTACCTACCCAAATCCTATAAAACGGCCCCACCCCTATCTCCCTTCGCTGACTCTCTTTTTGGACTCAGCCCGCCCGCCTGCACCCAGGTGAAATAAACAGCTTTATTGCTCACACAACGCCTGTTTGGTGGTCTCTTCACACGGACGCGAGTGAAAGGTGGTATTGAGAGAGTTGGTGGATTTTCCTCCAAGTGATTAAACGAAATTTGACTTATCTTTTCATCCAAAGTTTTGTACATCATGTTTTCTAACGGGAAAAAAATGTTAATATGGCTTTTTTGTATTACTAAAAATAGCTTCGAGATTAAGGAAAAATAAATAACTCTTGTACAGTTCAGTATTGTCTATTAAATCTGTATTGGCAGTATGTATAATGGCATTTGCTGTGGTTCCAAAATATTTCCTCTGGATTATAATAATCATTTGATCCAATTCCTGTTGCTTGTAAAATAAAGTTTTACCAGTTGATATAAAAAAAATTGACATCAAAAACCCTACCCACACATTCAGGAATGCTCTCATACGTAGTGACAGGAGAACTGTTCTCGTACATGCTTTCAGGAAGAAAGATGGAAGATTTATGGACTTTCAGCAGAATTTTTCCTGACTCTTGGAGTCTGTCTAGACAGACACAGGGAAGATTTATTTTCTGACTGTCCCTTTTATGTGCAAGCTCAGTCATCTGCAACTCAGCTAATCAGAAAGGTCAGTGGTACCTTCTGAGCAAAGCAGAGAAATAGACCCTAGCCAAAGTGGAAATCTACATATTACTGATGACTGTGCCACACTGAAGCAGTGGGAGGACTAAGAGTAATGCTTATGCCTAGTGGAGAGCTTTTGTGGGAAATTTTTTAAGGCAAAAGAGTGAATGCTACTGCTGGAGAGGTCACTGTCAGCAAGCTTTGCAAAATTAATAATATAGCATGGCTGGTCCCACATTTCACTGTTTCCATGGGTGGGAAAGGGATGACTGCATTATGAATAAAGGAAAATTATAGGACTAAGAAAGAAAAGATGAAGTCTAAAATATTCCCAGCTCAAAAACAAACTGTATCTGAGCATACGGAGCTACAAAATGCCACCTAACTCTTCTCCAGTGCAATGAAGGGCACTAAATTTTGTAAGCATTTGATATGTTCCAAGTACTATATTAAACTGATTTTCTTCATTTCTCTCTTTCCTTTTACTTTCTTTCTTTTCTTTTTTCTTTCTTTCCTTTCTTTCTTTTCTTTTTTCTTTCTTTTTTCTTTTTTTATTTCTTTTCTTTTCTTTTTGCTTTCTTTCTTTTCTTTCTTCCTTTCTTTCTCTCTCTCTTTCTCTCTTTCTTTTGTTCTCTTTGAGACGGAGTCTCACTGTGTCACCCAGACTGCACTGCAGTGGCACGATCACAGCTCACTGCAACCTCAGACTCCTGGGCTCAAGCAAGCCTCCTGCCATAGGCTCCCAAAATGTTGGTATTACAGGTGTGAGCCACCATATATATCAGCCTTAAAGTGATTTTCTTTTTTTTTTTTTTTTTTTTTTGAGATGGAGTCTCGCTGTGGTACCCAGCTCACTGCAAGCTCTGCCTCCTGAGTTCATGCCATTCTCCTGTCTCAGCCTCCCGAGTAGCTGGGACTACAGACACCCGCCACCACACCTGGCTAATTTTTTTTGTATTTTTAGTAGAGATGGGGTTTCACCATGTTAGCCAGGTTGGTCTCCATCTCCTGACTTTGTGATCCGCCTGCCTCGGCCTCCCAAAGTGCTGGGATTACAGGCGTGAGCCACCACACCCGGCCGTGATTTTCTATATCATAGAAGTAATGTACTATTGTCCTCTTTTTGTAGTTAAAAAAACACAGATTCAGAGAAGCTAAATAATATGCCAAGGTCACACAATGAGCAAATGGAAAAGGTGAGACCAACATTTATGTGAATCTAAAGCCCATTGTCTATATACCAATTGCCACTCCAAAGCAGATGGATAAATGCCTTTAATATCAAATCTCTACTTCAATTCTACTTCTTTGTCAAAATTAAGTAGTATAAATTAATATTAGATTATTATTAAAGCTATCATATTTGCTAATAATACAACACGTAAATAATATACATATTTGCTAATCATACAACTATCATATCATATTTGCTATCATATTTGCTGATAATACTATCATATTTGCTAACACTATCATATTTGCTAATAATACAACACACAAATAATATACATAGACACAAATCTATTTGCCCCACTATGCTATTCAAACAGATGTCATCCAAATAGCTGCATGGAATTTTATTTTATTAGATTACATCCCAATGCAAGAACTAAAAGTACACTCAGTGCCTCAGCACATTTATCTATCAGAGAGAACTTTTAAAAACAAAATTTCTCTAAAATAAATCAGGAGTTGACAACAAAAGAAAGTTATGTCACCTGTGGAGGTCAAAATATTTTATGAAGCCTTTTGCTACTCATGTGACTATTGTTTTATCCATAAGAAGAAGCTCTACCCAAAATATCTCAGCCCATTTGTGCTGTAGGCTCAAAGTTTTACCTTCATTCCCACTTGGCTGGTTTGACATATCCCCAAGGATAAGTGTCTGCTGTAAATATGAATAAGAACCTTCTAGCATATCTGTGAATATGCATATTCTTAGACCCCACTTCATAGAAATTTTGCTCCAGTTAGCCTGAGGTAGGGCCCAGGAATCTGCATTTTAACATACATACATTTCTGACAGAGATGGTATAATGCTTATTCATTGAGAATCACTAGACTAGAGAATCCTTCACTCCAGTTGGTAATTATTCATTGAGTGAATCATTCCCTCATTGATTCTTTCTGTCTGGGTCTAAGGGGTTTGAGAGGTTTTCCTGGCTTCTCAAATTGCTAGAGAATCCTCTAAACTGAACCCAGCCTGTATATGTTAAATCCCAAGGACGTACCTGCATGAGACTGGCTATCACAAGCCATACCGTTGAAGTTCTACTCAGATAAGCATTTGCTCCTTTTTACTTGCTCAGAGCCTTTCTCAAAACAAAGCTGTGAACTGGAAAAATTATTTCTTATGTTCTACTTCCTATATCTTCAATATCCAGGTACCTAGATCCTAACCATACGTGGGAAACTAAAGCTTCTTGGATACCCTGTATCATCAACTGAGATGTCCAACCCAACGTAGCCTGGCCCTTTTCCTTATGCTCCAGATTTCTCTCTATGTCCTCCATAGAATGTGCTCCATCCATTTCCCTCCGGTGAGGATCATAGCATCAGCCCAGTGACAGCACTTTAATACAACATGTGAAAATGAATGAACAAAGTAATATTTTATTTTGGAGCCAAACTGGAACTAATGGCAGATTTTTGTTTTGAGTCTCACACACCGTAAAATAAAGTTAATGAATAAAGTTAAAATGATGGTGTCAGGTAATGTGGAAATGCAAGTACATTCCTTATTCCATTTTCCTGCTACAGAGAATATATACTTGATGAATCAGTAATCCACTGTCTCTGTTGACAATTCAACAAGGCCATAAAAAAACTCAGCTGAGTAATAGGACTTAGAATTCAACGAGAGAAAACCTGAGTTCTAAATATGTTTTATTTTTTAAAGAAAAATTCAAGGTAATTTTTTTTTTTTTTTTGAGTCAGGGTCTCACTCTGTTGCCCAGGCTGCAGTGCAGTAACATGCTTTTGGCTCACTGTAGCCTCGATCTCCCCAGGCTCAGGTGATCCTCCCACCTGAGTAGCTAGGACTACAGGCATGTGCCATCACGCCCTGCTAATTTTTGTATTTTTTGTAGAGATGGGGTTTCTGCAACTGGTCTCAAACTCCTGGGCTCAAGTGATCCACCTTCCTTGGCCTCCCAACGTACTGGGATTACAGGCATGAGGCACTACACCCAGCCCAGGATAATTTATTAAAATACAAAATATAATCACTATCAAAGACAAGAATTGTATGCAAAAAATGCTTCATAAATGCTACTGTCCATGACAGTGTACAAAAACACAGCTCAGTCTGAGACCAACTACTGTAGCATTTAGGACAGACACAACAGATAAGCAAAATTCTCAAGGGAAAACATAGAAGACAACCAGTTCTCCCATAAAGCTCTGAAAAGAAAGTAAAGGCTCTATATTGAAGACTACCCTTGATAACCTCACAGTAATCGGCATGACTAACACATATATTTTGAAATAGTAGCAGTTTAAGATAAAGAGGAAGGGTGGAATGAGAAGATTCCATAATTTCTTGATATTTTTGCATTATTAGAATCGTTTGAACTTTTGACTCTATCCTTGGAGTCAAACAAATCTAGAAGGCTTTGGCTTCTGAATAATAAATCATTTAGCCATAACTTTCAAACTTCATGATTATAATTAACACTTAAGCCTTAATGGATGTTAATGGGTTACTTTTCTTAGGTAGCATGCTATTTTAACAGTGGCTTTTTATATTCAGGGCCTTACAAATTCCAAGGAATGATTCTTACAGTGTAAAGTGCAGCACTATAATAAGGTATAAGAAGGATATTGAGGAAGGAAGGTAAATGGTCTTGTACCCTTAAAATAAATAATTCTACATTGTCACCTACTGTGTCCAATGTATGTAATAAACCTACACTTGCTTTAATGCAGGGGTTACCACATGGTTCCATTTCAGCAGCAATTGCCTTCATCATCTGCTAAGATGGAGAGTAGGAACATGATTTATTTTGAAAAAGGCCCATCAGGAAATAAAGCATAATCCCAGTCCATATGGGCAGAATTCTTAATATCATTTATACTTTTAGGAAAATTCTTTTACCTTGGAAGTTTCTCCTTTGGGCTGAGCTGAAGATTTCTGAAGAGATCTTGGTTGGCTTTGGAGAGCAGGAGAAAAAACACCGGGAGTCCTCCATAGAACCTCATTCCCAGCATTAAGTAAGATCCTGGGATGTTAAGTGTGCAAGGAAAGGCCAGGCTCACGCCTGTAATCCCAGCACTTTGGGAGGCCGAGGCAGGTGGATCACCTGAGGTCAGGAGTTCAAGACCAGCCTGGCCAACGTGGTGAAACGCCATCTCTACTAAAAATACAAAAATTAGTCAGGCATGGTGGCACGTTCCTGGAATCCCAGCTACATGGGAGGCTGACGCAGAAGAATCACTTGAACCTGGGAGGTAGAGGTTGCGGTGATCTGAGATTGCACCACTGCACTCCAGCCTGAGCGACAGAGCAAGACTCTGTCTCAGAAAAAAAAAAAAAAAGAAAAGGAAAATATCTTGGACCCCCAAAATCATCAAGCTAAAGGGAAAAGTCAAGCTGGGAACTGCTAAAGGCAAACCTGCCTCCCATTCTGTTCAAAGTCACCCCTGTGCTCACTGAGATAAACGCATATCTGATGGCCTCCTTTGGAGAGGCTAATCACAAACTTGAAATGCAACCATTTGTCTCTTATCTACGACCTGGAAGCCCACTCCCTGCTTCGATTTGTCCCTCCTTTCCAGACTAAACCAATGTTCATTTTACATATGATGATTGATGTCTCATGTCTCCCTAAAATGTATAAAACCAAGCTGTGCTCTGATCACCTCGGGCACATGTCTTCAGGACCTCCTGAGGCTGCATCATGGGCGTGCATCCTCAACCTTGGCAAATAAACTTTCTAAACTAACTGAGACCTGCCTCAGATTTTCGGGGTTCACATAAGTATGTCCAGGTTGTATGTCTTCCAAAAGAGAATGCATAACTGGGGCCCAAAACTGACACAATGGTAGTATTAAAATTGTCCTAGCTAGGGACATTGACTGTTCCCTGACAGCCAACCACTGCAATCAATTCCTCACTATGTCAATGCAGTGAACCTCTACATTTCTCTCAGCCTTTACTTCTGCATCTGTACAATTGGCGTCATAATAATGCATTTCCACAAGTCTACAGTGAAGATGAAATGAGGCTACAGACACCTGACAAAAGCTCAAGCATTTCACAGCGCTTAAGTAGTGGCAATGCAGAATCAGATCCTTTTCTTTTCCGTGTATATCTTTCAGTAAATGAACAATTGGCCCTAACCCAAAGACAGAACAGCCTTTTAAGAATCATTCACTAACAACTAAAATTCTAACACTTTTTAAGAAAAGGCTATTAACAATCTGATTGTTTAAGCTCTTGATAAATATAACTGGCAGAATTACTAAACATGTTTTGGAGATTTGGGAGAAATTTCAGTGCAGTTGAGTAGGAGGATAGCTAGACACCCAGTGACCCTGGCTGTTGATCTGCAGAAGGACAGATATCAAGTGGTTAATTTGCAGCCTCATCTCTGTCTCTCCTTGTGTTCCAAGCCAAATGGACCTCGTGTGCCCGGGTGGCAGACATCTTTCCCTCATGTCACGTAAATAATATCTCAGTTCAAAGTCATTATCTCAGGGAAAAGTGAATCATTGACCCCATTTCAAACAAAGCCAGATCCCTTTTTTAACACTCTCTCATAGCATTTTGTATTTTCTTTCTTAGCACTTAGCATAGTTGATGAATAAGATTTATTTCTGTAATTGTGTACTTAATGCCTGCCTCTTCTCCAGTGTAAGCTTGTGAAGGGTAGAAAGCATGACTATTAAGCTCACTGTTGTATCAATCCAGAGCCTGGTCCAAGGTCTGGCACATGGGAGGAGTTAAATAAATATTTGGTGCTTCAATGAAGAGAGAGGACTTGACGCCAAATCCTCTGAGACCAAAGCCGGTATTCCTTTTTACTACCAAAGAAATGGTTCTGTATAAGTAAGTATCACATGAGAAGCCCATTAAAAATGCAGTCCTGGGTCTTTCTCCAGTGCTCCAGAGTCACAAACTCCCAGGGATGAAGGAATCTGTATTTTCAGGTTGCAGCTAGTTCACGGATCAGCTGTAGGAGCCACTGCACTAAACTCAACCTGGATGAGCTATAACCATAAACAATGTGCTTATAAAGAGAGAATCCAGAATCCTCGCGTTTTTCTTTCTACCCTCTGGTCAGTGCTGGAAGAGAAAGCCCTCTAATCAGTCTCATATTGAATCAAGGAAGTAAAAATATCAAAAGCAACTCCCATGTCTTCACATAAAATGTGCTTTATGTAATCCTTTCCATTAACTACAAATCACATGCGTTTTTTTAAATGAAACTTTAAGTCATATCGCTAAGTGAAAGACAGCAGACTAAAAAAGATACGTGCTATATGATTCCAGCCATATGACATTTTGGAAAAGGCAAAACTATAGAGACAGTAAAGACAGTGGCTGCCAGAGATTTTAAGGGAGGGAGAGAAAGATGAATAGGTACACAGGGTATGTTTAGGGTGGTTAAATTGTTCTGTATGAAACTATAATGAATATGTAGGGGAGGAAAAACTTCCTCTACCCTCTTAGTTTCTGTGGCTGGAATTTAAGAGTTAAACTGAAAAAAGATAGATTAATCAGAGAAGAGGCAGACAAAGTTTATTTTTAATTTTATGTCCACAGGGGCTTCATAGAAGAGAACTGAAAACTCAGAGAGGTAGTTAGACCCTGGGGCTTATATACCATGTGATATGGTTTGGCTCTGTCCCCACCCAAGTCTCATCTTGAATTGTAGCTCCCATAATTCCCACATGTTGTGGGAGGGACCCAGTGGGAGATAACTGAATCATGGGTTTAACCCATATTGTTCTCATGGTACTAAATAAGTCTCATGAGATCTGATGGTTTTATAAGGGGAAACCCTTTCGTTTGGTTCTCACTCTCTCTTTTTGCCTGCCACTATATAAGACATATCTTTCACCTTCTGCCATGATTGTGAGGCCTCCTCAGCCACATGGAACTGTGAGTCCATGAAATTTCTTTTTCTTTATAAATTACCCAGTCTAGCGTATGTCTTTATCAGCAGCATGAAAAGGGACTAATACACCATTTTAGCAAAGGATGATAACTCGGGGAGACATGACTAGACAAAAGAAATGGGGAGCTTGGGTTCCTAGGGGTGGTAAATTGGGAGAAGGTGACTAGGAAGTACATGGTAGATAAGGGCTGTTTACTGAGATTTGCTACACAAACTCAAGTTCTCTCTGGTTGTAAGAATGGAGAATCATTCTCCTCTCCTCAGTATGGGAAAAGGGAAATTTATCCCCTGCTTTTAGGCAGAAAAGAGAGGTCAGAGAGCTCTTCCTGAGTCTGCTGCTTCTAAATTGCCTTCAGCTCAAAATAATTCTTATGCCAAAGTAGAATATTTTGGGGTAGCATATTCTGATCCCTTTCAGTGGATATGTGTTATTATACTCTTGTCAAAACCATAGAAGTACACAACACAAAGAGTGAGCCCTCATGTAAACTATGGACTATAGTTAACAATCATGTATCAATATTGGTTCATTAATTTTAACAAATGTACCACACCAATGCAAGTTGTTAATAATAGGGGAAATTGTGGAGGGAAATTGAGAGGTAGGGATGGGGTGGGTGTATAGAACTCTATGTATTATCTGTTCAATTGTTCTATAAATCTAAAACTGTATTTTTTAAGTCTAAAAAATCAAAACACATACACAAAAATTACTGTGGGAATGGAACACAACAGTGAGCATTACAGCTCACAATTACTGAATGCTCACAGTGTGGGCAGCACCAAGCTAAAAATTTTCAAACATTGCCTCTTTTCACACTAACACTCTAAGGTAGTGTGTTAGTTCATTTTCATGCTGCTGATAAAGACATACCCAAGAGCGGGCAATTTACAAAAGAAAGAAGTTTATTGTACTTACAGTTTCACATGGCTGGGGAGACCACACAATCATGGCAGAAGGCAAGGAAGAGGAAGTCACATCTTATGTGGATGGCAGCAGGCAAAGAGAGAGCTTGTGCAGGCATACTCCCGTTTTTAAAACCATCAGATCTTGTGAGACCCATTCACTATCATGAGAACAGCAAGAGAAAGACCCAGCCCCATGATGTAATCATCTCCCACTGGGTCCCTCCCACAACAAGTGGGAGTTATGGGAGCTACAAGATGAGATTTGGGTGGGGACACAGAGCCAAACCATATCACTCCACACCTTGCCCCTCCCAAATCTCATGTCTTCACATTTCACAACCAATCATGTGCTCCAAACAGTCCCCCAAAGTGTTAACTCATGTCAGCATTAACTCAAAAGTCCACAGTCCAACATCTCATTTGAGACAAGGCAAGTCACTTCTACCTATGAGCCTGTAAAATCAAAAGCAAGTTAGCTACTTCCTAGATACAATGGGGGTACAGGTATTGTGTAAACACAGCTGTTCCAAATGGGAGAAATTGAGTAAAACAAAGGGGCTACAGGCCCCATGCAAGTCTGAAATCTAGAGGGGCAGTCAAATCTTAAAGCTCCAAAATGATCTCCTTTAACTCCAAATCTCACATCCAGGTCATGCTGATGCAAGAGGTGGGTTCCCATGATCTTGGGCAGCTCCGCCCCTGTGGCTTTGCAGGGTACAGCCTCCTGCCTAGCTGCTTTCATGGGCTGGTGTTGTCTGCGGTTTTTCCAGGTGCATGGAGCAAGCTGTCAGTGGATCTATCATTCTGGGGTCTGGAGGATGGTGGCCCTCTTCTCACAGCTCCACTAGGCGGTGCCCCAGTAGGGATTCTGTGCTGGGGCTCCGATCCCACATTTCCCTTCTGTACTGCCCTAGCAGAGATTCTCCATGAGGGCCCCTCCCCTACAGCAGACTTCTGCCAGGGCATCCAGGCATTTCCATACATCTTCTGAAATCTAGGCAGAGGTTCCCAAACCCCAATTTTTGACTTCTGTGCACTGGCAGGCTCAACACCACATGGAAGCTGCCAAGGCTTACAGCTTGCACCCTCTGAAGCCACAATCCGAGCTCTATGTTGGCCCCTTTCAGCCATGGCTGGAGCAGCTGGGACACAAGGCACCAAGTCCCCAGGCTGCACACAGCATGGGGACCCTGGGCCTGGCCCAAGAGATCACTTTTTCCTCCTAGGCCTGCAGGCCTGTGATGGGAGGGGCTGCTGTGAAGACCTCTGGCATGCCCTGGAGACATTTTCCCCATTGTCTTGGGGATTAACATTTAACTCCTTGTTACATATGCAAATTTCTGCAGCCAGCTTGATTTTCTCCTCAGAATATGGGATTTTCTTTTCTATTGCATTGTCAGGCTGCAAATTTTCCAAACTTTCATGCCCTGCTTCCCTTATAAAACTAAATGCCTTTAACAGCACCCAAGTTACCTCTTGAATGCTTTGCTGCTTAGAAATTTCTTCTGCCAGATACCCTAAATGATCTCTCTCAAGCTCAAGGTTCCACAAATCTCTAGGTCAGGGGCAAAATCCCACCAGTCTCTTTGCTAACACATAACAAGACATAACCTTTGCTCTACTTCCCAAAAAGTTCCTCATCCCCATCTGAGACCACCTCAGCCTGGATTTCATTGTCCATATCATTATCACCATTTTGGTCAAAGTCATTCAACAACTCTCTAGGGAGTTTCAAACTTTCCACATTTTCCTGTCTTCTGAGCCCTCCAAACTGTTCCAACCTCTGCCTGTTACCCAGTTCCAAAATCACTTCCACATTTTCAGGTATCTTTAGAGTAGCACCCCACTACCTGCTACCAAATTACTGTATTGATCTGTTCTCATGCTGCTGATAAAGATATACCTGAGACTGGGCAATTTACAAAAGAAAGAAGTTTATTGAACTTACAGTTCCATGTGGCTGGGGAGGATACACAATCACAGCAGAAGGAAAGGAGGAGGAAGTTACATCTTATGTGGATGGCAGCAGGCAAAGAGAGAACTTGTGCAGGAGGACTCCCGTTTTTAAAACCATCAGATCTCATGAGACACATTCACTATCACAAGAACAGCACAGGAAAGACCCACCCCCATGATTCCATCACCTCCCACCGGGTCCCTCCCACAACACGTGGGAATTATGGGAGCTACAAGATGAGAGTTGGGTGGGGACACAGAGCCAAACCATATCAGGCAGTGAATATAATCACATGCACCTGAGGGTTGAGGGAACTAAGAGTGACAGCAGTTAATCCCTGGCCCAAGGGGTCACAGCCAGCAAGTTTCATCAGGTTTCAAACCCAGGTCCACACATTTACCCACTGTGGGAGACTTCTTCTGTTTATTCATAGTTGCTTTTGCCTACACACAAAATGAGTGGGTTACTGCTAAGTTTGATCAGTAACTACATTAGAAAATAGTAAGGCAGATTAAGAGAAAAAGATTCTCAATCAATGCTTCCTGATGATCCAGGGACACACACAGGTAAAACTGATGGTGGAAAAGCAGGTCAGGTGGGTAATGGCATGACTGCCTTGGCATAAAACTTTGTTGTAAATAAACAAATAATGATAACATTGATATATAAACTTAAATGACAATACTTCACTTTAAAACAAGACCATTAATAACAAAGAAATTGCCAAAAAAAAAAAAAAAAGGGAGGAGAGAGAGAAAGAGATGTAAATGGTCACACATTAAAAGAGAGATATATGAGTCATCAGCCTAATCCAGTATGTGAACGTCATATGGGTCTTGATGTTACAGAATCTCCAAATTTAGGTCTGTGCACCTGATGCATGGTAAGCCAAACACTGACACATCAGCACTCAGGAACAGAGAAAGGTTTATTCAATTTGACCAAAGCAAGAGGGCAGGAGAGACAGTCTCTCAAATCTGCCCTGCCTTTGAATTTAACTGGGGACTTGTATGAGTAAGGTGGGTATATGGGAGATGAAACTCCCCCAGTGATCAAAGCTGTTGGCATCCCTCTACCCAAATTTCTGGACACCATCAAGGAGGTCTGCATAACCTAAGGATCATGGTTCTTTAAAAGAAAAACAAGTTCATCAATCTGCCAGGCACCCCTGTAGGTTAGGATATGAAGTTAATCAATTATTAGTGACTACCCTCTACTGAAATAATGACATGCAAGCAAGCACGCATAGAGCAAGAAAAGGACAAGGGGAAAGGGAAAGTAGGTAAAACAAACATCGTATGATCTTTATAATAGAGGCTCAGTTACAGTGATTCAAACAAACCAACTCTGGGGTCAGTTACGAATGAATCAGTAAAATTTGTTCGTAGATTGGATAGTAGACAATACCAACACATTAGTACATTTTAGGTACAATTATTTTATCAAAATTACATTAAAAAATAACTTATCAAAAGCTATTAAAGGTAAGTCTAGGCTAAACACAGTGGCTCACACCTGTAATCCCAGCACTTTGGGAGGTCAAGGTAGAAAGATTGCTTGAGGCCAGGAGTTCAAGTCTGCAGTGAATAACGCATGATCGTGCCACTGTTCTCCAGCCTGGGCAACAGAGTGAGACCCTGTATCTAAAAAAAAAAAAAAGAAAAGAAAAGATTAAAGGTAAATGTAAATATGTCCGGTATTTGCCTCGAAATAATTTGAGGAGGGACAGAGAGAGATATAGATCAAATAAAATTGGCTGTGAACTGATATTGTATAATTGTTGGAGCTAGATTAGATGCATACCCAGGTTCGTTATACTATTCTCACTCCCTTTAAATAGTTTTGACGTTTTCCACCAAGAAAGGGTGTTTTTTTTTTTTTTTTTTTTGAGATGGAGTCTCGCTCTGTCACCCAGGCTGGAGTGAGGTGGCTCAATCTCGGCTCACTGCAAGCTCCGTCTCCCGGGTTCACACCATTCTCCTGCCTCAGCCTCCTGAGTAGCTGGGAGTACAGGCACCCGCCACCATGCCCGGCTAATTTTTTGTATTTTTAGTAGAGATGGGGTTTCACTGTGTTAGCCAGGATGGTCTCGATCTCCTGACCTTGTGATCCGCCCGCCTCGGCCTCCCAAAGTGCTGGGATTACAGGCATGAGCCACTGCGCCCAGCCGGCTAGGGTTTTTTAGAGTTTATTATAGAGCATTAGTTCTAGCACTTATCTAACCCATTGCATTGTTTTCATTCAATAAATAAGGGATGTGAACATTAATTATAAAAATAATATTTGAAATTAAAACATAAGATTAGGCTAGGCACGGTGGCTCACACCTGTAATCCCAGCACTTTGGGAGGCCGAGGCGGGCGGATCACCTGAGGTCAGGAGATCCAGACAAGCCTGACCAACATGGTGAAACCCTGTCTCTACTAAAAAAAAAATAATAATAAAAAAATAAAAAAAAATTAGCCAGAAGTGGTGGGACGCACCTGTAATCCCAGCTACTCAGGAGGCTGAGGTGGGAGAATCACATGAATTCGGAGGCGAAGTCTGCAGTGAGCCAAGATCATGCCACTGCATTCCAGCCTGGGTGACAGAGGGAGAGCCTGTCTCAAAAATAAAACAAAATAAAATAAAAAATAAGATTAGCATATACAAGCATTTTCACCCAGATTATTTCAATAAATCATGCCCTGTAGTTTCTGTTAACCTTTCCAGGAAAGAGCTGACATCAATCTCTACTCCTTCCCCAGCGCCTATGTCCTGGGTCTCTCATTCATTTCCTTCAAGTGCCCATGGCCAGAAAAGGGCATCCACAGAAGAAGGAGCAAGTCTAAGGGGTGCTGTTACCTGTTGATAGTTTTCCTTCAAGTGAAGGACAGAATGAACTCTCAGGGTTCTGAATATAGTAACAGTTCTCCTTCACCCTTGGGCATCACCCACTACCACAAATACCAATCCTTGGACCTAGGAAATCCAGAGGACCTCAAGAAAGTCTATCATCCCCACAGAGTTTAGATTGGTTCATTTGTGATTCCTGGGAAATATGATTTCAAGGAATTTGAGTGCCTCATAGGGAATGTAGAAAGGAAAATGAGGTTCTATCTCCTTCCCAAACAGACTAGGAAATGCTCTTAGCTAGCCATGAGGAGACACTGGCTTATGGCTGGTTCCAAGCTGGAGGTAAAAATGAAAATTCCATGTCCCTAGCAACAAAAGTATAAACCAAAGTCACAAAGCACTTATATTAAATCCAATTTCAGTGGCTGGTGTTTTATTCTGCTTCAGAAATTTCTTTTTCTTTCTTTCTTTCTTTCATTTTTTGTTTGTTTGCTTGTTTGTTTGTTAAGATAGTATCTCATTGTGTCACCCAGGCTGGAGTGCAGTGATGCAATCTTGGCTCACCGCAACCTCCACCTCCCAGGTCCAAGCGTTTCCCCTGCCTCAGCCTCCCTAGTAGCTGCGATTACAGGAGGTCGTCACCATGCCAGGCTAATTTTTGTATTTTTAGTAGAGACAGGGTTTCACCATGTTGGCCAAGCTGGTCTCGAACTCTGGACCTCAGGTGATCTGCCTGCCTCGGCCTCCCAAAGTGCTGGGATTACAGGCGTGAGCCACCAAGCCCAGGCCATGTTTCAGAAATGTCTTTGATAGTGAAGCACTAGACTTGTCCTGACATAGGATGGTCACAGCAGTCTGGACCCCACACCATGTGTCTCCTTGGATTCAAAAGTTTACTTGTGGTTGGGTGCAGTGGTTCACACCTGTAATCCCAGCACTTTGGGAGGCCAAGGCCAGAGGATTGCTTGAGGCCAGTAATTCAAGGCCAGCCCGGGCAACGTAATGGGACCCTATCTCTATAAAAAATTTTAAAATTAGCCAGGCATGGTAGTGTGCACCTATGGTCCCAGCCACTCGGAAGGCTGAGATGGGAGGATCCCTTGAGCCCAGGAGGTGGGCTGTGAGCCATGAGCTGTGATTACACCAGTGCATTCCAGCCTGGGCAACAAAGAGAGACATTGTCTCAAAAAAAAAAAAGTTTAGTTGTGTGTTATATATCATACATATGAATACATACGCAGCATTTTATTTCTAGAAGTGGCAAACAGTGAATACGCTTACCTGTTATCCTCTTTCCCTCAAGGGACTCCCTCACTTCTAGGAAGAAAAATTTCACAGACAAGTGAAAAGAGTGTTTCAACTTTGGCTGATTTATTCAGCCAGCTGTTCAGACATTCTTTTTAAGTGATGCTTGTCATTTACCTGTACTGGTTTTGGCTTTTGGTATTCAGAACACTCCAAATGCTTGCATTCATATGCCTTTCTATGAGTTTTTAAATGTGTTTGGGGGATTTCACTAAGCCCAGTGATTTAAAATTCTAAAGGTCAGGAAGTATATCACTGTGTACTTAAACAATGATCCTGCATGGTACAAAAATAAAATATTGATTATGCAAATTGACAAATGCATATTATCTATGATGCCATTGCAGAGTATTGAACTGAATTCCAGTCTGAAGAGTTCCAGCCTGTCTGTTCACAAACTATTTGATGTTAGGTAAATTATTAATGTCTATTAGCCTTTTTATAAAATAAGTGATGCAGATTAGGTGACTGTTGATGATTATTCAAAATCTCAGATGCAATTACCCTAATAACGCTTCAAATCACAACTCTGATTTTCTCTGGGGTAAGAATTTGATACATGATAATAAGCCTCCAAGAGGCTGCCTCAGCCCTGCACTCAAATATGCTATTGATAGAGACAGAAGCCAGCCATGGGTCCCCGGCGAAAGGGTCCCCACCTCCAAGCATAAAACAGCCTGAAGGCTGAAAAACCAAACTGCTGGTCCCAGATGAAACCCGCCCTTTCCCGACTGATTCTGAATAATGTCCACCTATGCACCGGGAGGACGAGGGCGGAGCCTTGGGAAGTCTGCACCTTTTGCAGCGGGGAGGAGCCTGGCCTCTTCAGTTCCTGGGTGGTGACCTGGGATTCAATCTGTGAGGCAAGAGACCTGCTGGCAGGACTCTCTCTCGCTTTGCTGAGAGTTCCTCTTTCCCATTTTCTTTTCACTTAATAAATCCTGCCCTACTCACCCTACAATGCATCTGCATGTCTAAATTTTCCTGGTCGCATGACAAGAACCCAATTTTTTTCTACAACACTATTCCATATCTTGGGAGCTTTATCTGAAAAATAGCCCTTTGCACAGGACATTCACTTCCTGAGGGTAGGTCCATCTGGGATACCAAATTGCAGATCACTGGTTACTTAATGAACTTAGGAGGAACATATGACACTGTGTTTCTGAAAACCTGCTTTCTTCAAATCAGGATAGCTAATTAGACTCCAGTCATTATAGAAAGACATCCATTTCGATACTCAACATTAATCAAGAAAAATCACAGCATTCTCCTTCTTCTGTGTAATACAAGAAAATGCCTTTAACTCTCATTTTAAACTGTAGGGAAGGAAAAATAATTTTCTTTCTAACTTTCAGAGTTCTTAGTTGAGATGGACCCCTGTAACAGAAGACACATTAACAAGAGAAAAGCAAACGGAAGTTTATTTATTTATTTACTTTTATTATTATACTTTAAGTTCTAAGGTACGTGTGCACAACGTGCAGGTTTGTTACATATGTATACATGTGCCATGTTGGTTTGCTGCACCCGTTAATTTGTCATTTACATTAGGTATTTCTCCTAATGCTATCCCTCCTCCTACCCCGACTCCACGACAGGCCCCAGTGTGTTATGTTCCCCACCCTGTGTCCAAGTGTTATTGTTCATTTCCCACCTATGGGTGGGAACATGCGGCGTTTGATTTTCTGTCCTTGCGATAGTTTGCTCAGAATGATGGTTTCCAGCTTCATCCATGTCCCTACAAAGGACATGAACTCATCCTTTTTTATGGCTGCATAGTATAGCAAACGGAAGTTTAATAACATATATACCTCATGTATACTGGGAGATACCCAAAGAAATGAGCAAATCTCCAAGAGGTGACTTAGAATTCAGGCTTAAGCACCATCTTCTGCTGAAACAAAGAAAGAAGGGTGTTGGGAAGGCCAGTAATGGGGATGTGACTGGAAACAGCACAGTAAATAAGAGTAAGGCTTGTTATGCAGATTTAGGTGGGTGGGTCTCTAGTAATTTAATCATCTTTCCCTTCTTCGTACAGAGAGGGAGACACACTTACAAATGGACATTTTTCTTTATAGGTGTAAGTTTCCCTTACAAAAGGGAAATGTTTGTGTTTTCAAAACTTCTCTTGTGTCTAGTGTCTAAAAATGATCAGCTCAAAGTAATCTTTACGCCAAAGAGGCATATTTTGGGGTAGCACGTCCTCATCTCATACACCACTCTGTACAGACCATGACCCTACAGCAATGACACTCCCTCAACTCTATTAGAAATAATTGGATAATAACTTCTTTTATACTATTTGCTTTCTCTTATCTGTAGCAGACACTTGTGGTGCCTCAACCACTTCCCTTGGCCACTAGATTTCAGCACTGCTGCGAAGGACAAGTCTGTGCAAGCAACCAGCATCCCACCTCAAGCTGTGCTGTGGCATCTCACAATTTGGATTTCTCTGCAGTCACTGAAAGCAACTCAGCCTGCCTCTCCCCTAAACAGGCACACTTGGAAGTGCATGGTGCCAAAGTGCCTCTAGCAAAACCCACAATCAATGGGAGACTGAATTAATAGACGGGTGTCCCAGTCTCCCTGTCCTTCCCTGAAACATGTCTGAGGGATTCCACAAAGTTTCTTAGAAGCTCTTCAACAGAATGGAGCCCCAGTTTTCCACAGGGGTAGCTAGCTCAATAACTCCATGTTTTCCCATGCCTCTACTCTCTCACTTCTGCTTCCTGGGATTAATTCCCAAAGAAACTACCTGAGCCCACATACTTGTCTCAGGCCCTCTGCTTTCAGGGAAACTCAAATGAGGACATTCTTCTCGAAGACAACTGGAAGACATTTCAGTCTCATGGACAAGACCCTCTAAGTTGATGTTCCCCTTAAGAGTGAGAAATAAAAATAAAATCCTGAGCCCCCCAACCAGCTGAATAGAACTCTCTCTTGGCAAAGGGTACTGCAGAGAAACCTTGAAAACTGTGCTCCTGGCCATGATGACATGGAAGATTGAACATGCCTCGTTCACCTCCCCTGCAACCTTGCTAACAGCCATGAGGCTTTCTTTCTTAAGGGTTAAACAGAAACCAGCCATTGGGAAAGACTGGCTCCGCCAGTGATTTCCACCAACCTTGTGACTATCCTTCCTTTTGCAGTTTTGACAAAACGACCACTCAGCTTTCCTTCCTGACAAAAGAACACCGAACATGAAGTGGCTCTGGCCGGTTTATAGAGGATGCATAGTGAGGGTTTTTGTGTTGCCTGCTTCACCTTTTGAGTCAGAGGGCTGAAAACTCCATCCTCAGATTATACTAATGCCACCATATTTTGAACATGATGCCCATGGACAGGCATGAAGCTCAACTATGTGCACGTTTCTCTTTTCGTATATTTGTGCCTTTTCCTATAGCTGATTAAATATGTATATTCAGGTGGGGCATGGTGGCTCATGCCTGTAATCCCAGGATTTTGGGAGTCTGAGACGGGAGGCTCACTTGAGGCCAGAAGTTCAAGACCAGCCTGACCAACATGGCGAAACCCCGTCTCTACTAAAAATACAAAAATTGGCCAGGCTTGGTGACACACGCCTGTAACCCCAGCTACTTGGGAGGCTGAGGCATGAGAATCACTTGAACCTGGGAGGCAGAGGTTGCAGTGAGCCAAGTTGGGGCCACTGAACTCCAGCCTGGGCAACAGTGAGACTCTGCCTCAAAAACAAACAACTGGAAGGCCGAGGCAGATGGATCACTTGAGGTCAGGAGTTTGAGACCAGCCTAGCCAACATGGTGAAACCCCATCTCTATTAAAAAATGCAAAAATAAGCCAGGCGTGGTGGTGGGTGCCTGTAATCCCAGCTACTCGGGAGACTGTGACAGGAGTATCACTTGAACCTGGGAGGCAGAGGTTGCAGTGAGCTGAGATTGTGCCACTGCACTCCAGCCTGGGTGACAGAGCAAGACTCTGTCTAAACAAACAAACAAACAAACAAACAAAAATGTATATTCAACCACCGCATTCAGCATAAATTCCTGTCTTATTCTTCCCTCCCTCAAAGTGCCGGTTTCTGGCTTCTGGCAGGAGGCTACACTTCCAACCCTGTCAGAATGGCCACCCGAGGGCTGCAATTCTTTATAAAAAACAAAGCTCACCTTTCTAAATTTATGAACCTCATCATTCTTCAGTTGACAAGAGAAACATTTTATTAGTCTTTCCCCAAATTTTGGAATTAGCCTCTAACGTAGTACATACATCCCCATTATGCAACCCCAAGTATTTCAGGCCTTTTAAGTGGCATCTCATTATCTGACTACCTACAGCACTACATGATTTCAATAAAATGGTCAGTGGTGAAATTGCTGAAACCTAAAACTAGAATACAAGGCAATCTTCCCATGTACCTAAGAAGAAATCTGTGGTCATATTTTCAACATGAATGCCAAAATTCTATACATGCTTTTGTTTGTACAGACTACTACAGTATATAATACAGAGCTGGATGCAGTGGCTCACACCTGTAATCCCAGCATTTTGGGAGGCTGAGGCGGGTGGATCACTTGAGGTCAGGAGTTCAAGACCAACCTGGCCTACATGGTGAAACCCCGTCTCTACTAAAAATAGAAAAATTAGCCAGGCATGGTGGTGCACACCTATAATCCCAGCTACTTGGGAGGCTGAGGCAGAAGAATCACTTGAACCTGGGAAGTGGAGGTTGCAGTGAGCCAAGATCGTGCCATGGCACTCCAGCTTGGGTGACAGAGCAAGACCCTGTTTCAAAAAAATTAAAAATAAAATTTATATATTTTTAATTATTTATTTGTATATAAAATATGTATAATAAAATATGTTATGAAAAGTACAAAGACTGCTAAGATTTCAAGCTGTTTCGATAGGATTTTTTGTATTGAAAAATCAGTACTAATTTTCAAATGTAAGACACAAGAATTTAAATATCATAATGAGCAACTCTTTCAAGGAAAATTGAAAAGAGATAACACAGAACCTGGTGACATTTTTACAACAAATATATTTTTAAGATTTTGAACTTTAAATTACAACCAATTAAGTAAAACCAGTTCTATTTTAATACAAAATCATTATAAAATATGTATTTGTTGAATTGTTTCATTATTTTTAGAATAATGCCAGTTAAATGCTTCTTCCTCTGGTCTAACATAGAAGGTTTGTTAATGAGAGAAGAAAACTTCTTATGTCTGCTGGAGTCAACACAGTTTTTCCAAGATGGAGAATTTGACACATTCAGAAGTTAATATTGGCTAAAAGAGTTACGATAATTGGCCTTTTTCGGATCATATTAGATTGAGTCTTCTCGAGTCGCTAAATCATTGTTCTTAATTTTCATTGTCTTAGAATATAAACTAGCTGACTTGGAGTCAGGGGTTCAATTCATTTTGAATAAGACTTAACACCCCCCCTTACATTAATAGGCTCTTAAGGCTGTTACTGCTTAGGAATGGTTTGGGTAATGAATAGGTGTATTGTCCCTGAAATTAAACTTGCTTTTAAAGCAAGGCAAAGACTTTTTGCAATTAAAATGTTTGAATCTTTTTGAAACATAAAATAACTACTTAAAGGAGTAAATATATGTATATTCATTAAATTCAAAAACAAATTTCCATCTACAAAATCAGAATTCTCTCATCAGTTCTTACGGTAATTTTATTTATTACTTTGCTTTCATTTGAATTTTTTCTTCATGAATTGTCTTCCCTTTAAAGAAATGGCTTTTTACAAAATACTAATAGTGCCTCACATTTGCTTGGCACTTTCAAGAACCGAAATGACTTTAACTTAACATTTTTTTAACTGAGGCCCAAAAAACTTTGTCAGACAATGATAATATCCTGTTTTACTGAAGAAACTGAGGTCACACTGCTAGTAACTGGCAATATCCGCATTCAAATCCAGGTCTTCCAGCTCCAAGTTTAACAATAAGCCATTTGTTCCACAAGTATTAACATTTCCAAAAAGAATTCTGTAAAAATCACTTCAAGCATTCCACAAAGTGAAATAGAAGCACAATTCTCAGCAGTGGTATTCAAAGTCAAAAAGGGAGGTTTCTCCCTCATGGAATGAACTTGAGCAGTTAGTTAAGCAGAGAACACCAGCTCATCTAGAAGAGTCGATGGTCACCTCCCAGATTTTTGGACTCTAGGAAACATGGTTTCATTGAGCCTGCAAGACAACTGCAGCAAACTGATAAAATATGATAGCTTTAAAGGATTCATTTTGATCTATCCAGTCATTGATCCATAAAGTAAAAAATCTCTCTTAAGTACAACTTGACACAATAGACTGTGAAAATTCTGTGGGACCTGTTGGGGTTTATCACATGAATGGCATTCTGCATTCATTTGATAGATAAGAGCAAATCTTAGAGACATGCTAATGCTCAGGAAAGAAGTGACCATTGATCAATGACATGACATGGTAGGGCGTTAATCATGCAATCCCAACCAAATGTCCCCTGTGGTTCCACCTGAATAATCCATGACCTGCTTCTGTGTGTTAATCTTAACTTTACTGTGTGTATTAGAGTTCTCCAAAGAGATAGAACCAATAGGCGGGAGATAGATAGAAGATAGATAGATGTTACTAGAAAAAGGGTCTTGTCCCAGACCCCAAGAGTGGGTTCTTGGATTTCAGACAGGAATGACTTCAGTGTGAGTAGCAGAGTAGAGTGAAATTAAGATAGTTTACTAGAGACTACTCTTATTACAGAGTAGGGCATCCTCAGAAAGCGAGAGAAGGAACGCCCCTACGTCAAACATAATGCTTGCTTATATACAATGTTAGAACTAAGAATAATGTGCTTTATTATTATACAAAGGCTTGTGATTAGCTTGTAACAGTCTATTAGTATTGTTCTTCTTTTGTTTACCTATTGATATCAGCAAGAATTTATGGATGTACTATAATCTTTAAAGCGAAACCTATTCCTAAACTAAGAATGCTTTTTATTCTGTTGCATAGGCTGGGGTGCAGTGGCACAATCATGGCTCACTGCAGCCTGGATGTCCCCATACTCAGGTAATCCTCCCACCTCAACCTCTTAAGTAGCTGGGGTCACAGGTGTGTGCCATCACTCTTGGCTAATGTTTGTATTTTTTGGAGAGATGGAGTTGCACTATATTGCCCAGTCTGGTCAAGTGATCCACCTGCCTCAGCCTCCAAAAGTGCTGGGATTGTAGGTGTGCACCACCTTGCCTGGTCTGTTCTTAAGATATCTGGATATCAGGACATTTCCTTAAGTTCTGGGTCTTAATTAGCATAATTAACTTGTTCCTTCAACCATAAACATCTTATGACCAAGAGTACCTAAATTCCTGGGAATGTAACCTAGAAGGTCTCACTTCATTCAGCCTTTATTGAAGAGTGAATCACTCTGGTTTGGATGCCAATGGCAGATAGTTACATAGATAACAGGAAATTTATTAGGGGAATTGGCTCACATGATCATGGAAGCTAAGAAGTCCCACCATAGGGAGTCTGCAAGCTGGAGAATCAGGAGAGGTGGCAGCACGGGTCAGCCCAAGTCAGAAAGCCTCAGAACAAAAGAAGCTGACGATGTAACTCTCAGTCTGAGGCTTACAGCCTGATTACACAGAGGGCTGCTTCTTTTATGAGTCCTGGAGCCCAAATGCTGGAAAACCTGGGATTCTGATGTCCAAGGGCAGCAGAAGAGGGTGTTCCAGCTCCAGAAGAGAGAGAAATCAAATTCACCTTTTCTCTGCCTTTTTGTTCTATGTGGTCCCCCAGCCGATTGGATGGTGCTCACCTGTGTTGAGGGTGGATCTTCCCGGTTTAGTCCATCTAAGAGATTGGTGTGACACACCCAGACAGAATGTCTTACCAGTTATGTAGGTATCCATTAATCCAGTCAAGTTGACACCTAAAATAAACCATCACACTATGCTTCTGTCTTACTAGCAGTTATAATTTGAGGAAATGGATCCCTATCCTTCATATAAAATGTATGGCACTCTGTGACTTAGTAAAGTAATAAATGACTTAACACCTGTGGAAAATATTTAAAAGCATTAACATTGATGTTACAGTAAGGTAGCATCACAAAGTCCAGGACTATTTCTTAGGAGCAAAGAAATAAAAAGGCACCATAACAAGGCCAGGTGCAGTGGCTCATGCCTGTAATCCCAGCACTTTGGGAGGCCAAGGCAGGTGGATCACAAAGTCAGGAGATCGAGATCATCCTGGCTAACATGGTGAAATGCCATCTCTACTGAAAATACAAAAAAAAAAAAAATGAGTCGGGCGCGGTGGTGGGCGCCTGTAGTCCGTCCCAGTTACTCGGGAGGCTGAGGCAGGAGAATGGCGTGAATCTGGGAGGCAGAGCTTGCAGTGAGCCGAGATCGTGCCACTGCACTCCAGCCTGGGCGACAGAGCGAGACTCCATCTCAAAAAAAGAAAAAAAGACGGCATCTTCATGGAGGGATGGCCTGGCCGAGGCCAGCAGAGCCTAAGCAGAATGCAACAGCACCCGTGGATGGTGGAGAGTAGAATGGCAATGGAAGCTTAGCCACATATAGCGGACTGTTGGAGGGAAACAGGTGTGATGAAATAAATAAATATATTCAGTATAATTGGCAAACCAGGTTTCTCAACTGTCAGAGAAGAAAGCTACAAATATTGAAATGAAAGAAAAATAGAATGAACTCAATGGTATTGAACTGAAATGGAAGGAATTGGTATGAATTTATAAATGTATATAAATGTAGACATATAAGTAACATATATATGGGTGCATGTCTGCATATTATTATATATTCCTTAGTTTTTGTCCTCTGAAACAGTCTGGAGGCAGTGGCACCCCAAGAGTAATGAGTACATTTAGCAACCAAATCTTGGCTTCTAAATACTATTCTCGTTACAAAGAAACAGGACCCTTTAGCAAAATGACCAATTCCTGGATGGGAAAGAAAAAGTACAAAATGAGCCTAGAATCTTTTGCTGTACCAGAAAGTCAGGAAATACTTAAAGAATAATAGAGAAATATCAAAAGATTATAAAAGCAATCAAAGTGGTGCCCACAGCAACAATTGGAACATTAAAATAAATAATCATAGTAGTGGATTTTAGTCCATTAAATAAGTAGACCACAAATCTATAAAGGTATAAAGAAAGAGGCCAGGTGTGGTGGCTCATGCCTGTAATCCCAGCACTTTGGGAGGCCCAGGCAGGTGGATCACCTGAGGTCAGGAGTTCATGACCAGCCTGGCCAACATGGTGAAATCCTGTCTCTACAAAAAGTACAAAAACTAGCTGGGTATGGTGGTGGGTGCCTGTAATCCCAGCTACTTAGGAGGCTGAGACAGGAGAATCACTTTAACCCAGGAGGCAGAGGTTGCAGTGAGCCGTGATCATGCCATTGCACTCCAGCCTGGGTGACAAGAGTGAAACTCTGTCTCAAAAAAAAAAAAAAAAAAAAGAAAGAAAGAAAAGAAAAAGAAAAGATATAAAGAAAGAAATGAATAACATGAAAGTTTGAAGAGGAATGAGATGTTTGCAGAGTTTTAAAGTACTTCACCATGAAATACTTATTATTTCTTAAAGAGGAAAGAGTAAACGACTGTGAAGAAACCTGGCAATCACCACTTTAACCCAGTTATCACAGAGGCATCATCAGTAACTGAACAAGTCACAGTCATGCACCACAGACAGCATGCAATGAGGGAGCAGCATTATTTCTGTGATATCCCTGCCAAAGATGCATGGATTTAATCATGAGATAAAATCAGCCAAATCCATATTAAGTGATAGTCCACAAAATATCTAGGCTATGAGTTTCAAAATTGTCAAATTTATGAAACTCAAGAAAAAATTTAAACTTTCCAAAGCCTACAAATGCTTAAGAGACAGGGCAGTAAAATGCAGCCCATGATTCTAAACTGGATCCTCTTTCTACACAACTGGCAAGCTTGATGTTAATAATATCAAGGTTAATTTCCTGATTTCAATGGTTGTATTTTGTTGTATGATAGTGTCTTCATTTGTAATCTACCGAGGCATTCTGGGGTCATAAGGCATCGTATTGGCAATTTGCTTTCAAATGGATGAGGAGAGGGAGCAAAAATTCTTTGTATTTTCTTCCAACTTTCTTGAAATTTTATTCTTGTTTAAAAAAATGTCAAGCTTGATGAATTGTTATAAATATTTGGTATATATTATTAAATGCATAAGTATATGACATTAAATTTTCGTAAAATAAAATGAATATATATAACCTGTAAGAGTTGCACTCCATACTTTAAATGATGTTCTTATTGTAAACCCTATACAGAGTATAGATTAAAACAAACTGATTAATTTATCATATGATATAAATAAATCAAATGGTGAGTAATTGAACAAATTAAATTGGACTCAGCTACTATCCATCCCCCAATCTACATTCAAGCAGAAGTAGAAGTAAGAGAAATCATTCAATAAACTACAGTTCTATTTAGCTTCACAGAATAGCAAAATGACATCTGTTAAGCTCCTTGTTTGCCCTCTCTGGGCATTTCCGTACAAATTTGACTATGAAAAAAGCTGGTCTAACATCAAATTAAAAGGAAGAAGGAAATGATTTTATGCCTGAAAATGATACAACCCCTTTTCTTTCCTTTGTGCAATGTGATTTAAACATGTTTATAAATTATTTTAATATTTGATTTAATAATTAAATTTTACGGTTAGCATTTGTTTCATTATACCAGTAAGTGATAACTGGTAAAAATAAAGTTGCAGATTGTCATTCCAGCTTGCCAAGGTTGAAATAGATGTTCTAGAATGGTGTTTCCTCCCCCAAATATTCCTGATTATATCAATGTTATTTCAGCCCATATGTAATTACCATTCACCATTTTTTCAATTGCTTTTTCTTAAGCAATTATAATTAACTGGCACCATGTCCTGTTTATAAGAGGCAATGTCAGGCAGTGAAAAGAAGACTCAACAAGAGACAGGAGCCAGCTCTGCCACAATCTAATGGTGACTTTGGATGAAAACTTAACCTCAGTATGTCTCCGCTTCTGCTTATATAAACTACAGTACCAAGCAAGACAATTTCTAATGTTCCATTGAATTTGTCTTATGTCTTCATTTGCATTCAAACTATTGTCTTAATTAAATTGCAATGACCAACTTTAATTTCCTTTTACTTTTTCTTAGTGCCTAGTTTGTTGTTGTTTGTGTGTTTGCTTTTCATATGGCCTCATAACTTGTCAACAAGCTCGGTAACTTGTCTTAAATTTGTAGAGGTTTTCTATAAAATAGTACAAAATTTATCCACTGTAAGCAAACATGTTATTTCTGTGTTGTTTCAATTCATGCTTCCAATTTTGAACCTGCTAAAAAAAATGCATTTTTAGGGGGATAAAAGTCTGCTATATGTCAATGTCAACCATCTCTGTGTTTGTCTTCTGATATGCGCACCTGAGAACCATTATACTAGAGTATAATTTATACTCTAGTAGTATAAATTATATTAAAAATCCAGGCTATTTATAGGATACCAATGAATCCATAAATATAAAAATGTATGTACTGTAGAAGCAGTGATAGAATCTATAAAATGTAGAATTTCTATAAAACATACATTTGCTAATTCAAGATACTCCTAGGTTATTTTTCTTATTAAGGCTTTTCTTAGAAATTAACAATAAAGATGTAAATATCGATTTAGAAGAAATGAGCAATGAATTTGGTTATAATTGTTTAAAAGTTTAATGTTTCTTGGTATATATAATTTAATTATGTATATGTTAATTAAATGTATAACTTAATTTATGCCTATTGTTTCATTACGTGAATTATTTGCAGAATATAGGCTTTTAACAATGTGGTAAGATGGATGGAGGTTGCTAGGTAATATAATTCATTCCTCATAAGTTAACTTACTCAGGGATGGAACGTTGAAATGAAGAACTCTTTGGTAACATCAGATAAAATATTATTTTAATTAGGTATTTACTCTTTTATAAAAAGTCCACTTAATACAAATGAATTTTTAAAAATTCAACATCCCATAAATTCCAAGACTCTCTATAGGCTTTAAACTGACACCAGCACAAACACATTGATAAAATTTCTTTTTCTTTTTTTCTTTTTTTTTTTTCCTGAGGCAGGGTCTCACTCTGTCACCCAGGCTGGAAGGCAGTGGTGCCATCTCAGCTCACTGCAGCCTCAACCTCCCAGGCTCAAGCAATCCTATCTCAGCCTCCTGAGTAGCTGGGACCACAGGTGTGCACCACTACCCCTGACTAATTTTTTTATTTTTCACAGAGACAGGATTTCACCATGTTGCCCAGGCTGGTCTTGAACACCTGGGCTCAAGTAGTCCACCTGCCTCAGCTTCCCAAAGTGCTAGGATTACAAGCATGTGCCACCTCGCCTGGCCTAAATTTTCAATGATAAAGATAATTCATATAGATAGTCGGGGACAGCAGTGGGCATCTGTAGGCCCAGCTACTTGGGAGGCTGAGGCGGGAGGGTCCCATGAGCCTAGAAGTTTGAGGCCATCCTGGGAAACATTATGAGGCCCCATCTCTAATATGAATAAATAAATAAATAAATTGTTCCCACAAGTTAAGACACAGAAGTAAGAGAGTTCTTCTCAGACAGTGTGGTTTTATAAAAAGGAAAACACTACAAAAGAACCACCATAAATAATTTTTAAGTACTTCGAAAATGTATTCCTATCAATTCAACTCAGATCATAGTCAAAATATTCATCAGAATGTAATAAGCCATATTAGCAAGTAATAAACTCCTATTCTCTAGGACATAACATTCAAGCTACTTATCCAGAAATCCAGTTGTTCTATGCAGCAAAATTACATGTACAAATAATATATTTAATTTACTAAAACAAAATCCTCAAAGTTACAAGAAACCCGATATAATAAAAAGATATTCACAATTACTAGTGGCTATGGTTATTGGATGGATTAGAGATCAACAAGAAGAAATAAATCAAGATAGTAAACTCTATAATGTATAAGAGAAGGTAGTTTAATCTCTCCATGGGGGAGTTCTTGTTCCCAGAATCTCAAAAAATTTTATACCTTGGATACTAATAATCAGCAAAATGCTCCCAGTGGTATAAGTAACATTTTCATTTTTCAGGGAAAAAAATTAAGATACAGAATAGTTAATGAAGAATATTCACCAATTAATTTACCATAACTATAAGCTTGTGGGGTTTTTTTCCTGGGGGAAAGAAGAGATCCATTTTTCCCTGTGCCAATTCTGGAATATGAATTAAGGGAAGAGTTTAAGGCAATGGGAAGGGGTTTGGATATTTTTTAATATTTGAAATCTCTAGGAAACCACACAAATGTAGACACAGCCTATAAACCCCCAGACATGATTAGCAAAAAGCATGGAACGAGAAATGACACAATCCTGCATACTTGGCTTGGGAGCTCATTCCTGCCTCTTCATGTCTGTAACTGCAGCAACAACCACAGGACCCAGCACGTAAGAGGTGCTCTCTAAATATTGGTTGAATCAATAAATTAATGAACCTTAATCTCAACTGTACAGTCTTTTCATTTGAAAAATCAGAAAAGAACTTCTTGTCCAGTGTCTGACTCAGCGCTTGGTGTTTTCCTTTATGCTCATACTCAAGCTTTGTGCTTCTTTGGATTTTCCAAAACTCCTCTGGCCCTACTGCCACATCAGCACAACGTGACTGAGATGTACATTCCACCTTTTGATCATTTAGGGTGGAATCTGACTGTTTAATTTTCCTTGCCCTTTGGGAACCCAGTTTAAAACATTTGTAATCTTTGTCCTCTCCAAACAACATATTTTAGTTCACACTTAATAAAATGTGCTAAAGATTCTATTTATGTATGATTCATAATGCTAATGAATTCATCAATCCCATTATCACACATCATTCTGTAAATGTCAAACAGGCTGTAGCTGACAAGTTCATTGCCATTAAATATAAGTGCATAGATGTGTACACATTTGCCCTTGATGAGGGTCATCCATGGCCAACCTTTGACTTTCTATGTTTCTGCTATTTGAATGTCAATAATTGTATATAATTTTCACATTATTCTGTGACTACATGTCAAAATTTCCAAACATCTATGCACATTTTTATATAATTAAATGTGTGTCCTTTACTACTTTGTAAATGAGTGCCCTCTTTTTGAAAGTGGTTAAATCCTTCTATTTTAACATTTGCATTTGCTTCTCCTCCTGCCCTTTTCTGCTTCCCTCACCTTCTTACTAGTTTCTTCCAAAACTAGTAAGTTCAATAAACCACTTGCATAAGGATCTCTATCTCAGGTTCAGCCTCTAGGAAACCTCAACTAAGACTCTCTGAAAGCATCCACTTGTCCCAAACGGCAATAATAATCTTTATCTGCACAAGGCTTGGCTACATATAGGACAATATTAGAAAGTTCTTAGCCTGGGCGCAGTGGCTCACGCCTGTAATCCCAGCACTTTGGGAGACCGAGGCAGACGGATCACGAGGTCAGGAGATCAAGACCATCCTGGCTAACACGGTGAAACCCCATCTCCACTAAAAATACAAAAAATTAGCCAGGCGTGATGGCGGGCGCCTATAGTCATAGCTACTCAGGAGGCCGAGGCAGGAGAATCACTTGAACCCTGGAGGAGGAGCTTGCAGTGAGCCGAGATCGCACCACTGCACTCTAGCTTGGGCAACAGAGTGAGACTCCATCTCAAAAAAAGAAAAAAAAAGAAAGTTCTTTAGAACTTAATTTTTCTTTTTTTTTTTTTTTTAGCAATTCATGTGTCACTTTAGAAAGGAGATAATTCATGACGTTTTATTCCCATGCAGCATTTGATGACAAATGAGGCACAGAGATGTTAATGGCTTGTCTGATGCCACACAGCTATCTAGGGGACAGTTATAAATCATTGCATAATCCCATTGGTGAGCTGTATGTTAAGCAATTATATCTCTCCTTCTTTGAAGATTCTTTATCCCAGAAGCCCTTATGATCCAGCAACACTAGATTACTTGTACTATGCTTGTTTCTCACATAAGCTGTGTCTTAGTTTACACTTTTCTCCATGCCTGGAAAGCCTCCTTGCCCCACTCCAGCCCCTGTATACCTCCACTTCCTACTCATATCTACCTTTCAGGTAGCATCATTCAGTTACTCCAAGATGAGTTGGGAGCATCTCATCAATATCATATTGTATTAACCAAGTTGTTATAACACAACAACCAGATTGTTCACATTTTATTCTTAGATGTATGCCAGTAGTGCCCACGAGTTCCTCTCTTCATTTTTGAAAGCTGTACGGCTGCACCAGGTGTGGAGGCTCATGCCTGCAATCCCAGCACTTTGGGAGGTCAAAGTGGAAGATCGCTTGAGGCCAGGAGTTTATGACCAGCCTGAGCAACACAGCAAGGCCCTATCTCTAAAAAATAAATAAATAAATAAATTCGCCAGCCGTGATGGTGTGCACCTGTAGTCCCAGGTGTCTGGGAGGCTGAGGCAAGATGATCACTTCAGCCCAGGAGTTCAAGGCTGCAGTGAGCTAGGATCACACCACAGCACTCCAGCCTGGACTAGAGAGTGAAATCCTGTCTCAAAACAACAACAATAAAGAAAGTCATACATCTTTATTATGCATATATGTATGCATGTATGTATGTATGTATGTATGTATGTATGTATGTATGTATTTATTTATTTTGAGACAGAGTCTTGCTCTGTCGCCCAGGCTGGAGTTCAGTGGTGCAATCTCGGCTCATTACAACCTCCGCCTCCCAGGTTCAAGCAATTCTCCTGTCTTAGCCGCCCAAGTAGCTGGGATTACAGGCATGCGCCACCACACCTGGCTAATTTTTGTATTTTTAGTAGAGACAGGGTTTCACCACGTTGGCCAGGCTAGTCTCGAACTCCTGACCTCAAGTGATCTGCCTGCCTCGGCCTCCCAAAGCGCTGGGATTACAGGCGTGAGTCACCATGCCGGGCCCCACATCTTTATTTTTGATCCACATTTACTGCCTCTAGCTAAAGGCAGACATACACAAGTAAATAGAAAAAGCATGATACTCAAAGTATCACAGCAACCCTGTAAGTTGGGCATACCAGATGTTCCCATAAGGTAGCCTACAATTATGACTGCTGTGAATAAAAGTTGTCACTAGTGTCAGGCTCCATCTTGACCCAGGAGAGACTAGAATCCGATACGCCTACTGAAGCTGCCCAGTGCCTACAATAGTACTTGGTATGCAGTAGGTGCTCAGTCATTATTAACTTAAGATTCTTACAGGAAAGTCTTTTAGGGGGATAATGGTACAGTCCTTAACTCTTGATCTTCCCTGTAACAGAAAAACCAAGAGAAGGCTGAAACCCAGCAATTCCACTCCTAGGCATATACTCAAAGGAAATTTTTTATTTTTAATGCCCACACAAAGACTTATGCACATATGTTTACAGCAACAGTATTCATAATGGCCAAAAGGTGGAGACAACCCAAATGCCCATCAATTGACAAACAGACAAATGAAATAAGGTATACCATCCAGTGGAATGGTATTTGGTCATAAGAAGAAATGAAGTACTGACACGTGATACAACATGGATGAACTTTGAAGACATTATGTTAAGTGAAAGAAGCCAATCACAAAAGACCACATAATGTATGATTCCATTTATATAAAATACCCAGAACAAGGAAATCTACAGAGAAAGAATGTAGATTAGTGGTTGCCTAGGGCTGGGGGAGAGAGAAGCAGAGGGGTTTGTTTTTGAAGTGATGAAAATGCCCTCAAATTGACTGTGGCAATGGTGGCACACCTCTGTGAATATACTAAAAACTATTAAATTGTACAGTTTAAATGAGTGAATTGTACGGTATGTGAATTATAGCTCAATAAGGTGATGAGAAAGAGTGAAGGCTGAAATATGTCAGACTAAAGGCCACCCATCAGAATCCTCCCAATACTTTCACAAGAATGATGTCAAACTTTTGTTGAAGATGTCCCAGCCTGGCTCTCATTTTTCCTTTGTCTATTTTTAAGGCCCTGAGCAGAATTCACTTAAGACTCAGACTGCTTTAGCCAACTATCACATTGTGATCTCTTTTTGTCATATATAATAACCAGCTAAACCAGATGAAAAATCTTTGTCTAAATTGAGTCCACAGTCTCGATACCCAACTAGCATTTATTGAATGCCCATTGGTGCCAAGCCCTTCGCAGATGTCATCCCTAAGCCTCATAATAGCCCCAGGAGCCTCATAATAGCCCCAGGGAGTATGTTGCATTATCCTCATTTTGTAGAGGAGGATAGAGACTAAGCTTAGCTAATAGGAATGATGTCACCATGTGGGAAATGATGGACCCCGGTTTAACATGGATGTGTCTGATTCACAAAATCCGTGCTTTATTGACAAATTATGTACTCAGTCTAGCACAGAAATGCATAAAACCAGAACAAGAGGGGGAATAGAGTGTAGACTGTCTGATAAAGATAATCTGATTCAGTGTTCCAACGTAGAGCAGTGATGTGAGAATCCTGTTTTAAAATCCTGCCCTAATGGCATGGACAATGACAAAGAGTTCGCCTGGGTCTGGGGCTACTCAAGCTGTCTGTTTGAAGAGGGAGCTTTTAAATGTTTTTCCAGCTGGGCAAGCAAAAGAGCATACTCCCAGGTCAGTTTCTTTTGAAAAAGAACTATACTCTCATTCCTTAACTCTAGTTATCAGTTTTATTCTACCAACACTTGGTGTCATCTATGAAGCCATGTCTACTTCCCTGTGTTAAAATACCAGATTGCTTCTTTCCCACTCTGAGCATCAGTACGTAGACAGAGAAGCATCCACACAAACTTTTTTTCCCCAGTCGACTTCCTGATTTTTTTCTGCGAGCACGTGTGAGGGCACTCTTCTCTGTTGCTTTTCTCTCCATAACATCCTTTCCTTCATTTTTCTTGGTGCCCTTTTATCTAGACATTGTCCTCCAACCACCCCCTCTTTGGCAACTTAGTTTCAAGTTATTTCCATGGTCGATTGGTCAATCCTTTGTCACGTGATCCTCCACAAGCAATGCAAGCCGTTTCTTGCTTATAATAATCTGGAATCCTAGCATCAGGTCTAATAAATCAAATCCAGCTTTGCTACCACTTAAATGGCAAGTGGTTGCTCATTTTCCCATCGTCCTTTCTCCCCCAGAGTAAGTAACTTCAACTGTCAGAAAATAAGAAAAGATCAGCTCCACACAAATGAAAGCAAGCAGGCAGACTGGATTGTTAAAAGACTGGCATGAGAATACACAGAAAAAAGAAACTGACACCTCTGGAAGCTGATGCTCGCACGGATTCACCAGGAAATTCATGCCAGACTAATTTCTATTAGATAAGTGTGGCCAACATGGAATTTTTGGACTTTAGCAGAGCATGTGACTAAGACTCTCATGATACTTTTCTGGAAAAGCTATATTGGGTTAAATAAGAACATAATTCTATATAATCATATACAGCTGCCTTAAGATTGAGTATATTATAGTATGTTTGTATTCTGAAAGGAATGTTCTGTAGAGATCATCCAACATTTGCGACCTCATCACCACCACCTAGACCTGCATGGTCCACTGCACATGTGGTTACCGAGCGCTTGAAATGTGTCTGCTCTGAACTGGGATGTGCTTGAAGTGTAAAATGCACACAAACTTGGAAGACTAACTATAAAAAAACAAGGATGACAAATATCTCAGTAATGTTTATACTGATTGCATGTTGAAATGATATTTGGGGCTGGGTGTGGTGGCTCATTTGTGTAGTCCCAACATTTTGGGAGGCTGAGGTGGTAGGACTGCTTGAGGCCAGGAGTTTGAGGCCAGGAGTTTGAGACCAGCCTGGTCGACAAAGCAAGATGCTGTCTGTATTTTTTTTTTTTAAGAAATTTGCAAAAACAACAAAAAAAGAAATAATATTTTGCATACATTGGATAACAAAATATACTATTAAACTAAGTTTACTTGTTTCTTTTCTAGTAAGGTCAATAAAAGATTTAAAATTATCTGTACTACATTTATGTTGATTGTGCTGATTTAGACCAGCATGGCAAATCTCCATGTGCCCTTTACCCAATTTGTATTTGTCACCCAAGAAGCCCTAGATTCCCAGCCCATCTCTCATTGCTCATCAGCCTTGAACACTTCTCAATCTCATCCCGTCCCCCATCCCTGCACAAATCCTGAGTGCCTTTCTTTGCACCTGTGGAACCCATGATCCATCAGTAACACAGTTCCCCATCCTTCATCTCTACTCTGCACATTTCCTCCACATTCTTACTCTAACTCCGTGGTTCTTAAACACGTATCTGGCCTGTAATCCCAGCACTTTGGGAGATTGAGGTGGGTGGATCATTTGAGGTCAGGAGTTCAAGGCCAGCCAGGCCAACACAGTGAAACCCCATCTCTAATAAAAATACAAAAAAAAAAAAAAAAACAGAACAAAAAAAATTAGCCAGGTGGTAGTAGCATGCGTCTGTAATCCCAGCTACTCAGGAGACTGAGGCAGGAGAATCGCTTGAGCCTGGGAGGCTGAGGTTGCGGTAAGCCAAGATGGCGCCACTGCACTCCAGTCTGAGCATCAAAGGGAGACCTTGTCTCAAAAAAAAAAAAAAAAAAAGCATGTCTGTGTTAGAATCACCTTGGGAGCTTTAAATAGATTGTTCGTTGCTCAGGCCCCATTTTCAGAATGTTCAATCAGATCCTTTGGCTACAAGGATGAGGCTTCTGATTTTTTTTTTTTTTTTTAAATAACTCACCCAGGTGATTCTAACATGCAGCCAGGATAGAGAACCACTCATTGGACTAGCCCCAGCTTTCTACCTACTGTAACAGTGCATTCATGCCAGTGAACATAAGTTGGAAAAAACTACACAGCATGCTGATTGGTTTCCCTAAATTAGAGATCACTAACCTAAAGTGGATATTTTAAAAATTATTTTTAGAGATGGGCTGGCTCTGGAGTGTGGTGGCCCACCATAGCTCACTGCAACCTCAAATTCCTGGGTTCCAGGGCTCCTCTGGCCTCAGCCCCCCAAGTAGGTAGCACTACAGATGAGCACCACAGATATGGTTTGGTTCTGTGTCCCCACCCAAATCTCATCTTGCAGCTTCCATAATGATTGAATTATGGGAAATGATTGAATTATGGGGGTGAATCTTTCCTGTGCTGCTCTCATGATAATGAATAAGTCTCATGAGATCTGATGGCTTAAAAAAAAAAATGGGAGTTTCTCTGCACAAGCTCTCTCTTTGCCTGCTGCCATCCACATAAGATGTGACTTGCTCTTCCTTGCCTTCTGCCAGGATTGTGAGGCCTCCCCAGGCATGTGGAACTGTAAGTTGATTAAACCTCTTTCTTTCGTTAATTGCCCGTTCTCAGGTATGTCTTTTAACAACAGCATGAAAACGGACTAATACAACCACCATACCTGACTTTTTTTTTTTTTTTTTTTTTGAGACAGAGTCTTGCTCTGTCACCCAGGCTGGAGTGCAGTGGCGCGATCTCAGCTCACTGCAAGCTCCGCCTCCCGGGTTCACGCCATTCTCCTCCCTCAGCCTCCTGAGTAGCTGGGACTACAGGTGCCCACCACCACGCGTGGCTAATTTTTTGTATTTTTAGTAGAGATGGGGTTTCAACATGTTACCCAGGATGGTCTTGATCTCTTGACCTTGTGATCTGCCCACCTCAGCCTCCCAGAGTGCTGGGATTACAGGCATGAGCCACCACACCCGGTCACACCTGACTAACTTTTAAAATTCTTTTTTGTTTGGAAGAGGTCTCACTACGTTGTCCAGGATGATCTTGAACTGGCCTCAAGCGATTCTCGCACCTCGGTCTCCCAAAGTGTTGGGATTACAGGTGTGGCCAGTTGTGGTGGCTTATGCCCAGCACTTTGGGAGGCCAAGGCAGGCAGATTGCTTAAGTCTAGGAGTTTGAGACCAGTCTGGGCAACATAGTGAAACCCTGTCCCTACAAAATATACAAAAATTAGTCGGGTGTAGTGGAGGCTGATGTGGGAGGATCACTTGAGTCAAGGAGGTTGAGGCTGCAGTGAGCCGAGATCGCTCCACCACACTCCAGTCTAGGTTATAGCACAAGACCCTGTCTCAAAGTTTTTAAAAAAGGGATGACGGGTGTGAGCCACTGTGCTGGCCTGAAGTGGATCTTAAAAGTTGTTCTGCAATTCTGCCATTTTCCCCGTGTCCCCTCACTCTCTCTATCTCCTAAAGATATAGTCTGCACCTTTTCCTCAAAGCTCCAGGTCCTTCTCCTAAGTAGCCTTTAGTGAGAAACAGAAGAAATCAGGAAAGACTTTCCACAAGCTCCCCGCAACCACATCTACTCACCTCTCTGCATAGGCGCTCATACATATGTCTGCCTTCCCTCATTTCTCAGCTCAGGCATGCTCAGCAGATCTTTCTGTAATGACCAAAATATTCTTTGTTGCTGCTGTCTAGTACTGTAGTCGCCAACCATATGCAGCTATTGAACACTTGAAATATGGCTAGCACAACGGATTTTTTTTTTCTTTTTTTTTGAGATGGAGTCCTGCTATGTCCTCCAGACTGGAGTGCAGTGGCACGATCTCAGCTCACTGCAACCTCCGCCTTCCAGGTTCAAGCGATTCTCCTGCCTCAGGCTCCCGAGTAGCTGGGATTACAGGGGCATGCCACCACATCCAGCTAATTTTTGTATTTTTAGTACAGATGGGGTGTTGCCATGTTGGCCAGGCTGGTCTCGACCTCCTGACATCACGTGATCCGCCCACCTCGACCTTCCAAAGTGCTTCCAAAGTGCTGAGGTGGCATGAGCCACCTAGCCCAGCCAGAAAAAATTTAATTGTCTTCATTTTAAATTAATTTACATTTAAATAGCTACATGTGGCTGTCTATAAGGTAATATAGCTAGAGATGTCAGTCCCATCTAAGACCAACTCCTGTGCTTGTATTCAGTGTGCCACTCTCTCTTATACTCTAGGACATTGTTCCAACAATTGTTCCTTCTCCTGCTTTGTCCATTTTCCTTTGTTACAGAATCATTCTCCTCTGCATACAAATATATTTTCACATATTCAATTAAAAAAAGCCTCTTTGCCAGGTGCGGCAGCTCATACCTGTAATCTAAGCACTTTGGGAGGCCGAGGCAGGAGGATCGCTTGAGCCCAGGGGTTCAAGACCAGCTGGGCGATACTCCACTCCCAAGCTGGAGTGCAGTGGTGCAATCACAGCTCACTGCAGGCTCGACCTTCTGGGCTTAGGTGATTCTCCCGCCTCAGCCTCCCAAGTAGCTGGGACTACAGGCATACACCACCACACCTGGCTAATTTTTGTATTTTTTTTCCTATGTGCTTCTACAAATATATGAAATGTTTTATGAATGTGCGTGTCATTCTTGCACAGGGGCTGTGCTAAACTTCTCCGTATCATTCCAATTTTAGTATAGGTGCTGCTGAAGCAAGCACTAATTTCTGTATTGTTTTGTACAGATGGGGCTTCACTATGTTGCCCAGACTGGTATTGAACTCCTAGGCTCAAGCTCATAAAAAAATTAGCTGGGTGTGGTGCACGTGCCTGTAGTTCCAGCTACTCAGAAGGCTGAAGTGGAAGGATCGCTTGAGTGAAGGAGGTTGAGGCTGCAGTGAGCTGTGATCCCACCACTGCACTCCAGCCTGGGTGACAAAGTGAGCTCCGTCTCAAAAAATAATAATAAAATTACCTTCTCTTGGTATCTCTCTTTAGCTACCTTCAGCTTTTTGCTCCCTTCACAGCAAAAGTCTTCCCAAAGAATATTTTAATCATTGCTGGACTCAAATTTCTTTCCCCTACTCTCTCTTGAGCCCACTCAAATCATACTTCTGTCCCCACCATTCTGAACTGGCTCTTGTCAGTGTCAGCAATGACCTCTCTATCACTAAATACAATGCAGTCCTTACCTTATTTGACACACAGTATCTGCAGCATCAACCCAGTAATCATTCTGTCCTCACGAAGCACATTCTTGACTTGGCTCCTTGGAAACCACCCTCTTTCTCTTCCTACTCCACTCGCTGCCCCTCCTCTGCTTGCTTCTCTTTTTCCTGCTCATCTTAACAACCTCAACATTTCCAAGTACACTAGGGCTTAATCCCAAATCCTTTACTTTGTTGGGGGGGTGCTCAGGGGGACCAGGTCTCACTCTGTGGCCCAGACAGGAGTGCAGTAGTGCCATCTCAGCTCACTGCAACCTCTGCCTCCCAGGTTCAAGCCATTCTCATGCCTCAACCTTCTGAGTAGCTGGGATTACAATGCCTGCCACCACACCTGGCTAATTTTTGTATTTTTGGTAGAGACAGGGTTTTGCCATGTTGGCCAGGCTGGTCTTGAACTCCTGGCCTCAAGTGATCCACTCACCTCGGCTTCTCAAAGTGCTGAGACTACAGGCATGAGCCACAATCCCCAGCCTCCAAAGCCTTCTTTTTGTCCTCATTTCACCCTAAGTGATCTCACTCAGTACCATCTGTATCCTTACCCTGACCACTCCTCTGAATTCTAAATTCATGCATCCAACAGCCTAGCTGGCATTTCAAACTCAAAGATGAGTAGGCATCTTAATCTTAATGTGTCCATACTGAACTCTTGGTCCTCCCCCTTAAAACCCACTGCTCCATCAGGAAAAATAGCTAATGGACGCAGGGCTTAATACCTATGTGATGGGTTGATCTGTGCAGCAAATCACCATGGCACACGTTTACCTATGTAACAAATCTGCACATCCTCCACATGTACCCCTGAACTTAAAAGTTGAAGAAGGAAAAAAAAGCCCGCTGCTCCTACAGTTCTTTCCATCTCAATGAATGTTAACTCCGTTCTCCAAGTTGCTGTGGCCAAAAGCCTTGGGTCATCTTTGACTCCTTTCTTTCTCTCACATCACAATTTCAGTTCATCAGAAAATCCTTTTGGCTCTAACTTCAGAATATATTCCAAAACTTCCCTCTCCTCACCACCTTCCACCCTCATGTACATTTCTGCAATAGCCTCCTCCTGGTTTTCTTCCTTCTGTCCTTGCCTCCCCATAGACTGCTTTCAGTACAGAAGCTAGAGTGATGCTTTTAAAATACGAGCCCAGTCATCACCTTCATCTGCTCCGAAACCCTCACTGGCTCCCCTTCTGCTCAAAGAACTTAAAATGGTTTTCAAGGTCTTATACTATCTGGCCCTTTTCCCCTCTGTGTTAGCTTTCTAGGACAGCCATAATAAAGTACCAGAGACTGGATGCCTTAAACAACAGAAATTTATTTTCTCACAATTCTGGAGGCTGGAAGCTGAGATGAAGGTGTCAGCAGGATTGGCTTCTCTGGGGGCTTCTCTGCTTGGCTTATAGATGGCTCTCTTCTCCCTGTGTCGTCACATGGTCTTCCCCCTGTGCCCATCTGTGTCCTAATTTCCTCTTCTTGTGAGGAAACCAGTCATATTGGATTATGGCCCACCCTAGTGACCTCATTTTAGGTCTTTAAAGACATTATCTCGAAATACAGTCATGTGCTGAGGTTCTGGGGCTTATGGCTTCAACATGTGAATTCCGGGGAGACACCATTCAGCCCATAACAACCTCCCTGACCTCACTTCCTCCCACTCTCCCACTCACGCCCTCCACTGGAGCCTCAAGGGCCACCTCGCTGTTCTCCAAACACATCAGACTTATTTCTGCCTCAGGAGCTATTCTCTATGCCCAAATCCTCTCTCCCCAAACAGTTGCAAGTCTTCCTCCCTCATTTCCTTTACTTGTTTGCTCAAAGCTCACTACATCAGTGGGGCCTTTCCTGATCACTGTATTAATAGAATAGCAAGGTCCCAAGCTCCTAACCATACACAAATTTTCCATCTCCCCTTGCTCTGCTTAATTTTTCTCCACAGCCTGTATTGTTATATATCACTTTGTATATTTTCTTATTTACATGCTTGTATTTTTTAAATCTCCTGCAACTTAGTAGGTGCTTATTAAATATCTGTCAAATTGGTGGATAAGTAGGATACAGTCATTTTGCCAAAAGGAATACATCCAAAGTTCAGCATCACAAGGGATCCAGCAACTGTAACCTATAAGGCACAGTTTAGAAAAATCAGATATTTAGCTTTGAGAAAAAAAGAGAAGCTTGAGGAAATACTGGATAAGTATTTTAACACTTCTAGAGGAGTGCCCTGTGGTCGAAAGCACAGTCTGTCTTTGCATTTGGTGTTACTGCATGGGGCAGTGTTGGGATGTAAGGACAGAAGTGAAGAGAAGGTAAATTTTAGCTAAATGTAACAACACAAAAATTCTAGTGAAATGTTTTATTTCCTGAAGCTGGCTCCCGATAATAGAAAATAAGGAGGCAGAAGCCAGATGATTGTCTCAAGAATATTGCAAGAGAGACACCTGCCTTTGTGGGAGGATCAAACAGGTGATTTCTGAGTTGAGTTCCAACTCTAAGATTCTAGAAAGACAACCCAACTTTAAATGAGGAAACTGTCACCACTTCCTATAGTATGGCTGGTCTTAGCGCCCCATTGCTTTTATGACTCAGGTCTAGCAAGGTGGCCAGATGCTGGAAGCACCACAAGATGAAATGAGATCTGGAAGTCAGGAGGACAAAGGCCAAGCTTTGCCAATAAATATTCATATGACCATATGCAAGGGACTTCATTTATCTGGCTCTCCAGTAAGTCCTCATCAAATTAAAGACTTGGCCTAAATGACTACTTCATCCCTTTCAGTTGTAAACACTGTAATTCCAGATTTTTTTTCCTCAACTAACAGGAACTGTAAGAGAGTTGTGAAAGAGAGACTTCAGACAGTCACGGAGGCCAGACACAGTGGCTCACTCCTGCAATCCCTGAACTTTGGGAGGCTTGAGCCCAGGAGTTTGAGATCAGCCTGGGCAACATAATGAGACCCCATCTCTATGAAAAATTTGAAGAAATTAGCTGGGCATGGTGGTACCCAACTGTAGTCCCAGCTACTCAGGAGACTGAGGTGAGAGGACTGCTTGAACCCTGGAAGTTGAGGCTGCAGTGAGCCATGATTATGCCACTGCACTCTAGCCTGGGCAACAGAGTGAGACTCTGTCTCAAAAAACAAACAACAACAACAACAACAAAAGACAGACACAGAGTATATATGGAGTGGGATGGGAAAGAAGGTACACTGGCACGTTCAGATTGAAGGAGAGTCATGTTAAGTCACATCGTTCCTTCCTTATCAGAAGATTACAGAAATGAGAGGAAAACATCCTCTGGGCCAGTTGTCCAACATCTTGTCTTCAAGCATGTGAAAGGGTAGAGAGCTCTGAGCTTGAAAAATCAGGATGAAACTGCTACTTAATCACAGACACATTACAGAACTGCTTCTCACTCCCAAGGGTCCAGTAAAGCTTCAAGTTGTGTTGTGCTTCGGTTTATGGAGACTAAATCTCACACTGAATGAATATCACTGAAGACTAATTTCAAAAACAAGTCTATCTATGAGTGAGCACACATCACTGTGCTTGCCCGAGCTTCTTTGTTTTGATTGATAAAATGTCTTCTGTGGATGTTTCCTAGGTGCTGAATTACTGAGACTAGTAAGACAGCATTAAAGACTTGAGTTACTCAAGCTTAGTTTCTAATATCTTTGTCTGCCTTTTTCTAGCTTAGTCTGTTTATGGCTTTTGGAGTTGTTTAGAGATTTTGGTCGAAAAGCACCAAACAGGGCCAGGCGCAGTGGCTCACGCCTGTAATCACACCACTCTGGGAGGCCAAGGTGGGTGGATCACGAGGTCAGGAGATCGAGATCATCCTGGCTAACAGAGTGAAACCCCGTCTCTACTAAAAATACAAAAAATTAGCCAGGCATGGTGGCGGATGCCTGTAGTCCCAGCTACTCGGGAGGCTGAGGCGCTCAGGAGAATGGTGTGAACCCGGGAGGTGGGGCTTGCCGCAAGCGGAGATCGCGTCACTGCCCTCCAGCCTGGGCGACAGAGCAAGACTCCGTCTCAAAAAAAAAAAAAAAAAAAAGAAAAGAAAAAAGAAAAACACCAAACAATCTTGATACAACCTGATTTTAAAAATAGAAAATTCCCAGTAGCTCCCAAGTAGTTAAGGCAGAAATGGTACAATGGACTAAGCAAATCTTTGACCTGTTTTCTTATGTCGGTCAAAAACACATAAATTTGATACTTTTCAGGATTTAAGCCAGGGTAGCTGCTAGTGCTCTAGAATGACCTGAAAACCAGGTGGTAGAGTTTGGATATTTGCCCCTGTCTAAATCTCATGTTGAGGTATAATCCCAGTGTTAGAGGTGGGGCCTGGTGGGAGATGTTTCAATCATGGAGGTGGATCCCTCATGAATGCCTTGGGCCACTCCCTTGGTGATAAGTGAGATCTCCCTCTGAGTTCACATGAGATCTGGTCTCATTAAAAGTGTGTGGCAACACCCCCAACCGCTCTCTCTCTCTTGCTCATCACATGCTTTCACCAGGTGATGTGTGTGCTTCCCCTTTGCATTCCACCATGATTGAAAACTCCCTGAAGCTTCACCAGAAGTCAAGCAGATGCCAGCACTGTGATTCATGTAAAGCCTGCAGAAGTGTGAGGGAAATAGTCCTCTTTTCTTTACAAATTACCCATCTCAGGTATTTCTTTACAGCAATGCAAGAACGATGTAACACAGAAAATTAGTGCTGAGTAATGGGGGCATTGATATAAAGATATCTGAAAACATGGAAGTAACTTTGGAACTGGGCAGAGGTTGGAAGAGTTTGGAGAGCTCAGAAGACAGGAAGATGAGGAAAAGTTTGGAATATCTTAGAAACTGGTTAAATGGTTGTCACCAAAATGCTGACAGAAATATGAATAGTGAAGTCCAGGCCTGCCAAGGTCTCAGATGGAAATGAGGAACTTATTGGGAATTGGAGCAAAGATCACATGTGCTATGCATTAGCAAAGAACTTGGCTGCATTCTCTTCATGCCCCAGGGGTGTGTGGAAGTTTGAACTTGTGAGTGATGACCTAGGGTATCTGGCAGAAGAAATTTCTAAGCAGCAAAGCATTTAGGAATTAACCTGGCTGCTTCTAGCAGCCCGACTCAGATATAGGAGCAAAGAAGTGACTTAAAGCTGGAACTCATATTTAAAAGGGAAGGACAGCGTATAAGTTTGGAAAATTTGCAGGCTGGCCATGTGGTTGAAAAGCTGAGCCCATTTTCATGGGAAGAATCCAAGCAGGTTGCAGAGCAAACCACTTGCTAGAGATATTTGCATAACTAAAAAGAATCCAGATGGTAATATCCAAGAAAATGGGGAAAAGGCCTTGAAGGTATTTAAGAGACCTTTGCAGCAGCTCCTTCCATCACAGACCCAGAGACCTAGGAAGAAAGAATGGTTTTGTGGGCTAGGCCCAAGGCCCCACTGCCCTGCACAGCCTTGGAACACTGCTCTCCATATCCCAGCCACTCCAGCTCCAGCTGCGGTTCAAAGGGACCCAGGTACAGTTTGGGCTGCCACTTTGGAGAATGCAAGCCATAAGACTTGGAGGCTTCCACACAGTGTTATGTATGTAGGTGCACAGAATATAAGATTAAAGAATGCTTGGCAGCCTCAACCTAAATTTCAGAGGCTGTACAAGAAAGCCTGGGTGCCCAGGCAGAAACTTGTTGCAGGTGCAGAGCCTCCAAAGATAACCTCTACTAGGGCAGTGACAAGGGGAAGTGTGAGGCTGGAGACCCCACACAGAGTCCCCAATGGGGCATGACCTGGCAGAGCTGTGAGAAGGGGGCCCCTGCCTTCTAGGCCTGAGAATGGCAGATCTACCAGCAGCTTACACCTTGTGCCTAGAAAAGCCATGGCACTCAACAACCTGTGAGAGCAGCCATGAGGGCTGTACCCAGCTGCAAAGCCACAGAGGCAGAGCTGCTGATAGCCTTGGGAGCCCACCCCTTGCTCCAGTGTGCCCTGGATGTGGGACATGGAGTCAAAGGAAATTATTTTGGAACTTTAAGGTTTAATGACTGCCCTGCTGGGTTTTGAAATTGCATGAAGACTATAGCCCCTTTCTTTTGGCTGATTTCTCCCTTTTGGAATGGGAATGTTTACCCAGTGCTGGTACTCCCATTATATCTTGGAAGTAAATAACTTGTTTTGATTTTACAGGCTCATAGATGGAAAGAGATGAGTCTCAGATGAGACTTTGGACTTGGAATTTGGACTTTGGACTTTTGAGTTAATGCTGGAACAAGTCAAGACCTTGGAGGACTGTTGGGAAGGCATGATTGTATTTTGAAATGAGAGAGGGACATGAGATTTGAGAGGGGCTGGGGCAGAATGATATAGTTTGTGTACTTATCCCCACCCAAATCTCATGTGGAATTGTAATCCCTAGTATTGGAGGCGGGACCTGGTAGGAGGTGATTGGATCATGGGGGTGGATTACTCATGAATCGTTTAGCACTATCTGTTTGTTGCTGTCCTTGTGATGAGTGACTTCTCATGAGATCTGGCTGTTTAAAAGTGTGTGGCACCATGCTTTCTCTTGTTCCCGGTCTGGTCATGTGACATCCCTACTCCCCCTTCACCTTCCATCATGATTGTAAGTTTCCTGAGGCCTCACCAGAAGCCAAGCAGATGCCAGCATCAGGCTTCCTGCAAAGCCTGAAGAATCATAAGCTGATTAAATCTCTCTCTCTTTTTTTTTGAGATGGAGTCTCATCCTGTGGCCCACGCTGGAAGGCAGTGGCACTATCTCTGCTCTGAGGCTCAAGTGATTCTCCTGCCTCAGCCTCCTGAGTAGCTAGGATTACAGGTGCATGCCACCACACCCAGCTAATTTTTGTATTTTTAGTAGAGATGAGGTTTCACCACGTTGGCCAGGCTGGTCTCGAACTCCTGACCTAAGGTTATCTGTCCACCTCAGCTTCCCAAAGTGCTGGGATTACAGGTGTGAGCCATTGCACCCGGCCTCTTTTCTTTATAAACTACCTAGTCTCAGATATTTCTTTTTGGCAATGCAAGAATGGCCTAATACACCAAGATTTGTGTTTTCACCATTTTTTTTCTGTTTATAACCATGTTATTTTACTGTTTATCTGAGAAAAGAACCTGGCCTGTTAGTATTTTTTATCGACTGACAAACTCACCAGAATAAAGTGGGTATTAGGACCCTTGGTTCTGCAAGATTTTGGTAACAGAATCTGTTTTCACTAATTGTTGGGAAACAGAAATGATATTCCTTTTAGACCTAGCTCCCTAAACCTTTTCCTCGTTTTGCTTTTTGGTACAATAATGAGGGCTGGCAGGGCTACTTGACACCATTAGCAGTAGACAAATTTTTCAATAAGGACTAACAGAGAAAAACTATGGAAATTCTGATTTATTGTTTGGCCGAGAGAGTTCTCTGTCTCCTTGTGCCCTTGCTCTCCATGTATATTTTATGAGACATTTCAGCAAAGGCATCTCTCAAAATTAATCCCATAGCTGTCTCCTTCAATTCTCCTCCTTGAAACTCTTCACCAATCTTCATAGGGCCTTGGCCACTTCTTGAGGGCCCTCCCACCAGATGATTAAAGGCAATACAGTGAACGAAAGTCTTATTCCGAGACTTGTCTTTGTAAACTTAGTGATCCTTCTTCCTTTTCACTTACGAAAATTTAAAGAGAAGCAGTCTCAAATGTGAACTGAATGCCGTCCCATTACTCCCCCAAACTGGGAAGAAGCTGGTCATATACTTGCACATTTATATAATAAATATTCAAAGACTCTAATCTGGTATCTTCCATATAACACACACTTTAACTCCTATTTTAAACTTTCAAAAGGCTTTTTATGGCATCTTATGCCCTACTTTAAAATGTCTGTCAGCCTAATATTTCTACTTTTTTTTTATTAATTTATTTTCAAGGTCATGTGTGAAAACAACTTTCAGTGAAAAGAACCCATCTGCTTTGACAAAAATGTACACTATAAACCTTCACTTCTACAAGGGTCTAAAAAAATTCAAGGGTTTGATTCGAATGCTTCCAAACCACATTCCCTAAAGCATGCTTTGTGCAACACTAGGAGTTGGTGCAGCAAACAAAAACAAGGAATGGGGAGAGGTGCCAGGCAGGCGCGGTGGCTCATGCCTGTAATCCCAGCACTTTGGGTGACCCAGGCAGGTGGATCACTTGAGGTCAGGAGTTCGAGATCAGTCAACATGGTGAAACCCCGTCTCTTCTAAAATACAAAAATTAGCTAGGTGTGTGTGCACGTAATCCCAGCACTTTGTGAGGCTGAGGTGGGTGGATCACTTGAGGTCAGGAGTTCAAGACCAGCCTGGCCAACATGGTGAAACCCCATCTCTACTAAAAATACAAAAAAAAAAATTAGCCGGGTATGGTGGCACACACCTGTAATCCCAGCCACTCAGGAGGCTGAGGCATGAGAATTGCTTGATCCCTGGAGGCAGAGGTTGCAGTGAGCAGAGATCATGCCTGGGGAAAAGAGAGAGACTATGTCTCAAAAAAAAAAAAAAGAAAAAAGAAATAGGGAGAGGGAGTGATGCTACATACTGAAGCTACCTACCCTCTTTAAAATTCAAAATGCAGATTATCATCTTAAAGAATTGTATGCATTTTAAAGTGAAGGTATTTGTTTAATTTTGTTTAACCTCTTATTTCTCAAAGTTACTTGATTACAGAATTCTTTTCGGGTATGCATGCAATACCGAGCAACATATGACCGAGCTAGGGTTCCATGGTACACAGTTTGGAACTTGTGCTAGAAAATGTTACTCATTATTTTATAAGAAGTATTATTCCAAGGCATCTATGCATTGGAAAATAATCTTGATATGAAATATGACTCGATCCCTTCTCATACCATATTTACAGGGTATGGTGGTTAACTTTATGTGTCCACTTGTCTCTTAGCCCATCCTGGGTTAAGGGATGCCCAGACAGCTGGTAAAATATTATTTCTGGGAGAGTCTGTGAGAGTATTTCTGGAAGAGATTAGCATTTGAATCAATAGACTGGGTATCAAAAACCCATCCTCACTAATGTGAGTGGGCATCATTCAATTAACTGAGCATAGGAATCATAAAAGAGGTGGAGGAAGGCAAATTTGCTCTCTCTTCTGAAGCTGGGACATCCATCATCTGCTCCTGCCCTTGACTTCAGAGCTCCAGGTTCTTGAGCCTTCAATACCAGCAGACACTCTTCAGCCCTTCAGCTTCACATGCAAGAATTACACTGGATTTCCTGGTTCTTCGGCTTGCAGGGGGCACATATTGGAACTTCTTGGCCTTTATAATCTCCTGAGCCAATTCCTATAAGAAGTGTCTTTATATATCTATATATATCCCATTGGTTCTGTTTGTTTGGAAAACCCTGATACACAGGGCTATCTATAGCTCACCCCCCAAGTACTAAGTCTCCAGATGATTATTAGGTTCTTATAAACACAAAATATATATGCTTATTTTGTAATATCAGGTTGTTAACTTCATCTGAGTAGTTTTCAGCACATATGATGGGGATAAGTCATCAGTTATGACAGACAACTTCCGGAGTTACATCACCAATGTTCATCTATCACTCACCTTTGCTTCAAACTTTATGCATCATATTCAAGTTAATTCCTATTGCATGTACTTCTGATTTCCACCTACAAAATGAACATTAAATTTATTATTTCCCTCATTTAAAAAAAAAGATTTCAGGCCAGGTGCAGTGGCTCATGCCTGCAATCACAGCACTTTGGGAGGCTGAGGCGGGTGGATCACTTGAGGCCAGGAGTTCAAGACCAGCCTAGGCAACATGATGAAACCCCTATCTCTACTAAAAATACAAAATACAAAAAAAAAAAAAATTAGCCAGGTGTATGTGTGCCTGCAATCCCACCCCTACTCAGGAGGCTGAGGCAGGAGGATAGCTTGAGTTCTGGAGGCGGAGGTTGCCGTGAGCCAAGATCACGCCACTGTACTCAAGCCTGGGCAAGACAGCAAGACTGAGACTCTGTCTCAAAAAAAAAAAAAAAAAAAGTTTTCAAATCACTTTTTCTCCTTTGCAGTTCAGCATTGTCACTAAAGGTGTCCAGGTTAGACAGAACTGGGTACAAACCCTCCTTTCTCTTCCCCTTACTCTTTCACCTCTTCATTTGTGACATGCAATGTTAACCCAATACAACTCATGAGTATTCAGAGATCCCGTCTGTATACGTCCTCAGCCTGACATACTGTAATCCTTAGGCATCCTTATTAGTAATAAGATGTCCTTGTGTGATTTTTTCACAAACTTTTCACAGACCCTATCTATGTTCATTCCTGGAACCTCTGGCACATTCTTCTTCCTTCTCTTCCCAATCTCAACTTTTTCATCCTCTGAATCTCCCTATACTTTCCCCGTGGACAAGCCTCTAGAAATGTTAAAATGTCAGATCATGATTGGTAAATCTGTAGTGACTAATTGCCCACTGCTGCCTATTCCATCTGACCTAAATTCCTCAGGTCTTCTAACATTAAGACCTCTTCCTGGCCGGTTGTGCTGGCTCATGCCTGTAATTCCAACACTTTAGGCAGCTGAGGCAGGCAGATCACTTGAGGTCAAGAGTTCAAGACCAGCCTGGCCAACATGGTGAAGCCCTGTCTGTACTAAAAAATACAAAAATTAGCCGGACCTGGTGGTGCGTGCCTGTAATCCCAGCTACTCGGGAGGCTGAGTCAGGAGAATCACTTGAACCCGGGGCAGCGGGGGAGGCTGCAGTGAGTGGAGATCAAACCACCGCACTCCAGCCCAGGTGACAGAGCAAGAGTCAGTCTCAAAAAAAAAAAAACAAAAAAAAAAACCTCTTCCTATAGCTAACTCCCACTTACCACCCCCATCATGAACACTCTTGATGTATTTACATGGTTTCTCCTTCGAACATCCTCCTTTCTTCTTTCTTAATGGTTGTTATCAAATACCCTGATAAAAAACAAAAACAAAAAACCTCCTCTGAAGGTCCCTTATTCACCCTTCCAACGCTACAGGTCTGTAACTCTCATTTTCTTTTTAAAAAATTTTTATTTTTTTAATTTATTTTATTTTTTTTTTCAGACGGAGTCTTGCTCTGTCGCCCAGGCTGGAGTGCAGTGACACGATCTCGGCTCACTGCAACCTCCACTTCCCAGGTTCAAGCAATTCTCCTGCCTCAGCCTCCTGAGTTGCTGGGATTACAGGTGCCTACCACCACACCTGACCTCAAGTAACCCACCCACCTCGACCTCCCAAAGTGCTGAGAATACAGGTGTGAGCCATCATGCCTGGCCAAAATTTTTAAATTTTAAAAAATATATTTTATTTTTTGTAGAGACAGGGTCTCATTTTGAGCCCAAACTGGTCTTGAACTCCTAGGCTCAAGTGATCCTCCTGCCTTGGCCTCCCAAAATGCTGGGATTATAGGCACAAGCCACCAGGCCTGATCCTTACTTTTCTTCTGATGAATTCACATATATGTGCACAAATACTTTATACTAAATTGTATTTACTGATGTACTTTTTTCACTGTGCCTTTTCTTTTTCTTGCCCAGATATTTTTCTCATATAAACATTAGCTCCTTAATGGGAGCAAATGAACCAGTTTTTTTTTAATTCCCACCCAAAGTGAGAATATAAAAATTTTTTATTGATCCACCAATACTGAACACTTTCATTTCTAATAGTTATATTTAACTGAATAAATTACACACGGGACAAAAATGTTATTTAAGGGATAAAGTTGGGTGTTTGCTCAGGGACAACGTTGTATATTGAATGATTTGGTGCTTTTGTGAATTTATCATTCAAAAGACCATCGTGATGGCTAAATAACAGAAAGGAGAGCTTTATTGGCAATATCAATTTGCAAACCCGGAAGACATAGTCTTCGGTGTATGCTGAATGTGGTCTCTCTTCAAAAGAGAGGAAGGACAGTTGGGTTTCATGCCTCACAGGGTCTGTTTCACACAGTGGAGTCATACATATTCAGCAGGTTTGGAGGAAAAGATATACATATTTATGAGGGGAGCTGAGTGCATGTGCAATGGGTAAATATGTATGTGACATCCCATGTACACTTTGGGGCAGGGTTTTAGTGTTAAAATGAGGTAAAATTTGGCTCTTTACATCAAAAGGTGAACTACAGGACCCAAAGACAGTTTGTGCACAGCCTCTAATAAACTGGCTGACACTGGCTTAAGGTCTGCAATTGCTTATCAGAAAAGAATGTTTGTAAGGCTGGTCCTCATTCCAATTAGAGTTGTAGTGGTCTGGGTTGTAAATCACAGGATGGGGCTGATAGTTCCTATTATTAGGGAGTTTAGAGCCATAGAAATTGAGAAATTGGTCATGCCAGCCAGTCCCCGAACCCTAACCCTGTAGGTAACTTTGTTTCCTTAACCTTACAGTCCATCTTAGGTGATAAAGGGGTGTCTGTTTTGGTATCTCACATCACAAATTGTTGGTTGGTTTGTGTGTTTGTTTCATCATTCAGGATGTTGTTTCTTTAGGGAATGTGAACCTGAATTCTCAAGGCTTGTTAGACTGTAATGTTCCCATTCATTTTAGGTTTAGCTCATGCTTCTCTAGCCACAGCCTTCACTTGGATTTTAAAAGTTGAATTACTCATCAAAGTCTCTAGGACACGAAAGACAATCCTTAGGTATGATTTGACCAGTAAAAAAGAGATCCAGCTGCCTTGAAGCATAAGATCCCCTCGGCTCCAATGTCTATCACTAATATTCAGTGTGGCAAGGATCCCAGGCCACAGAGCTGTGGCTTCCTGCAGCTGCTCTGGGGAGTGACTCTCTTGGAGCATGTGATGTGGTCTTCCATTGTGCAGGACCAGCCCAGTGGCATCCTTTCAACACCTCTGGCAAGCAGCCTTTCCAAGCACGGTGCCGTCTGAAAACAGGAGGCATATCTTTCACATCCTAGGCACACGCCCTAGGGAGTGGTCAGGGTTTTGTCCAGTTCTCAGCAAACTAGCTACAGCTCCATCCCTTACTCCCACACTCAAGAGAGATACTAGAATACAACTGAGAGTAGCCTGATATGATGCTAACCTCGAGTTGCTTTTATTTAAATTAAAATAAATCAACCAGACACAGTGGCTCATGCCTATAATCCCTGCATTTTAGGAGATCAAGGAGGGTGGATCACGAGCTCAGGAGTTTAAGACCAACCTGGATAACATGGCAAGACCCCATCTCTACAAAAAGTACACAAATTAGCTGGACATGGTAGTGCGCACCTGTAGCCCCAGCTACTCTGGAGGCTGAGGTGAAGGATCACTTGAGCCCAGGAGGTAGAGGTTGCAGTGAGCTGAGATTGTGCCACTGCTAATAATTAATTAAATAATTAATTAAATTAATAAATCGTGCCACTTTATTAAATAAATAAAACAAGAGTAAATCACTCACAAATTTGGAGCTTTTATTAGCAAAACATTACTTAGGAAATCTAAATAAATAACACGGGGTTGACAGCCATTGTTCTAACTGGCAGCCCCTGGCAAGCTCAAAGCCAGGATTATGCTGGTCACTTAAGTGACAGCTATTGCGAATTGTTGTTCTCTCAAGAAAAAAGAACCGATTTCTATGGTAAACCAGGCACTGTGCTGGGTGCCTTTACAATTCATCACCACACCACCTAATGAAAGGAGCATTCTTCAGAAACTGTAGTGCTCAGGCTTTCTCAAGGCCTGAGTTCTTTTCCACCAGAGCATATTGTTGCCCTATTATCCAAAGTTCTCTAAGGAAGAGAACTGACGTAAGACCCACATGGCTCCATTACATCTTCTGGCTACTTGATTGATTTTCATACTCCCTACCTCTGGGGTTGGTATGTACTATCTATTTCTTTCTCCTCTCGTTCTTCCTTTTTATTCCATAAAATACAGGAATATTCCTGTACATTAGTCCTTGCAGCAACCTTGGAATTACTACATTCCTCAAACAAGTTATGGAAGCCAGCTGCCAATATTGGTCCCTGGTTAAACAGTGAATTCTGTTGTTCCATAGAGTTACTACTGAAATACCTAAGCCATTTTGTAAAATATAATTTAGTTGATCTGAAGGCTGTCTCTAAAGCAGTTTTATGTAGTGATTACAGAGAAGGACTAATTTCAAGAGTATTTTATTGTTTAAAAAAATGTAAACATTTTATGGATGCACTAGTGAAGTAAAGACCAATAAATGAAGCAGTAACTTTAATAAAAGGGTAAGTAAAATGTCACATCCTCTGCCTATATTCAGGTCTGTTAGGTATGTGTAGTTAAATGTAGGTAAGTTAGTTGATAATTATTTATTTAAGCATTTCTTTATGTCTACTCATTAAAAAGAAAAAAAGATTAAAAGAATGTTACTATGTGAAAAACTGCCCATCACTGGGGAAAAGAATTTTATTATGCAAAGCTTCAACGCTATTTACAGTTTAGACTTTTGTAGCTATTGAAGGCTGACATTGAGATAAAGAAGTTAATCATGTCCTTCTGTCTTGGAGGAGGTAGAAAGAGATGAGAATGAATACAATTCAGGATCTACTTCTGGTCTTTGATGAGGAGTTAGCACACGGTTCTGGGAGGAAAGACAGGTTAAGAGGCATGTGAAACTCTCAAATACGTCACTGCGTCTGCCAACGTACATGATACCCAGCAAGCTCACATCTTCATGGAAAGCATGGTAATTCCCAACACTACCGGAAGTCTGGAGTGGCTAAGTAATCCATATATTCAACCAGGAAGCAGCTAAAGAAATATTCTAATTACCTAGGAAGGTTTCTGATTTCAAAAGGACATGAATAAAAAGTAGAAGGAATCCACTCCCAAGGACGGACATCAGAGTAGCTTAAAATGTGAGAATAATTTTAGGGGAATTTTAGAGGTTTGGTTATAGACTTATGTTCCCCCAAAATTCATATGTTGAAGCCCTAACCCCCAGTACCTTAGAACATGACTGTATTTGGGTAGGGCCTTTGAAGAGCTAATTAAATTAAGGCCACTGGCGTGGGCCCTAATATAATCTGGCTGGTATTCTTGTAAGAGGAGGAGATTAGGACACACAGAAATACCAGAGGTACCTGTGCAGAGGAAAGAACGTGTGAGGACTTAGCAAGGGTGCAGCCATCTGCAAGCCAAGGAGACCTCTGAGGATTCCAATCCTATCTGCATCTTGATCTTAGACTTTTCTGGAACTGTGAGAAAATAAATTTCTTGGTTTAAGCCACCCAGTCTGTGATATTTTGTTATGGCAGCTCTAGTAAACTAATACAGATTTTAAATGTCATTAAATGTCAATGTTTAAGCTTTGACAAAATTTTCTAAAGGAAAGTATAAAAGGTCATTTTCTTTCTTTTCAGAGCCTGATGATTGCGGGAGGGGTAAGCCAGCTGCATGGGGATCATGATGCAATGCTGATGCAGGACAGACAGAAAGTAGATCTCTTCCATTTCTATTTTTTTTTTTTCTGTTGAGTTGAATGATCTTCAGACTGAAAATGAAAGAAAGGTCACTGGAAATAAAGGCCAAAGATGAGTGACAGGATTATAGAATAAGTCTTAGCTGTTCTAAAGAAGGACATATTATGTACCCCCACCCCCAAATTCATATGTTGAAGTCCTAACCCGACAGTGTCTCAAAATGTGACCATATTTGGAGATAGGGTCAAAGATGTAATTAAGGTTAAATGAGGTCATTAGCATGGATCCTAACCCAATATCTGCTGTCCTTATAACAAGAGGAGATTAGGGCACAGTAAGACACAGAGGGAAGACCATGTGAGAATACAGGGAGAAGGTGGCCATCTGCAAGCCAAGGAGAGAGGCCTCAGAAGTAACCAACTCAGCCAACACCTCGATTTCAGACTTCCAGCCTCCTGAAATGTGAGGAAATACATTTCTGGTGTTTGATCCATCCAGTCTATGGTAAGTTATGGCACCCCTGCAGGGTTCATCTGGCTCAGACTTAACGATTGCTTTTGGTGATATTTATAGGGCACAGATAACAGCCTAAACACAAGACGACAGAAACGCGGCCCAGCAGACTATGCATAAAATAGAAATGGGGTATCTGGACCAATTGGAGTCTGCAGTGGGATGCGGTTACTAAAACAGTCAAATGCAACATGAGGCTCCAGGCAGAGTAGTGGGCAACATCTCCCATGTTGCAGCAGTCAGAGCACACTTCGAGTACTGTAAAAAGACACAGACAAGCCAGAACACATTTAGAGAATGGCCAAGGTGTGGAAGGAACCAGAAACCATGCCATTATGCAACTGTTGAAGGAAGTGCCTGTTTTACCTTGTGAAGAGAAGACTCTAGAGGAAGAAGTAGCATGAAAACCGCTGGCAAATTTGTAAAGATCTGAAGTGTGGAAAAGAATTATTCTGCTTGGTCACTGGGGATACAAGGATATCTGAGTGGGAGTTTAAAGGCGGGGGATGTGAGCTTTAAATGGGATAAGAACATTCTAGTAACCAGAAATGCCCAAAGATAGAATGCACAGTCTGGAGAGCCAGTGAATATCTCACAAATGGAGACACTTGAAACTAGGATGGGGATGCTGTTGTAGGAATTCCAGCAGACAAGTGGTTGTTGGTTCCTTCCCCAACTTTGTAGGGTTATAACTAGGGATGTTCCTGCGTTTTCTGCTTGGAGGATCTGCAAGACACCTCAGGGCAGGAAATGGCATTAAATGCAGAACAGAGCTAGTGGCTGAAAAGCAAAAAGCCATCAGGATCTCTGAGTAGTGAAGGAACCAGAGAACATGCAGGCAATGTCCATCATTCTGACGCAATCAGCAGCATAATCATCTTCCCCCAGGAACATCTTGACCAGGGAATGTGTCAGTGTGGTGAATTTCAACAGTGGAAAGAGAAACTGCTAAATCTAAGAACTTTAATTTTTATAGATTATGATCTCATCTCTACAATTTTGAATTTCATGCTCAATAAAAGTTCCTTACTCTCTTTTTTTTTTTTTGAGACGGAGTCTCGCTCTGTCGCCCAGGCTGGAGTGCAGTGGCGCGATCTCGGCTCACTTCAAGCTCAGCCTCCCGGGTTCACGCCATTCTCCTGCCTCAGCCTCCCCAGTAGCTGGGACTACAGGCGCCCGCCACGACGCCCGGCTAATTTTTTGTATTTTTAGTAGAGACGGGGTTTCACCGTGTTAGCCAGGATGGTGTTGATCTCCTGACCTCGTGATCCGCCCGCCTCAGCCTCCCAAAGAAAAGTCCCTCACTCTTAAAGTTGCCTCCTCCTTCCCAGGGCTGGCTTCATGGGCATGCAACCCTGGAGAGTCTCACAGGCCCTGCGGTGGGAGGAGCCCCATGCTTGGTTTAACGCTCTGCCATTGCCATCTTAAAATTCTTAATTTAATTTTTTTTCTTTTTTTTGAGGTGGAGTCTCGCTCTGTCGCCCAGGCTGGAGTGCAATGGCACAATCTTGGCTCACTGCAACCTCCGCCTCCCAGGTTCAAGCGATTCTCCTGCCTCAGCCTCTGGAGTAGCTGGGATTACAGGCAGGAGTAACCACGCTCGGCTAATTTTTGCATTTTTAGTAGAGATGGGGGTTTCACCATGTTGGCCAGGCTGGTCTAGAACTCCTGACCTCAGGTGATCTGCCCACCTGGGCCTCCTAAAGTGCTGGGATTACAGGCATGAGCCACCAGGCCCGGCCTTAAAATTCTTAATAATGTAACAAAGGGTCTCACGTTTGCATTTTGCAGTGGACTCTGCAAGATTTGTAGCTTTGGACCACGTTTCTCTTTGCATTCAGATACCTTCTTTTTTGCCTTATTTGCTCATGCAGACCCGGAACAAATACGGAATTGCGGTGGGTAAATGTGGTGCAGAAAGTGAACAACTGGGTTTGTCCTGTCACTTTAGGCTTTTCCCTGCTGTCCCAGCTTCATGTCACTTACTTGCTATTAGATTTGGGAGTTCATTAGCTTCATTTTCCTGATGTATAAATAGGAATAATAGTAACAGCCTCTTTGGCTTTTGTAGGAAGTAAATGACATGAAGCGTATAAACAAATACTGCATGACAATAAATATTTGTCCTTATTTGTTGAGGACATCCAAAGGACATTCAGGGGCAAAAGTAATCCAAGAGTCAAGACTGAATGCCTAGTGCGGGAAAAGACACACAAGACAACATTTAGGGGAGCTGGTACAGAAATGACTTCCCAGGAAGGAAGTCTGTACCCCGCTGGCTGAGCCATCCTTCCCGGGCCTAGGCACCCTTGTCAGCGCAATGAGCAAGGGAGAGAAGGCAGGCTGCAGTGCAGCCCTCAGAAGGGCCAGAGCACTCCCTGGCTTCAGTCCTTCGCTCCAAGCCCTGTGTGGAGTGGGCTGTGGCTTGGTAACTAAATGCTACTTCAGGTCAAGAGCAGGGGATATATCTGGGCAGTTCTAGAGCATTCTAAACTATCTGGACACTAACTGGACAGTGGACGGTTTGTGTTTAATCCAGGAGAAAGTGGCATGGCAGAAGGTTCATTTCTATAATTCAGGACAGACACAATGAAGAACAAGGGCAGCGTTTGAGGTCAGAAGTCCTCATTTACGGGGGTCGAATACGAATGATCTCTCCTAATTTTTCCTTCTTCCCCAACTCAGATGGATGTTACATCCCTGCTTAACAACAAAAAAAGACCCCCCGCCCCGCAAAATCCACACTGACCACCCCCTTTAACAAAACAAAACCAAAAACAAACAAAAATATAAGAAAGAAACAAAACCCAAGCCCAGAACCCTGCTTTCAAGAAGAAGTAAATGGGTTGGCCGCTTCTTTGCCAGGTCCTGCGCCTTGCTCCTTTGGTTCGTTCTAAAGATAGAAATTCCAGGTTGCTCGTGCCTGCTTTTGACGTTGGGGGTTAAAAAATGAGGTTTTGCTGTCTCAACAAGCAAAGAAAATCCTATTTCCTTTAAGCTTCACTCGTTCTCATTCTCTTCCAGAAACGCCTGCCCCACCTCTCCAAACCGAGAGAAAAAACGAAATGCGGATAAAAACGCACCCTAGCAGCAGTCCTTTATACGACACCCCCGGGAGGCCTGCGGGGTCGGATGATTCAAGCTCACGGGGACGAGCAGGAGCGCTCTCGACTTTTCTAGAGCCTCAGCGTCCTAGGACTCACCTTTCCCTGATCCTGCACCGTCCCTCTCCTGGCCCCAGACTCTCCCTCCCACTGTTCACGAAGCCCAGGTGGGCCGTCGGCCGGGGAGCGGAGGGGGCGCGTGGGGTGCAGGCGGCGCCAAGGGCGCGTGCACCTGTGGGCGCGGGGCGCGAGGGCCCCTCCCGGCGCGAGCGGGCGCAGTTCCCCGGCGGCGCCGCTAGGGGTCTCTCTCGGGTGCCGAGCGGGGTGGGCCGGATCAGCTGACTCGCCTGGCTCTGAGCCCCGCCGCCGCGCTCGGGCTCCGTCAGTTTCCTCGGCAGCGGTAGGCGAGAGCACGCGGAGGAGCGTGCGCGGGGGCCCCGGGAGACGGCGGCGGTGGCGGCGCGGGCAGAGCAAGGACGCGGCGGATCCCACTCGCACAGCAGCGCACTCGGTGCCCCGCGCAGGGTCGCGATGCTGCCCGGTTTGGCACTGCTCCTGCTGGCCGCCTGGACGGCTCGGGCGCTGGAGGTGGGTGCCGCGCCTCGGAAGGCGGGGGGAGGCTGCACGGTGGGGACGCGATACCCCCCAAGACCTTAACCCAAGTCTTTAATGCAGAGAAGCCGGGGGTCCGTCAATGGGACCCCTCTCCTCTCCGCCCCCGCTTGCGGACGTCCAGCGCATCCCCGCTTTCGGCCCAGCCCTGCCCCAGGGAGTCGCGCTCCGGCCCGCTGAGAGGGAGCGGGCGAGGCGCTGGTCTCCCTGGTTCCGCGCCAGCCCGGGGCGAGAAGGGTAGGGGGCGACCCTGAGCCCAGACCCCGACTTAGTCCCTGCCTTGGAAGCGGGGGTCGGGGGAGGCGAGAGACATTCAGACAGGGGGGAAGGGGGAAGGAGCACGTGGGGAAAACCGAAAACGCAGCGTCCCTAAAGCCAGTCCTTCGCTCTTGAATCGTTGCCCTTTCCTTTCTCTTGGGCCCTGGGGAGGAGGAGGAGGAGTCGGGACAGCCCAGGAAGCTAGGAGCCCCTCGCTTTTCCCTGCGTTCTCCGCCTCGTTTCACCTTCCTCTCTCACCCCCATCCCCCTTCCTTGCTCCAACCTCTTTTCGCGGCTGCTGGCGGCGGCAGCCTGGGTGCGACCCTAGCCCGAGCCGGCGTCGGGGTCGCGCACCGCCTTCCACAGGCAAACTTTGTGCATGTCCGCGTCTCCCTTTTGTGTAACTTGCGAGAAATGGGAGGGGTCGGAGACCCATAGCCACCCCGCGCCTTCCCCAAGTCTGGACGTCCCGGGAGTTCGCTCGCACCCTAAGCTCTGTCTGAGAGGCAGAAGGTCCGCGGGAACAAAAGCCGCGACACCCCGCCCTCGCCGTGGGCCGAGCCGCGTTAGTCTCAGTGCGCCACCGAGGCTCCCGCCCGGCTCCCTTCCCGGGGCTGCGCGTCCGCCTGGGAGGGGGCAGAGACGCTGCCGGGGCTTCTGGCGGAGCCTCGGGGCCCCTCTGCTTCCCACCCTCGGATCACCTCCGAGGCTTAATTCTGTGCTGGGCTGTAAAGTCCTTGGCGGGGAGGAAATAAGGCGGAGAGTGGGATGTGCGTCTGGAAAGGGCAGTGGCGGATGGTGGGGAGGCACGGGCTCTGTCCTGTGCATCCAAGGAGGCGTTTGTCTGATTAAGGCGCGGCCTCTTCCCTGGCAGCTCTGGGGACTCTGGTTTAGTTCCCCTGGGGGCACAGGATGCTGGGGAGGGTCCGAAGGGTCTTTTTTTTAGGGTGCAGATAAAAGGATCGAATTGAGTGAAGATTAAGACGGAGAAGATGGCGCCTCTGCAGTGCAGCAAAGAAAAGCTGTGTGGAGGCTGCAGCCTAGTGAAATCCACCCACCACTAGGTGTATAACAAGTCTTCCCCATTCATCCAACTCTCGAACATTCAGCTAACGCCTGTGCACAATGACTGTTTTTCTTTACATCTGAAGATGCTTAGAAGTTGTTTGCATGACAGTTGGGCCAGAGGAGGCTGTATTTCACTTCGGACTTCGGTTGGGTTCCTGTTTGGCATCTTAACATTTGCAACCTTCCTTACCCGTTTTTCCCCTCTTTTCCCCCAGCCTCCTAGTAATTTTCCAAAAGAAAAAAAGCAATTTCCGGGCAGATGTTTTCCTGTAATTCCACTGAGGCTGTACAGACTATCACACCATTAGTTTTTTAGTTTCTAATTTGCAAGGTCATTGAACTTTTTTCTCTTCTGATTTTTACCCACAAGTGGCTCAGGAATCACCTTAGGGCTAGTTAAGACAGGTTGTTTTAAGAGTTAAAGAATTTCGTTTTCCATGTTTTAAAAAAATGCACTTAACTAAGAGAATTCTGATTTCTCTCATGACTTACTTACATTTATTTGTAGAATTATTCCAGTTTTCCCGAATGGTCTTACTACAGATTAAAAACCATACATTTAAGGAATTAAAAGCATATGATAACCGTATTTTTGAAGCTTTTGTCAAAACTTAAATATGTAACTTTGTTGAGCAATATTTCTTTCTGTATAAAAAGAGGAAGCATGTAGGCAGATTCGAATTTAGTTTTTGGTCTGTTTAATTGCATTAATATGCTCTTTCTGCCATCTTTTGGGACCTTTTCAGTAGCTATTGTTAACTCCTTTAAAGGGTGGAGGTGAGATTCACATTATGCCATTTTGCGAAGTGTTGGTAGAAGGGTAGGTAATTCAGTCTACTGAGGTTTGAGGGTGGTTTATCTGGTTCTCTCTGTGTCCACTGAAAAGATGTAATTACGAGTTGACTGTCTTTTATAGAGCTTAGAAAATAGGTCTGCTGCAGGTGGCTGTAGAAAAGAAATGAATAAGGGCAATGATAATGGGGCCTTGGCTATCGGGGGAAACATGGTTATTATCTGGGTTGATGATTTTGGCTGGTATGTTGATAGAGGTGTGAGTTTAACAAACCCTAATCTATATGATGTTTCACTACCCTAATATTTATTTATTTATTTATTTTTAAATCTAGCTTCCTCTTAAGTTTTATTTCCCTCTGTTGAGGGTTTAACCTAGTCACAATCATCTTACCTTTGTGGTAGTGCTAATTTATAGTTTATGGAAACCTGCTGCTACTGACTAGTACCTCGCTAAAGGTAGAAGCCGACACACAGAATAGTAAAGCTCAGGTTTGATGGTGATCTGTAAGGAGTCACGGTTCTTGCTAATCGATGAGAAACCATGATAACTGGCAGACTGCAGAAGCTTTTCTCTTGTCACCGGAACCAGCAGAGGCTCCTGAACGACATTTGCAAGGCTATTAGTACTGCGGAGAAGTTACTAGATGGAATAATACTGGTCCTGACTGAGGAAATGAAAAGGAACATGCAAGTTCACGAGGTTAAATGAGGAATGGCTGATTCAAAAAAATTAAAAAGAAATAACGTGATCAACAATATTGGTTTGAAGGAATGGGAGAGGTTGTCTTTATGTTAAGTCTTGTTGCTAGAGGATCTCTATTTTATGTTACTGTTTTTTGCATACTAGAGTCTTCTACAGATATTTGTATGAATGTTGTCAGTCATTCTGGAAATAAGCATAGCTATTACTTGCATTTCACGTGGCCACTAAACTATCAGTGAGAAGTGCATTAAATTCAGTAGAAATGTACATTGTTTCTGCAAATTGTATTACCTTGAGAATCTTACAAAGCATCTTTCATTAATACATTTCTTTTAAAATCTCTATCAATTACAAATGTAAAGATAAACCTGTACAGATGCATTTTAAATTTAAAGCTTCCAGAATGTAAGGTTTAGTTCGACTGCATACCTCATTACCTCCCCTTCCCTCCTCCCTCCCCTTACTCCCAGGAAGTTTGCAGGGTAAATAAAACATGCACATGATAATAAAACAAAGTGGAATGTACTAAAATACCAAAAGGAAAATACAGATTAGGTATACTGAGTAAATATGTTACAGAGAAAACTTCCTGTATTTAAAAAGTAAGGAACAATGGGATGAGATCATAGATAATCCTGGAGCATTTCCTGGTAGTAAATTTCCAGCCAGGTTTATATCCCAGGTCTGGGGATTGGAGGTTAAGTTTCTGCATATACAATATTTGTTTACATTCCTCTCTGCCTCTACCAGACAGACAGACAGACACACACACACACACACACACACACCCTCTGTCTCTTTCTCTCTCTTTCTCTCTCTCTCTCTCTCTCTCTCTCTCTCTCTCACTTGAGTGACAGATGCTGGTGCAGGGTATTCTCAACAGGAGTAGGGAATTTGAAATAAGGAGTTGAGAGGTCAAAGGTAAGGGGCTGAATGCAGGACCAGAGAGCTTCAGTAGCATCTTGATGGGCAGAGTATGAGATGAACAGTGGCAACGAGGAGGATAGGGAAAAATCACATTTTCTGTTTGTGTTTTGTTTTTGTCTGGTGGTTTTCAACCTCTCTCTGTTTCACTTGACTATGCTTGATTATGAAATCTTTTTTTTTTCTTTTTTTAATTTAAAGATCTCAACTGGCTTTGTTGTGATTCTACATTCAGGCAACACTATTCTGTAAAATAGTATAAATGTTCCGATGAGTTGAACAGAGGAGATTGGCTTTGTAGACAGAAAAGGGCTGAAGAAAACAGAAATAAAAAAATCTTTTCCTTTTCATAGTGAGAGCTCAGATGCAAATGTATGGAGTGGGGATGGATGGGAAATGCCGTCTTTTGCAAACCCTTGGAAACGCTGTCACCCTGTGGGTCTCACAGCCAGTGTACAGATAACACCCTCATCTGTACACAGAAGACAGAAGGTGGCAGGGGAAGGAATGAGCACACCCCAGAATGAGTAGCAAGTTTAATCAATAAAATATGTATTTCTTTTTTTATTGTTGTATAAGAAGAAAAGCAGACAGAACTCAAACCCTGAAGCTGATTTTGCAAGTGAAAAGCTTAGTAAAGGGGGAAATGTTATGTAACTATTTTTTCAGTTTAGTGTGGATGGCTTAAGAAATAATCATTACTGTGAGGACACTAGTATTTTTCTTGGAAAAAAAAGTTTGGCAAATTTTCCTCTTTAGATTAATCTTGGTTATAGATTATTATTATGCTTGAGTGGTACCTCTTCAGAAGTAGAAATCTGGCAAAAACTGGAGTACAATGATTGCTCTAGGAATAAATTCACATATTTAAATTTAAAAGCCTGGATATGTGCATCAATTAATAGCTTTATGAAACAGGGATGCTTAGTAGATTAGCTAGCTGAGTATTCAGAGAGGGCCACAGAAGTCTCAGGTTCACATGTATTAAATCTGCTGAAATAGAAACCTAAGAGATCATTTTATTTAGGTTTATTTTGTGTGGCTACATGTTGAAGAAACATGCAATAGAGATTTAGCTTGAACCTTGCGAGACTCACAGTATCTTACGAAAGAAGATAGTTAAAATGGGGAAGATGAGAGGTTTTTAAAAATGTCACCTCTGTAGAACGAACCAGAGTTGTTCTCAATTTATAATGTTGAATTTGATGCCAGGCGTGATGTTAGGCCAATAACACTGAGTCATTGAGTGTTTCTCAGGTATGTAGAGAAGGCAGCATTGCACACTAATCAGGAGAGTTTAGACCAGGGCAGGAATGCATGGGCATAAATTCTGTCTTTGTTTCTTTTGAGCTAGTGACCATGGGCAAGTTTCTGTGCCTCAGTTTTTTCCTTTGTAAAATGGGATGAGTACTTCTAGTTATTGAGGATCGAATTAATATCTTTGTTAAATGCTTGAAACAGTGTGTGAGTTAATATATATGTAACCTGATGGCATAGCATAAGCACTGTGTGTTAGTTGCTGCTATGTATGGTGATGATGTTGATGTACAATGGGTATATGTAAGTTTCCTGCATAGTTGAAAGTTAAAAATCTAGATGATGTTTCACTTATTGACAAATTACTTATTGGCCAATTAAGACTATTGCAGGAAATTGACAGATTGTTGTCTATGAGTTTGATCTAAATTTAAAAAGCACATGGTATCTCAGATACAATTTTTAGAATACATGTTATAAAATTTCATTTATTAAATATGTATTGTGTATTTCAATTGGTTTTTTGAAAAATGAAAATAATTCATGCTCATTGAAAAATTTAAAACAGTACAGAAATGTGCAAAAAGCATAAGCATTTTTTACACAAATGGGAAATACCTAGTTTTTTTTTTTCTTTTTTTCCACATAACATGGATGTAGACCTTTTTTTTTTTTTTTTGAGACAGAATCTCCCTCTGTCACCCAGGCTGGAGTGCAGTGGCGCGATCTCGGCTCACTGCAACCTCCGCCTCCTGGGTTCAAGCGATTCTCCTGCCTCAGCCTCCTGAGTAGCTGGGACTATGGGCACTCGCCACCATGCCCAGCTAATTTTTGTATTTTTTAAGTAGAGATGGGGTTTCACCATGTTGGCCAGGCTGGTCTCAAACTCCTGACCTCAAGTGATCTGCCCACCTCGGCCTCCCAGAGACCTATTTTTTAATGTTGTACACACTGGCAGCTTGCCACAGATGTCTAATATTGAGCAAGTTTATACACTGGCTTGATTATTAACTATTAGTTGGCTATCAGCTATGTGCAAGGAACTGTGAACAGACTTGGTTTAGTTTTCAGTAGAATCTTTGCTAGCAAAACGAATAAACAGGCTTTGCCAATCTGGGTAGAAATGGAAGATTTCAAATGCCAGCAAAAGAATTTTGGTCCTAATATGGAAGCTTGAAGTTATGTTCACCCAAGGACAGGGAAACCAAAAAGCAGATTGCTTGAGAATGCGGCATTTCTCTAGGAAATCAGTTTCAAAATAAAATGAATTTTTTGTTTTGTTTTGTTTTTGAGACGGAGTCTCGCCCTGTCGCCCAAGCTGGAATGCAGTGGTGCGATCTCAGCTCACTGCAATCTCCGCCTCTCAGGTTCAAGCGATTCTCCTGCCTCAGCCTCCCGAGTAGCTGGGATTACAGGCGTGTGCCACTATGCCCAGCTAATTTTTATATTTTTAGTAGAGACGGGGTTTCACTATGTTGGTCAGGCTGGTCTCAAACTCTTGACCTCGTGATCCGCCTGCCTCGGCCTCCCAAAGTGCTGCGATTACAGGCGTGAGCCACCGCGCCCAGCTGCAGTAAAGTGAATTTGTGTAACCAGCCATGTTATGGCTGTTACATCTTTAAAACTTTATAGTGATCTGCTGTTTAATTGAAATTATATATTTTTTTTAAAAATCAGCATATGTTGCTCAAAAATAAAAGGTTTTTAGCTTCAAAAGCAGGCCAAGGATATTTGAAAGCCTTGAGTGTATGAAACTGGTGATACTGTGGTTAAATGATGATGAACGCAGGGAAAAATCAAGAAGCAGAGTCCCAAAGAATTCACATGGGTTTTTGTTAACCAGCTCATGTAATTATAATTGTCCTGTCCAACTAAAGACAAGAAGACAAGAAGTGGGTTCACATACGAGGATGTGTAATGACAGAAGCCATATTTGTGATAAACATCCTGATTACAGTAGATACAGTGAGGAGTGATTAAGATGGTTCCAGAAGCAGGAGTGGAGGGTTCATGAGCAGGGATGAGGAATAAATAGGACAAACATTTTGGAAAAGGGAAAAGATGAATAAGCCTGTTTTGTAAATTAATGGATCCTGATGAATGAAGTGCAGTGATTCCTTAAGGTCTTATTAATGATGGACCCCAAACAGTGTTTGAATCTCTTAATTTCCAGATGGTTCCTTTTTTTCTTCACAAAGTCAGAAGGTTTTCTTATGAGAAATTTGATTCAACAAGAATAATTGTCACTTCTTTTGTTTTTTGGTGATTTTTTTTTTTTTTTTTTTTTTTTTTTTTGAGACTGAGTTTTACTGTGTCACCCAGGCTGGAGTGCAGTGGCGTGTCTTGGCTTACTGCAACCTCTGCCTCCCGGGTTCAAGCAATTCTCATGCCTCAGCCTCCTGAATAGCTGGGTTTACAGGCATGTGCCACCACGCCTGGCTAATTTTTGTTTTTGTTTTTTTTTTTTTTAGTAGAGACAGGGTTTCACTACATTGGCCAGGGTGGTCTCGAACTCCTGACTTCAAGTGATCCACCCACCTAGGCCTCCCAAAGTGCTGGGATAACAGGTGTGAGCCACTGCACCTGGCCAATTTTTTGGTGATTTTGATAGGAATTTTTTTTTTTGCCTGATGCTTTTTTTGAGAGAATCTAATAATTTGTCTCTTATTTAATAATTTGGCTTTCATTAGCTTCCAGAAAGCCACATACTGTCTTCATTGAAAAATGTAAGGCATCCTAGATGATACAGACTGATAAATTACTTTTCAGCCATAAAAGATACTTATGAGAATAAGAGATCTGTTGCATAAAGAAAAGTCATTTGTGTTAAGTGAAGAAATGCATTATTACTCTTGCTGCTTTGCTAAATTTCAAACATTGAATAACTAATATATTTTGACCCCCTGGAGATATTTTACAGGAAGAAAAATGAGAGGTTTAATCCTACTGTTGAGATAGACTTAACGTGTTTTAGACCTGCCCCTCATCCCAAGTTACTACAAACTCATTTGTTTAGTTTTTCCTTGTCTGTGTGCTCGTTATTTCACAGTAAAATTAGTGAGGCAACATAAATTTTATTTTTAAGAGAAAGTAAAGAAAATGGCTTTATCCATTAAAGGTTTATTCATCTTAAAAAAGGACTTGTTATATCTACTCCTACTATTGGATGAATTTTCAAAAGCATATTGATACTGTGTTTGGTTTTGTTTGTTTTCGGGACAAGTCCTCACTCTGTCACCCAGGCTGAAGTGCAGTGGTGTGATCTGTAGCCGTGGCCTCCTGGGCTGAAGCCATCTTCCTGCCCCAGCCTCCAGAGTAGCTGGGACTACAGGCATGTGCCACCACATCTGACTAATTTCTTAAATGTTTTGTAGAGATGGGGTCCCCACTATGTTGCCCAGGCTGATCTTGAACTCCTGGGCTCAAGCGATCCTCCTGCCTCGACCTTCCAAAGTGCTAGATTACAGGTGTGAGCTATTGTGCCTGGCCAATGTTGTTTTTATAAATATCATTACTCAGTTATTTTGTTTATAATTGAATTGATAGGCTCATAGAATAAAGATGGATAAGCACTGTTTCTTAACTGTATTTATTGATTTTTTTATCTTTCAAAAAAAAAATCCTCATCTACTTCAAAGATTAAGCCTTTAAAACCGATGCAAAGTTTTTGAAGTCTTAGCTTAAGTCTTCAGAGACTAACATTAAAACCCATCATATGAAAAGTGATATGTAGTAGCAAATATTCTCCATCCTGATGCTCTCAATTGCTTATTATGGTTTAACACAAATATAATTTTGTCATTACAGTAAATTAGTTTGAGGATATAACTGAAGAGTACCTAAGAAACTCCCATAGAAATGTGAAAATATGCAGACTAATTATTCTAAGAATAATTAATCATAGATACTTACATATTAAATTGATTAGCAATTTAAAATTAAAGCCAAATTTCTGTGGAAATTAGCTTATTTTCATACACAAAGAAACCTAGATTCTTAGGGGTACAACCAAGAAAGGGCCACTCCTTCATTTCACAAATATTTTCGAGGTCCTTGCCCCCAAGAGGGTAGACAGAATAAAAAGGAGGAAGGAAGTGACTTGGAAAAAATTAAGTTGGGTAAGGAATATAAGAGAATGCTACGTAGAAGGATGTGTGTTGTGAATGCAATAGTTTCTGTAGTATTGTCAAAGTTCTCTGATCATTTCAGTATGTGAAGGTAAACTTAGATAACTGGGGGAAGGAACTATATATTTACTACATTGTAAAAGAATAATTGTAGACAGAAGATCTACTTTGGGTGATTAAATGTTGAAAACAAGTGGTGGGAGAGAGAAGTTAGTGTTGATTGTGATCACACACTTTTCTATACAGTAATTTGTTTGATCACTCATGATAATGCCTTACATTTTGTATGTACTAAATAAATGAGTTCTCTAGAAATTCTATGTTGTGGTGATAAAGAATTACGTTCAGATTGAAGATTCGAACAGCTGTGCAACCTTCTCAACATTTAAGAAACTGCGAACAAGCATAGAAAGAAGATTAAAGCCTTTTAAATAAGATTCTTTTTTTTCAGCCTCTTTTTGGAACATTTTATTGTGAAAAGGTTTCATAAATACTGTCAATACATCACGTTCAGTCATTTGCAATTGTATTTCAAAAATTCAGTTGGCCTGCAAAAAGAAAAAATGCCTCATTTTTGAAATATTTCATCCATGCCCTGATTGATTGGGACACTTTCAATAGAGGGTGCCTAGACATAATTTTGTGTGAAGAAGTTAGTAGAGTTTGGAAAGAAAATGTGTATTGGAATTAAATTTAGTGGCATGAAAATGAAAATTTCTCTGTCATTGTCTTTTTTTTTGGCTCCTTTTTTGGCCATTTTACAGCTAGTGTTTAGTGTGACAAGGATCAAAATTGGCCCTTTAAAAAAATATATTGAATTCTATTACCTCTGTTATCTAAAAGAATTGTATTTTTCAATTTGAAGAGCTTGAAGCCAATACTACTATATACCATTAACTTGACAGGAATTGAAAATCTAATTGAGGTCATTATGATTAGCCTTGTATCTTGCTAGTATTTTCTCAATCTTATTTTGAATGTTTTGTGTCAAGTGTTAAATCCTCTTATACCACAGAATCCAGAAAATTTAAATGCAACAGAAGTAAAACGAATATAAAAATTCTATGGTTGTTGTGGAGGGGCGTTCTTGGCTAACCCATAGGGTGTTTGAATGTAAAGGCAGCTTACAGAACTGCTGCTAGTTGAATTGTGGAGGGTTTCACTTTTAAGAGTACATTTGAGACAAAATTGCAATTTTGGAATCACTTATTCCTGCTTGTTCAGTGAAATAGGAGAGGGGGGAATTCCTGAGGGAAGCTGGGAGATTTCCAGGTGATGATAGAGTAGCCATGTGAGTATTTGGCTGAAACAGAGTAGAAGCCACCTCTGTCTGTTGGACAGAGGTGGCCTTAACACTGAGTATCAATCAGCATGGCCATTAGAGCTGTCCAGGACAAACATAATGAATGTTGTGGTGGCAGAGAGGGTATACTTAAATGAACAAAATTGGAGGCTGACTTTCCTTGTTTCTTGGTAGTTCCTTTCTTCGTATTTGCTATTTGGATATTTCACTTCACTTTTGTGAGCTAGACTCAAAGGTTAAATTTATATCATTGTGAATTTTCTGGGTCATATTGTAGGGACACAGATGGGAAGCATCCCTTCAGTTTATTGAGAGTATTTCTTATGCGCATGTGTTTTTAATTGTATTTATTGATTTAATAAATAGCCGATGAGATGAGAAAAAAATATTAGTGTCTTGTTGTTGCAGAGAAAAAGACATTGGATGCATTCTTAGAATTTATTATCACATGCGAAGTTATTTAGATTTACAAAGCAATCTGACATGTTGACTTCATTGCTCGTTTGCTCATTTCTATCAGAGGTTGAACACAAAGCCAAGCCTAAGCCCGTGATTCTTCTGTGTGCAGATGAGGGGGAAGGTTTAATGCAGAATGTTTAGCTGAATATTTGGATTGTGCATTCCCCTTTTATGTCTCTACTGCAAGTTTTCTCAGGGCATTTGTGATTGACTTCTGTGATGTTGACATTTATTTGGAGTTAGATGTTTAAAAAATTACTAATTTATGGCCTGGTGCGGTGGCTTACACCTGTAATCCCAGCACTTTGGGAGGCCAAGGCGGGTGGATCACGAGGTCAGGAGATCCAGTCCATCCTGGCTAACATGGTGAAACCCTGTCTCCACTAAAAATACAACAAATTAACCGGGCGTGGTGACAGGCACCTGTAGTCCCAGCTACTCGGGAGGCTGAGGCAGGAGAATGGTGTGAACCTGGGAGGCAGAGCTTGCAGTGAGCCATCGTGCCACTGCACTCCAGCCTAGGCAACAGAGCGAGACTCCGTCTCAAAAAAAAAAAAAATTTACTATCTTATTGTTTCTCTCATTTTGAATTTGTGAAATTATTATTCATTTTATGGACATACTGCATGGATTCTGTGTTTCAGTTATGACAGGAGATCTAGAATCTGGGTGGGGCTGTGAGTAAATAGAAAGGTAACTCAGTCTGTGCCTTGAGGAATTCCGCAGTCCAGTGGAGGAAGAAAGAGACGGAGAAATAATTAGGTACAGTGTGCCAAAGGCTATAATAGAGGAGGTACAAACTCTTCCCAGAGAAGGCAGGCAGAATTTGAACTAGGTTTCAAGGATGTGTGAAGGTGAACTGGGGTGGGGAGGGCTTCCCAGACAGAAAAAACAGCGAGGGTGTAGAGTTTCAAAGGGGGAAGCCCAGGGGTATAATAAGTGAAGGAGACAGTGTGAAATTATAAATTTTGGATGCCCTTAATGAGTTTGAACTTCATTTTCTTAGAAATGGAGTACTTTTAAATGTTCCTAAAATGGGGACGAGGCATTGATATTCATGGTTCAGTTAGGTTTAGGAGCTTTTGTAGAAGTCCTTTTCAAGGTCTGCTTAATCTCATGGGCCAGATAGTGACACCTCGATGCAAGGGAGCATGTAAATGTGCTCTATTAGCTGGGAGCATTGCTATCAGAAATTACATTTCCGGCTCTCTTCTTAAGGGTAAAGGAGAGGTAGGATATTGAGTGGCAACTGGCATTCTGGGATGTAGAAGAAATACAGTACCATAAAGGGATAGAGGAAAATGGGTAGACTTAACGTTCTGAACCAAAGCTAAGATTCTCCGTGAGCGATTAGAGTAGGCTTTTGGGATTTGCTTACCTTCTCTTATCTGCTAGCCAGCCACACAGGAAGCACATCTTTGTGGAGTGACAGAGGAGGAGGTAGGAAATGCTTTCTCATTTTTATGGTAGAAACATCCAAGAGCTGAGCCTTCATTCTGGCTGAGAGAACTCTAGATGGTTCAGACTTGCATTCCTGGGAAGGCCTTCCAGCTAGAGTGATGGAACAAAGCAATGATTTCTGTGGCCCTGTGTGGACAGCAGTGGCAGTCAGTTTACTCTCCCTGTTGGTTAACTGTCTTTCGTTTGATCTAGAGACTTCCTCAAAACAATTTTGTTGTGCTTGTTCTTTGAAAGCAACAGCAGACAAAACAAGCTTTGAGGTTTTTAGAAAAGAGCTTGACACTGAGCACCTCTTTTGAGCTAGATCTGTCTGTCATGCTGAACCTGTTTTCTGTGGCTGCGTAGCTTTTCAAATCTGTTTATGCTTGCTGGTGTTATTGAAACAGAATGGGAAGATCTATGCAAAAAGGAACATTGATCTTAATAAATTTATGTCAGTAAGAATGGGACTGCCATTTTAAAATTTATTTTAATTCCTTACCTATTTTCTTGTTCAATTATTCTAAAAGTGATTAAATGAAGATACGTCACAGAAAGTATGCTTTGAAATCAAGATGTGGGGAAAACCTGTAGTTCTGAGTAGGCCTGATAGAATCATCATTGTTAGAGTATTTGGAGGTTTTGTAGTAGGGATTTTGTCTTCACTTAAATATTTAGTTGAAATATGTTCCAATAGTTTGACACATTACAGAATCTGTCTGAAAGAAATGTCTAAAATATGATTCCTCAGAAGCTGCTCTTGGTTTTACTTTCTGCTGTTGGTTTTACTTTCTAACATTTCATTTTGATCCCGCAGTTTTAAGAGTAATCAAAAAGGCCGGGCACGGTGGCTCACACCTGTAATCCCAGCACTTCGGGAGACTGAGGTGGGTGGATCACTTGAGGTCAGGAGTTCAAGGCCAGCCTGGCCAACATGGTGAAACCCCGTCTCTACAAAAAATACAAAAATCAGCCGAGCGTGGTGGTGCATGCCTGTAGTCTCAGTTACTCGGGAGGCTGAGACAGGAGAATCCCTTGAACCCAGGAGGCGGAGGTTGCAGTGAGCCGAGATCATACCACTGCATTCCAGCCTGGGCAACAGAGCCAGACTCTGTCTCAAAAAAAAAGAGTAATCAAAAAGCTACATTATTTAAATCTTGGCATGTCTTTAAAAAATGTTAAACTGTCAGGAAAATTATCACTTCTGGATACCACCTTCAGAAAAACACATGAAAATTTGTGCATGTCTCAAATAGTTGTTAATTTATGAAAAATTAGAAAGAGTGTTTGAATGTATATTTCTGTCATATTATATTGCTCATATTTTTAAATTATACTTTTTTTCACCCGTGAAGCCCATATAGTTAAGTTTGAAAATTTTAATTATATTAGAATTTGAAAATTAAATAAATCTCCTTTAATTCATGCATAATTTTCTAATAGTCATATAGTTTGTATTATATAATTTGAGAAACTTGGTTCTAAAAAAATTGTCTGCCAAAGAATGTATATTTCTGAATTCTGTTCTGCTTTCATACATCTGAAAATATTTGAGCTATCATAACTGGCTATGCTTCAAACCCAGTCTGAAATGGGTGACCTTTGCTGGCTTTGGATTGCAGAGCTGGGGGCTGTTGTTTGCTTTATCTGATTTAAAATAGTCAGTAGTTTATTTTGCAGGCAGTTAGATGTATACCTTTGCATAAAATCATTGAACTGAAAAGGTTGGCACTCCAAGAATACGTTGTGAGAAAAGAGAACTTGAGTACTCACTCTCGACTCACCTGAATCTTATTAATATTTTATTGATTAATATCTGTTGTATTTTTAAGTAAATAAGCTCTCTAGAAACTATCTCTGCTTCTTTGTTCATTTAAAATATATTAAACAAATTGATACAGATTGCAAAAATTAGTTGCAACGTTCCTAGTTAGATATCAATGAAATAAAAATGGTCTATTCATACGAGTTCATTTTAGTTATTCCTACTAATATCAAATGTGTTTTAAAAAATGGGAGATTATAATCTTTTTATGAAGTAAGATAAATTATTACTTTGTATATTTAATTCAAAGAAAACAAAAAGGCCACAAGTGCCTGCATAAAGGCACATCCACTTAGGATTATTGTTAAGGCCTACAGTTGATAATTAGGATTCAGGCATAGCATAAATGAAGTGGTATCTTTTTTTTTTTTTTTTTTTTTGAGACGAAGTCTCGCTCTGTTGTCCAGGCTGGAGTGCAGTGGCACGGTCTCGGCTCACTGCAAGCTCTGCCTCCCTCCTGGGTTCACGCCATTCTCCTCCCTCAGCCTCCCGAGTAGCTGGGACTACAGGCTTCCGCCACCACTCCCAGCTACGTTTTTTTGTATTTTTGGTAGAGACAGGGTTTCACCATGTTAGCCAGGATGGTCTTGATCTCCTGACCTCATGATCCACCCGTCTCGGCCTCCCAAAGTGCTGGGATTACAGGCATGAGCCACCGCGCCCAGCCAGATATCAATTATTTTTAGACCCAATGATATTTGCTGTTGATTTATTGTTGGTGCACAAAATAAGAAAACAAAAGCATGGTTTTAAAACAGCCCTTTACACATTTAATATGGAAATGGTAACCTACAGGTCTGTATTCCATACAGATTCCTGGGCTCATTTTATCTGTGAATTCCTCTGGGCGTCATGCATGCCCAGGACTGACTTTAAAGCAGAATTATCCAGTAGAGGTATAATAGGACCGTTAGATCTAATTTAAAGTTTTCAAGTAGCCACATAAAAAAATAAGCAGGCGAAATTAATTTTAGTCTGTCACTAAATTCAAAATGTTATTTCAACAGGGGGTCAATATAAAAGCTATTTATGAAATACATTATTTTTTCATATTATGTCTTCAAAATGTTCACATTTCACATATTTATTTTTTATTTTATTATTACTATTTTTTTGAGACGGAGTCTCACTCAGTCGGTTGCCCAGGCTAGAGTGCAATCTAGCTTGCTCATTGCAATCTTGGCTCATTGCAACCTCCACCTCCTGGGTTCAAGCAGTTTTCCTGCCTCAGCCTCCTGAGTAGCTGGGATTACAGGCGTGTGCCATCACACCCAGCTAATTTTTTTATTTTTGGTAGGGATGAGATTTCACCATGTTGGCCAGGCTGGTCTTGAACTCCTGACCTCAAGTGACTTGCCGCTTTGGCCTCCCAAAGTGCCGGGATTACAGTTGTGAGCCACCGCACCTGATTACATATTTCACATATTTTAATTCAGACCAGCTGCATGTCAAGTACTTAGTAGCCACAGATGGCTAGTGGTTACTGTATTGGACAGTGCAGCTCTAGGAGAGTCTCTTCAACCTGCAGCTGTCTAGGAAGAGAATCATAGTTTCTGGAACAGGTAGAATCTATAAGACCTCCTTTTTAAGCTTCTCCACTTTACAGATGAAGAAAGTAATATCTGGAGATGTTGAGTTGTTCAAAATCACCCACATTTTAAGGATCAAGAGCCCAGTCCCTGTTCTCTAACTTCTAATCTCTTTCTTCATCACTTTTTCTGCTTCATGTTGCTGCATCCCCTTTAGTTACTAAGGTACTAACGTTAGGTTGTTGCTATCAGTTAAATATTAAGCCAGGAGCTTTAAGACAATCTGGCCCACTTGAAGGCATGGCCTGATTTGGACAAAACTTGTGGGGTAGGATGAATAGAGTTACCAGGCATATCTTCAACCTCTCTGTGGACTAGTATTATACATATATGAGATGATGTAGGGTCCAGTGATCAGTTCATCTTTTTCTATTGTGAGCACTGTTGGAATAGGAATGGGGGGACCTTTTGGGACCCAGGATATGTGATTCTGAACCCTGAAATGTCAGATGCCCACTAAAAGGAAGGGGAGAGATGGACCTGTCATTACCTTACACATTTTATTGTCTGTATGGGTATGTAAACATGTACAGATTATAAGGAATTGCACTTCATTTCTGGGCTTCTGGAAACACAGGTATTAAGATTTCATTTACCTCCCCTTGTTTTGGAAGGCTTATTGTGTGTGTGCCCATAGTTCTTACCCAGTTACACTTAAAGTATGATACTTTTTGACAGCTTAAGCCTATTGCATTCCTGGCATGTAAAATAGTTATTTTCAGAATGTAAGCAAATGTGGAAAGCTTACTGCCTGACATGGAGGGTTGGAGAAGTGGGATTGGTGTTCTTTTGTTGTAAACTCATTTTTGTGAAATATTTGCTTTACAACGTGAAGCATGCATGATGGATGAACTTTTAGAATTGAAAGTTATTTTTCATTTCATTCCTGAAATATTTACCAGCATGGATGTTGACTGAGTGCTTTGAAGAGTTTGCTTAGTCATATAACTTAGGTTTTATGATTTTAGATTTAATTAAACTTAAAGTTTTCCTGTTTGATCCTCAGGACTTCTCATCTGTGGCAAGGCTTTACTCACAAAGGAAATATCAACCTTGAAGTTAAGCATGCCCTGTGTTTCTTTATATTCTGATGAAAACGATTGAAGTTTGCCAGTGCTGTGTCTGGGACAATGCTTAGAGGATTCATGGCTTGTAGGAATGAGTTAAAAGTACAAGGATATTGGCTGGCATGGTGACTGTCGCCTGTAGTCCCAAAACTTTGAGAGTCTGAGGTCAGAGGATTGCTTGAGCTCAGGAGTTTGAGACAAGCCTGGGCAGCATAAGGAGATCCCATCTCTATGTTTTTTAAAAAAGTGAAAAACAACAACAACAACAAGGTACAGGGGTATCTGCGTTTCCTTAGGCAGCTGTCTTATATACCTTTAACCTTAAAAAAATCCACCATTTTTAAAACAGTGTTTTCTGTTGTTTTTCTTAGTAAATATAAACAATAGGAACTGAAGTTTAGGGCTTAAAATTTTTGAGAGAATAATTTTTATTTCAGTAGCTTTTGGGGTACAAGTGGTTTCTTGTTACTTAGTTGAATTACGTAGTGGTGAATTCTGAGATTTTAGTGCACTTAAGTAGGGTACCTTGTACCTAATGTCTAGTTTTTCTTTTAATCCCTAGTCCCCTATTACCCTCCTCCTCGTGAGTCTCTAAAGTCCAATATGTCCCTCTGTGTGCCTTTGCTTATTCCTAACTTAGTTCCCACTTATAAGAGAGAACATACGGTTTTTGGTTTTCCAATTCCTGAATTACTTTACTTAGAATAATGGCCTCCAGCTCTATCCAAGTTGTTGCAAAAGACATTATTTTGTTCCTTGTAATGGCTGAGTAGTAGTCCCTGATATATATATGCCACATCTTCTTTATCCTCTCATTAGTCAGTGGCCACTTAGGTTGGTTCTGCATCTTTGCATTTGTGAATTGTGGTCCTGTAAACATATGTGTACAAGTGTCTTTTTCATACAATGACTTCTTTTCCTCCGGGTAGATACCCAGTATTAAGATTGCTGGATCAAATGGTAGATCTACTTTTAACTCTTTAGGAAATCTCCATAATGTTTTCCATAGAGGTGGTACTAGTTTACATTCTGAGAGAATAATTTTTGTAAAATTATGTTTAAGCTAGATTTGGAATTGGGAAAGAATTACATTCTTTATAGGAAGCTTTTGAAAAATATATTTAAAAATATATAAAAATATGCATAATCCTACCACCCACAAATGTCTGTATTATTATGTCATTTCTAAACCATTTTTGAGATTATGCTATAGATTACGTTTTAGATCCTACATTTTATTTCTTAACATTAAATCTCATACTATTTTAAGTTCTTTGTACATGTAATGTTTACTGAATGGGTAAATCTGTTTAGGGAAACTGGAGCTATGTAGTTGTGGACTTGTGCTTTTGTTTTGTTTTGTTTTGTTTGTTTGTACATTTGCTTTTTAGAAATGTCTATTCAGATCCTTGGCCCATTTTTTTTTTTTTTTTTTTTTTTGAGATGGAGTCTTGCTCTGTCGCCCAGACTGGAGTGCAGTGGCGCGATCTCGGCTCACTGCAAGCTCCGCCTCCCGGGTTCACGCCATTCTCCCGCCTCAGCCTCCCGAGTAGCTGGGACTACGGGCGCCCGCCACCACGCCCGGCTAATTTTGTTTTTGTTTTGTATTTTTAGTAGAGATAGGGTTTCACCATGTTGGCCAGGATGGTCTTGATCTCCTGACCTCGTGATCCCCCCGCCTCGGCCTCCCAAAGTGCTGGGATTACAGGCGTGAGCCACCGTGCCCAGACAGACATGTGCTTTTTTATTTGGCATTTCTAGCCTGAACATAGGCTGGAAGTAGTGACTTAGAGAGGGATTGTTTGCCAAATATCAGGTAATATTTTAATTATTTATTATTTATTGTAATGCTGTGAATCAGGAGTCCCTAACCCCTGGGCCATGGACTGGTACCGGTCTGTGGCGTGTTAGGAGCTTTGCTGCACAGCAGTAGGTGAGCAATGGGTGAGTGAGTGTTGCTGCCTGAGCCCTGCCTCTTGTCACATCAGCAGGGCATTAGATGCTCATAGGAGCGCAAACCCTATTGTGAACCGCATGTAAGAAAGTGAGAGCTGCGTTGCACACTCCTTATTAGAATCTAATGCCTGATGATCTGAGGTGGAGCAGTTTCATCCCGAAACCAAACCACAAAATTGTCTTTCATCAAACCATTCCCTGGTGCCAGAAAGGCTGGGGACCACTGCTATAAATTGCTGCTGTCAAGTAGTGTTACGCATGGTGGTCTTTAACATAAAAAAAAAAGGTAATGAACGTACACCACACAGATTAGCAAAAATAAGGAAAGGCTGATCTAGTAGTTCAAACAAGCAATCCTCTTATTTAATGGTTCTGTGATTGCTCGTGTAGGCAGAAGCTTAACTGTAAGTTGTTGCATTTGACAGGCAAATGTAGCTGGAGCTGGAATGTAGATATTAGTGAAATTGTGATTTCAGTTTACTGGAGCCATTCAGTGGGAGCATGAAGTGGGTTACATGATTACACGGATATAAATAAAGCGTCCTCCTTGCCACTTCACTGCTGTTAAAGTCTCTCCTGATGTTATGTGGTGAAAAACAAGTCAAAAACATTAATTCTGTCAAGTTTCCAAAGATATAAGAATCTTTGACCAGAAAAGAGACGGTATTTATCTTCAAATTTAACAAATTGTGATGAAATGCTGCTGTTACAGAACCTAGTGTAAGGTCGTGGAGTCCATTCAGCCAGACACATGTAATTTTGATTATTAACTGCCGTTTCTGTGGTCAGTCGGCCAGTTTTATATATTTCACATTATAGGTATTTGGAGCAAAGACAGTGTTGTTTATTGTTTACTTTAAAAAAATACAATACTGTAACTACATAATGAGTAAATGTTGATACTGTTGAAAACTAATAAAAACAAATTCTTACACTATCAACATCACAGAAATTCTAATTGTAAGAAAATATTGATATAATATGGAAATCCGTTCATTTATTTGGTGCATTAATTGAACACCAACACTATGCCAAGCATTGGGATACAACCATGAAAGAGGCCAGCTTCCTGATCTCACAGAGCTTGTACTTTGTTGGGTGGGGCAGAGAGCAAATCAGTCAATCTGTCTGTCTGTCTGTCTATCTATCTGTCTATCTATCTGTCTATCTAGATGTCAATCAGTATACTCTGTGCCACTTGGTGGTCAGTGCTATGAAGAAAAATTAAGCCAGTGAGGAGCTGGATAGAGACACAGTCTGGAAGGGTATGAAGGGGATCAGAATATGCTACCCCCAAATATGCCATTTCAGCAAAGTACTAATTTGAGCTGAAGACAATCGAGAAATAGCAGACCCAGGACAAGCTTTACCCCCTTTTTATAAAAATTTTGCTGTGTGAAGGTATCCTCCTTCCCCTCTCCATCCCTGGAGAGACCACTAGAGGTGGCACCATCGCCTGCAGAAACAAACCTTATTGAAATAACCCTTATCTTCTATTAGTTTCCCCCATATATTTACCTTACCACACTTCCCCTGGAAGCCCTAATCCCCTCTCCTTTGTCTTGTGACTTCTCCACAGTTTATTGCTCTTTGTTAAAATGGTGTGTATGCTCTCAGGCCTAACTGCTTCTTTTGGGTTTTTGCTTTTCTGTGGAGCTCCCTCCTCTCCCCTCCCTCATGTAAAAATAATAACATTAAATAAAATTTGTGTTTTTTCCCCTGCGAATCTGTCTCGTCAGTTTAATTGGCAAGGCCTCATGTGCTGAACCTAACAGGGTAGAGAAAAAAGGTTTTTTTCCCCTTTTCTACAAGTATTAAACCTGGAGAGAACAATACAGTGTAAAGGCTGTGAGGTGGGAGCATGCTGGGGTGTTGGAAGAAGCACATGAGCTTACAAACATTCCATCAATTTGCATTCATTCCAAAAATTGTATGCAATTTTTCAGTGACGATTCCCATTGATCAATCATTTATAAAAACTAATGGTGAGGGTCTTCCATACTCAGTTTACTCCCTTCTTGGAAAAGAATGTACATTTTAATCAAGATGATTTCATGAAAGACATTCTGTACTCCAAACATTTAAAAGAGCGTTTAGAGTATACAGCAATTCATCTTTTCTTCTGTATTTTAAAATTTAAGACAGGGAGAATTATTGTATTATACTTAGTTCAGATTTGGTGGTGGTTTTGTTTTTTGGTTCCAGTGAAAAGAAATTGCATCAGTAACCTGGCGGTCAACCGTGCCATATTGTTTGTGATTTATTAGTCTGGAAAAAATAACTGTATTTCTGGCATATGTAAAAATAGTTTGCTGAGAGGCCTCCTTGGTTGTGGCAATAGTAATACTAATTACCAGGTACTGTATGTAGCTCATTCTATGAACCAGGCCTTGTTGAAAAGTGCTTTCACTTAATTTTTTCTTTTCAGCAGCCTGTGAGGTACCTACTGTTATCCCCAGCTGGGAGGGAGCTGGCCAGTGGACTGGGTTTAAACTATGTTTTCATTGTCTTTACTCTTAACCACTTATCTTCTCTGCCTCCAGCAAAATAAGTCAAAGAGTTCAGCCAGTGTTTCTTCTTGGACTAAGCAGTCAGCCTCCTAAGTAAGCAAGCCTTGGAATGCAATTGATTGGTAAGATACTAAAGTAATCAGTAAGGCCCTCAGTTCCTGGCTGCCAGCTTCTTTCACCCTCTCCTGCAGGAAGTTCTGAATGCTGATATCTCTACTTGGTGTCTTCTCTCCCCCTCCCAATTCCATTATTTCCCTTTTTCTCAATCCCAAGTGAAGGAAGTTCTGAGTGTGGATGTTGGAGTCATTCAGACCTTGGATCTGAGTCACAACTCTTTCAATTTACTAGAAATATGACTGCAAGAAAATGATGTAAGCTTCCCTAAACCAATTTCCACATCTACAAAGTATCTAAATAGATTGCTTAGGAGAAAAATTGAATTAAATTGAATAAAGTGCAAAGCACAGAACATGGCCAGGAGTAGGCCCTGGATGAATGAGGGAAAAATGGTTCTGATTTTTATTTTTGAGCCTCTTTGTAACATTTGTTGGCCCCTTCAGAATAATCCTTAGAGTTCATATCAGCCACCCTTCATCCCTCCTGGGATGGGCCAGGGGAGAGGCCCAGTTGCCTGTGACACTGCTTCGTTTCACATTTCACTGCTTTAGCATCTCAACATTTCATTGATAACATTTTTGATGCCTGAAAACAGAATAACTTATTTGTAATTCTACATACATTTTGTTTGTGATCAAGTTGTTAGAGTTTGAAATGAGCCTCATTTCCTTGGGTTTTGTCCCTCCCCATCTGACCTTCCTCTTCTCAGTGAACCCTGAAGAAAAAACACTAGCAAAGGAATCTCAAGAATGTTGGTTCGGGACACAGCTCTCTCCATCTACTCTCCTGCCCTAGTCCTGCCCCTCCTTGTGTTTTCAGCGGTGACCAGGCACTGGTGACAGCCTTGGCTGCTTGGACCAGCTGGAGGTAGCTGCAAAATGCCTGCCTGCTAGCTTTGAAAAATCTCTGCCAACCTCATTGAAATAATTGTTTACCACATATCAGAGGGGACTGGGAAGTGGGTAATTGAGAGATCTTTTTGAAGGGGTTTGTGGCTTCTCCACTTGCAGAGGCTTCCTGAAATGGTGGGTAATGCTCATGCCTCAGGGAGAATCAATATCCTTCTCCTAAAACCTGCTCACACGTAGCTCTAAGTATTAGACATGCATTTTTGTTAACATTTTATCAGTGCATTTTTCTACCTGTGTCATTTGGACCTTAGATTCGGGAGAAAATCACTGTGTATCTTTGGTGGTTTCAGGTGGCTCTTAAATTTCATTAATTCACAAAATCTGAATTGAATGGAATAGTCTGTTTTGGGAGGTTTTTTTGGGGGGGTTGGGGAGGGATTGGATTTTTCAGTCCTTCCAAGAGACTTCAGGTTTTTTTTTTGATGTTCTGATTAGCCCGGTGTGTGTAAGGCCCTATCAGGTGTTCGCCTGTGTGATCCTATCACACCCACATCCTGTAGCTGCATCCAAGTGCTTTGAGGCCGACTTAATGGGGATTAACTTAACAGTTGCTCTGTGGGAACAGATGCTCTTTGCCGCTTATTTCTAATAAATTGATTGAGCCATTTAAAAGATTTTTTTTTTCTTTTAAGTTACATCTTCTTAAGAAACTGTAGACAATAAAGCAAAACTAAAATACTTGGGTCTAAAATTAGTGTATTATATTTAAAACACTGGGCTTCAGACTGATTATATCATGCTCTTTTACTGACTTTCTAGTCAGATGCTTATTTATAAAAATAAAGCTTATATAAAGGGCAGCATTCAAATGTTACACCAGTCGGTTTTAGCAGTTTGACCTTCCACAGTAGCTAAATATTTTTTACACTGAGAGAAGAATTCTTTAACATTATATGCTATCAGCATGTCAAGTGAATTCTGAGCTTGCATGCAACAGATGAGACCCTAGGTGGAAACATAAAAACATACCAGTGTGAAAGAGAAAAGCAGGCTCTCTGTCTTTGGGAAGGAGTTCTGCAGGGAGGGGTGTTTATAAGTGTAGTAGATACTTAGGAAAATTAATACAATTATTATAAAAGTCATCTGGGAAAAACCATTAGGTAAGAATAGCCAATAAAAAACCAGAAGCAAAATGTAAAGATATAGAAATTAAAACTGCACATCCCATGCATAGATAGGTCAATGGGGCAAACTGGAAGTCTAGAAATAAAGTTGTGCATATATTGGAAATTAGTGCAAGATAAAAGTGTCTTTTTACATCAGAAAGGGGAAAGATGGATTATTTAGTTAATGGTGTTGGGTTATCTGACTGTACATAGAAGGAAGGTGGGTAATTATTTACCCAGTACCAATACTGGATTACCTAGTATTATGTACCCAGTACAGTTTGTCAGCAACAAAAGGCAAACTTTTTTATTCCATGAAGTGTTCTTACAAATCAGTAAGAAATACTAAATATGAACATCTTCAGAGAAAAATGAACATTTTTGAAAACTTATTATGAAAAGAATTAAACATACACAAGAGAGAATAGTGCGCTGAATGCTCAGCAATGATCAGCTCTCACCCAGTCTTGTTTTATCTGTATTCCCCTTTCTCAACCTGCTCAATTCTCTTTTCCCTCACTGGGTTATTTTGAAATAATTTCAATTCTATAATTTTATGTATAAATATTTCAGTGTGGATGTCTAACAGAATCTCTATTAGACGTGGACAAAAAAGGCAAAGAATTTTATAGTACACAGGAAAAAATACACAGCCAATAAACCTATGAAGATATGCTCAATCTCATAGTCGTCAGGGAAATGCAAAGTAAAACAGTGATATAACATTGTTTTTTAAAACCCTGATGGGCAAAGACTAAAAAGGCTTGCCAGATTGGCATTTTCATCTACTGTCAATTGATAACAGATATTTCTTTGCTTGGAGTACAGTGGCACAGTCTGGACTCACTGCAACCTCTGCCTCCCAGGTTCAAGTGATTCTCCTGCCTCAGCCTCCCGAGTACCTGGGATTACAGGTGTGAGCCACCACGCCTGGCTCATTTTTTGTATTTTTAGTAGAAGCAGGGTTTCACCATGTTGGCCAGGCTGGTCTCGAATTCCTGACCTCAAGTGATCTGCCCACTGCAGGCATGAGCCGCTGCATGCAGCTGGTACAGAAATTTTTTAGATCAGTCATTTAGAATTTTATGTACATATCCCTTGATCTAGGAATTCTAGAAACTAATTAGTTCATAGTATATTGTATAAATGCGCACAGATGAGGATATTATGAGAGCATTATTTGTATCAACTAAGCAAGCCTTTAAAAAACTCTTATACAGTAGAATATTATGCTGATACATTAAAAGTGGGCATAACCATACTGATGTATAGAAATATCTAAAATCATACCGATATAAGTGAAAACATTCAGAATGCAGGCATAATCACAGATTAAACAGTAATTTATATAAAAAACAGAAAATTTATATGTGTATTATGTCAGTAGCAGATTCAAGTGAATCTGACAAAATCTGACTCTGGGCAATGAGAACATTGGAATGGAGGAGAAGGTAGTACATATTTACTTTGTATATTATCACCTTTTGTACTATTTGAGTCTTTTTAACTGTACGCAGATACTTTAGAGCAGGGGTCCCCAACACCCAGCCATGGACAGGTACTGGTCCATGGCCTGCTAGGAACCGGGCCACACAGCAGGAGGTGAGTGGCAGGCAGGTGAGCCAGTGAGCATTACTGCCTGAGTGCTGCTTCCTGGCAGTAGATTCTCACAGGAGCACAAAACCTATTGTGAACTAAACATGGGAGGGATCCAGGTTGCCTGGTCCAGTCCTTGTGAGAATCTAACTAATGTCTGATGATCTGAGGTGGAAGAGTTTCATCCCAAAACCATCCCATCCCATCCAGTCTCATGCCATCCCACCCCCAACACCCCATGGATAAATGGTCTTCCACAAAACCAGTCCCTGGTGCCAAAAAGGTTAGAGATCACTGCCTTAGAGGCTGCTCCCTCTTGGCACATCTTGAATGTAGGACTCCTTGGTTCTGCCATTCCTGGTAGGTAGTCAGCCAGCTTTTGATAGTTCTCCCCAGAGACTTCATCCCACAGGCAAGCCATCCCATTCCACGTAAAACATCTCTAATGTTAGGAAGGCACGTATTTTGATGTGATATCTAGAATCCTCCCAGCTGTTCTTCAGAGGAACATTACTTTTATAAAGTTGAAAAGAACGTTTTATTGTATTATAAAACTAGGTCATTTCAGTGAATTTCATCTATTTTCATGGGTAACTGATTCTTATATCAAAACTTGCTTTTGAAAGTACTGGAAGCATAAATTATTACTTCAGGCCCATTTGCTTTACTTTGTTCAGCACATTGAACATCAAGGAGCAACTCCCTCGATCTAAAATTTCTAGCATTGGTGCTTGTAATATCATTTTTCAAGTTGACATTAATGCTATCTTTGGAATTCTCATGGTAAGTCAGAAGAAAGCAGTTTAGTGGAACTGTTCTTTCTCCCACTGAATTGTATACTGAGATCTGTTATATTTTCTGCATTTTAACCCAGAAAGTTGTTCAAGAGAATTGACCATGATAAGACATCTGTAGCTTATTTTGTATTTTTTTAATGGAAAATTGTAACTGACTTTTAAATTTAAGATTGAGTGTAGCCTTTCCCAAACCAATAGCTAATGTTTTTATAACTATTTAGTGTAGGAGATTATAATAAAATCCACATTGCTTAAGATATAAAATGTTTGTGCAGTAATAGGCTGTATAAAAACAGTAAATTGAGATTGTATCAGGAATAATGTATTATAAACCATATATGAAACCAGGTACTAACTTGGTATTCTGCATAGCTTTATCAGAAAGGCAGAGCAAATACTATCTCAAAATGAAGTATAAACAAAATGAGGTTCAGTGAGTGATGTGGTTTGGCTCCATCCCCACCTGGATCTCATCTTGAATTGTAGTCCCCATAATCCCCATGTGTAGTGGGAGGGACCAGGTGGAGATAACTGAATCATAGAGGCGGTTTCCCCCATCCTGTTCTGGTAATAGTGAGTTAGTTCTCACGAGAACTGATCACTTTATAAGGGACTTTTCCCCCCTTTTGCTTGGCACTTCTTCTTCCTGCCACCATGTGAAGAAGGACGTGTTTGCCTCCCCGTCTACCCTAATTGTAAGGTTCCTGAGGCCTCCCCAGCCATGCTGAACTGTGAGTCAGTTCAACCTGTTTCTTTTATAAATTACTGAGTCTTGGATATGTCTTCATTAGCAGCGTGAGATCAGATTAATACAGGGAGGCTACATAATTTGACCCAAGTAGCAATAAACAATAGGGGTGAGGTTGAAATCCAGGCCCCTGGTACTTATGGCCTTAAGCTAAGTGAAATAAGCCAGACACAGAAAAACAAATACTGCATGATTTCATTTATATGTGGAACCTAAAACACTCAAACTCATGGAAACAAGAGTAGAAGGGTGGTGTTACCAGGGTTTGGATGTGGGGGAAGTGAGGCGATGTTGGTCAAAGGGTGCAAACTTGCAGTTATGAGATTAATACCTAATGTACAGCCTAGTGACTAGTTAATAATAGTGAATTGTACACTTGAAAACGTCTGCGAGAGTAAATGTTAAATATTCTTACCACACAGAACAAAAAAAGTAACTCTGAGGTGATGGATATGTTAATTAGCTTGATTGTGATAATCATTTCACAGTGTATACATATATCAAAACATCACGTTGTATACATTGAATATACATAATTTTTGTCAATTATACTTCAGTAAAGCTAGGGAAGAATAAAAGAAGTGACCTAACCAGGACACCTATCTGTAGCTCTATGGTAAAGCCAAAAGGGATAATAACTTTTGATTATCAAAACTTCATCATCATTATTATTTTTTAAGACTGGGTCTTGCTATGTTACTTAGGCTGGTCTCAAACTCCTAGGCTAAGTGATCCTCCTGCCTTGGCCTCCCGACATATTAGGATTATAGGCATGAGCCATCACACCCAGCCAGTTTTGAAGGTATCTTTATTACATTTTTTTGTTTAAATATTTAATAGTAAGTGTTTAACTTGAAGCATTTTTTTCTGCCTTAAAATTGATTTTCCCACTCATTTTATGGATCAAAACTATTATCAGATTTTAATTCCCACTCCACCACATTGTTTATAAAAGTTGACAATTATGGAAAGTAAAGTAATACTGAATTTTTCTAATGCCTATCTTTGACATGGAATAAAGATTATAAAATTTCTTATAACTTGAATGAGTTTTTAAAAATTGGACATCTTTTTATAAAAATCTAGCATTGACCATTTCAACATAAGTTTTACTTATCTCTGAAATACAGGTAGTACCTATTTTTATTAATTTTCTTAAGTGATGCTGAGTGACACTATTTTTGTTTTTTTTCACTTTTTCTTTACTTTTTTTTTGAGACAGGATCTCAGTCTGCTGCCAAGGCTAGAGTGCAGTGGTGTGGTCTTAGCTCACTGCAGCCTCGGCTTCCTGGGCTCAAGCGATGCTGCCACCTCAGCCTCCTGAGTAGCTGGGACTACAGGTTTGCACCACCAGGCCCAGCAGTTTTAAAGATTTTTTGTAGAGATGGGGTCTTGCTGTGTTGCCCAGACTGGTCTTGAACTCCTGGCCTCAGGCGAGCCTCCGACCTCTATCTCCCAAAGTGCTGGAATTATAGACATCAACCACCGTGCCTGGCCCCAGTGACACTGTCTTAATTTTGAATAGGGAAGTATCTAATGGTATTAAAATGGTCTGGCAGAGAAGGGGATATGAGGCTTGGTGAAAATAAGCACAGGATGCACCATCTTTGAGTAAGTGTTAGTTTCTGCAGTGAGCCAGCAGCAACATTCTTAGCAGAGCCTAGAAAGATCGAGTGAGGGCTGTGTGGTGGTGCAGCCTCTTAAGTCTCTCTGGTTCCACAACATGCTCAGATTGGTGGCTTTGATATTTTCTCCATCCAGGACGCATTGTGCTAAGCTTAGGGAAGGTCCAGTGGATATTTACCAAGCCTCTTATACTGCCCCGCATGTTGCCATGAGACAGCAGCGTTATCACCTTAAATGGTGCAAATACTCCTTGTGCATACCCTACCCCTGAGATCTAACATCTGGATTCTGGATACTGTTTCCTATTCTTCCATCTTGCTGCATGGTTCCCAGGTTATGTATATAGTGTGGCTAGGCACCACACATGGCCCTGGCTCCTTGCAGCCATACAGAGGTGACCTAACTGGATGTAATTGGGTATGTACCGGGTGTTGGCTACCTGTGCAGGTTGAGGGCCTTCCACAGGTCTAGCAAAGCAATTCATTGCCTTTCTGAATTTTTGAATGCTTCATTTGTGAAACCCTTGATGTAATAACTGTTGATATTATTTCTTTTTGAAAACTCCCCTTACTCTTCCCTGTTTCTTCATTTGTAAACTGGAACCGATAGAAAAGTACCAAACTTAGGGTTGTTGTGAGGCGTAAAAGAAATAATACAGCCCAGAGAACATAGTATATACTCAGCAAGTATTTATTAATATGACTACTAAGCCAGCATTGGTGATTGATTGGCTCATAGTGTCTTCTATTTGCCAGATGTTTTCAGAGGCTCTGTTCATGTTCATACCCATGTTTGTAAATGACAGAATGTAAATTTCTTAATCCTCTGTCTTCTCCTTTAGCATCAGCTCTTGTCCCCAAAGTAAAAGAACTCAGTCATCCAGAACCCAGTTTTGTAGATCTATTTTTCAAAATTGGGCAGTTAATAGAAAATTAAAAGCAGTCTAGGGAAAAGCCTTTCCTTTGGGTTTGTTGCTTTCTTTTCTGTCATAATAAGACTGTGCCCAAACTGTAGGGAAAAATCAAGAAACTGTAAAATACATCATCAGGGTGTTTATAGTAAATGTAAAACGTTAAGTAACATTTGAGTTAATCTGTGCTTGTACAAACCTCAGAAGCTTAAATAATGAACCAATGACATATAATTTAGAAAGTTTTCATTAGACTCTTTGCGTTGGTATTTGCAATATCAGATTTGCATGTCATCATTATTAGCCTTCCTCTATTTTGAGTGTTGACTAGGTGCCAGGCGTCATGTTGAGAAATTTATGTGCTTATTTAATTCTCACACTGACTCCATGAGATAGATACTCCATTTTACAGATGAGGACCCCACATCATAACCTTTTGGCCAGAATTACAGTTAGTGTTAGAATTTAAACCTATGCAGTCTCATTCCAAATCCTCTGTCTTTACTCCTCCAGAATGCTCCATTAAATGAATTGTTTCTTATAATCCGGTTGTTTTAACGTTGGAAAAGAACTTGAGAACATTTAGCCCAACCACCCTATGAAGTTTGGCAGTACTTCTTGCCATTCTTTCAATAGATAATTTATTTGAGTTTAAGGGAGAGTCTATGAATTAACACTAGTACCAAAACTCCCATGAGAAAATAATGTAGACAGCTTTTGTTAAAAAAGCAGAATTTTTAAAGGTGTTCATTCAGTTATCTTCTTGCCTAACAAGTTCCTGTGTTGTGATAGACTTTGAATTTGTTAAATATGAATTGGCTTCCTGATTCTAGCTGTTTTGCCAGAGGCCTGATTTAGAGAAGGGATTAAACCACTGGTCAACCTTGGATGGAATTTGGGCCAGCAGTTCCTTCTCCACAGCCCCTGACACTTGGCTTTGTGCCAAGAAAATCCTACAAAAGGAAATTGATTTACTCTACCCAAGACAGAGTTCCGGAGGCTTTGGTTGTCCATTGTTAGCTTAGAAGTTGGCGCAGTGTGCGTGTGATCCACGCCTAAATAGCACAGCCTTGCTGTGCGTGGTAGAAGTTGGGTTAGTGTTGACATGCTGTTGACTCACCCTCCCGAGGATGGAAGCTCTGGCCTGGGTCAAGTTGTGGTCACTGCAGTTAACAGTTTGTTGATCTCAGGGAGTATTCCACAGTTGCTGATGTAATTGACAATGATTGGAGCCAGCTCTTCCCCAGATTCAAATGGACCAATTAGAGGACTTGTTGGTTCTGTTTATCAACTATGTAAGTGAGTACTGTGAAGTTGGCATTGTTTTTAGTCTGTATTTGGGTAAGATGAAACTCTGTTCTCAGACAGTAATATCTTTCAAAAGTACAATGTTACTTATTGTGACCAAAGTAGGGATGAAGTTTGCAAATTATTTGGTGTAATGATTTAATTTGGCCATCCATGCAGTGCAGTTCTCTACCAGTGTGATTGTTCTCTTTGTAAAATACTCTTACTTTGCCAGAAAATTGTTTGTTTGTTTGTTTGTTTGTTTGTTTGTTTGTTTGTTTTGAGACGGAGTCTCGCTCTGTTGCCAGGCTGGAGTGCAGTGGCCCGATATTGGCTCACTGCATCCTTCAAGCAATTCTCCTCCCTCAGCCTCCTGAGTAGCTGGGACTACAGGTGTGTGCCACCACGTCCAGCTAATTTCTGTATTTTTAATAGAGACGAGGTTTCATCATGTTGGCCAGGATGGTCTTGATCTCTTGACCTCGTGATCTGCCTGCCTCGGCCTCCTAAAGTGCTGGGATACAGGCGTGAGCCACTGAGCCCTGTTGAAAATTCTTATTAATAAGATGTTTCTCATAGAATGTTTCAAAAAATTGTGACTGGTTTCAAAATCAGATGATTTGCAAGAATTAGCCATAGTATAAACACATAGTTCTCAAACCGTTTTCTGGGAGTGGGCCCAGAGATCTATTTAACAAAACCTTGAGTAGAGTCTGGTGCAAGTTAAAATTGGAGAACCACTAATGTAACCTTACCTTATCTGTGGACCACATTTTGAGCTTTGGAAGAAATAACCCTTTCTATCCTTCACAAGGTAACAGATGATTTTTTTGCACAATTATTTGATAATGAGCTTATATTTGAGATTAAGGTATGCACACGATAATGTACATTCTCACTCTAGGTCTGGGGACCTTGATTCTTTGACTCTTCTGTCCTTTTCTCTCCAGTTACTTGGTTTTGTGCATTAACAAACTTTTCAATTTACTTATTTTTTTTTACTTATTTACTTATTTCTCATCCCTTACGTAATGTTGCATCATTGTTTTTTGTAGCCTCTGCAGTTCAAGATACTAATCACCCCTTTCTACCACATTAAAATACAGACTCTACCTAAAATCATGTATGGGAGTAACTTGATATATACGAAAGTGTAACCGTGTCACAATTCCCCGCCCCACCCCGCCAGTCTACATAAAACTGCAAACACTTTATTGCTTACCAAGAAAGTAGACAATAATATCGAAGAAAGCCCTCCTTTTCCTCTTCTTTGACCAACAAGGGAGCAGTTCCTGACAAATGTCAGTTTGCTTTTTGAGTTCCTTAGGTTTCTGTGTTGTGTTTGCAATGGATAAATATTGAGTAACAGGTACTGACTGTATTGTATACATTGAAAACTATCCACCAACAGAATATTTGCAGGAGGATTTTGTTTTGTTTTGTTTTGTTTTGTTTTGTTTTGTTTTCTGAGACAGGCTATCTCTCTGTCACCCAGGATGGAGTGCCATGGAGTCATCATGGCTTACTGTAGCCTTAACCTCCTTGTCTCAAGCGATCCTCCCGCCTCAGCCTCCTAAGTAGCTAGGACTACAGGAGAGGAACACCATGCCTGGCTAATTTTTTTTTTTTTTTTTGTAGAGACAGAGTTTCGCTGTGTTGGCCAGGCTAGTGTTGAACTCCTGGGCTCAAGAAATCTCCCAAAGTGCTGGGATTATAGGCATCAGCCACTGTGCCTGGCTTGAGAATGACATTCTATAAGTAGTTTCAGTCCCTTAGTTTAATCCCATATTTTGATCCTATAACATGTACAATATTTGTGTATAGTATATGATCTGCCAACTCTCTAAGAAGATTTTAAAACTTATTATGTTAAATTTCAGACATATACATCATCCAGCTTCAAAAATTGACCACATTTTGCTGTTCTTGTTTCAGCACCTCCCCCTGCCCCATTTTCTTTTCTGAAGCATTTTAAAATAATTCTCAGGTATCATATCATTTTACTTCTGTTCATAGGTTTCTGAAAGGATTTGATGCAGAATGTTATTATTAAACCAGTATACAGAGAGAAAGGCCACTGGATATTAGTACATGTTTTGGTTTCAGACGGTCCTTTTAAGAGTATATTAAATCACATAAGGATTTTCTGAGTACCCATTAGAACCACAAAAAATACCTATGATACCCTTCTTACTGCAGTAGAAGATGAGTTTCCTAGGGTAGCCCTTTGTTGATGGAACAAACATGTATTTTGTTTCATCAGGAAAATCATTGGAACAGCCATGACTCAGATCCACTAAATGAAGGAACAAAAATAGGACCTGCCTCACCTCCTGATTTTTTTTTAAATCTCTAGGATGAGTAACCAGAATATTTTTATGTTGTGCTAAGTAGGTTTGTTTGTTTGTTTTTTACTCTGACTTATATTATTTGAATTGTAGAAATATATTGTTTTTACTTTTTTCTTTAAAATTCTATCTGGAGTTTCTAAATGAGAGATTGTAGCTCCTAAAACCTTTCTTAGTTTTGGTGTCTTGCTTTCTGTTCTTAGCGTCTGTGGTCATTTCTAACTCCCAGTGAGGAAAGAGCTCTCTGGTCTTGTTTCTTTGTTAAATGAAGGAGCAAACCTCCGTCTCGTTGATCCACTCCCAACCCACTTGTTTTGTAACAATGAAAGTTATCTCATACTTAAAAGACAACTTGAAATTATAACACACCTGTAACAAAGTAAAGGGTATGGGTTTTTACTTAGGTTTAAAAAAAGGGCAGTAACCCTTTTCATAAAAAAGCAAAATTTAGATGGGATAGAACCCCCGTTTATAGAAAAGATTTTAAAATCTCATTTGCTCTCATTGAAACCTTAACCTTCTCTCAAATACTGGCGCACCTCTGAGGAACTTCAAATACGGTTTGAAAACTAATGGTTTAAGGAGGGCCAGGCGCAGTGGCTCATGCCTGTAACCCCAGCACTTTGGGAGGCCGAGGTGGGCGGATCACTTGATGTTAGCCTGGGCAACATGGCCAAATGCTGTCTCTACTGAAAATAGGAAAAATTAGCTGGGTGTGGTGGCGCATGCCTGTAGTCCCAGCTACTCAGGAGGCGGAGGTGGAGGCGGGAGGATCTCTTGAACCCAGGAGGCATAGGTGCAGTGAGCAGAGATGGATCTCTTGAACCCAGGAGGCATAGGTGCAGTGAGCAGAGATCGCGCCACTGCACTCCAGCCTGGGTGACATTGAGACTGTCTCAAAAAGGAAGACGAATGGTCTAAGGAAACTAGTTTGTGGTTTCTCAGCGGAGAATGACATTCTAGTTTCTACAGATCTGGCAACAGAAGACAGGCACATAAACTGGCCTGCTTTGGAGTCAGGGCCAAGACTTAAATCCAGATTTAAAACCAGCTTTTTTTTTTTCTTCTTCTAAAACAACCAACCTGTGTTTTAGGTCCAGTGTCTGCCTTGTAAGTTGCTCAAAGCTCAGATACAAGGAAGTAATCAGCACACATTTTTGTGATAACATTCCTGAAAAGAAAAAGATGAGGTGGACTAAGGTAAATACACTGCTCCTTAAAAATCCATATTTTTAGATTATTTATAAATCAAATGGGCATGGTTACCAAAGATGAATTCTAGAGGTGTAAAACTCCAGTCTTATACCTCAAATTTCAGTTTTCCTTAGGGAGCAAAACACTTCCATGATCTTACTGAGGACCTAAAAAAGCCTGTACATATTTTAAAAATAGCACTCCCTAGATAAAGCCTGATGGATCCAGGGTACAGTAGAATCATGAAATTGCCTGTTTCTTTTTAAAAGATGTATATGATTGCTCGGTGGCTGTATATTGTCCATCGTGTGCGTGCCTGTGTGGTATGTTGGTTCTTTCAGAGAGGCAGTGGCGTGCAGAGTGAGAGGATCACAGATGTGTATGTGACAAAACTATTTCTTTTCTTTCTTTTCTTTTCTTTCTTTCTTTCTTTCTTTCTTTCTTTCTTTTCTTTCTTTTCTTTTCTTTTCTTTTCTTTTTTCTTTTTTGAGACAGAGTCTCACTCTGTTGCCCAGGCTGGAGTGCAATGGTGTGATCTTGGCTTACTGCAACCTCTGCCTCCTGGGTTCAAGCGATTCTCCTGCCTCAGCCTCCTGAGTAGCTGGATTACAGGTGTGCACCACGATGCCTGGCTAATTTTTGTATTTTTAGTAGAGGCAGGGTTTCACTGTGTTGTTCAGGCTGGTCTCGAACTTCTGACCTCGTGATCCGCCTGCCTCGGCCACCCAGCGTGCTGGGATTACAGGTGTGAGCCACCGTGCCTGGCTGACAAAACTATTTCTAAAACACAAGTCCAGATATTCCTACCAAGGGCTCTCTGGGGCTTCGTTTTGATTTATATGCAAAACACTCCTAATGTGGTGACATTGGGGAGATAAAGATCTGGGATGATGAGAGAGAAAGGCAGGTAGGACACATGCCCTTCCAGTAACTTTCCAGCTAGGGCTTGCATTTAACCTCTGATGGAGGCCTCACCATCCAGGCAGATGTACTTGCTTAGGAATGAGTTTGAGATAATAAGGCTAAATGTGCTGCCTTCTGTATATAATTTGCATTTGTCCTAATGTACGACTAAGGAAATGAAAAATCAAAGTTTGAGTGACTAAAATAAAAGAGGTCTGTGGAGTAATTGGATTGAATTTGCACCAAGTCAAGGAGAAAACTTCTGTATTTTGTATGTTTTGTCATGGTTCTATGATTACTTGTTAGAAAGTGATATAAAATTCAATAACTTAGTTTGATATGAACTTGGCTATCTTTAAGTTATAGAAGTCGTGCATATAATGTGGCTGTTTTCAACCCCCATACCCTTTCTGAGTGGTTGGAGATGTCTTGAATTTCGAAGTGAGAAGGTCTGGTGCTGTTACATAGATAATCATGTTAGCCAGCTTTACCTTCTGATAAGCTCTCAATTTAAGAAAGTACTTCTAATCCTGGCTTTATCTTTGGCTTGCTATCTTATTATGCACAGAGCATAATTGTAAGAAGGGAATAATATCTCTTGCTGTCTATTCACTAAGAATAGTGTGAGGACAGGGCTCTTAAAAACATGAAGAGATGGGCACTATTGTATAGATATAGAGATTTGATGAAATGTTAAAATGTTGGATGATTTTAAATGACAAGTGGAGTGGTGAGAAGTTTATTTTTAACCTTATGTGGATACCTTGGATATTTAGAAACATCGAAGTTTTAAGGAAGAACAAATATCTTGACTCCAAGAAAATGGTCATGTGATACTGTGGCATCTATTTGGTCTTCCTGATGTATATGTTTCCTGACATTTAGCTCCTAAAATCCTTGGAATCTCCAGTGCTAAGAAGGTCTTATATGCTAATGAGATGACTGGTGGCTGGGTAACCTACCATGTGATTAGAGGGTTAGGACTTTCAGTCACCCTCCCCAACCTCCAGGAGCTGAAGTTTGAGTTGATAAACTAATGATCAATGATACCTACATAATGAAGCTTTCTTAACAACCCTGAAGGACCGCGTTCTGGGAACTTCCAGATAGCTGAACACATGGAGGTTCCTGGAGGGTTGGATGTCAGGAAAGGGCATGGAATCTCGTTTTCTCTTCAGCCGCACCTCACCCCGTGCATCTCTTCCATCTGGCTGTTCATCTGTGTGTCCTTTGTAATATCCTTTAAAATAAATGGGTGAATGTAAGCAAGTATTTCTCTTAGTTCTCTGAAGGTGCTCCAGCAATGAATCAAAACGAAGTAAGGGGTCTGGGGAATGGTAGCCAGTTGGTCAGAAGCACAGGCTACAACCTGGGGCTTGTGATTGACATCTGAAGTTGGGGGAGTTTTGTGGTACTGAGCCCTCAGCCTGTGGGATGTGTAATCTCCAAGTACAGTGTCAGAATCCAGTTGAATTAGAGGACACTCAGCTGGCATCCATTATTGGCATGCAGTATTCCTTGTCATGAGCCTGGGCAACATAGGGAGACCTCATCTCTACAAATATAGCTGGGAGTGGTGGTGTGCACCTGTGGTTCCAGCTACTCAGGAGGCTGAGTGGGAAGATCGCTTGAGTCCAGGAGGCAAACATTGCTTCTCCTCCAAATGCTGTACTTTAACATGTTTGGAAACTCCTGCAAAGGAATTTCAACATAAGCGAAGTCAATGGGTTATAAAGGACTGAATGCCATTTTGTAAATGTCAGAAATCAAAGTCACAACCAAGTTAAGTTCTAGATTAGGGCCAGGAAGAGAAATGTATTATCTGGTCAACCATATCAAATCTGTATTTTGGTGGAAGAGCATTTTCTTATATTGGTTCTGATTGGTTTGATACGGACAGGGAACTGTTTTCTTTATTCCAGTTATTTGTTTTGTTTTGTTTCTGAGACAGAGTCTCGCTCTGTCGCCCAGGCTGGAGTGCAGTGGTGCGATCTCGGCTCACTGCAACCTCTGCCCCTCAGGTTCAAGCGATTCTCCTGCCTCAGCCTCCCGAGTAGCTGGGATTACAAGCGTGCTGTAGTTTTTGTATTTTTAGTAGAGATGAGGTTTCACCATCTTGGCCAGGCTGGTCTTCAACTCCTGACCTCATGATCCCACCCGCCTCGGCCTCCCAAAGTGCTGGGATTACAGGCATGAGCCACCGCGCCCGGCCTATTCTAGTTGTTAATCAGTTAACATAGCCAAAAGATATAGAATAAGATTGTAGACTGAATCCATAGTCTAATGATTTGTCTTCCTAGTAATTGTGAATAATTCAGACATTCAAAATTAGTCTGGCATCATACAAACATTAGACTAGTCCTAAAATGAGGATATTGGCAAGTGTGTTAATAAAAATTGCATATGCAGTATTAATAGGTTCCTTACGTAGGCTGCCGATTACTCAGGAACTGTCAGATGTTTTGTTTTGTTTTGTCTTTGAGAGATGGGGCAGGGTTTTACTCTGCTGGAGTGCAGTGGCACAATCTTGGCTGACTGCAGCCTTGACCTGCTGGGCTCAAGCGATCCTCCCTCCACAGCCTCCTAAGTAGCTGGGACTACAGGCATGCACCACCATGCCCAGCTAATTTTTGTATCTTTTTTTAGAGACGGGGTTTTGCCATGTTGCCCAGGCTGGTCTCCAACTCCTGAGCTCAGGGATCTACCCACCCATGCCTCCCTAAGTGCTGTGATTACAGGCATGAGCCACTGTGCCCAGCCCCCAGATTTTTAATCTTCTCTTTGACATTGAGTTTCAGAAATGAAGTATAAATGGTGAATTTTTAGTGTAGAATATGATGCACTAGGAAGATCACTTACCCGTTTATTCACTTTCTTAGACCATGTCAACCCGATTCTGAATTTAGGGTTCTGTTGTGATGGTGTTCTTTAGAAGTGATTTTAACACTCAAAATACTATAGTCTGTAACATAATTTACTGATTTTTTAATTTTTGCAAACTAAGTTGAAGTAATCAAGTATTTATGAGTTCTTTGGGTGAGACCATCTGTCAAAGAATTCTGGGCTTAATGGAGATACATATATGTTGTGAATACTAAACAGATATCCAAGTAATAAAGCAGAAATCATATGCTGTGTAACAGAAATGTAAAGTTCTGAATTAGTTCACGAGTAGGAGAGAAACTTTTTTTTAAAGGTAGAGGAGAACTAAAAGTAATTTCTTAAAAGAGTGCCTATTTTACATCTTGAATATTAAAAGTCTAATTCAGTGCCTTGGGATCTTGTTCTTTTTGTAGATTTTGATTTGAATGAACTTCAGTTTGCTGAAATGTCTAATGGGTGCAAAGTACAGATTTAATTATAAGGTTGAGCTAAAATCAGAATTTAAGCATATGGCATATATAATACCAATTTAATCTTTCCCCCTTAAATTTAGTTATTTTTAGTGAGTCCCAAACACCATATTTGAGACATCACTTTTTTCTTTTTTAAAGAGATAGGGTCTCCCTATGTGAGGCTGGAGTGCAGTAGCTATTCACAGGCTCGATCATAGCAAACTACAGCCTTGAACTCCTGGCCCCAGTGAGTGTAATGTCTCACCATGCCAAAGTACTTTTATCTTAAATTGCTTATTTTTTTGTTTATTTTTTTAACTGACTCTGTTTACAAAATTAACCTTTTATCTAGTGACAGCTAGATTGTATCACATTTGTCATCTATGGACAACTGATTTTTAGTTGTTTAATATGGTAAGTTTATTATTGTTTTTCCTTATTTAAGAAAACAGGATCTGAGTGAAAAAAAAAAAAATCTTAATTCAACTATCACGATTCCAGTAGGAAGTAGACAGACATTCATCTGTATACATTAGGTGTCAAAGTAGAGTTTTGTGGTTTATCATTCTGAAGATTTGAGATTCAAGACATGACTATCTTTCAGTCATATTGTGCAATAGATAACATATAATGTTTCTCACTGATGAGAACAGTTGGTTAGATCTCTCAGATGACTTGAATTAGGTATTAGTTCAAGTCAGTTGTCAGTAAGTTTGGCTTTATCGTTCAGAGGAGCTTCTTATGACTGGACATTTCTCAAGTATTGCCGTATTGGTCATTTGGCTATCAATGCTTAAATTATACTCAGTATAGTATAAATTTTCTTATTTCCCTTATTTAAGCATGCCTCCATTACACTGTTGTTGTCTCTAATAAGAGTTTAATAATCTTTGTTTTGGCTTAGTAAAAAGAGCCAACAAATATATGAGTGACTGACTGAGTGTATTGCTCTATGCGCAATTGTCTTAAAGGAAAAACGTTTATAGAATCACTGTGAACAATAAAATGGTTGCATTTCGCTGGAAAACCTCGGTGCTCCTTTGGTAAATAATGAAGTGTTTTGTTTTACGGGCCTTTTCACTACTTCATTGACAACAGACCTTTTTTTTTAAATTAATTAATTAATTTATTTATTTATTTATTTATTTTTTGAGGTGGCGTTTCGCTCTTGTTACCTGGGCCGGAGTGCAGTGGTGCGATCTTGGCTCACCGCAACCTCCGCCTCCTGGGTTCAAGCGATTCTCCTGCCTCAGCCTCCTGAGTAGCTGGGATTACGGGTGAGTGCCACCACGCCCAGCTAATTTTATATTTTTAGTAGAGAAGGGGTTTCTCCATGTTGGTCAGGCTGGTCTCGAACTCCCGACCTCACGTGATCCACCTGCCTCGGCCTCCCAAAGTGCTGGGATTACAGGCGGGAGCCACTGCATCTGACCAACAACATATATTTATATTACCCAGTAATAGGCATAGTCTAAGGAAGATAATAGAATTTATTCTTAGTAGTGAACTCTTTGGCTTTTGAAGCAGAATTTTTTTTTCTTTGTTCTTTTCTGTGATAGTAAGGAAGGAAGGAAGGGAAGGCTACTACTAAAAATATAAATTGCTAAATAGAAGTCAAGTCTCTGGGTGTTGAAGCTCACATATTGGTGCTGTCCAGACCTGACGCATCTAGAAACAGGAATTTGCCCTTAGCGTAAGCTTAGCCAAATGGTTGAGTCATTTCTAAGTATTTTAACATTATAGAATGCCTTAGGAAATGTCATGAATATCTAAAACAGGTCTTCTTGAGGATTTTATTAGTTTCTTAAAACATGGAAAGGAACTTGATTCTCAGTGCTGGTACCTAAAATTCAAAGACATTAGTTGTGAGTTGCTGTGCTCCTCAGCTCTAAGCCACAGTTGTCATGGCCAAGCCTGTCTCCTTATGGAGAGTGGCCTTGCTGTTTCCTGCAGAGCTTCTCTTGTGCCTGGCTTGTGCCTGGAAGTCAGCGTGTCACCACTTCAGAGAGACACTATAGAAGCTTGGTGATCTTCAAACAAGAACTTAAAACAAAGAAGTTTTCTTTCACAGATATCTTAAAACTTGTAGCTAAATAAAACGTGAATAACTGTGAGAGCCTCATTACAGCAATTTTTAAAAAAGCAGTACATGTTTTGTTGTATCTTAAACATCACAGAATGGTATTGTGTGTCCAGTTTTGTTTGTAAAATGTAACCTTCGTGTGAATGACCATCTATTCCTTTCTTTTTGGAAGGTTAGTTTGTCAGCTGTTGTGTGATGCTCAACATTTTATGTAATGACATTTAGCACAACGTTTCAATATAACATCTCAGGAAAACATTTAAGAAATAGTGAAGTTCTCTGGGTATTACATTAATCATATTAATTACCTGTTGCTTTTAATTTATCACCGTATCACCCTAATATCACAAGGCATGTGTAGTACTATTTTGTAAAGATTTTCTAAAGACCTTCCCTCTATAGGAAGGAAAATTTAATTCAGAAATTGGGCTGAACTCTCTTTCACTTGTGTGAAAATGGGAAAATTAGAAGTAATTTGTATTTTTTATTGTGAAATCAGTGTAGGAACCTGTGCTCGTATCATGGAAACAACAGCACTAATGTTTTTCTCCCCTCGGGTGTGGGCTTTGCTGCAGATATCCATGTCTTCTACTTTTTCTGTTCTTAGTTCTTATTCACTTATTGTCTATACTTCGTGTCACTTTATTGAATTTCACAAATGCAATTTAGGAATCCAGGGATGTGATAAAATTTGTGCATCTGCTTGTCATTAGCCATCTCACGTTTATATCGCTAAGTGAAAATTTAACTTAGTTTGGAACAAACCACCATGATTTAGTTCACCTGTATAGTTTAAAAGACCTAAGACCTGAAATTTTTTTTTTTTTTTGAAACGGAGTCTCACTCTGTCACCCAGGCTGGAATACATGGTGTGATCTCAGCTCACTGCAACCTCTGCCTCCCGGGTTCAAGCAATTCTCTGCTTCAGCCTCCTGAGTAGCTGGGATTACAGGCAGCTGCCACCACGCATGGCTAATTTTTGTATTTTTAGTAGAGACGGGGTTTCACCATCTTGGCCAGGCTGGTCTTGAACTCCTAACCTCATGATCCACCTGCCTCGGCTTCCCAAAGTGCTGGGATTACAGGCGTGAGCCATGGTGCCTGTCCAAGACCTGGAATTTTACACTGCATTGGGACCTTATAAAATTCTTGACTTGTACCCTTTTGGCATTTTCTGAATGCTCATGATTTGCTTCTGAAATATTTTAGGCCTTTGGAAACACTCCTTCATTCTAATCCTCTCTTTTCTTGCTCTCAATTCTTCATGTCATGTAATTATTTTGCCTAGAGCCAAATCTGATGTGTTATTATAATCATCATTTCTGCAGGAGCTTGGTAACACTCCTGCTTTTGTTCCCTTTAAGGCTTCTTTTGGTTTTGTTTATTTTGTTTCACTCAGAATGATCTGGTTAAGTTTTGCTTGATCATCCATTTCAAATCTCTTAGTACATTTTTCAAATTCAGTTCCAAGCATGTTAAATGTGTCACAATGGAAGTGGCCCACGGTCAAATACATTTTGGGAAACCTTGGTTTTAAAAAAGTTAAACTGACTTCATTATTACGGTTTTTTTTTTCAAAAGCCTCCAGTATCCATCTTGAATGATCCATTTCCCATATGTGTTTTATGACAGAATTCTCCCCACTCCCAGGTAATAACTGTTGACATTTTCTGAAAACTGTTTTTGAGAACACTGAATTAGATATGAAATGAGGCATTTATTCATACTTCGAAACGAATGTCTTAAACCTCACTGGGCCATTTTGAGTATACATTACTAGTGATATATTTAATAACTTAGTGGTATAAGCATGCAATAACAAATTTCTTACACAAGAGAAGTTCTGTGTAGAAACAAATTTAATACTGTGGCTAAAGAAATGAACCAAAAAAATTTAATATCTTGAAATTTGCTTCTTAGCTCTGTTTAGAATCATTGTGATTCACGGATAGTAAATTGTCAGAGTGGACTTCATGAACCTTATATCAGACATTCTGAAAAGAGCTAAAATTGCCATTAAACTGCATGAGTTAAAATATCTTAGATAGTTTAAAAATACTATGTAGACTTGGTGAGTCAGATCTGCCACACTGAGCGTGTAGCTGGGGTTGACGACACACGTGTTGCAGTGTCGTTACCAGTTTGTCTCTTTTAGAGACAACTTGGCAGGCAGACGTCTTGCAGATAAACAAGGAAAGATTGTCTATTTTAAATGGCATAAGACATTCTTTAAACCAGTGTGTCATATGTGGTTATATAGTCAGCATTTTCTTTAGTGCAGGAAATCCTCTCTCAGGGTTCCTGAATAAATAGCAGGTATCTTTGTAGGGATAGCTCGCAGGAGATTTCAAATGCTGTGTATTCATCAGTTCAGGCTCCCCAGATGTCTTACGAACGTGCTCATTTTAGTTTTCTTTTCTTTTCCCTCTTCCTGCTAGATACAAGTTGAGACAATATGATTAGCTCTTAAAGTGCTTACTCTCCATTTTATGTATATTACTGCATTTTAATCCTCATAATATCCTGTGAGGTGGGATGTTACTATGTCCATTTGAGAGATAAAGGAAATCAAGAGGTAAAGTTAACTGGCTTTCTCCAAACAGCTGGTAATTACTAAATACAGAATTGACTTTTGCCTTTTGATTCCAAAGATCATATTGGTACTTTCATGTGTGGGTCCCTTCAGCCAGTTCCTACAGTGACCCTGACCCAGCTGTAAGTCCCCTGAGGTCTCTAGAGATATAGACAGTGATGGATTAGACCCTGTTCATAGTTGCAGATACAAGACATAGAGAGGTTTCTAGCAATAATTTTTTTAGTTATATATTTTCATAGGGCTTTTGATTTATGTAACCTATTAGTATATATTTGTTATTCCAGTAGAGTTAATACATTATTCAAAGAGATTCCAGTTTTTAAGCCTTTTCTCCGTTTGTCTAAGTTGTTCATTATGAAATGATTGGCTAGAATTTGAAAGTCTTTACCTACAGAGAGATTCTGACTGGCTTGCTTGGTCTTGGAACCCTAGTTATGAGTGCATTGTCTTGCTTCCTGGTGAACTTTGCCCAGAAATAGTTACCACCTCATTTTTTTTTTTTAAATGAAAGCTGGATAATTAACCCTCAAGATTTCTTAATTAAAAGATTACTATTATAAATTGACCCACAGGGAGTTAATACAATAAAATTATTTTTGATCATTTTATATGAAATAATTATGGGGCAATCTTCTGTAATCTTGAGTTGAAGGGGTTATCTTGCTTAATGTTAATAACTTTTGATACACCAACTACCTTTTAAAAATTAACGTTTTTTTTTTTTGCTTCTGTGGAAGGGAGGCTGTATTTTGTAGGATTTACAGTTTACATAGTTATTGTTTTATATGATGTCAGTTGGATTAATTATGTTTTGAGTGGAAACTCTGTTTGGTTCAACCAATATTTGAATGCTAATTTTGTTCTGTGAACAAATAGAAATACAGAGAACAGTAAGACATGACTCTTTCCCCCTAAGTAAAGGCTTAGGTTGGAGTTTTCAACCTGGGAATTACTGACATTTTGAGCCAAATAATTGTTTATGTTGGGTGGGGGAGGGCCTACAGCGGAGGCTGCCTGTACATTGTAGGATGTTTAGTAACATCCCTAGCTTCTACCTACTAGATAGATGCCAGTAGCACCACCCAAGTCGTGACAATCATCTTTGCCAAGAACTTTGAACCTCTACCTAGAAACAGTTCATAGGGCTCAAAAAGCAAAGTGGCCTAGGACCCATGTAGTTAACAAGCTTACCCTGTTGGAGAACCACTGCATAGCTGAACAACATGGGTGAGACTAGTGTCAGGGTAAAGGAGCTCTTGACTGGAGATTGGCCGTACACAGAAAACAAAGTGAGTGTTATGGATATTTGGGGATTTACCTTCATTAGGGCACAGTTGGTTAGCGTTAGGTGTACACCAACATTATTCCCTCTTTAGAAACAGCCATGCACGTAACATTTTAGCACATCTGAAGAGGCACTTCTATTCTAATTACCTAAAATTCTTATTATCTAGAATTACATGCTATGAACAACAGCAGTAAAGTCAGAAGCCAGAATCTATGTGATGTTATCTGTTTTGCGATCACAGTTGTGTTCTTCTCTTAGTTTATTTGAACAAGTTTGTGAAAAAATTTTTGTGCTTATGTAAATACTCTTTGCTTAGATTTTTTGGTAGAATGTAAATCTTTCCCACACAGTGCAATACCCCTCCTGCCCAAGGGCGAGATATAGATTGTACAGTTTGTTATTTCTGTGTTTTAGGGCTTATTCCTCTGTAGACATGTCAAAAAGACATCCGTCGGGGGTAAGGAATGCATTAGCAATTCAAGCTGATAATCTGCATGGTGAGAGTCCAGATAATTTTTTCCCCAGGTCACATAGGCAGCTCTGCACAAGTCTGTTAAACATATGCTAGTTTTGAAAATTAAAATAAGTTCCCATCACTCAAGGCAATGAAACGTAGATGAATTGCTCTGCCAGATTGACTCTTAGAACTCCTGATGTGATGTGGGGCTAGACAGAATGGGATGTTTGCTAATAAATCAGGGAGGTAGTGATTGTTTTCCTTCTTTTTCTCCCCCACCCCCGTCAGGACAAACTCACATTCTGTAGCCTGGTGCACTCTAATAATGCCTGTTGACCTTGGCCATGAAAGCACTCTAGACTCACCCCCTAAACACCGCACCGAATGTGCTCATCCTTGAAATTTACAAGCCTTAGAATCTTCCCTACCTCCACTCCTGTTTACTGCCTCCTGTTACTCCTGGTGCTTCCAGTCAGACCGTAGTCTTGGCTGTGCAGTACCTTTAGGAGCCCTCAAAAATGTTTAATTTCTTTTAAAATCAGAAGGAAAAATAAAGAACAAGATAATAATCATGAATATACAATAATGAATCCAGCCTGACTTAGAGTTGTCTTTATACCAATCAACAGAGCCCTAAAATATAGCTTTTAATGTTTTTTTAAGAGAGAAAGAGGCCCACGAAAGTTGTCCTGGGGCCCCCGCATCCTCCTCATACACTGGTGGGATGCTGCTCTTGCTTGCTTTGGAATGTGGCAGCAGCTCCCAGTGACTTCACACGTTTATTACAAATTCAAGGTCATTTGGACGCTAGCCTTGTGCTACCTTTCATGCTTCCTGTCCGACCCATACTCAGCCTGGGCATGTTTTCTGCTCTGATCTTTGGTCTGCCTTCCTTCTCCTTCTCCAAGTCAAACCAGTCACTCTTTCCTGAGAGCTCTTCGGTGTACCCTTGCCAGACCTCTGCATTAACACTCCAGCACCTTTGGTTAGCCAATTTGGCCTTATTTGTGTCTCCACCATTGGATTATCTGTCCATCAAGGTCAGGAATGTTTTCGGGTTACCCCACTGTCCCCAACTTTGAATATGTTCACTGCCTGGAAAATGTTTATCTGAATATAAGGCATCAAGCCAGAACTTGCCCAAAACTTAACCTAGGACTCAAACAGCTTTGAAATCTTATCTGTGTAGAGTGGGAACGGCATGTGTTTGATAACCATCAGCATTTGCTGTTTTGCTTAGCCATCAACAATCCGTTTCTATCTCTTCCTCATAGTATTTTCAGCTGTATTTTTGTACAGCAGTCATTCACGTTAGGTGTTAGGTTACACTGAAATCTCTGACAACCAGTTCTGTGCTACTGAAGGCTTTTAGCAGCAGGATTAAAAAAATAGTTGATTGCACATTCGAAGTCTCACTGCTCACACTGTTTATGTAATTCTTGGAGTCCAGTTAGATCATCTGATTTTTAAAATGTTGCCTGAATTACAAAGGAGTTCAGGAATGTGTTATCAAAGAATTAGGAAATTAACATTGAAATTTATTGAGCAACATAGCTAATAGGTTGTCTTGCTTTTTAAGCCTTCTTGTTTTCTAGGAGGAGCCTGAAGTCCGTGGACAAGTTGAACTGTAGCTGGTATTTAGGAATTGGTAAAGACAGAGGTGTGGATGCTATGTTTTCTTTTCTCTGTTAGGAAATTACTCTCCTGGTGCCACAATAAAAAATTTCACAGGTATCTAAAGTGGAATTTATTTTGTATTGTTCCACACCTTTGTCAATAATTACATTTTCTACCTTCTAGTTTATTACTGTTATTATTTTTCATGCCAGGTGTTTCTTAATTGTTGGCATAAGTATTTATTGAATGCTTATATGTGGGAGTGAGAGAGTCAGGCCAGTGCTAAAGAGTAGGGAATAACCCCTAGACAGTGAAGTAACTTTTGTCTTGTTTGCACATTAAAAAAAAAAAAAGATTAGGAATCCTTGCTCTATATACTAGAAATGTTTGATGTTCTCTTTTCTTCTCTTCAAACAGAGAAAACTTAGATGAATACTTATAGGCTCTACTGTCAACTAACTGCACCCTCCTAATATTGGCGTCTGCATATTTTTACCATTGTCAATATCAGATTGCCTCTGATGTTGTGTCACTGAAACTGATAGTAACATTACATCCAAGAGTAAGACTGCAGTGTGATTTTTGGCTCTTGGTCTTCTGTTCTTTCGGCAACAATTTTTTATAAATATAGTCAAGAAAATAGAAATAAGAGTCTTCACTGCTACCTCCCCTTCAGAATTATTTTCTCCTAGTATTGTGGTTCCTGATAGCCTTTATTCCTATAGAAATGGCAATTCGAAAAATTCCTTCTGTGAATCTGAGGGCTCTACAAAGGGAGAGCTTCTTTGATAGTGCTTTGGTGTAAGTTATTTAAGAAGGACAATCTACCCAGGCTTATCAAGCAAATAACCTGGAATTTAAACCTGGAGTATTCTTTAGTGTTCCAAGTCTGCAGGAAAAGAAGTAATCTTGGCTTAAACTAAATAAGTTAACAGAATACAATTTGAACAATGAACAAGAATGCTGTTTGAAAATTATCTTGGGTTTTTATGTCAAGTTAATATTCTCACTGAATTTCTATTATGTTTGTAAAGCAGCTTTCTCCTAGACCAAAAATCCTAGTAATAAAACCACAACAGTATGAGAGTTATAAGCACACAGTAAAGGCTGATGAGTAAATGTTATGACACTTTGAAAGGAAATAAACCAGACGATATAATGTAAATATCCTTTGTGCTTATCAAAAATAAGTGACTTCATGTTCTGTTCCTGCAATATTTCTGTAAATCTGCTAAAAATAGAAAGGTAAAGGTCTAAGATCATAAATCTCTGATGCCCTTTCCTTAAAAGTAAGGAATTCTTGTCTTGGATTCTTATATAATATACTTATTTATAATCTCACTTGTTCTGATTGCAGGTGGCCTCTTACTATCTTTACATCCATGTGAATGTGTGTGCTTTGATGTGTACATATGAGAGACAAGAACAAAAGTAAATGTCAAATATCCGAATTCCTGTTTCAGTGAGCTTTCACGGAGTAAATTCTTTTTGTCTACTTGCCTGTGATCTCTTCTAATATGACTTGCGTTAATGACCTTTAAGAAATCTTTTAATAAAATAAAAAATTTTATTAAAATCTTTTAATAAAAAAATTTTATTAAAATCTTCTAATAAAAAATTTTATTAAAATCTTCTTCATACGTGTTACTTGAATTTACTCATGGCAAGGACCAGTTAGTACCATTTTATGAAATCACAAGCTCATGGGCTTGTGATAAAACATATAAGTGCTTTAAATTTGGCATTGGTAACGGCAGGCCGACTCACTTGAAAAATGCTCTGAACTGCTCTGCCTCATGCTGGTGGGAAGTCAGATGGAAATGACTTTCTAGAGAGTTTAGCTGGCCTCCAAGCTTAGTGGGTACTCACTCTCCTTATCCCCCGATAGCTGCTCTGAGATTTTAATGCACATTGAAGACAATATGATAACTTAACCTGGAAAATTAGCATTTTGGTAAGGGTCTTTAACTTCATTAGTATTTTCATACCACTTTGGTATTAGAAATTGTAAAGATATTAAAGGGTATGGACAATGTGGAATGTATGTACCAGACTCAGCAGTGTATACTGACTCCCTCACTATAGCCCAGAACTGGAAATCCCGCTAACTACCTCTCCCCATCCTAGCCTGAATTGCCCTCTCCACCTATGTTGGTTTTACAATGGCCTGACGCCTGAAAGCTGGTAGAAACTGTATAGGAAAATAGGGTTGGGATAAATTTCTGGGCTGACAAAGGATAGAGGAATATGCTTCTTTTTCCCCTTGTCCAAGTATATCAGCAACTCTAAGATGCAGATTTATCAGTATGGCTCTACTGGGCATGTTCTAGTTAAATGGTAGACCCACTACCTCTTCTGGAATCTTGTTTTCCATTATATTCCCACCTGCAGCTTTTCAAAGACTTATTCTCTTCTCTAATGGTCTCTTGGTTCTTTTTTTTGCCCATGCTCTACGTTCCGAGTGGGTCAACATTGCAGTGGGTCAATGAGAAGAAATAGAGGGGAAAAATAAAAGAACCAGAAAGAAACCTGTTAAGTTTGCACTTACTTGTGCATTAAGCATATTAGCGTAAGCCTTAAACTCTAGAAAACTCACTGTAGTGCTGTAAAGTACCACTGATAAAGTAAAAGTTCATTTTTATGCTGTGTCGTTATTTAGTGATGAATATGATATTGCATAAAAGATGAGGATCTGTAAGGCCAGGCGCGGTGGCTCACGAGGTCAGGAGTTCGAGATCAGCCTGACCAACATGATGAAACCCCATCTCTACTAAAAATACAAAAATTAGCCGGGTGTGGTGACGCGCGCCTGTAATCCCAGCTACTCAGGAGGCTGAGGCAGGAGAATCGCTTGAACCAGGGAAGTGGAGGTTGCAGTGAGCTGAGATCACGCTACTGCACTCCAGCCTGGGCGACAGAGTGAGACTCCGTCTCCAAAAAAAAAAGATGAGGATCTGTGTATAACTGCCAGGTGTTGTGTGAGGTACCATGAATAACCTGGCAATATCCTAACTGTGCAGGTATGAGGAGTGACCCCCAGGAATATAATTGCAATTAAACTTGCAAATTATGTGGGGATACTCTATTTCAGGGCAATAAAATAAATTATGTCTAGAGCTCATAACTCTTACACATATTTGGCTAGGTCTATGCAGCAAAACCCAGGTGATAACTGAGGCTTTAACTTTGGGATTTGTTTGGTGCTGACTCTGCCACATGGTGAAATTTGGTAGGATCTCAGTGCGAGTGTCACATGATCAGTCTGCTTGACCCAACATGCCAGAATTCCATTTCTCAGCCCACTCTCTTCTCTGCATACATACCTACCTCCCGGAGAGGGCTGGGCGGGAGCCTACGTGTGGCAAGAGCCCTCACTGCTTTTGTTACACAGATTTCAACACATATGGCTTGATGGAGTGTGATTGCAGTAGCATGAATGTTTGGTGATGAAATTTGCATGTCCTTTGCTGGGAGAAGTATAATTATAAGATTTTTGTATTCACATAGCCACATGTGAGGTATGAGCAGGAACGGGGTCTATTTAATAGCATTAGATTGCTTTCAGATTTGAAATATTTCCTTTTAGAAATATATTGTGTAAACAAAATATGTTTAATTTTTTTTAAAAACTATGCCTTTGTACAAATTGTTTATCATTTGCAGAGGTCTAAAAAATGTAGGAGAAAAGAAGCTCACAAAATCAATCAGATCTAAAGATTGCAAAGATTGATTACCATCTCCTTAAAAGCTTCAGTACATGTGTTTACAGTATCATTCTATTTGCCTCTGCTCAGATTCTTTCCAATTCTAGGACAACCCAAAGTGTATAGATCATAAGCCATAACTGATCCTACCTTACATAATACATTAAATATAAAATATTTATGGCCAGGCATGGTGACCAGTTCTGTAATCCCAGCACTTTAGGAGACCAAGGCAGGAGGAACACTTGAGGCCAGGAAGTTGAGACCAGCCTCGGCAACATACTGAGACCTTGTCTCTACAGAAAAATTAGCCAGGTATGGTGGTATGGGCCTGTACTCCCAGCTGCCTAAAAAAAGGCAACTTGAGAAAGTTTCTACCTTCTGAAACAATCTATGCCTTGATTCTATCACTTAGTATTTTAGTTATTCCTATCAAATACATGACTGTGTTAATTTCTTTTGCCACAAAAATGCTGCAAAGCCACAAACTCACTCCAAAATTTAGTGGCTTAGAACAATAACCATTTATTATAGCCCACAAGCTCAAGGGTCAGCTGATCCCGGCTTAGCTTGGCTACATTTGATATAAAACAGTAGAAATTTAGAAATTGAATATATGTAGAATATCTCTTGTACCAAAAATGAAGAGGAATAATAGATTTTGATTTTTCTTTGTTGTATTCTGTGCTGGGTGCTAATCTGTCCTAGCTGTCAGAACAAGTAGAAGCCATACTGGAAAATCATTTATTTGTTACTATCAAATTTATTTCAGTGAATGCCATTCAAACCACTCTCTCTGAGGAGCCCAGTTACCAAGTCCTCCACCTTGTTAGCAACATGGACTTAAATGCACTAATTCTAGAATGAGATCTTAGCAAAGTACCAGCATTTGAGATTTGTGCAAATTGAGCTCTTAAACTGTGTGTATATGTGTGTGTGTGTGTGTGTGTTCATTCTAGCACTCCCACTACATACCATACAAGTAGCTGTATAGCAGGTATATATACATGTGTATATGTACATAGGTAGGTATATGTCAACTGTTGAAAAACTAGAAAATACACATTAAATAAAGTAAGGGTTGATAAACATTAGTAGTTGGAACATTGGGAGATTTGGACTTCTACTTTGCAGATTCAGTTGGCTGCATTAGATTTAAGGAAAGAACTAACTTTGGAGAAATTTGTGTTTGCATTTCAGGAGAGATTTCTTAAAGAGGAAACTACCAGAGGTTAGTAGATATTAACATCTAGTGATTTAAATTTGAGAAATGCAAATTAGACATTTAAGCTGTGGGTTTGCTTCCCGTTTTACTTGCTCTAAAAGTAATTTTTTTAAAAGCCAGTAACAAAGACATGCAAAATAGTACTGCCATGGGGGAAAAATTACTTGAAAATAATATTCAAGATTGAAGAATTAAAAAAGCTTGACATCTAGTACCAGGAATGCCAGCTGGCTTGTTCTGTCAAAAAGCAAGCATGTGCTTTGGAATAACACTCTTGAGTAGACTCTAGGCGGGTTTTGAGCCCTTCTGATTATCTAAATAGATGTGGAAGTGACTTATCTTGGTTTTTCTGAGTCAAATGAGATAATGAGCAAAGGCCTTAGTAGGTCTTTGATTTTTGCCTCTAACCCTTTTTCTATCTGCATGTTCACAAGGTCAAGGCTGATGAGATATGGCAATATTGAGAGAGTCAGAATAGGATAAAGATCTCAAATACTATATATATATTTTTTTTTCATTTTTTTTTCCCTTTGGTGACTGTATGAGACATGTCAGTAAAACTTTAAAGACAGGCCAGGCGTTGTGGCTCATGCGTATAATCCCAGCACTTTGGGAGGCCGAGGCGGGCAGATCACTTGAGGTCAGGAGTGGCAACATGGCAAAAACCCGTCTCTACTAAAAAATACAAAAATTAGCCAGGCGTAGTGGTGCACGCCTGTAGTCCCAGCTACTCAGGAGGTTAAAGCACAAGAATCGCTTGAACCCAGGAGGCAGAGGTTGCGGTGAGCCGAGATCACCCCGCTGCACTCCAGCCTGGGCGACTGAGCAAGACTCTGTCTCAGAAAACGAAACAAAACAAAAGACACACAGAAAAACTGTAAAGACAGAATGAAAGAGATGAACTTTTTACATCTCGCTCATTTCATCACATACTATATAGTATGTGTATGGTTTCATATATGTTAGTGTGTGTGTATGTATATATATGAAGTTAAAAGAAAACATTCACCTTTTAAGACTAAATGGACATTGACTAGATTGTAAACTGTTTTTGAGGCTAAGAGTTTGTTTGCCATGCATAAGGCTCTATTTTTTGTAATTCCACTTTTATATTCATTTATATCAGTCCTAGCAGTAGATGCCACTCTTACTGGGTCCTGCCTAAATGCATGCTTCAAATGTTGGTTATTAATTTCACGAGTAGTGAATAACAAAGACTCCTATTGAGGGACCTCTTGATTTCCTACTGGGCACCAGCAGCAAGCATGACTTACTGGCCTTCTTATGAGTGGGTAGGAGTTTTGGGTCAACTTGAGAACATCTATCCTTTGAGTAGTAAAAAAGCTTGGTATTAGGTTGGCACAAAAGTAATTGCGATTTTTGCACCAATCTAATATCAACAGAGGCCGTGAAAAACATCAAGGGAGGATAGCTTGTAATTAGAAGCCAGATCAACAGTGACCCAAAAAGAATTTCAGGTTTCCAGGAGTGAAATATGTAGATTACTCCTCTGAAAGGAATTGTTTTTCTCCTATTCGCTTTCATGGCAAATCATTTTTTAAGCCGAAACTCAAGCTCTGAAATAATTGTGTAGCAAATAGTGGCTGTGAATAGATGTGGCAACTCTCCACAAGGGTAAATAGAAACCACTTGCAGTTTCAGTCATCACATTTTATTTTTCTTTTTTAATAGCTTCTCTATTTTTGCTCACCACAAATACATGCACACACACACACAGGGGCAAAGCCTTGGAAAATTGCAATTTTCCATTTTAATTTGAGAGACAGCCCGGTCACATTAACAGAACCCTTGACGGAATAGGTTGAATTCCCTTCTCTGTCCCTATAACCCCATGGCCTTGGACATATCCTTACCTGGTGCCCTTTCCTCCCTCTTATGGTCCACTTTTGTGATTCTGATTTTAATTTCAGTTCTCTGTTAGTGATGAAATGAGCAACTGCAGATGTTCCGCTTACACTGGAAATACTTTTTTGGCATTTAAAAGAAAACCCTACAGATGAATTATTCCCCTGAAAGGGGTTCACTCAGATTTTCTAGATTATGATTCTAGAAAATAGTTCTTTACATTTGACAATGGAGAATTTAAATGTTTTAATATGAAAATGTAAAGCACTCTTGTGGGGTATAGTTGAATTATGCCCAGGTTAAGGGAATCCAGTATTTATGTCAGGAAACCATGGATGTGATAGAAATAGTATCGCTACAAAGCTGGGCACAGTGGCTCATGCCTGTAATCCCAACATTTTGGGAGGCCGAGGCAGGAGGATCACTTGAGGCCAGGAGTTCGAGACCAGCCTGGCCAACATGGTGAAACCCTGTCTCTACTAAAAATACAAAAATTATCTGGGCGTGGTGGCACAGGCCTGTAGTCCCAGCTACTTGGGAGGCTGAGGCAGGAGAATAGCTTGAACCTAGGAGGCGGAGAGGTTGCAGTGAGCCGAGATCATGCCACTGCACTCTAGTCTGGGTGGTGGAGTGTGACAGTGTATCCAAAAAAAAATACTGAGATTATGCAAGAATCTGACTCGAAGAAGTTTGAACTGATTAAAAAGTACCAAATACTTCATTATATGAGGCCAGCTATTTAGACTAGTCAGCGGGTGGTTCAAATGCAGAAAACAGATGGCTTTCATTAGCCAGAAACCTTAAAATTACATAAATCCACGGATGCAACTAAGCTATGGATCTGTGCCCTCTCCTTGCCAAACAGGACCTCTCAGCTAGCAAAACAGAGAGCTCCTTGTTCACTTTTCCCTCCTAGTTGAGACCCTGTTGGGGAGGAATGCTGCCAAGCCTGCTCTATAAGGAATTTTGATCTCCTAGATGATAACAGAGAGAAACTTTTTGGAGAAAGGGAACACCCTGTTTGAAAGGACAACAAGAGAACTTGTTCAAGAAGGTGGCTTTGCATTTAATTGAAAATTGTAGCAACTGTAGGCGTAGGGTTTCCAGATTCACATCTGCAGACTGGTCCAGATTAGGTATATATGTTTATATTCGTTTATGTTATCCCCTTAAGCCTCTTTTAAAGCCATTTCTAAAAATTGCTTTGGAAAGTCCATTTCACTTCAGTATTCTTTATATTGTGGCTCAAAAATATTTTTTTTCTGGTAACAAAAATATTTTCTTTCTGTTTTTAAGACTTGTAGCATTTTTAAGTTTGATATGTACGTCTCTGTAGTTCAGAGCACTTGGTAAACAGCCTCTTGCTTTTGAGGCAATTTATGAATGCTTCATTGTTTTTAGCTGGTTATTTTGTTCATTGTCAGGAACACTGTTTTCCCATGGGAAAGCATCTCCAGTTTTATGATGTCAGTGGCAAGTCATTCAGTTTACAAGAATTACCTTCATATTCAGTCTTAGAAAAGCATAGACCACAAACGGCCAGTTATATCACAGTTCTCATCTTTTAAATGTTGTCTTAGATTTTTGCAAAGTAATCTTAACTCACCTTAGAATAGTGTTAAGACATAAATAGAACTAAAATGTAGTAGTTAAGTGGTTATATTTCCCATCTACTAAGGTATTTATATTTCTTTTCTTTTAGAAAATAAAAATGTTTAAAAAATTAGGAATAATTATCTTTAGGATGACTTTGTAAGACTGTGCTTTTTTACTGGCAGCAAATACCTGCCAGATTTCAGGTATTTGGCAGGTAAATTGAATCTTAAAAGATTTCAATTTTAAGAGTGTCCATATTAACAGATCCTGAATAGGACCCTGTGTATCATTTATTAAGTCATTTCTTGGAGGCTTCACTCAGGAAAAGGGAGTTAACCCTTGGATGGCAATGTTTAATGTGGCCACATTTCCTTCTGGCTGAATGCCAGGGAGTGGCTGCGCTTAGCAACCAGGCTTTGTTTCATAAATGGGTTATTTGATGCAGGTGAGGATGCCGTGAGTTGTTTGTCTTGTTTTAATTCAGGGAGACAGGCATATGTAGTGAAAGCATGGAATTGTTTGCAGATG